>NC_000009.12:115720552-116345552 GCF_000001405.40 Homo sapiens | reverse complement strand
AACAGGCCCTGCACCAGTGGATTCAGCTGGCCCTTCCAGCCTCATTGCTTGGGTGAGTACAGAAAAAGAAAACAAACAAACAAAAAAATCTGTGGCATGTTTTTTTTTTTTTTTTTCTCATCAATGTGCTTCCACATACTATCCATGCCTGTGCCTACTACATATATTTCTTCCTTCTCCCCAACACACACCCCTTTGCTGATCTGTCTAGTTAGCTGTTTCCATGTCACTTTTCCAAGGCACCTCCCTTGAATCTCTCTGTGCCTCCACAACACCCTACAATTCCCTTGACAGCATTTATCACACAGTGGGGTCATCATTAATGAGTTGTCTGACTCTTCCTCCACCACTAGGCACTAAGCTCCTTCAGAAGAAGGACTCGATTTGTCTTAATGGCTTCTTTTTCTTTAGTACTTACTATAGCATCCAATTTCCAGTGAACAGATGCTTTGCAATGAATTAGTGAATGAATGAGCATCTCATTGACAGAGGGCTCACCTTGTCATAAAGCAGCCCATTCAATTATGTTCTCACTGTAAGATATTCATTCCAAAATACTCAGCCCCATGGTCTTGGAGATTTGCAACCTACACAAAAACATTGGTAAGTATTGTGTGGAACACTACTCTGCACAGGAACCCTTTTTCTTAGAGATTCCAGACTGCTTGCTTGGTTAATTGATTCATTCATGCATTCATTTAATCAATAAATATTTATTGAGCACCTACTATGTGGCAGCACTATTTTAAGTGCTGCTGGGTATTTAGCAGAGAACATGGTTAACACCCAGTAAGCCTTCCCTGGGCTGCAGAGAGGCTCTGAGCTCAGCACCTGCACATACCTGGCTCTTGATCAGCTCATCATCCCGCCGTATCTGGAGCACGTAGCCTGTCCGGCAGCTCACAGTACACTGGGCACCGTGGTAGCGGTCGCTGCTGGAGCAATTGAGAGAAGCATTCTCCACAGCCAGCTCTGGACAGTCAGTTTTCTCACATGCGAAGTGCACGCAGCTGGGGAGGAAAGAAACGAGGGGAAGAAGGAGTCTCCTCACAGGACAGCTATGCTCAGTTGGAAGATAAAGGCTAAGAGCCTCTTTCTCCAAGATTTCAGGGGGCTTGAGACTGAGGACAGAAAGGGGTGCTGGCTAGGGTGAAGATGACTCTAGAGGCAGCGATTAAAGTTTCTCATTAAGAGCACAAGTTATGGCAACAGACAAACCAGAGTTCAAATCTTGCCACTTGAAAGCTTTGTATGTTATCAAGATTTAAACCTTGAATAGCCTCAGTTTTTCCATTTGTGAGAAAGGGATCATCATGATTACAGTGAATATTTATTGCATTTTTCTACCAGGCACCAGGTTGAGCAAAAGCCTTTTTCTATTTTGTGAGTACCCACTTACAAGGATCATTTTGAGAATTAAATCAGTTTAGAAAAAAACGCATAGCAGAACTCCTGGCATATACTAAGCACTCAGTAAATGGTAGCTGGGCTGGGCGCGGTGGCTCATGCCTGTAATCCCAGCACTTTCGGAGCCTGAGATGGGCAGATCACGAGGTCAGGAGTTTGAGACCAGGCTGACCAACATGGTAAAACCCCACCTCTGCTAAAAAAGAAAATACAAAAAATTAGCTGGGCGTGGTGGCAGGCGCCTGTAATCCCAGCTACTCAGGAGGTTGAGGCAGGAGAATAGCTTGAACCTGGGAGGTGGAGGTTGCAGTGAGCTGAGATTGCGCCATTGCACTCCAGCCTGGGCAACAAGAGTGAAACTCCATCTCTAAATAAATAAATAAATAAATAAATAAATAAATAAAAATAAGTGGTAGCTGATGTTGTAAATATACCTATGCTCTATTACCTAGTTGGCAAAGTACATCACATCTCTGAGCTTCGGTATACTCTTAAATTTGGCCAACCTCATATAGCCACGAGACTCAACTGAGGTGATGGAGGTAGAAGTCTTTTATAAACTGTAAGATAACTTACACATCATTAGTGGAGTTGTACAGAGACTATGTCTTGCATCTTGCTGCAACTCTGAATTCTACCTTTCTGCCAGTCTGAATTCCACCCGTTCTTTAGGTCTAAGCATCATGCAAATTTCCATAGGAAGCTTTCTCTTGTGTCCCTCGGCAAGCACCCTCATGGGTATTCTACCCTTCTTTCTATAATGCTGTTGCCTCATGTTTGATGTATTAAAAACTCAGTTCCTCAGTGCCAGTGGAACATAACAGATTGCAGGCTAATCTTTAAGGATGCAAACAGAAACAGCATGAAATCCTCATTCTTGGATGATCATTCCCCTTGTATTATAGTTAGGCAAGCACTCAATAACATTAGTTACTATTTGCTGATTGCTTATATACATGAGCTCACTCCATCCTTACAACAACCCTATGAGCTAAGCGTTACTCATTTTACAGTTGGGTAAATTGGGGACTGGCAAGATTAGGTTACTTGTTTAAGTGCCCATCCAGAGGGGTGACTCCAAAGGCCTTGTTGTTAACCTTGTCCCATGTTTCTGGACTAGAACGTCCTTGAGGGCAGAGAAAATGCCTATTTCATCTTGGTGTACTTTGCAGTGCCAATAAAAATTCCTTGCAGATGTTTCCTAAATGGCAGGAAACCAATGGTGATGATGCCTTGCAATAGCTCTTAAACACTTTAAAGAGGTTGATTCTGCCTAACAGTAAAAGCTTCTAGGGGGCAGTTTTCTCTGACTTTTGCCTCTCTGACTGTGTCTACCCCCAACACCTGGCCTATCGTATGCACCGATGATTTACATCTAGAACCTCAAGGCTTTTATGTTCCTATTTTTATCTAGGAGACAGGGAGACATTTTGGCCAAACCAGTGTCAGAAAAGTTTTGCACTTTTTTTTTGTCGTTGTTTTTGTTTTTTGTTTTTTGTTTTCTCTCAGTTTCACGATACCCAACTGAGGGTTTTACTGGGATCTATTCCTATTCTCTACCCTCTGCTCAAAAGTATAGTGAGAAATAAAGTCTGGAGGCGGGGGGAGCTAAAAGCTTCCAAAGCATATCACAAACCAATTTACTTTTTTAAAGACCCAGAAAGGACAAGCATTTAATTTAGGTCTCAGACCCTCACTGATGGGAGCTTTGCAGTTCTCCAATACTCTCCTTCTGAAATGCAGGGCAACTGGCATTAAGGAACACTTGTTGAGACAACTCCAATTCTCTGCCCTTTTTCTTACTCCTGACAGCCTCAGCATTGTACCATGTGGAGACCTCAAAGAGACTGTAACTGTGGAGTCAACACAAGGGCTTTGACACTAAACAATGCATCTGTTCACATTGTGTAAGCACCAGGGGAAGGAACCACATGGTTCCAATTTAAATATATTTACTCTGTAAGCTACTAGCTCCCAAGCTGTTCTGACCTGTGCCTAACAGTTTGGGCATTCTTACTCTGCACGCTCAGAAGGTACCTGGGCTCTTATGAAGACCCAGAGGGAAAGATGACTTTCTTCTTTAAGTTGCAGAGCCATTAAAGTATAAATAGTGCCCTCCCCAATTATTTTGTGCACATTAAGTTCTTCTTCACAGGAAAATGAAGATCTGAAATGCTTCGTTTTCTGGGGTAGAAGGAGCACAAGGTTTACCAATCAGGG
This sequence comes from Homo sapiens, assembly GCF_000001405.40. NCBI lineage: Eukaryota > Metazoa > Chordata > Mammalia > Primates > Hominidae > Homo > Homo sapiens. The sequence continues at coordinate 116,341,925 of NC_000009.12, read as the reverse complement.
AAATCTGGGCTCCAGCCCCTGCTCTGCCATTTATCAGTTGTCTGACTTTGGAAACTTATATAACATCCTGAGGTTCAGTTTCTTTATCTGTAAAGTGGAAGTAATAAAATAATTTGTTTCTTAGGATTGTCAACAGGGTGAGACATCATCCACTGATTCGTCTATTCAACAGACCTTCACTGGGGGCTTTACTGAGCACCAGACATTGTTCTATACATTGGGAATATAGTGGACGGAGGGGATAAACAAGATGCCTGTTATCCTGTGTATTTCAGGAGGGAGGGTGTGTGCCAAAGAAAAGTAATACATGAGATCATTTCAGATAATGATGCATGCAGTTAGGCCGTTAAACCAAGGTGAAATTATAGTGACAGTTGGTGGAAAGGGGCAAGGCACTTTGTATAGAAGGATCCATGAGGAAGGGACATCTAAACTACTACCTGGGTAAAATGAAGGGATAAGCCATACACAGGTTTGGGGCAGAGGTATAATCAGGCAGAGGGAAGAGCAGGTATAAAATTCCAGCACAGGATGGAGCTTGGTGTGTTTGTAGACTAGTAAGGCCAATATATGAGAAATGCTTTGAGGTCGGGTGTGGTGGCTCACACCTGTAATCTCAGCACTTTGGGAGCTGAGGCAGATAGATCACTTGAGGTCAGGAGTTCAAGACCAGCCTGGCCACCATGGTGCATCCCTGTCTCTAGTAAAAATAAAAAAATTAGCTGGGAGCGGTGGTGCACACCTATAATCCCAGCTACTTGGGAGGCTGAAGCACAAGAATCACTTGAATCTGGAGGGCAGAGGTTGCAGTGAGACAAGATTACACCACTGTACTCCAGCCTGGGAAACAGAGTGAGACTGTGTATCAAAATAAATAAATAAATAAATAAATAAAACAAAAAAATAAAAATAAAAAAAGAGAGGGCAAGAGAGAGAGAAAGAGCGAGAGAAATGCTTCTGGAACTATGAAGCTCCTTGAGAAGATGAGTCTCTCTACTCTGTCTCTTTTTGCTATAAAAGAAAAAATGGTCCTTGGTCCCATGAATCACCTGATCAAAAGATTTCGTGGTCAGATCAGTAGGGGTAGCATTGAGTTAATGAAACCAGTTAGTTTTCTTAGTTGCAGGACTTCTCAATAATTTGGATAACCCATTGAAAATTTCCAGAAGGGGCTAAGGTACACATTGTTTTTTAAACTCTGATAACATTTTTTTTTCATGGGACATTTCTTAGGACTACTGCCTTCCAGAATACACTTCAGGGATTGAGGCATCTTGCTTTTTCAGCACATCTGTCTGCACCTGGCCTGCAGGCTTGAAAACAGGAAGAAAAGGGATAAGGGAGGTAATATGTGTCAGGCATTGGCCACTCTGTTTCACCTACATCACCTTATTTGCATTCCACACAGCAACTCCTTGAGGTAGTGATATTAGTCCCATTTTCAAGAACAGGAAACTAGGACTAAGAGTTTTAAATTGCTTGCCCAAGGGCACTCAGCTTGGAAAGAATTCTAATAGAGATCTGCCAGTCTGTCCCCTAAGTCCCTGCTCTTTTTTCTTTGCTATCCTGTTAGTTGGACAAGGTTGTGTGAACACACTGTCCAAAAATGATAAACATTACCCTAACTGACCGTCTCAAATAACTCTGTGATACAGCCCTGTCATTTCTGAAACACAAAAACAAAAAACAAAACAAGGAAAACAAAATAAAAGGCTCTGCTGCTTCATTCAAAAAAAGAGGGAAGGATTTAATAACAGTGATGGGCAGTCAATAAAAATAACAAAAGAAGGAAAAAAATGAAGACACTTCTTTGAAGGGAGAAAGGTGGCTGATTGGATGGATGAGCGGGAAAGAATGCAGGTAATTCTATAGATCAAATTCTCAAACCTGGGCAAAAGTGGAGGTCCCTGGGGTGCAGAGCTGATCAGATACTTAAATAACGTTTTTCTTTTCTTCTTATCTATATGTTTAATATATTTACCTTTGGACTCAAATTCCATGTAGAGGTAAAACCTTATCTGATCCAATAGCCAATCCCCCCACTGCTGTCTCCATTGTCAATAAGAATGGATTCCAGTCACACATAACAGAGGATAGCTGGAGAGTGCTGGAACCCGGATAAAGCCAGAAGTTAAAGGGCTGACAAGGGTCCCTCTCCTGGTTCTGTTCCTTGACTCACGGTGTAACTGCTGTGCCCTGCCACTTAGCTGCAATTATGCCACAGGGAAGCAGAGATAAAAACAGAAAGGCTGTTTATAAATCATTCTGGGTTGCTCAGATGGGGACAACAAAAAAGACAAGTGCTCCACACTAGAAAATGGAGGGAAAACTGTTCTTGGCATCAATTCTGCAAGTTCACTTAGGAAGTGAAACAGTGAAAGAGCTACTATGCTAGGACCTCATTTTTCTACCCAGAAATGAGGCACCTGGGGGAATGATCCTAAAAGGTTCTTTACCCTGGATTTCTAGGCGCCAGTGTATTGTGGTGTGGTATGGAGGCAAGTTTTGAAGATTAGGTGATGCAAGCTCAGTAGCCTGCAGGGTTCAAGCGAGCTGAGTGGGGTGTGTCGAGGAGAGGGTATGTGCCTGGCCAAAGAGCAGAGCGCTTTGCTCTAGTCCAAGGTTGCCTAGTAGGATGGAGGGCCTGATGTTTTCAAAGCTTCTCATTTCTTTAAAGAGTTCCAAGAAGAATTCTGTTTTTTAATATGAACTCTCCTGATATTTAAATGTTGGCAACTAATTAAAGGAGATAACTAATAAAGGCCAAAGAGAGATTGTTTATGGACTAATATGGTCTATGGAACACCAGCCTTGAAACCTCTGATGGAGAGGAAAGATAACTGGATTCCTGAGAACTAGATTCCAGTGCTGGTTTTGCCCCCAACTTGTTAGGTGATTTTAGGCGAGTCACTTGTCTTGCTTAGAACTTAGATTTCCCATCCTCAAATGAGGGCACAGAACCAGGAAATCTTTCAGAGCCTTCCCCGCTTTTAGGCCTCATGATTTTATGAGAACAAAACAACAGAGGTCTATAATTTCAGAGCCCTTTGAAATGAGAAAAATAGGAAAAAGTTGTCTTGGTAATCTCAAGCACTGCCAAGGATACGGAGCAACTGGAACTCTGGTAGATCACTGATGGGGCTGTGAATTGGACAATATTTTGGAGAAGAGTCAGGCAGTATTTGGCATAGTCAAAGACACACACATGCTTAGGCACAGCAGTTCCATTTGTAGTTATATTCCCCAGACTAGTGATTCCCAATCAATGTGCTGAGAGGCACTAATTCCTTTGTGGGTTGGGGAAGTTGAATGAGGTTATGGCAGCGATCTGAGCAATCTGTGGTCTCTGGCCAAGAGCAGCTTCATTCTGTGTTCCAAATCCTACCTATGAATCCCTGTGTCATTACCTAATGAGATATTCTACACATGGGGTCTCATCAGGGCACAGACTCTAGAAATACTTGGCTCCAGTCTTTGGGCACCCCCACCCCCAACCAACAAACAACAGTCTAAGTTCTCCCTGGCTGAAAGAGTTAATCTAGCCATGTGAAGAACTTGTTGCCCCCCAAAGTTGGCCTTTTAAAACTTAGCTCTCAATCAGAACTGTCTCTCTCTGAATGGACCAGCTTGTAGAAATGGGGAAGAGTTTGAGATAAAGGAAGAAAGCGAATGTGAAAAAGAGTGAGAGGAAGAAAGGAAGCATGAAAGGAAAGAAGAATAAATGGAGGGAGGAGGGAAGGAAGTTACTTTTCTAAATACATGGTCCATTCAATTTTATAATAAACTGTTCAATTTCTGTTAAGAACCACAACGTGGATGAACATGATGTATGTGCATGTATGTGTGTGTGACAGATACTGGAGCCTCAATATCACCACTGTAGTTTTTCTCATTAAAGAAGCCTATTAACCACCCCACACCCCATCACTATCCTTCCCTCCCCACCTTTTCTCCTTTCCACAACTTGGTGTGGGGCTGAGATTTGGCTAGAATTGCACAACTGGACCTCTCCTTTGAAACCTGATCCTGTTTTCTTGGGTCTCTGAATTTATACCAAGTACTGCAAAGAGACTGGAGACCCCTGAAGCTAGAGTGGAACACATTGCCCAAACTGGTTTTGCTACAGGACTCCTCCCAAGGCAGCACAGTAGGCATCACACTGCTCTCAGGAGAGACAGAAAATGAGGAAGAGAAAGGAGGTAAGAGAAGGTGGGGGGCGGGGGAGAGAGAGAGAGAGGAGATGGAGAGGTGGGAGAAAAGGGAGAGGAGAGAGAGGGAGAGATGCAGGAAAAAGAGGAAAGGTTGTGGAGGGAGGAGAGAAGGGGAGGGGAGAAACAGTACTTTTCACTACCTGGGAAACAGCTGAGAGTAAAGTGGGATGTTTCTCCTACAACCAGTTGAAATTTGTGTTATAAAAAGTGATGCTATTTATTTTGGTGTTTTGAGAATGAAGGAAAACATCCCATGGTTCTTTACAGTTGTTGCTTATTTTTCTTTCCTTTCCTCCCTTGTTTGTTTGTTTTAATGCATTTGCATGTTTGCAGAGTCCTGCTTGTTTTGGTAAATGCCTCTTTAGCTCCCCATGAACAGCTGCTGTCCTTTCCCCACTGGGGCACTCAGGAGGAGGTGCTCCTGCCCTGCAGCCTCAGCCCTCAAGATTCAGCCTGTCATAGCCTGATCCAAGCTCAGGGATAAGGCAGCCAAAGACCTCAGAGCTGCAGCTCCATCCCCTTACTCAGAGTTCCTCTGAATAAATCATCACATGGGTCCAGTTATGAAAATTCCTTCTCTGCTACTCGTGCCTTGCTGTGGTAGGCAGAGCACGGCTTTCAGGGACAGACAAAGCAGGATTTTGCCTCTTACTGCCTGAATGGTCATGACTCACTCACTCTGTTTCTCTGAGCCATACCTCGCAGAAGAGGTGCAATAATAAAATAAGATACTGTTCCTATCTATTCAAGAGGTGCAATAATAAAATAAGATAATGTTCCTTTCTATTAAGGGCTCAACAAGGGTTTGTCCCTTCCTGTCCTCTCTCATGTTTCCTAACTGTTGAGAAACACAGATTTAGAACTGAAAAGAACCTCAGAGAATCCACACAATCCACCATCATCATTTTAAAGATGGGGAAACTGAGGCCCAGAGAAGGGGAATGACTAATCCAAGGTCAAATAATTAGTCAGATATAGGGCAGCATTTTGCCCTCATTCAATGTTCCTCCTACAACCAAAGAACTAACAAATACGTATCAATCGATATGTTTCAGTGGTTAAATATTTCCTACTATTTACTTAGGGCACAGACACCATTCGTCGAGAATTCAAACAAGTCAGTCTGGGCCTCAGTCAACTTATGGATGGTCAGGAAGGCTGGTTAAAAATGGGAAAGTGTTGTGGAAAAGGTCTAGTGGATTTCCATTGACATGGTTTCCCTAGGCTCTGAGAATTAACTTATTTTTATAGGGTCTGGAGAACAAGGGCTTGTGGAAAACATCCTCTTAGAGTGAAATAAGACAATGAATTATATTTAAGAAGCTCTTGCCTCTGAAAGATTACGACAGACTTTGCACAACAGAAGCTAGAGACAGTGGGTACTAAACAATGTGGATTTTGCAACCACCTTTTGTGTCCTCTGTGGTAACAGGGGCGTGGGAAAGGCTAGTGTCCCCCTCTTCTCTTTTTTTTTTCTTGCCCCCAGGTATACAGGGCAAGGCTGAATCGACTTTCAGAGAGCCTCACTCTTGGGTAGCCTACAAAAATCACAACTCTCTCTTCTTCTGGACCTCATGAAACAAATCTGAGAGACGCTGTGCAACTCTGCGCAAGTTCTTCCCTTTCTGGGCCCTGTGATTCTACATGGTAACACAGAAGTTTGGACATGTCAGATGCATGAGATAATCTCTGAAGCTTTTTCCAGCTCTAACTTTAAGAACTTTACAAAAAATTCTGTGCACAGAAGCAGCACCATCATCATCAAAAGATGGTTATAAATATTCTTCTTTAATATGTTATGTTTGCATAGTGCCTAACAGTCTGCAGGAATACTTTTATCTATAGTGCAACATGTAACCCTCACAACCACCCTGTGGAGTAGATTTCATCTGCTTATTCCAAAATAGAAAACTATGACCCAGAAAACTGAAGTGACTTGCCCAAGAACACCCATTCAAGAAGTGGTAATGTGGAGGTTCAAACCCAAGTAAGAGTATTCCCAAAGCTCGTATTCTTTTCAGGAAACTCCACTCGCTTGTAGCTCCAAACTAGGTGCATTAACAGATGGCACCTCAAAAGCACTGAGGGAGTGATGTCATGCAGTTGAAAGACAGGCTCTTAGACCACTCATGAGGTCACAGGAGCTAGGCTTGTGGAAGACATAGAGATTTCACCTATCCCTGAAACACACGGTGAACTAGGATGATGCAAATACCAGTCTCACTCTATCCCCCTTGGTTAGGAAGGTTATGCCTCCTGCTTGTGCCACGGGAAGCAGAATATTCCAGTATTTCAGAGATAAAAGAGAGCTAATCCTCTTTTTGTTCAGATGAGGACACTGAAGCTCAGAGAAGGAAACCGATGTTTCCAGGGTCAACCTGCAAGCTATTGTCAATTCTGCCGCTGCAAGCCAGGTGAATGAGGTTCTTTTTTCACCACACAACCGTTTCCCTTAATTGCCCCAGGAATTCAGAGACTCATGGGCCACAAGGCAGAGCCGGCCAGAGGCCAGAGGATGGATGGAGAAGGGAGAAATGCACAGACTTTTTACATCCACACAAATGGCTACCCAGCTTCAAAATCACACTGTCTCCACTCGGCTACAAGTGGCCTAGGGCGAGTCTGCCGCGGATCCCTTACCTCTGCTCGGCAGGGCTGTAGGTCTCCCCTCTCTGGCAGCTGCTCAGGGTGACGGGGTCAAAGTTGTCGAAGGAACGGAGGGCCACCCCCGAGATGGCGACCAGGGGCGAACTGAAGCTCACACGTACCGCCTGGCTGTGGTAGAAGGGCTGGCTGAGGTCATGGACCACAGGGATAATCAGGGGATTGTTCCTGCAGCTCAGGACATGGAGGCCTGTCAGGGGAGACAGAGGGGCCGAGGGGCCAGGCTCATTACTCAAGGCCAGTCACGCCCTCCCCAACGGGCCCTTCCCGAAGCCCCCAGACCCTTTCATGTCACTGCACAAAAGCACCATTGGGCGGCCGGTGAGGATTTTGAGTCTGATTGAAAGTTTCTTTGTCTGCCTTTTTTTCTTGGTTCCAAATCTTTCCAATCCCCCTGCCTCCCTGCCCCCTAAGCTTCCCCTTCACCTACTGCCCAAAGTCCCTCTCCCTCCCCCAAATGGCCACCCCTCAGCCAAGCATCCCAGGCCCTCACCTCCCTCCCACATTGCTGTAGGGCTTGTTGGTCTGAGTTGCTGAGTTTCAGGCTGCCTGCCTGGTCAGTTGGAAAAGTGATGGAAATAATTCATAGCAACAGGCGCTTCCCAGGGTAAAAAGCCCACTCTCATAAGTAATCTGTGAACCTGGGAGCAGCCCTGAGAGGGAAGGACTTCTTGCTTAGTCTGCAGAAGAGGTTGAGAATCGTGGGCAGGGGTGGTTTTCCAGAGAAGCACAGCCCAGGCATGGCTAAAACTCTAGGGAGAATTCAAGCTTGCCTCACTCAAGAGCCCTGTTTTTTTTTTTTTTTTTTTTTTAATGCAGCCAGCAGGTTCCCATTCTCCAAGAAGGAAGGGAGAGGGCCAGGGAGAAAAGATACACAAGGGACAGAAGGAAAGGAAGGCTGTGGCAAGATGGAATTAGCAAAACAGAAGTTGGCTTTGGTGTTGGGTGGACCTGAGTTTAAATGCTGGTGTAGCCCCTTCCTAATAATGGGACTCCAGAAAGCCCCTAAAACTCAGTTTTCACATCCAAAAAATGGTATAATCCTAACCATGTCCTGGCGGGCTTGCTATGTAAGGAGAAATCTCCCATGTGGAAGCCTGAAGCAGGTGCCCTTCTCAGTTCCAGAGGTGAAGCTGCCTCGGAGAATGCTGGGATGTCATAGACTGAGGAAGATGGTGATGGTGGGGGTGGAGGGGAAAAACAGAAAAGCCTCAGGCATCAGTACCAGGATCCAAAGAGCTCCTGTGGAACCAGACTTTTCCCCACTCTGCTGAAAAAACCTCTCCTCAGAGCCCTGGGCTGTGCAACGACAACTATGAAAATATTTGTTTCTCACTTAGGGAAATTTCCCAGGAATCCTGCTAAGTCCAGAGGGGTTTTCTTTCTCTTCCTTATTCATAGGTTCCCCTTGCCTTTAAAAGGAACTAAATAAACAAGCATAAAAACAAAACAAGAAAATCTTCCCTGCTCCCTTGGCTTTTATCTGACCCTGAAATGACCCCTTGCCTGGCTTGCTTCATACAGGTCTTTGAAAGGCGTTCTCTGCAGAATGGTGTGGGCACAACTTTGAAGTCCAGGCTTCAGTAGTGGCCAAAAATTCCAAATACTTGGAGTATCCAGGCTGCCCAGAGCTCTCCAGGGTAGACTGGAAGTGTGAAGGTGTCATAGGAAATTCTTAGCGACAATAGGAATTCTTAGGGCCCGATCTTGTGCTAGGCATGGTTACAACAGTGTCAAATAATAGTGCACTCTGACTCTAAGGTGGATATCATTGTCCTTGCTGTGTATGTGAAGCAAGTGAGCCTCTAAGTGATGTGCTGTGAGGACAGGAAGATTGCTCACCTTCTCAAGGTGAGTGAGTGGTGGGGACAGGATCCAAACCTCAGCTGTCAGCTCTGGATTCAGGCTCTCTCCTCTGGACCACGGTGCATGTGGGTATTCAAAGGGGTGGTACAAGTGGCCAAGTCCAGCCCTTGTCCTCCCCCTTGGCCCTGCACTCAGGGAGGTCCTCCCATGGTAGAACCTGACTCCTCAACTGCCTCCCTACTCCTACAATATTCCTATTCCTATTCTCATTGGAAACTTCTCCAGAGGTTGTACTGGTGATACAGTCCCCACTTGGGGTGGAGGGTCATGAACACTCCCGGTTATAGGGTAAAAAGCAATAGGCTATGACGCTGAAAATCTAACTAGTAATTCCTGACCTGCCATGTGACTTGGGGTCTCTCAGTGCCTCTCTTTGGGTCTCAGATGGTGACATGTACAACGGGGAAATGGCTCTTACTCAGTCTCTCTCCTTCTTGGGGTCTGTGGGGAATAATACAGGATGTCTGAGTTAAAGGTGGCTGGCAGAAGGGAGTGCTTGGCCATTGGCCCCTTATCCCTGTATCTGCCAGATCTTGATTTCTCTGGATACATAACCACATCTTGATTTGAGGGCAACCAGAATGCCAAATAGAAAAGAAGCAAGAAAGGGGAAAAAGGAAGGAAGAGCTCATTCTAAGCTGATCCTCACAACTAGTTATGGGGCAGAGGTGGAATCAGGTACTGAAAGCAAGCCAAGACCAAGAGAGCATGCTTACCTAGATCGTGGCTCTGATCTTTGGTATCAAGCAGCTGCACGCTGATGGTCTCCTGCTTTTGGTCCCCATAATATGTCCCATCCGTCACCAGGTGGACAATGACAGCTGCGGCAACCATTGGTTGAGAAAAATACGCCTGAAATTGTGAAGACGTAGGAGGGTCACATGTGCACTCAGTCATGTGGTGGGGAGGCAGCCACATTGGGGTGCATTTGAGGAGAAACTTCCTTTTTAAGAACTGGGCTACTACTCATCAGGGGTCCAAGATGGGAAGGAGGAGGCAATGAAACCTAACAGTGAAGAGCACAGGCTCTGAGATCAGAAACCCAATTTCAATCTTTCTCTGCTCATACTTAGCTGTGTGACATTGAGTGAATGGCTGGGCCACTCTGGGTCTAAGTTCCATTATTTCCAAATGGTGGATTAAAAAAAAATAAAAAAATCAACAGGTACATCATAGGATTGTTGTGAGGTTCTAGTAAGATAATGAGAGTAAAGTGTGTAGCAAAGGTCCCGGTCCACACTAAAACCCACACACACAAAAAAAGGTGCATACTGTTATCTTTCACTTCTCCATGTCAACCTCTGCACTCGGCTTTGAGGAGAGAAAGCTAAATAAGATATGGCCCTTGCATTTTTGGGAATTCAAAGTAGGTCAGTGACACACAAGCCAAAATGCAGTAATATCCACAATCCTTAGCCAGAAAGAAAGACCATAGACAGTTCTGTAATACCATGTGACAAGTACCATCCAACAAGCGACCAAACATGCAGGACAAGAAGGGAGATAATGGTCACTTCTTTTTCTGGTGATCAGTAAAAGGCTCAAGGAGGAAAAGATAATTTTAAAAGATCTTGAACAATGAATAGGAGGTTCCAGGCAGACAAGATGTATCCAAACTCTTTGCTAAAACAAGAGCTCAGTGGGGGCATTCCATGAGCAATTAGGATTCCATTTCAGGAAGCATCACACTGCTAAGTGTTTTGTTCCCTGTTCTTACAATTAACACCCTCAGCAGGTAGACAACCCATCTTCAGAAAGGGTCATGGGAGTCAGTGTTTTCTGTGGCTCGCTGCTGGAGATTCCAAAGCTCTCAGAGCTTCAGCTTACCCGGAGCCAAAAAGTGGTCTGAGCCAGCTGGGAATATGGGTAGCTGATGGTGCAAGGGTACCAGGCATGCTGGGAAATGCCTTCACTGAGATCTATCACCTTGGTTCGACACACCTGGAAAAATATAAAGAAAAAATAATCATGTTTTAGAGAGTGTCAGAAGTTCAACTAAATTCAATTTTACAAACCTTTACTGTTCACCTATTTTGCTCTTGGCACCACAGGAAAAAACAGGGATGAAAAGACCAGAATCTGGTCCAGGAGCTCACATTCTAATGTAGAAGAGGTAATCCTCAACACTTTTAAGGATATAATAGATAACATATTTTGATGGTAGAGATGACAGAGATATTCTCACGGAGACAAATCTTGGAGGAGTTGTTATTTGATTTGGGCCTGGAAGAGTAGGGCAGTGATAAGAGGAAGGGCATTGCAGGCAGAGGGAACAGAAGCAAGGCTCAGAGGAAAGCAGAAACCCAGAATGCTTAGGTTTGATCAAACGCCTTAAGTTGTGATCAAATGGTTACTACTGAGGCTGAGGGACAGTGGCAGAAAAGTGGGTTGAACAATTAGATCTCATAGAATCTTGAGTGTCAAGTAGAAGATTTTAGAACAAATCTGTAAATTGTGCTCCAAGTGATATTACAACAGAGAAAAGACTGAAAACATTAGTATTTGCTTTTCCATCAACAAAGAAAATCAGTTCCATCACTTTATACACACACACACACCCCTACACACACACGCACACACACACACACACAAATTCATTCTCAATGATAGTAAATACCAAACAGTATTAAAAGAAACAGGAAACATTTATAGACAAGCAGGATTCTTCAAACTTAGGGGTTTCTTGCATATTCAAATGTCACTTCGTTTACTGGTTCATTCATTCATTCAAATGATATTTATTGAGTAACTATTGCTTGTCAAACACTCTGGGACAAAATGATAAAAAAGACAGATGCTGAAGAGCTTAGAGCAGGCAATGTGTGCAGATATTAGTCAAGTAATTACAAATGTATATATAAATATAAACAGAAAACAGTGCAATGAGGGAAAGAGGATAGGAACAGCTGAGCTGTCCTTGAAATCGGTGAGGTCTTTGGTAGAAGGTCATCCCAAATTAGTACTTCTCCTCTGGTCTCTAATGTGGCTTCTCTCACAAAACTTCCCTGTGAATTTGGGCCTGTCATTTCATGTCTTGTCAGTGCATTCTACTCATCCGAAAAGTACGGCTGACCTGGAGAGCCCTGAGGATCTCATATGCTATTGAAAAAAAGTGATATATCCTCAACAAGATCAAACAAACATAAACACCTAAAACAAGCAAAAACAAAAGTAAAATGGAAAAGTATATACAAGGATTAAGAATATCCATTTCTACAATAAATATAGTAGGAAAAGATTGGAAATAGTCTATATGTTCTCCTGTTGGTGGAGAAATGTATAAAATATGAAATATTCACATGACAGAATTCTATTATGGCAAAGGAACAGTAAGAGAAATAAACTGGATTCATATACAAGGATGATATAAAAATAGTTTAACACTTGGCTCAGTATGGTCTCTAGCCAAATAAAAAGGAAGCCCTAATGGTAAGCTCATAGACATCAACATGGAGAGATCGCAAAACATAACATTGAGAGGAAAAAAGAAATAAGGTGCAAATGGATAAGTACATCATGACGTCATTTATAAAAATAACACAAAGCAAAACTATATATTGCCCAGCGATTCATGTGAATTAAAAATAGAGTAGAGAACTATACATCAAATTCAGGGTGGTAGTTGCCTCTGTGTATCAAGGAAAGGAAATGACACCGGGAGTCAGGAAAAAAAAGGACCTCAATCTTATTTGTGGTGTGTTATTTTTCTTACAGAAAGAGACATGAAGCAAATATGAAAAACTTGTATAGTTGTCAATTTCAGGTAGTGCATACACCTGTTATACATAGGTGGTTTTGGTTTACATCATCATATGTAATTTTATAAATTAAAAAAAATCCAAACTGTTAGCTTAGAAAGCCATTGAAAATAGATATAAAACCATCAACATCAGTTTTCCTAACAATGTGTTCAGTACAGTGGGCTCCAATGAACGGGACCAGGTCTGAATTTTCTATGACAGCCCATCCTTCTTACTCTTGGCACCATCTTGCTGAGAATCCCATCTATATTCTATGCTATATTCCATCCTGGGAATCCCATCTATAAATCTGTGCAAATTCAAATGTCTCTCTTTCCATTACTTCTTGCAATGGTTCTGGCTTCGAGGAGGTCTTGGAAAATGCCAGGTCTCAATTCTCTTTATAATAATGAGACACTAATCAAAGCACATGGTTGCATTATAATCTGCAGTTGCAAGCATTAATACTTTTATTTTTAAATAAAACTTTTGTTGAAGTAATTTCATATTTATAGTAAAGTTGCAAATACAATATGGATAATACAGATAACCAAAATGTGGTGTGCAATTTTGAACAAGTTGTCTTGTCTTTTGGCCCTTAGTTTACCTTGCACATCCGAATGTTGGGTTAGACAATAGGTTTTCACATGTCTTCCATGGATTCCTTGGATTCCATGAAGAAGTTGGCCAGGGGATCATGATGTAGAGAAGATCTACTTAGTTTCCACTCTACTATTTCAAACAGAGCATCTGCACTCACCTGTTGTATATATAAAGCTGCCTTATAATATTTCTTTTAAGAAAAGAGTTTCATTGCTTTAAAAGCATCAAAAAGTATTGAAATGTGTTAGCTGCCAAAGTTCCCCTCACCCTGGCCCTAGGAATTGATAGGTTCTGAAAGCACAATATTAATTCTCTGAATATCACTGGTAACTTCTTGAGAAGAAACATGCCATGAATCTCCTATCCCATTGCTGACAAATTAGGTGATGGCTTCAGTTATTCAAATCTCTAGAAGCCTCACACTGAGGAGGCTAAGGGTAGAACATAGCCACTTAAATGGGCTGGAAGACGTTTTTAAGTTTATTTATTTTTCTCAAAAACAACTGGGACCGGGTTTAGGCAGATCTGCCAGTGGATTGTGTTACACTTTACAACAGCGCAAGACTTTGCATAAACTATCTATGGAATTTGAAATCCAGGCCAGCAATTCGACATGTATCATTTTGGAATTCTTTCCCCTTGTGTTCTTAGCTGCCTGTCTCCCAGCAGAGCTTGGTGAAGCACATCTCTGAAGGCTGGATTGGGGGTCTTATCTCTGCATCTGAAGCATTCATAGCTACAGGATTCTCTGACATGAACAAAGCCCTCTTATTGCTTAAATACTATTTCCTCTTGTCAGTTCTATTAGCACTAGACAGGGTTTTAAAGGAATATACTGGTGTTATTTTATTCTTCTGTTTTCCTATTTTGTTTTGTGTTTGTTTCAAGTTGGCTGCAATCCTGACCAAGGACAGTCAAAGCAAATCAGAGAAGAATGAACAAATCCAGCTGAAACTTTGCCCAAAGCCCTAGTTGATCTGCAAAATAATCTATGTTCCTGGGGAACTGGAGGGAGGCTGGAGAGGAAGAGAGAGGCAAACCCTTACAAGCCTCCTGCTTTCATAGACATTGAGTGAATCTGCTCATTCAGCAGCCATTTACTGAGGGCATATGGCATGCCAGGCTTCAGAGAACTGCAAACAAAAGAGCCTTGCCCATGATACAAAGTTGGCCACTAAGGACACAAGTGTGATCCCCAAGGTGACTGATTTTATGGGGATGCTCTGTTTTCATCCGCCTGTGTTTTTTTTTTTCACCTTCCAAAAAGGCAAATCCAACTCCATAAAGCATTGCTGAGCAATGTTGACTTTACTGAATGTTTTGGGAGGAGACATGCAGGAGAGTTATATCACGCATTCTAGGGGCCTCTTTAGCTCTCCCTACCATCACCCCTAAGCTCTTCTTCGCTCATCATCTCCCCTCCTCCAGTTTCTTCAGTGACACTGGCTCCGGTGACATTCCCAATCTTAACCTTTTCCCCCTTCCCAATCTGCACATTTCTTATACCCCGTGCAGAGCCATACTGTTTTCCATCCTTCCAGTGATGCCAAGGTTCTTCCCAGCCTTCCAGCCCTAGAGATGTCAGGAAGTAACACAGTAACCCTTTTTCCCCTCTCTGTCATGCTGGTGTGAACAAGACCTGGTCCCTCCTTTCACATTGCTCCCTGTCTTGTGGAACACATCAAGAGTGCTCTAGAAACACAGGCAACCACTAGGCTTTGGGTTTCCCTAGGGAAATGGAAAAGGAGATAAGGAGAGATTCCATGGAGCTCAAACCTGTTTTTCTGTCCTGCCCAGTCCCATGTTTATTGCAGTATTATTCATGATAGCCAAGATGTAACAACCTACATGTCCATCAACAGAAGAATGGATAAAGAATATGTGATATATACACACAATGGAATATTACTTGACCTTAAAAAAGGAAATTCTGCAATCTGCAATAAGAGGAATGAACTTTGAGAACATTATGCTAAGTTAAATAAGCCAGACATGGAAAACAAATACTGCATTAGCTCACTTAATATGAAGTATCTAAAATAATCAAATTCATAGAACCAAAGACAAAATGAATGGTGGTTGCTAGGGGATGGGGAAGGGAAAAGTGATTAGTGACTAATCAATAGGCATAAGGTTTCAGTTAAGCAAGATGAATAAGTTCTAGGACTCTGCAGTAAAACATTATTCCTATAGTGAACAATACTGTACCATACACTTAAAAATTTGTTAAGAGGGTAGATCTCACGGTGTGCTCTTCCCACAATAAAAAATAAAGAATTATTACTTTGAATGACTAAAATGTTGACATTCAATGTTGATCCACTGGCCTGAATGTATTTGACTCTTTGAACCCCTGGTACAGATTTAATGGTGTCTACATTGGCAGAAAACCTTCTTACTTCTTTTCCCATCCTGGGCAATCTAGCAGGACCCTATAAGCAGCTTCCCCAGCCCTTATTCCAAGAAAATAGTTGGTCCCTGGGGTGGCTTCAGGTCACAGCTTTGTTGTCCTGGGACAACAATAAATAATTACATTTATTAATGTATAAATACATTAAATATTTTTTACATAAAATAATCAAGTGAAGGGAAAAATAAATTGATATAGTAGTCCTAGGCAAAGAGCAGGTGTGGTTGGGCTGACAAGCACCCTCACTTAGGTCCTCTCAGGTTGGAGGATGGATGACATAAGCCTCTTGATTACTTCATGGACATACAGCTCATTTCCATTTATAGAAAGCCTATGTACCATTGGACAGTCCTCTCCAACAGTCAGAGAGAGAGAGAGACTCCTGGATCCACTTTCTCCTACTGTTTCT
This sequence comes from Homo sapiens, assembly GCF_000001405.40. Lineage (NCBI taxonomy): Eukaryota > Metazoa > Chordata > Mammalia > Primates > Hominidae > Homo > Homo sapiens. The sequence goes on along the minus strand of NC_000009.12, from coordinate 116,326,022 downwards.
TCTAAGTAGCAATGCCTATAAGCTTTCTTATTTTAAAGTTAGATGGGACTAGAATAGGTTATCTGCTGAGATCATTCCCCTTTGCAGTGGTCAAGGGAAGGGAGGTATCTTGCACGGCAATATACAGCCAATAAGGAGCAACACGTTTATGAAAAAGCAAATTTTTCTGTCTCCCAGAAATAGTGCACTTTTCTCACTTATGTTCTGTACCTTATTGATCCTATTTTTTGCTGTGTAGAACCATCTCCAGTGACATTTATATCTCTTCCCCCAAGAAATCATGGCAGAAATGACAGACGGCAATTCTAGTGCCCAACACCATTCTCTTCTCCAAGATACCCAGCCCTGTGTCTTTTATGGAAGCTGGGCAGATGACTGCTTCTCATCCTCATCCTAGCACCTGGAGGAATTGAAAGGCAAGTGACCCCTTGTCCACTTGGCCTTGGGGGCGGGGGGCACTCATTTTAGCAGAATCCCTTAGACTATCCATTATCTGCAGAGATATTCTGTGTTTCCTTCAAATACCGTCCATGGACAGTAGAAGACCTGGCTTAATTCCAGCTCTGTCACCAATTAACTGGACATTTCTCTGACTCTCCGATTCCCCCTCTGCAGTTGTACTGAATGGTTGCACGGAATGACCTTTAAGGGCCCCAGGAGCTTAAGGACACCCACAGTCATAATATCCACCAAGGGTTTCATAGTCACAATATCATTTAACCCTGATAGTCTGGGAGTTTAGAGCCACTGCATTTTCTCTGGTGAGAAAATGAGGCTCAGAGGCTTTGAAAAATCCTTTCAAGGTCCTAAATCCAGTTGTATATCACAACTAGGAGTTGACTGATCTCTAGAATTCCATGTTCTGCGTACTTAATTACAAAGCAACACAATTGCTACTTGGACTCAACTGAAACCTCCACTTCCTCTGGTGGAGAAAGGGCACCAACGACCAGTCTTTTTGCTTCTGGTCCCACCACATTCATTCATAAAAATGCTCCCCATAATTAACTTTCCAAAGGAGAAAAACTAACCATACCACCCTGCTACTTATCCACCCACCATGCTGCCCATGATCCACAGGATGGAACCTTCCCTTGACACAGCTTACAAAGGTTTTCAGGAGCTGGTTTCAGCAGCTTCCACCAATTTCACTGCTCTCTGTGCTCCCTTCCCTGGCATCTATACAGTGGTGCTTCCTTCATGCTGGACAACTCTTTCTCTCACATGTTGTGGACTCCCCCTCCATGATGCTGGAGCCCAGAACCCCCACGCCCACCACCGCTGCATTGCCCATTTTGTGAAATACTACACGCATTTCAAAGCCACTCTCAAATATCATCCCTCCTCTGAAAGCCTTTACTCACTCCCCAGGCAGAATTAATTGCTCTTTCTTATGTGTCCGTATAGTTCCTTATTTATACCTCAGTTACAGCACTTGTCAAGTTAGATTATAGTTGTATAGAGTCCAGCCTCATCTCTTTAAACTCTGAAGATTTCCAAGGTGAGAAGCATGTTTTATTTATCCTCAAATAAATCCCAGCAGATTTCCCAGCACACAGGAAATAATAGGGGCCCAGCAGGCAACAGCAGCAGTAGCAGCAGCAGCAACATGTATCGGGTGCCTATTCTATGCTGGGCACTGTTTTAAGGACTCTGTATGTACTAAATCATGCAGTGCTCACCATGACTCTGTGAGGTGGGTATTACAATGATATGCATTTTACAGATAACAAAATCGAGGCCCAGTAATTTACCTAGGGTCATACAACTAGTTAGCGGTAGAACCAAAATTGAAATCCAGGCACAAGTTTAGCCCACATTCTTAACCATAGATGTTAACTTCAAGAGAGCCTGCCCACATGTCTCTCAGGGCTGTGATGAGATTTTTAAATAAGAGAATAGATATATTTGTGCTAGCGGGGTCTTAATCCCAGCCACATGGAAGATGGACTTGGGACTTCTTGTTGTCTTTCCCTGGGGCTCCTGAAATAGAAGCTGCTTCAACAGACCAAAACAGGCCTTTTCAGGTCTGCCCCGGAGTGGAGTGATACAGTAGAAAGAGCCTGCAATTGCCAGGCAAGGGACCTGCCTCCTAGAACTGACTCAATTGCTCACTTTTTCTGACCTTCACTCTTCCTATTTATGGAAAGACAGAGTAAGATGAATTCATCTCCAAAGGGCTTTTCAGTCCTGACATTCTGCCAGCTTTTGATTTCCAGCTTCTCAGGTGAATGCTGCAGAAAAGAATGTTGACTCTAAAATTAAGTGTAAAACAAACAAAGAAACAAACAAAGCCACACTGTGCAGCAGGTGAACATCCTGTTGACTTCTGAGACTTATGGGTCCCTTTCTCTGAAGCTGAAGGCTAATTTCCAAGACACCTTTTTGGGCAAAGACAATCAGAACAGTAACATAAAAGTTTACTGCAGCCTTTCTAGCAATGTGTTTTTTTTCTCTCTCTCTCTCTCTTTCTTTCTTTTTGTGTCTGCAATTGGAAGCTGCAAAATAGCTGGGGAAATCCTTTGTCCAGAGCTTTGGGATCACTGGATATCTGAGCTGGGAGGGTCCTCAGAAATTCTTACTCCAATTCTCACATTTGATGGATGGAGAAACATAGCCCGGTGGAGGGAGAAGAGACCGGCTTGAACATATACAGTAAGCTCCTCTGTGACGGGCCAGGATGTCTGGTGGTGACTAGGCGTTCCAGGTCTGCAGAAACAGAGGACTCTGTGGCTCCAGGACCCAGAGACTCTTGTCCACTCAGTGCACTGCCAGCCGCTACATCCAGCACCCGCCTCCAAATCCCCCTCCTTTGCAGAAGACTGCTTTCAATTAGAGGAGTTAACGATGTCTTGCTTTCAAAGGGTTTTTTTAAATCCAGTTTATCTTCCACCCACACACGATGTACACAAAGGCAGGGAGACGGAGGGAGAAGAGGGGGAGCGGGGGCTCTGGTATTTTCCCACACAGGGGACATGCCATGAGGTTTCCATTGAATTTCGATTTTACAGATTTACATGCCCTTTTGTCAATCATGGGAGGGAGGAAGTGCTCATCAAGCCTCTAGTCCAACCTCTCCAATTTCCTTTTTCCACCCAAAGGGACCTGCGAATGAGCCTTATAGAAGAAAATAGGAAAAGGAATGGGGAGGAGGAGTGCGGGGATGGATACTGACACTAACAGTACCCATAAATGTACAAGTGTGCAACACACACAAACACAGACACACACACACACACACACAGCCAGCCAGTGTTTCTCAATATTTCTCCTTAGGCCACATTTTAACCTCAGGCTTGCAGTTCCAATGCCAGGTTATTTCCCAAGAATTGCAAGGGTGCAAGAAGGACAGAAGTTGGTTTCCTGATATAAACCTCCAAGATTCTTAAGGGTCCTGAGGACTACAGGAGGGAAAGCCTGCTGGGAGACAGCCTATAAGACTACAGCTGTAAAGGGCCTCAGGGAACCTGGACACAGAATGGCCCAGGTGAAATAAAACCTCCTCCATAAACCAGGCTTTGCTGTTTTTATCAGATGATGTTCTCCCTCCTCAGTGCTTTCCTGGGAGAGTGAGAGAGGGCACCAGCTCTTTTTTTTTTTTTTTTTTTTTTTGAGACTAAGTCTTCCTATTGTACCCCAGGCTGGAATGCGATGGCACGATCTCAGCTCACTGCAACCTCTGCCTACCAGGTTCAAGCGGTTCTCCTGCCTCCACCCCCCGAGTAGCTGGGATTACAGGCTCCTGCCACCACACCCAGCTAATTTTTGTATTTTTAGTAGAGATGGGGTTTTTACCATGTTGGCCAGGCGTCAGGTGATCCACCTGCCTTGGCCTACCAAAGTGCTAGGATTACAGGCGTGAGTCACCGCGCCTGGCCAGCACCAACTCTTAAAGATGGTCTGCCCAGTATGGGTGCTGCCTGTGTATTATCTCATTTTACCTTCCTAATAATCTTGTGAAATAAGCATCTTTATCCCCAATTGAGATATAAGGACTCTGAGGTTTGGGTAGGCATTGATCAGCCTGCCACGGCTTAGCAGTCAAACTCATGCTCGTCTGACGCAAAGTCTGTTCTCTTCTTACTCCATGGCTTGACCTCCCAATAACTCTTGGTCCATACCCTTGAGGTAATACACTTGCATTATGGTTTCTTGTTTGTCCATCTGAATCTCCATGTATGAGCTTCAAAGACAGTGCCTATGCCTGACTTCTCTTTCCTTTTCATCAGTGTCTAATGCAGGTTACTGGGCAGGGCTCACCAAATGTCCCCTATGTTAAACTAATATGGCTTTCCCAAGGCTTTATAAGATTGGTGACGCATTAGATCTAGAAATCAAAGTCTATAGGGCCTAGACCAATGTTTAGAGATAATAATAACCATGTAGTGCAGGAAAGGGACCAGGAGAACCAGGACTCATTCCCACGTGACATCAGTGCTACCATTCTCTCATCCATTGCACAGGACAGGCACCATTAATTACATAGTGCATCCCTGAAGGTAGGCCTCTAAATCCTTCTCAACAAAACACTATGGGGAGTCACTCTAATTGCTCAGAACTGGCCTAGAAGATGAATCCTATTTGCAATTCTTGAACTTGGTCATTAGCTCACTGAGGGGAAGAATGAGCTCTTGTCTTTTCTATCTTCAGTATTAAGAGCAGAGGAAGGTCCAGCTTAGATGCTAAGCGAATGTATGGCCAGGCGCGGTGGCTCACGCCTGTAATCCCAGCACTTTGGGAGGCTGAGGCGGGCGGATCACGAGGTCAGGAGATCGAGACCATCTTGGCTAACACGGTGAAACCCTGTCTCTACTAAAAATACAAAAAATTAGCTGGGTGCGGTGGTGGGCGCCTGTAGTCCCAGCTACTCGGGAGGCTGAGGCAGGAAAATGGAGTGAATCCAGGAGGTGGAGCCTGCAGTGAGCCGAGATAGCACTACTGCAGTCCGGCCTGGGTGAAAGAGTGAGACTCCGTCTCAAAAAAAAAAAAAAATGTATAACAACAATACCACTTTACATGTCTCATCTCAGTTAATGCATATAATGAACAAACACAACTCAAATCTTCCAACTTCAGGTTCAGGGCCTCTCCCACTACCTGCGGAGCACTATAGACCTCTCCTACCTGAGATCTTCTCTTCATTCCTACTTCTATCCCTGCTTCCCTCTTATGCCTCTAATTCCAAACTGACCAATGAACACAGAAAACTTTAAGGGAAGCCGAGGGTTAACAGATACACAACACAACACAACACACAGGCACACACACACATACACATACACACACACTTCCTTTTTACACACTTAATAGCAATGGCAGAAAAAAGAGAGGGGGGAGCCAGGCTTTCTTTTACCAACCATTAGAAACAATTATCACTTTCCCCAGGCCTCCAGAGCAGCTTTCCCCTTTGATGCCTGCCTTAAAGAGATAGAGGGGAAAGGGAGGGGTGGTTTGCGTTTCTTTCAATATGAGCATTTATTATTCGGCATAGACAGACAATCAAGGAAAGAAGCATTTCCTGTGTGCAGGGCCAGAGTGTGAAACAGAGAGATGGCTTCTTCTTCCCTCCCAGAGTTCTAGAAATAGCAGCAGATCTCAGAGCCTCTACCCAGGAGACACTTTCTGATAAGATAACTTGGCATTGGATGCCCTCCAGCCTTGGGGCTCAGCTCTGGGCTGATTAGCACCTCGTTGCTCCAGGGATCTGTCCCTAACACATTAGGCATTTCACACTCCTTAGGGGTCTCATACCCTTCAGGCTGGCACCTCCCCACAAGTCTGAAATCCTGGGATTTAGGGTGCAAACCCCTGGCCAGACCAAATGATCATGGAGGAAAAGCCAGGCTTTCAATGGAAAGGGAATATAGAAATCATATAAGACGTATTGCCCTACAGCATACTAACATTTTTACAGATAGGGAAACTAAGTTTCTTAGAAATGATATGGTTCAGAATCATAGAATTGATTCTTAGAGACTACTCATTAAATTCCTCAATTTCATACACACAGGTTCAGGATTTCTGGGGGACAACAGATAGATGTCTCAACCTTCTTCTAAGGGAAAAGCTTATGTTAGAGGCCTAAGACACCATTCATGAAAGTGGTAAAGCTAACATGTTTTCTTTGCCATCATTTACTGTCCAGCACCTATGTTCCAAACATAGATTCCCCACATTCCCGGGAAGCCAGTATTACTATCCTCCTTCTTGTTTGTCCTACAGATAAACAGCCTGGGCTCAGAGGTAATAAATAAGGTGCCAAGGCCACACCTGTTCGGAGTGGATGTTGAAGTCTGTGTTACTTCAGTTCTATCTCCTATTCCCAGTCCATTCTGCAGATGAGAAAACTGAGACCCACACAGTGTACATGCTGATCTTAATGAGAATGATGACAATAACGGTGAGGATGATAAATATCCAAATGCTTCCACCTCCATGGACACCATCCTTATGTCACTGTGATGGGGAGATTCATCACCCACCCCACCCCCTTTTTCAAATGGAGAAAGAAAATTCACAATAGCAGTGGAAGTACTGATTAATATAATGACACTAGTCACTCATTTATATTGCATGAAATGTTAGTTCTCACACCTCTACCCCATGGGGTTGGCATCAGCTCCCCGTTCTGCAGACAGTACAGCCAGGCATTGGGCCGAGTCCCTTCCCAGATGCCCGTTTTGAGGAGGAGATGGGCAGGGGGCTTGAGCTCCTCCAGCTAGTAAATCCTCTAACAAGGGAGAGTGATTAGTGTCGGATGTGGCGGCCGCCTTTTGTGCTGCTGACAACTGCTGCCATTAAAGGCCTGGCTGGGCTCATTTCACACGGGCCCTCCGCAGGCCTGCTCCCTGTCTCCCTAATTATGCCATTCACTAGTCGCCCAGGCCCGCCTATGAACTCCTGACCCAGCAGTGAAAGACTTGGGATCTCATTACTAATCTCTTAAGCCACCTAGTCCTCCAAAATACATCCATTTAAGTTGGAGGCCAAGGCTTTGGGGTGGGAGGCGGGGAGAGGGAAAGTCTGGCACAGAGACTTCTCATGACATGGCCATTTCCCCTTTCGGGAGACTGTGGCCTGAGCCACAGGGCAGCTGGCATGACTGTCCGGCTCAGCCCAGGGCAGGCCCTGCTGAGGGTCGGCGGCTGGGCCTCAAGAATAGGAGGCCCTTGGATGGGAAGGGGGAGGACATCTGGGCCCACCTGTTTGTAATTTCAGGGGTGCGGGTGGGGGATGAGGCCTGTGTTTGTTTTAATTATTATTATTGTTGTTGAAAAGGGAGGAAAAAAATGAGCAGAAACTGCTAACATCTGGAGGCTGCTGTCCAGTTTACGTAATCTCTTGCTGCAGAGGAGGAACACGGGATCCCCAGCCAGATGGTCCGTGGGTGACTTCACAGCACATGTGCTACCTCCAAGAGTAAGATGCTGACGGGGTTAAAAGAGTGGGATGCAAAACCTTCCTTGTATTCTTACAGGGTGAGAGGCAGTGGTTTGGGTGCTCCCAGGGATCTGTTTTCTTTTGAAAGCATCTTTTTTTTTTCTGTCCAGCCTAGGATCAAATGTTTCTATGTCTCTCTCATTCTGTCATTCATTCATTCAACATTTATTTAGCACTTATTTATGTGTTAGGTTCTTCATTCCCATGGTCCACATGAAGAAAATGGACCCCAAAGGAACAAAAGCAACAAAGATAAAAATTCCTTCTCCTCCCATGGGGGTGGGAGGTGAAGAACGAAGCAAGCAAACACTCATAGAGAAATGTGGTAGGTTCTGTGTTCAAGCTCTCTGAAGGCTGAGGGAGGGGCTTGGAGAAGGGAGTTGCTGAGGCAATCTATATCTGAAGGCCAGGTCTGAAAGGCAAGATCTTAATATCAAATGGGCTCTGGAGAGCAGGAACTGGAGGAAAAAAAATGGCCAGAGGAGAAAAACTCGGCCACAGCTAAGCCATGACAAACCCAGTTTCCCAAATGATGTCAACAGCGGAGGCGTGAAGGATAAGTTTGAGATGCTGAATATTGTTGCAAACACAGTTCTGAGCACGTTATTTAAAAAAATACATTGCTAACTTTCTGTAGTTTAAACTTTATTTTTGCATTTGTACTGAAAGAAATTAATGAAATGTCATGAATTCTAGATCAGAATATAAAACCAGTGTAGACTCTGGATCAGATCAAGAGAGCACTGTTAACTTCAGTCAGGATGAACACTCAACTCTAGACAGGAGCACAGAGCTATTGCCAGCAGTAGAAAATTCTGAGGCATTTCCAGCTCCAGATAAGAATCCTGAAAAATCATGAATTTTATTTCAGGGCCCGAGGCATTGTCAGTTCTAGAGCAGTATGTTGAGCACTGAAACACTTCTAAGTTCTGGACCAGAATACGAAAACACCATAATCCTAAAACAGGGCTGGGTAATGCCTTCTGCTCTATAGCCCCAAACCTGAAACTGACTGAGATTTAGACACTGAAGATAAAAAACAAAAATCTACTTAGCTTTAATCCAAATGCTTTCTCTGCTGGCTCTAGAGTGAAATTCAGAAACACAGACAACCCTGGAGTAAGGCACTAAAATATGGACATCTCCATCACTCAGCTCAGAGCTATTAAGACTAAAGGGGGATGTCTTAGGAAGCTTCTACACCTCTCTTTGTCCTTTGATTTTAAATCAAAGTCCCTGGGCATTCATGGGTTAATCAGGAAAGTGATGATCACATCCAAGTTCGGTGCCTGGTCACCGAAACCCTTGGTTATGAATAGTTGAACAGTGGTTAATGGCAGTCTTGACCGCATCGGCCTATTCAAGAAAGGTCAGAGGAATGATTTTTTACTTAAAAACATCTGTCTTGAAAGAACAAGACTTTCTCAAGTTCATAAAACTAGAAGTTTCCAGGTTGTTGTTTTTGTTTCCTCCCCTCTTCCCCCTTTCTCCTGTTATTCAGCTTTCCAAATTAAGATCTGTGTGTTCCAGATTGTGTTGAAATTGAAGTACAAGTCACATTACCTGCAGGGAACCCCACTAGATGCCAAGATGATCATGCAGAGTGCATTGTCTCTGAGTCCTGCTTCTCACTGCAGACCTCAGGGTCCTCCCATCCCCTCCTATAGCCTCAATGAGTAAGGGCTGGGAATCACTACATGATTCGCTCTCTTCCTTTTGCTTTTGAAGAGGAGGCAGTACTCTTGTCTAGGTTGCCTCGAGCTTGATTTTTCCTAGGAAGAGTCTCCAAAGGATGCAATGCAGTGATGTATGAAAGGAACAGGTGGACAGCAGTCACTTATGTTTTTAACAGCATCCTGCAGACCTTCCAACTCAAACAAGAACTCCCATTTTTAAAGACAAAAGTGGTATTTCTCCCTGGCCTGCCCCTCCAGGCTTCAGAGGTAGAAACAGTGACTGTGATGTACAAACCGGGGAGCTTTGTCCACCACAGGTGCAATGGACACTGTTGACTTATATGTCCACCACTCTATCAGCAGGGTTCTCTGAGGAACAAGGACCTTCCAGAGTGATGCTTTTCCCTAGTGGCAGCCTTGGCCAGGGCAACAGACATCTGCACAAACGCAGGGTGTTGAAGCAGCTGTTCTGAGATGCAGTGCCTGAGAATCTGGGATCCACAATGTGAACTTCTCAACAACCCCTGCACCTGCCACTTCCCTGAATCTTCCACTAAGCACCAGAAGACACATGCATTTTAAATCAAAGGAATGTGAGTTGGAATTTCAGCTTCTGCCATTCACTGACAACATGGCCTTGAACCCTTCATAAACTCTAATATCTTCCACTGCAGAATGAGATGATGGTACCTATGTTGTAGCATTGTGAGGATTCAAAGAGCTCTTGCACATGCAAATATTTAGATACACCCTACTCACTAAAAATACAAAATTGACATTTTCCTCCATCACTTGCTGCTTCTTTCTTCCTGGCTGTAGAGGGACATGGTTCTGGTTTCAAATTCTAGACTTCCCTGTTCTACCACTGGGCTACCTGTAGAACTTGGGTAAGTGACCTAACCTTTGTGAGTCTTAATTACAGTAGTTACCTCATACAGTGGTTGACAGGTTTAAATGTACAAAAAACAGTGTAGAGTTCTCTACATAATGTAATCACTCTGACAGCCAAGCCATTCTCTTTACTCTACTCATCATTATCAATTTCTGTGATTACTATTACATTATGGTTATTACTGGTATTTGTTGTTATTGTGTAGTCCTTCCTTTTTCTCTGTCTCTTCATTCTATATTCCTTCTTTCCTTTTACCTCTACCTCTTCTTCCTCCCATCTTTCTTCCTCTTACTCCTTCACACCCTCCTGTGCTGGGCCTTGTATTGGGAGATCTCTCTGAAGGTGAACCACATTCTCAAGTCAGAAAGGAAGACCCTTAGATTTCCATCCATCTCTGTAGGAAGCCAATCACAGGAAAATTGCTTAGACCCCAATCTTTCCTGCAAAAACAAGAAGCAAAGGGTAGAGCTTCCTTCCTGGCGCTCAGCCTCCAGAAGCTGTTTCCTACTTTTTGCCCAAAGCTGTTAGCAGAGAAAAAAACATTTATTTATCAGTATTTATCATGAAATTCTATATGCCAGGCCCTGTTCTTGATGCTGGAACACACAGGAGTAAGCACACAAAAACAGTTACCAAACAACCCTTCTCACTGTGCAGTGAACATTCCGGGGGTGAGGATAGATTATGGAGGCACAGAGTAGCAGAAAGAACATGAGGTCTGGGTTCAGGATGGGTTTTCGGGACCTCTTCCTCCCCCAATTCACACAGTAGCACTTATCTCCTTTGTAATGTGAAGGGATGAAACAGGGGATTTCAGAAGGCCCTGCCTGCTTTGATCACCTATGGTATTAACAGGAGGCTGTAATCCGGAAACATAAGGGAATCACTTGTAGACACCGATTTATAAATTTAATCCAATCATAAAAGAGGTAACACCCAGCAGCTATTGTTCCCAACAACATCATTTAATGAGTCCATTTTCTGAGTATTGTCCACACAGCAGGTCCTGTGCTGGGCACAGGAAATACCTAAAGGCATAAGATGAGGGCCAAATCGTTAGCTGCTAACCGGTCATTTGGTATGAAAAGCTGTGGACACAAGCAATGCACACTGAAAGTCAGCTTGTGCTCAAGCCTGTCTGATAATTCCAGAAGTATTCTGTACATGGAAGAGGGAGGCTGCTCATGGGCTGAGGTTGTCAGGGGAGGGATATGGAAGAGGAGCCACTTGAGCTAAACCCTGTAGGATAATTAAGCCCTAAGAAGGTTGAGGAGCAAATGATGGTGTTTCCAGGCAGGAGAAAAGGAAACCCCAAGATATATCTGGAAATTGCAAGTTGGTCCATACTGCCTGGAACGTGCCCCTTAGGCAATAGTCTGTAAAGCAAAGGTAGAGATTGTGCATGGCCTTGTCTGCTAAGACTTTTGGAGTTTATAGGCCATGGGGAACAAAATAGAGAGCTTCACAGGTGAGAAATCACTGAGACCAATATTTCTTGTGAATACGGAGAATATGATCCAAAAGCAAAAGTCCTCCAGTGAGAATTTATGCAGACTTAAAAAATTTAAGACATTGAGTTACAAAAAGATTAGTATGTCATATCTCACTCTGGGAAAGAGAAATGTCATTTTAAAAATCTCTGGAGAGACCGGGTGTGGTGGCTCACACCTGTAATCCCAGCACTTTGGGAGGCTGAGGCAGGTGGATCACGAGATCAGGAGATCGAGACCATCCTGGCCAACATGGTGAAACCCTGTCTCTACTAAAAATACAAAAATTAGTTGGATGTGGTGGTGTGTGCCTGTAGTCCCAGCTACTTGGGAGGTTGAGGCAGGACGCTTGAAAAACCTGGGAGGTGGAGGCTGCAGTGAGCCAAGATTGCACCACTATACTCCAGCCTGGCGAAAGAGTGAGACTCCATCTCAAAAAAAAAAAAAAAAAAAAAAAAAAAAAAGATTCGATGCAATGACAGAACTGAATGAATTTAGGTAGTACTTACTCTATTCCAAGCACTGTCCTAAGTGCTTTAAGCGTGCTATCCCATGGAATTCTCACCATCTCCCCTTAATTATTTAATTTTACAGATGAGAGGACTAAGGCACAGAGAGGCTAATTAAGTTGCTCGAGATCTCAATGCAAGTAGCAGCCCTGGCATGTGAAGTACTCTAGACCTGCTCTGTCCAGTAGGGGAACCCAATGCCCACAAATAGGCTATTTAAATTTAACGAATTAAAATTAAACCAATTAGTTCCTCAGTTTCATGAACCACATTCCTAGGGCTTAATATCATAGGTGGCTAGAGGCTACTGAACAGGACATTCATATGTAGAACATTTTCATCATCATGGAAGTTTCTACTGGACAGATAGTCTGGAGCCTGGCCTGTGAACACTGATACAATTTTGCTCTCTCTGAAACATAAACCCCTGACCGTAGCTCCCTGGTGCATGTCAGTTTATCTCCTCCTTCCCGTTGCTTTAAATTGATATTCTCTTCCTGGACCCCTTGCCACCAGTCAGTTGCACTGCAGACATGGGCATTACCCAGGTGGCATCTGCATCTCTGAAAGCAGTATCTTGCCAGTAGACCAGATCTCTCCCAAACCTGTGACTTCCCCAGGGGCCTCTCTTCCAGGAAGGAGAGAAATGTAGACATCACCGAAGTGTCCCCTTTCACCACCTGCACATATGAGTCATGTTTGGAAAAGGATTCTGGGGTGGGCAGGAGCCCCAGGGACAACTTTTTTGGACTGCCCTGGCACAGGGAACCTCTCAGCAGGGACATCTCTCATGGGCCTCTCTGGGCCCATTTCTCCCTGGAAAACAAACATGTACAAATGTACCCAGGGTGCTCTGGTGCTTGGATCTGGCTGAAGAATTAATCAGGGTTTAAGAAAATCATGGTTGGAGTTTCTTTTTTTTTTTTTTTTTTTGAGATGGAGTCTCACTCTGTCACCTAGGCTGGTGTGCAGTGGCCCAATCTCCGCTCACTGCAAGCTCTGCCTCCCGGGTTCACGCCATTCTTCTGCCTCAGCCTCCCGAGTAGCTGGGACTACAGGTACCCACCACCACGCCCAGCTAATTTTTTGTGTTTTTAGTAGAGATGAGGTTTCACCGTGTTAGCCAGGATGGTCTCCATCTCCTGACCTTGTGATCCGCCTGCCCTGGCCTCCCAAAGTGCTGGGATTACAGGCGTGAGCCACCACGCCTGGCCTGGTTGGAGTTTCTTAAGAGGAGGCAGAAGGCCCTTTCTGGTCTCATTCTACAGGTAACATACCCAGTCTAATTTATCAAAGTAAGGATGGGAAGGAATAGAGAGTGGGGAGGAATAGAGAGTAGAGACGAGGGGACTTGAAAGACAAACAAAAACAAATGAACACATTTGTGTGTACAAAAATAAAAACAAAATCTTGTGCACAGCCAAACTCTAACTCACCTCAAAACCCCATCCTTTGGGTCTGGCTTGAGAAAGTTTACTTTCAGACTTAGAGAAATGAGTATGTGGTTTTAGGGACAAAATTCAATACCGCCAAAGCAGCAGGCTCAGCAAGCTCAACTGGCTATTGCTTCCTAAGTGCATTACAGCCCAGGAGAGTGAACGCTGTTTACATTTTTTACATGTTTCTTGGGTACAGAACATGAAACTAAATTACACAGCAAAGGCCATGCTGGCTGAATGCTGGTGACCCCACTTAAAACAAAACAATAACAAAAAAAAAAAAAAAAAGAAAGAAAGAAAAGAAAAGAAAATGAAAGACAAGAACAAAGAAGGGTTTTAAGGGAGCCAGAACAAATGACAGGGATAAAAGAAAGGTTTCTGGTCCTGAAGCTAAAGAGGATGTGGAGAATGAAGGTAATGAGATAGGGGTAGGCCAGGTTTGGAAGAAAAAGGAAGACAGAGGCCAAGGAATCTTCCTAGATGGGCCATGGAAGGGGTTGGCAGGGTTTTATCTAGTCTACATGGAGAACCAGTAGATGCAGCCCCAAACCACAAAGCCTTGCTTATTCTTGGGCTTCAAGTCAAGAGTCAAGTGTCAACTGAAAAATGAAGACTCGCTATTCAAAGCAGGATCTCACCGTTCCACGTGGCACCTTCCCTGATCAATCAATATGTGTTTGTTGTATGCCTACAAATGCCAAACCCATCCCTTCCTTGCTTTCCTCTCTTACACATTTTTGTTCCTTCTCCAGATTCAATTTGCTCAGGGATAATGTAGTTTAGTAGGGATGTGAACTGACAAGAATTAGATGCCTCGCAAGACGTAGCCACGTATTATACACTTTATATATGTTAGCTCATTGGATCCTCATACCATCTCACAGAATGACAGCAGGATCATGTGAAGATGAGGACAATTGAGGCTCAGAAAACTGAAATCATTCGCCAGGCATCAGACAGCTGGTAACAAACAGTACCCAAGTCAGGTCTTTCTGGCTTTAAAGCTTATGCTTCCTCTGTGAAACAATATGGCTACACTACAATGTTTTTTAAAGCTTCCCCCAAATGCCCAAGTGGAAAGAAAAATCACTTTCTACATAACCTGTCACTTTATTCAGGTTCGCCCTTCCTCCTCAAAGGTTAACCTCTAAGGTTAATTCCATTTGTCCACATATCACAGCACTTTGCAAGCTTTGTCTTTTCTTATCGAAAGAAGCTATTTTGGTGTCTTCCTTCCTCCATGGCACATAACTTACTGCCTGAGAGCAGTGGTTGCTTTGTTCAACCTCATGTTGAAAATGATGCTTTGGACCCAGAAGATTCACAAGATTCTGTTGATTTTGAATCCAAATACCAGAATCATTTTATAACGGATGGGATTGAGAGGTTCAGGGAAGTTGTTTAATCAAAACCAAGTCTTAATTAAGTGAAGTAAGACCAAGAGACTCTCAAAGTCTCTCTCTGGTTAAATTTCTATGCCCCAAATACTATTCTGTTAGAAAAAAAAAAAAAAAAAAAAAGTCCACATGTTGTTCCTAATTCGATTTGTTCCTCAGTTGCCAAAACTTCACAGGCAGACAGAAGTGTTTCTTTAAAACTTTGTCGGTTGCTACCAGAAGGAAAACTGTATTTCTAGATCAACTGTCTCATCCTTGACAAATACCTGCCATGGAGATGTTATTACTCCTATATTACAGATGAAAAACTGGGGTGGGGGCAAAGAGAACTGACTTGCTTAAAGTCTCACAGCTAGTAAGTGGTGGACTCTAGAACTGAAAATCAGGTTGAACTGATCCTAGATCTCATTTTTTATAAAGCTCCAGTCACTCAGAGTTTTTCAGTCCAAATCCTAGGGCCAGAGTGTCTAGACTTTTGTAGATTTGAACAGATATTGAAAGGGTAAATGACCAAAGGATGAATAGAAGAGAGAGCCAGGAGCAGAATCTAGTAGATCTCTTTGCTGGGGCCCCATAAGATTCAGTAGATTTAAAGTCTCCCACAGTCCAAGGTTTCCATGAAAGTTTTGGGGGTGGTTATAGTGACCAACTCAGTGGGCTCCTTTCTGAGGCAGGCTCTGATTTTTACTTTCCTGGAGGGATTTTTTTGGTGCCCCACACCATGGGACAGGCTGAACTAGACCATGGTACTTTCTGTTCTGTCTCCTTAGATGACTTGCACACGTGCTCTTGAAAAATTATTCAGAAACCACCAGGAGAAAGCAGATCCTTTGGGTATTTGGGAAAACTGCTTGGAATTGTCTCTGAAATTTCAGCATGTTCCCTTCGCCTTTCCTCCTTCCACCACCATTGGCAAAGGCTCTCTCATTTCACTAATGAGAGGAGATGAATGCTTTGGTGAAGGCCATAGCAGGCAGAGCAGGCAAGGAAGGGGCAGAGAGCCCCTTAGAAGTGACTTCGGCATTGGGTATAGAGCACAGGATTTCTTCCTGCCCTTTGCAAATAGCACACTCTAATTAGCATTGCAGAATTGCTTATCAATGCAGAATTTCCAAGTGAGGCTGTTTTAATGCAATACCAGTATCCTGGTATAAGAAAAGAAAACAGAAGAAAGAGTACCATGGGTGGGGTGATTCATCTCCCTGAGACTCAGTTTCTTCATTTTGAGAGAGGAATATTAAGAATTCTCAGCAGGGTTGTTCTGAAATCTATGCAAAATAATACAGGGCCTGGCATGTAAGAAGTGTTCAACACTTGTCAATGTTCTTCTTTCAATGATCCAAACATGTTAGCCCCCTGCTGAAAAACTCAGAAAAACTCCCCATTGCCCTCAGGATAATGTCAAGTTCCAAGCATTGGCAGGATTTTCCTAACCATGTTTCCTAGCTCATCTCTCTTGACTTCCCCTTCATCTATTATTTACCTTTTTTTGGATATACCCCTCGCAGCCCCCATTATGTGATTCTTTCCTCCCTCTCCCGTCCTCCCTCTCCTGTCCTCCAGCTTATCCTCTTAGTTGAAACTCAGCAATCACTTCTCCCTGACCTCCTCTCAGTCCGCCTCTCTGAGCACTTCCTACACTGCATCATAAGTGTACGTGGAAAGATTTCTTATCCTTGTATCCATACAATACCCTAGTGGGTATCTAGTCCCTTGCTGTGGAGACAAGGATGAAGAAGACACAGATGAATGGCTTCTCCCCTCCTGCCTCAGACTTGGCAGCCATCAGAAAATATGCACATCTGGCTGGGCGCAGTGGGTCACACCTGTAATCCCAGCACTTTGGGAGGCTGAGGAAGATGGATCACTTAAGGTTAGAAGTTTGAGACCAGCCTGACCAACATGGTGAAACCCCATCTCTACTAAAAATACAAAAATTAGCTGGGCATAGTGGCATAGGCTTGTAATCCCAGCTACTTGGGAGGCTGAGGCAGGAGGACCACTTGAACCTGGGAGGTGGAGGCTGCAGTGAGCCGAGATTGTGCCACCGCACTTCAGCCTGGAGGACGGAGTGAGACTTTGCCAAAAAAAAAAAGAAAAAAAGAAAGAAAATATGCACATCTTACAATTCCCTTTCACTGACATTTTAAGGTTTCCTATGTATAGCACATAGCTTGTGACAAAACTGTAAATTGAGCAAAGTTTCTTCTTCCTATTTGTGCATTTATTATTTTTTTCTCCCCATATCCCTACTATAATTAAGCAGACATTCCAAAATTTAAGAAATAATTTTTACATGCAAGGGTTGGCAATTTACAACACTTATGTGTCTCTCTTATTTCCATACACACATTTTAGAAAACTCTCTGGAAAGGGCAATGGGTGAAAGAATGGGGGCCAAAAGATGGAGATCTTAGCAGCAGGCAAAAATTGTAGGGCAGTATTTTGGGTATTAGAGAGAGGGAATGCCCACTTTCCCGGTGTTCCTTAAATACGTACCACATATTAAAAGATGCAAAAGACACTAGCTCTTCTAGCTTGTTCTCATGTGTCAGTCATTGGAGCAGGCTTGAGCTGCCTGGTCCTGTAGCTGTATTTCTATTATGAACACAGTGGCCTGCATCTTGGTTCTGCCCCTTATAGAGATGAGCCCTGAAGCAAGTTACTCTGCTCTCTGAGCCTTTGTGTCCTAATCTGTAAAATGAAAACAGTGATTCCTATTTTTGTAGTAGCTTTAGTAGGATTCGTGAAATTTGGTGGAAAGCCTGGAAGAAGTTGATAAATGCTATTTTTATAATTTGTCCAGGATCTTCTGAAAGTGGGCAAAGGACTTTTCTATCTTACACACTGGCTCTCATCACTACTGGCTGAGTAAGCTGATAGCAGTGTGGTTTCTTCCTCGGGGAAACTCCCTCTAGATCTTACACTCTCACTCTTGGGTCTTTGGCTACTATTTCTAGTTGAAAACACCCTTCTGATGACATGGTAAGCTTTATGAAGGCAGAAAAAGAACCAGTACTTCTCTGAAGCTTCTCAAAGTGCCTGCTGCAGTTCTGAGGATGCAGCAAACGTTTGCTGACGCAACTGTGTTTAATTCAACAAAATGTTGACTGAGCTTCTGTTCTGTGTGGGTCCCTAGAGCCAGCTTTGGGGGGAGTGCAAAGAAGGAAACCTGACATGAACAAGACAGAGAATTAACATTTGAACTACCCATCAAGTTAACAAACCCAGCACAGAGTGTTTTCTCTGCATCCTTCATTTCTACCAGGTAGATATCATTCATCTTAATTTCTACCAGGTAGATGTTATCATTCTCATTTTCTACAGGACACTAAGATTCCCAGAAGAGTAACTTACTCAAGGTTTCCATGTCAGAATGGAATTTAAGAGAGCAGAGCCAGATCTGCATGATTTCTACTTCACCTCATTAACGGCCATGCTCTCTCTCTCTCTCTCACATTCCTCAGTGCAGGACTCAAATATATTTCTGTTCAATCAAGTGAATAAATAAATTAATGTATAAATTGTTATATTACAAGGTATAGTATGGTTTGTATTTTATTTTATTTTTATTTTTCTTGAGATGGATTTTCCCTCTCATCACCAAGGCTGGAATGTAATGGCACCGTCTCGGCTCACTGCAACCGCTTGAACCGGGTTCAAGCGATTCTCCTGCCTCAGCTTCCCAAGTAGCTGGGATTACAGGTGCCTGCCACCACAACCGACTCAATTTTGTATTTTTAGTAGAGACGGGGTTTCACCATGTTGGTCAGGCTGGCCTCAAACTCCTGACCTCAGGTGATCCGCCCGCCTCAGCCTCCCAAAGCGCTGGAATTACAAGCGTGAGCCACCGTGCCCGGCCTGGTTTGTATTCTAGTAGAGGCATGAAGTATTATGGATGGGCCAAGGAATGATAATAGCAACTCAAAATGAAGTGGCCAAGGACTAATATACCCAATCGTGGGTTAATGGGACATAAAGTCAGAGAATCAATTACAAAGAAAAGAGGCATACCTAGGTCTCACCTGCCTTCTAGTGCAGGAATCTTCTGTTCAGTCAGCTGTCCAGCCTGAATGCCTTATGTTGGGGAACTTCTTATATCACAAGGCACTCCATCTCACTGTGGATAGTTCTCATTCTTTGAAAAGTTTTCTTTACTTTGGCCCTCAAACTACTCCCCTTGAAATGCTTAGTCTAAGTTTTACCCTCAAAGGATTAAGGAAATAAATTGGTTGGTTGACTGAAGGTCTGTAATCCCTTAGGAGAGCACTGTAAATTCCAGATAGTCTTAGTATTTCCATTTCCTCCTCAGGCCACTGCAAAGGAGGGAGGTGCCTGTTTGGATAGGAGGAAACAGACTTTGGTAGAAATGCTGGAGGCCGGGGTAAAAGGAAGGAATATCAACATCTCATTTTGGCATCCTTTTGTGTAAAGCATTAGAGAAATGTGAAACATGGAGACCAAATAAGAACAATACAAGATATTTGCAAGCACTTAAACCAAACCAGGTTCTGAGGTTCCCAGAAGAGAGATAACTTGATTTTTTCGGTTAATTTCCATTTTTTTCTGTCTCAGGAACTTCTTGATTCCAGCTGGGCCAGGAAGGTGCATGGCCAAAATATCCAAAGAATGTCTCTTATTATAGGATGTTCAACCCAATTTGCACAACCAGGAAGTTTTGATACTTCTGATAAGATTTGGATATGAGACTCAATGTTCAGGGTTAGCTTTGCCCTAACCAAATTTGGGAATCATGTTTGAAAAGAATGAACGAGAAACACTGGAAACCATTAGATATGGCAGGCTTTTACAACATCAAAACTGAAGTTTTAATCAATATTCTCAAGCCATATAGCACAATGCATGTTGTTTCTTTGCAGTAGTCATAGAGATCCTGCAGACTTATTGTGATAAGAATGTGCCTTTGATAGAATTCTCACTCCTAACTCTTGTACAGTGACTAGGTCAGAGGCTGGGTATTTCAGTTCTTTGGTTTCTTCCACAGGCTCTAGCACAGAACTAGGCACATAACTCCAATAAACACCTTCGCATTTATCATTTTTATTGCATCAGGGAAAGACAGAAAGTGGGACCAAACTGAATTGTAAAGAGGAAATGGGAATGACTAGGTTATTTCATCATTCCCTAAGTTAATGGAGTGTCCTAGGGAACTCCAGGGCATCATGGAACAGGGCCACCTTGTCAGGGAATGGGAACAGCCTGAATTTGAAGGTATGGGCAGTGACTATAAGTTTGTTCAAGGAGAACTGAAGTACCTCATGAGGTCTGCAGAGTGACACTCAATGCTGAGATCTATCCATCTAGGAGTCTTTCTGCCTGTTTTGTAGTGAAGTTTTCCAGGAATCCAGCCACTTCCAACTTTTGAATGTGACCTCATGTTCCCAAGGACCCACTGTCATTCATCTTCCATGAGATTCTTCTAATCCTAGATTCTTCCCTTATGGACCATGTAACTTATAGTGAAGCCACTGTGTTCCTCAGTTTCTCCAAGGTAGACAACAATTCCTACCTTGAAGAATGACAAGGGGATTGGCTGTAATGTGCATACATGTGTCCAGTGCCTGGTGGACCTTGATAACTACTATTTCTTTCCTGCTATTCTCTTCTATCTGCTTTGGTACTCCCATGCTCCTACAGGGCCTTTTGGTGTGTAAATTTGTGTATGTATGTGTGTGTGTGTGTGTGTGAGAGAGAGAGAGAGAAGAGGGAGAGTATGAGCATCTGGGGGGAAAGTGAGAAGCACATGATACAATTCCCATCTTCTTCCTAAGCCCAACTTCTAAGAGCCTCCCAGCTCCTCCTCTCAAGCTATCAACATCTTCACTGGAAGCCCTGACAGGGTGAAAATTAACTACCAATCTCTTCTAATCACTGTACAAGGTAATGAAGAGCACAATTATACTTCCTCCTCATTCTCTGTTGTTGGAAGGAAGGTACGTTTACACTTCAGGAATAGCCTTTACCTCTAATTATGCAGACTCCGTGTGTGTGTGTGTGTGTGTGTGTGTGTGTGTGTGTGTGTGTCTGTGTGCCCACGTACTTGTGTATGCGTGTGCCTGTGCCTCTGTGTGTGGTGGTGGTAGGGTGTGTGTGTGTGTGTGTTTGTGAATGACTTCTAGGTACTTGCTTTCAGATGAGGAATTCAGGAGACTTTTGTTCTGCTGCCCTCTTCCTGGCCCTGCACCCAGCCTGCACACATATTCCCTCCCCGACCCTGTATTCTCCAGTGAGCTGATCTCATTATGGCAAATTTAGTTACAGCTGAAATCTCCTTGTAACAAAGATTATGTCCAAGCCCAGAGTAATGGAACCTAGTCGATTTCATTAAAATAAAATTGGTTACAATGAATAATTCAATAGGATGATTTTGTTTCCTCATCTCCTCTTTGTAGATCGAAGAGCTAGTATTTATAATGATTTTTTAAATTGGATTTTTGTTTAGGAAGAGATAATCACCAGTAATTCCTGACAGCCCCCCCTTACAAGATTGGAATAATTGCCCCATGAAGCTTCTTTTCAAATGCTAAGACTGGAAAATTCTTTCTCTCCTTTTCTCACATTAGTCGCAATAACATTTGGGTGATTTTTAAGCACAGCTGCTACCTCAACTCTTCCTCATGGGAGGTTCTGAGTGTGTTAATAATTCTCTTGTTTGAAGGTTGTTTTTAAAACATTTCTAAGAACTGGATGCTAGTGTTGAATTTGGATTCCTTGTTCTCTTGCTGGCCCCAGCACTGTTGTTTCTGAAGCAGGACATTCTATGTGATAGAGAGGCAATGCGTGAGTGTTTTCTGTCAGTGTCGTTCATTTGCATGTGGCAATGGGATGTATGTATGTGTATGTGTGTGTATCTACAGTCAATTAAACACACATTTGCTGGGCACCTATCTAGCCTTTGCTTGAACATGAGAGGACAAAGATGAATAAACTGAAACTTGTTCTCAAAGAACCAGCAGCCTAATGGGGGAGCCAGACAGACAAATAGATACTTCAGAGTTCAGTATGATAAATGCAACCACACAGATGATTCCACCAAGTACAGACGTGGCACAGGGGGAGGATGAACCCTAGCCATTCATCTATCTGTGCACTCATTCATTCATTCATTCATTCAGCAGGCTGGCACTATACATTGTTAAGCATCAGGAAATGCCATGTTACCATTTGTTTCCACTCTCCTGAGGGCATTCAAAAATAAATGCAAATGAATAAAGGCTTTAGTGATGTAAACATAAACAAAAAGTGAATGAAGAAATAATCAAATACAGGCAACAACTAAAAATGAGGTAGTCCTATTCTGTACCTCACCCAGTGATTCTTCACTTGACCCCAGAGGAAGGTCATATCTTTCTTTCATCTAGAAGCCAGGGCTACCCGACTAAACCTAAATCAAGAAAGCAATATTGGAAAGGAATGCCTGGGAATAGCAGCTCATCTGCAAGGCCAGGAGGCAGGCTGGTCTCTGAAAGGCCACTAGGCCAGGCAGCCAGAAGCACTGAGTCGTGTCTCTGGGAAATTTGAGTCTCGGGGAAGGCAGGTGCTTCCTTGGTAGGATAATTGGAAAGGGGGCTCTCGGGACAGCATGACCATCTCTAGAATCATACAAGCACTAGTGGCCCCAAAACTCTCACTCCCTGGACTAAGCTGTCAGTCCCTTGGGGAAGAACTGTGGCACATAAATAGTGCATTAGGGGACTGAGGCATGAGTCACAGCTTCTTAGAATTGGGAAGGCCCTTGGAGATCAACAAGCTCAACTACTCTTTATTTTAAGGATGAGTCGAAAAATAGGGCCCAGAGAGGTGGGAGAACTAGTCTAAGGCCACATAGCAAATTACTGTATAATTACTGTTAATTCAAGTAGTACACAGCTTGGCGCCCCCTAAAAAGTGGGACTTCCAATATAAATTCATTCTTACCTCATTGAAATACATGATATATGCAAAATGGAGTTCTTTCTCCAAATATTAGTTATTACAGGCAAGGAAATAGGAGGACAGTCATTACCCTATCATACAATGTTCCCTGCCCTAACAATTCCAGATCTAATCTTTTACAAATGGTATTCATGAAGCCCTAACAGTACATTTAATAAAGATATGCTCAAGTGGCTATAGCCAATGACACTGCCTTAGAGGTGAGTAGCCTTGTGGGGCATAGCGGAGACTTTGAATGTCTGCAGGAAATGCCACACATGGTTAGGATCTTACCTGGGATGCTGCTGGCTGTCCGATGATGACCCAGCCTGGGCATTGCTGGTCTTGATGAGATACTGAAGCATTGGATGCCCACTGATCCAGGAATCCCTGGGGCGTGTAGACACCACAGTCCTTAATGCTGGTTTTTTGTTCAAACTCCTCACATACCCCATCACCATCATGGAAATAGCACCGGCTGGGTTCATCTGCAAAAGATTGACATAGAAAGGGAGAGAATAAATAAATATTTGTTCTTTGGCCTCAGCAATCATCAGCAGCTGCAGAGTCAGACCACCAAAACCATTGGTACTGTCAAGCCCATCACATTAGTCACGATGGACTATTACTCAGTCTTGAAAAAAAAAGAAGGAAATTCTGTCATCTGCAACAACATGGATGAACCATGTTCAAGGAGATAACCATGTTATAGGAAACGTGGAGGCCACCATGTTAAGGGAAATAATCCAGTCACAGAAAGACAAATACTGCATGATTCGACTTATAGATGGCATGTAAAGTAGGGAAGCTCATAGAAGTAGAAAGTAAAATGGTGGTTTCCAGGATCTCGGGGGAGGAGGAAATGGAGAGTTGCTTTTCAGTGAGTATGTGGTTTCAATTGTGCAACATGAAAAAGTTATAGGAATCTGCTGTAAAATAGTGTGCTTATAGTTAACAATATTGTACTTTACATTTAAAATATATAAAGAAGGTAGACCTTGTGTTGTGTGTCTATACTGTAATAAAAAGTTCACAAACACTTTCACCTTCATTATTCGAAATATTCCTCATAAAAACTTCATGTGGAAGATATTATTCTTCCAGATGAGGAAACTGAGATTCCATACATCTTTAATAACTTGCCCAAGATCACACAGTGTGTTAATACCTGATCTGGGTCTCCAACTCAGGCATTCACTTTCCAAGTTCTGAGTGCATTATTTGACACAAAAGAATTTCACAGAGGCAAACTGGGGGTTGTTTAACTCCAAAGAGGATTTCAGTTTTGCTTTAAAACATGAACTGATTTACAAGGGACATTGGCTTCAATTCCAGCTCTGAAACCAAATTGCTCTGTTAATTTGAATAAGTCTCCTTGCCACACTGGGCTCAACCATCAGAGCAGAGAAAGAGGTTACACTATTGAGACACCAAGAACCCTTCCTGTCTAATGCTATAGGCTTCTAAGGGCTTGTCGGATACCCTAGGAGTTTTAGTTAAAGACCAAGTGAATTCTCAAGCTCCCATGTCATCTAGACCACAGCAAGTGCTTCTGTTTGGAATGATTTAAAGCTGCAGCCGGCTGCAATGATTCTCACTTAGCTGCAAGGACAAGGATAACAGAAGCACAAAGCTAGCAGTAGGATGCCTTCTAAGTAGGTGTGACCTATGCATGTTTCTTGATATTTCAACACAGAACAATACAAGGAAAAACCTCAATGTGGCCAACCAAAAGAGATCACCTTGTCCACCTTTTTACTAATTCTAGCATCAGCTCTTCTGTGCTATTTTCCCAACTTTTCTAGGCAAAGCTAAATACCACCTCCTGTGTGGGTGCCTATTTTATAAAGATTTCTATCTTAACACTTATCACACTGTGCTGCTATTAAGTCTACATGTTGCAGGACTTTTGAAAGATTCTGAGCTCCTTGAAATATAGTTGCTAGCCAGTGTCTTAGGGTTACTATATAATTTATCATCCAAACCAGAGCACTTTGAAAATGATAGTGGTGCTATTAAAAATTATGTCCAGACAAAAGGAACATATCCTGGGAAAATCTGAATTTCTCAGGCAAATCAGGATATATGGTCACCCTAAGGCTTCTGCTTGATTTAGAACATTCTTCCACAAAATAATAGAGTGGAGCTCTGGAGAGGGCACTGAATTTAGGGCCAAAGACAAGGGTTTGGTTTCTGTCCCTTACATTAGCTATGTATCTTTGCACAACTGGCTTCACTTACTTCTTGGCCTCTTCCCCCTGTCCCCAGTCTGTAATGTAGAAATTATAGTCCCAACCAGGAAAACCTCTCAGGATAACCATAGAACTCTAATAGGAAATGAACATAAATGTGCTTTGTACATCCTAGAATAATCATCGAGAGAAAAAAAAAATACTCTTCTTTTAATGGGTTGATTTGCTTCTAAGTGGAGGAATTAAATCAGCTTGTGAAATCAGTGCTCACTTGAAACACATTCAAGCAACTTTCCCCTAGCTAGAAAGAGCCCCTGCCAAGGAGAAACAAGACAGATTTCTATGATGCTAAGTATCTGAAAAGAAGAGTCATTGGATTCAGGGGCACCAGAATGCTGAACTTCTTCCAAGCTGCAAAATCCCTTGTTTATTTCTGCCAACAGTTTACCCAGTGAAATACTATCAAAAGAGCCCAAATAGGGCCGGGCACAGTGGCTCATGCCTGTAATCCCAGCACTTTGGGGAGAGCCAAGGCAGGCAGATTGCTTGAGCAATCAGATGAGCCTGAGCAACATGATGAGACCCTGTCTCTCCAAAACATACAAAAGTTAGCTGGGCACAGTGGTGCACATCTGTAGTCCCAGCTACTCATGAGGCTGAGGTGGGAGGATTTATTGAGCCCAGTAGGTCAGAGCTGCAGTGAGTAGTGATCACACCACTGCACTCCAGCCTGGGTGACAGAGCAAGACCCTGTCTGAAAAAAACAAAAAAACAAAACAAAACAAAACAAAAGAAAAACAGAAAGAGAAAAGAAAGAAAGAATGAGCAAAAGAAACAGAATAAATCAATTCATTATAAGTGACCAGTAGCATTCATGGCAGTTCAATATAGAAAGAATACAGGCTCAGTACTTCTCAGTAGCTCCAACCTCATGTGAATGTGGCCACTCTACATATCGTATAACCTAGGCCCAATCCAAGAGTGACCAGCCATAAATCCAGACTTTACTCTTCAGAAACCCAATACAGAGAACTGAAAAGAGCAAGGGTTTTGACATCAGGCAGAAGTAGGTACAAATCTGAATTCTGCTTCCTATAAGCACTACAAAGAGGACATAAATAAAATAACCTAACCTCTCTGAACTTCATTTTCCTCATCTGAAAAAAAAAAAAAAATGGAGGTAATGATATTTACCCAGCGTTGTTGCAGTGATTTCAGATGATTGTGGGTATAATGCTGGCCCCTTCATCCATTTTATCTAATGGAAAACTGTGAGCTTGAGGAAGAAGCCATCTGCTTCCAGGTCACAGAGACAGGTGGTAGCAGAGCAAGAAGTAGAAGACTGGCCTTTTTACACCTAGCAGAGAAATCTTCTCCCTACATGCCACAGCTACAGAATGACGAAAACAACCTCTTGGAAATAAGATCATAGGGGTGCCTAATTCTTGGTATCACTTTCTTCTCCTCCAATGTAAAGAAAAATAGGGTAAGATTATGTTCTCTGTAAGGGTAAGATCTAGTCTCTAAAGTGACTTAATTTCCTTAGCAAAAAACCTCTCGGAATGACAGAAATTGGGGTTAGATTTTAGTTCTTCTAAAGGCTAATTTCTTCCTGATTATGTTAAAGACCACAATAAATTTGTCTGCTAGGAATCAGCAGAACCTGAGAATGGAGGAAAGGTAGAAATAGACACAGGTAGGTAAACAGGTATACAGGCAGGTCGATAAGTAATAGATGATATATAGATACGTAGAGGAAGAGTTAAAAGACAGAAAAATAAGATGGAGTTAAAAAGAAAGCAAGGGAGAGAGAGAGAAAGAGAGACAGAAGATGCAGTTTCTTCTCCAAGATTCTGCTGACAAAGCTATTGTGAGTCTCTTTTTAAAATAACATCCTTGGACACAGCTATTCAGTTTCTGTTGCTATTAGTGTCCCGGGGGCCCTTCAGCTACATCTGCCAGCCCGTGTCTGGGGAATTCTCTCTCCCTCTCTACTCCCTCTGCCCCAAGCACAGAAGAGAACAGAGTGAGGAATGGAATACAAATGTGCGGCCGCAAAAAACAAAGACAGCAACAACAAAACACTAAAACAAACTGGTCTTGTTTTCATTACATCAATTTACTTGGTGCTCCTTAAATACTTTCTGCTAGATGCTGAGCAGGTTGTAGTGAAAAGAGTCTGAAGTCAATACCAAGGTCAAATAACTTCCGTGTAGTAGCTAGGTAGCATTGATAATAATACAGTAAATTTCACTGTGAGGGATACTAAGAAAATTATACACAGACATACACATTCATGTGCACACATACACACTTTTATACACATACACATCCTGAAAACATAATACACTTTCAATAAATATTTGTTGAATGAACGAATGACCAAAATCTGGCATCCCCGATGTATATACTCTCAACCAAATACAGTTTAAACTCTGTACCCTTTGACTATTTTCTTTAGACTATGTCTTAGGGAGAAGGAAATGGAGCTGTAAGCCAGGTGGTGACTAGCTGATAGTGGGATTGCACTGGGCATTCTGATTTCTCCATCCCACGCCATCTTCCCCTCATATCAGGGAATTCCTCACTTCAGATTCATTCCCTTTCATGTGGTGACACATTTAGAAATCTGTTCTATCCAGCTAGGAGACTTGACGTGGGTAGGTGCCATTAGCAAAGTCTGTCTTCTCCAGTTGAGATTTCATATGCCAGAAACTTTCTTTTCCTTTTGGAAGAAATGAGTTCAGCTTCAAGAGCCCGAGGCAGATGGACTTGGTGTAAGTGGACAGACATAGTTGATACTGCCACCAGCTGACTTATTTTCATTTATCTGGAGCATCAAGGTGAAATGCCATGTCCCTGAGTTCCTGAGGCATGTCTGCAGGACACTACTTAAGATGCACAGAGATCGTTATTCCCATTTGAAAGCTTGGAAAACCAAATCTTAGGAAAATGATATTAGTTTACCTTGAAGCAAAGGCTCAGGTTAGAGCTATTGTTAAGAGTTCTTATCCTTGAAGTCAGAAATCCTGGATTCAAGCTCTTGATCTATCTCTGATTATTGGTTAATCTTGGACATGGTATTTCACCTCCCTATGCCTCAGTTTCCCCATATATAAAATGAAAACAAAATTACATTTTAGACTTTCTCAACAAGGTTCTGAGGATGATCAAATAGCATAACAGACTGAGATGGGAAAATAATACTGGTCTTAAAGACACAGGGTCTATTCTTAACAATGATGATAATGAGGTTGGAGTTGGAGAAGAAGTCTTCTTAATTAGAGATTCTACTTTTCTCTACCCAGCCCTAGACCCTAAGGTATCTTGAAGGATAGACATGATTAAAGAGGATGCATGAGCTATTTTCAATATAAATGCCAAGGAAGCAAGTAAACAAACAAAAGAAAAAAGTAACAACCTAAAGAAAAGAATATATTGACTTACATTGGAATGATTTCAACACAATTGGTGGACAATAATTAACTTAGCTGAATTAGAAACTTTGGGAATTTATGATGTCACTAGAATCACTCAGGTGAATAAGTGACAGAAATACCTAAAGAGGTTAAAGAGGTCAGAGCTGGAGAAGGGAGGAAGAAATTAAATTATTCGTGTCTTCTCAGTACAAGATATTAGGGATAATTTTCACAAGGAAACTTGCCTTCACATTGACTCTCATCAGTTTCAAAACGTTGAACAGATAGTCATAAGTTATCGGTTACTGTAAAAGCTAACTGAAGTCAATGTGTTCTTCAAACATGGCCTGAGATAATGTGTATTCTCTAGGATAGTGGGATAATTTAAGGTATTTTGGCTATAAGTCTTCTACCTGACATACAAATCTTACCATGCCCCTCCTTTGATAGATCCCCACTACTTATAGAAGGTCATTTTCTGCCAGACATGGTGGCTCATGCCTGTAATCCCAGCACTTTGGGAGGTTGAGGCAGGCAGATCATCCGAGGTCAGGAGTTCAAGACCAGCCTGGCTAACATGGTGAAACCCTGTGTCTACAAAAAATACAAAAATTAGCCAGGCATGGTGGTGTATGCCTGTAATCCCAGCTACACAGGAGGCTGAGGCAGGAGAATCAGTTGAACATGGGAGGTGGAGGTTGCAGTGAGCTGAGATCACGCCACTGCACTCCAGCCTGGGTGACAGAGCAAGACTCTGTCTCAAAAAAAAAATAAACACATAAAAATAATTTTAAAAAACATCATTTTCCTTAGCTTGGCATACAAGACCATCCACAAACTGTCCTCTTCATGCACATTCCACACGAACAATTCCGTTTCATTTCTCCACACCCTTACAAAGGTTGTTTTTCTCTGCCTGAAATGTGCTTTCCATTTTTCACTTTGCTAACTCCCACTGGTTCTTCAAGGTTCATCTAGAGCATCTCCTTTGCAAGTCTTCTCTATTCCTCATCCCTTTTTCCTGACCCCACCCTAGCTGAGTGTCATTCCTGTGTTATCACAGTTCCTAGATTTCTTCCATCACAGTTTCCTCACTGTCTGTCTGTGGGTCTGTTTCCTTATCAGGCAGACAAGATCTCTGCGAACAGAATTGTGGAGTCCTTCACGGTAGTATTTCCAACCCATAACAGTGCTCAGAGTAAAGGGGACACCAAACCAGTGATTGAGGAATATATGACTAGATAAACAACAAATGAAAGGTAACAACGGATTTATCTTTGAGTTCATTTATTACCAGATTATACATAGACTAAACTAACTAGGTGCTTGTGTACTTATTTGTAATGCTATTACTGACCATACCATGATAGTACTACAAACCAGATTTCATCAAAACAGAGGCACCTTCTTATAGGGTATGTCACACTTTTTCTAAAAGATTTATCAGCTTCACTATAAAATTTCCTCAAACCTTGGGATTGCAGTTTTCAAAATTAAACCCCAAGGGATTGCTTCTCAAACATTTCTGAGATGCCCAGCTAACACTAAGAACCCAGTAATTCATTTTTGATTATTTCAGCAATGAATGAGCAACAGATAAGAGCTACCAAAGCTTTCTGGAGATTTTAGGAGTGAGGGCTATTGCAATCCCCAGCTAAAATATCTTCTAATCAGTAGATGAGAACTGGAGAAGTCTATACATTCATTTAATCAATATACTAACATCTGCTTCTTGTTGTGCTGGTGCTGGAAATACGTTAATGAATCAGGACAGGCCCTCCTCCTATCAATACTTCTTGGGAAAATGAGAGAAGGCTTCCTTGACAAAATGATTTGGGAGAAACATCTTAGAGGGTATAAATAGTTTGAGCATGTAAAGAGAGGTGTCTGAGTAAAGGATAAACTTTGACCAATACTTGAGTAAGGGAATGCAGTAAATCCTGGAACTAATACAGTAAGAAACTGATCTGAAGCTAGATTTAAAAAAGATTGCAATACTATGTTAAATAAATCGAAATTATCCTTCAGAAATGAGGAGACTTTGAAATTTTTCTTTTCTTTTCTTTTTTTTTTTTTTTTTGAGACCGAGTCTCGCTCTGTTGCCCAGGCTGGAATGCAATGGTGCGATCTTGGCTCACTGCAACCTCTTCCTCTTGGGTTCTAGCAATTCTCCTGCCTCAGCCTCCTGAGTAGCTGGGATTACAGGCACCCGCCACCACATCCGGCTAATTTTTGTATTTTTAGTAGAAACGGGGTTTCACCATGTTGGTCAGGCTGGTCTCGAACTCTTAACCTCAGGTGATCCACCCCCCGTTCAGCCTCCCAAAGTGCTGGGATTACAGGTGTGAGCCACCATGCCCGGCCCACTTTTCAATATATAATTCTGGGAGCAAAATAGTTGATTACCCTTAAGTAAGTCTCAATATTACTTTTGGAAATCTCTGATTT
The DNA here is from genome assembly GCF_000001405.40 of Homo sapiens. Classification (NCBI taxonomy): domain Eukaryota; kingdom Metazoa; phylum Chordata; class Mammalia; order Primates; family Hominidae; genus Homo; species Homo sapiens. Next base: position 116,295,185 of record NC_000009.12, on the reverse strand, counting down.
CACTTTTTGTAACATTCACTGGTATTGGCTAAATATAACTAGTCTGGGAAGCTATTGAGGTTACTAATCTTCCAGCCCATTGATGAGCCAAAAAGAAAACCAAACATACACAAAACTACCTGTAGATGAGGAGATGAGAGTTCTTAGTCACTAATTTAGAGCTCAAGGAGAAAGCAAAGATTTTGAATGTGCACTCTTCTGAAATGAACCTCCTTCCAAACGATGAGTGGATTCACCTGTCTTTCTAAATTTCTTGCAAATAAAGATAGGACAGCTTTTGAGAAATTAGCATCTATTTCTATTTCTAGCTAATAAAACAGTGATTGGCATTATGATATTCTCTTTTAGTCCAACGATTACTTTTCAAAAAGATCTTTAAAGGCCAGAAAAAAAGTAGCATATTTTAAGTTTAGCTGTTTATTTAGAGATGGGTTCAATAACAACAGTCTTTATGCCACATCACAATTCTTCCAAACAGCAACAAAAAGAAACACCCCCACACACAACAAAGCGTGATCTTTGTACTTAAACGTTAGTTTCTTGGAACAGGGGGAGCAGGAGTGCTTACCTGCTGAAGGTTTACAAAGGGGAAGCTTGGGTGGGGCTGGGAGGTGGCTATATATTGGCATATGTTTCCTCTGGGACAGAAATATCTTGACTTTATATAGCCTATCTTTCAAAGGCTTCGTGTCAAACCCACATTGCTGACCTCATTTAATTCTATTCAAACCAGGGTTTCTTCTTAACCTCCTCAACCAGATCAGCCTGCCCAGAGTACAAAAGACAGGGTAGTGAGGGCTCCTAAGGAACCATGAATCTGCTAACAAGCTTCAGATGCTGATTAGGTCTACTGAAGGAGACCTGAATCTGAGGAGCTTAAGTTGGTTTCCAGTTCCTTCAAAGGTTGGCCACATACCCACATGGGCCAGAAATTCCTCCCTGTGTTTCACTGTGAGAATCAAGCATCCTCCAACAAACTGAAGGCACTGGAAAAGAAGAGCATCCCTGGAAGTAATCACATTATCACACTAACTCTACACTCAGGCCCATCAAGGAAGGCACCTATAGCACAGCCTCATATTCTATCTACTTAGCCCTTACACACTCAAAACTGGCTTTGCATCTTCCTCACCTCAATCCCTTCTCACAAAGCAGCTTATGAATCTATGAATGATTTATCTAAAATATGAATATTTTCATGTTTGAAATACTTTATTTATTTATTTATTTATTTTGAGACAGAGTTTTGCTCTTGTTGCCCAGGCTGAAGTGCAATGGTGCAATCTTGGCTCACTGCAACCTCCGTGGGTTCAAGTGATTCTCCTGCCTCAGCCTCCTGAGTAGCTGGGATTACAGGAATGCGCCACCAAGCCGGCGAATTTTTTGTATTTTGAATAGAGACGGGGTTTCTCCACATTGGTCAGGCTGGTCTCGAACTCCCGACCTCAGGTGATCCGCCTGCCTTGACCTCCCAAAATGCTGGGATTACAGGCATGAGCCACCGTGCCCAGCCTGTTTGAAATACTTCATAGACTCCTACAAAATTTTAACTTCCCCAACTAGCTTTCAAGTCTTTTTGTAATCTAGCTCCAACTTTCCTATTTATTCTTAGTTCCAACCACATCTCCACCGTCAAATGCATCCAGTTCTTTCCCAGAACTCACATCTCAGAGCATCTGCCCTTACTTCCTTAGCCTGAAAGGCTGGTCCTGCCTATGAGTCTTCCATTAAGATTCAGTTCTAGCAACTTCAGCTCCATGACATCTCTCACTTTTCTGCATCACTACTTGTTTGGTACAAACCATTTCCCTCTATTTCCTACATCATTAGTCTCCCAAATCAGCAAAATAGAATATAGCCCATCTAAAGATTTAAAAATGTAAAAATTCTTGAAAAATTCAAAGTTTTTAAATTAATAAAAACGCAAACCTCCTTTCATTCTGTTATACGTCTCCTAAATACTATTTCTCCTATCCCACATCTCTCTTTCTATGATTCACAGTAAAATTTATTGCGTTATCTAAACTAGTGTTATTCACTTTGTCTCCTGCACTTCACCTATCGGTTCTCTCCAGTCTAGCTTCTATACTCACCACTCCACCAAAATCAATCTCATTAACGTCGTCATCAACCTCAAAGTTGCTAAAGCTGAGCATGATGTCAAAATCCCCATCTTGCTAGACTGCCTTGAAGCATATAAAGAAGTAGCCCCCTCCTGTCTTCTTGCAGTCCTCCCTCTCTTGACTTCCATGACATCATGTCATCCTAGTTGTCTGGGATCCTCCCCCACAGACTCATTTGAGGGCTTCTCCTTCCCTAACTCTACATGGAATGCTGCCAGACTTCAGGGTTAGATGGGGACCCCTTTTTCTTTTTTATCTACAGTTTCTCATCCTGTCTCAGTTTCTAAATAAAAATTTTAAAACCTCTATGTGCCAATCACTGAAACATTTATAGCCTTAGATATGACCTCTTCTCTGAGTCCCAACTGCCTAAAATTATATCTCTACTAAATATCTGCCTATTTAAAGGCATCACAAAATCATCAAAAGACATCAAAAAACATATCTAAAACAAAAATACTGATTTCTCCCCACATTCCCTTTTTCTCCACCTTAGTAAATGACAACACCATCACTTAACAATGACCAAACCAAAACCTTCCCAGTCATCTGTCCTACTTTTTTTCAGCTCACCCTTTAACACCACACAAAGTCCATCAGTATACCTTATAGGCTCCTTTTCCCTGGGATATTTAAAATAGATCTAATTTGTTCTATCATTACCACCCTAGTTCAAGCCAACATCACTGCTGCAATTCTCACTTAACCAGCCTATCTGCTTCTCTTTTCTCAACCATTTGTTTCCCAACTATCCCTCCTTCAGAACAGCTATAGTGCTCTTCTAAAAACGTAAACTACGCCATGCCATGCCCCTCATCTAAAACTCCTCAATGGCTTAACATCTCATGTGGAAGAGTTCAAAGTCTGTATCCAGGCCTACAAGCCCCTGCTTTATCCCTCCATCTTCTGTTACTGTCCTCCTTGCTCACTACCTTCCATTCATTCATGCATTCATTCATTCATCCAGACAGACATCTATCGACACAACAAGTATCTATTCCTTAAGTAAGCATCCAAGAACCTGAACTTGATGTTCACATTTTCTGGAATATCTCTTTCTTGGCTTTTCTCATGACCTCTTCATTATTTAGCAGTCATTTCAAATATTCAAGTAACAAGCAGTTAATTCACATTCTAATCCTCCATCCCCACTGCAAAGTAGCATACCATATTGTTTTATTTCCTTTACTGTAGTATTCACTATTTTAAATATTTATTTTATTTAAAATAAATAAAATAAAAAATAAAATATTTATTTATTATTGTTCCCTGCTCCCATACAACCAACACAAGTTTAATAGAAGCATGTTTCAAAGTGCATCTTTTCCATTAGGGTCAAGAAAACTACCTGGCTATATTATGTCATGTTTAAAAATACATGAATAAGTGAATAAATGAATGATTTTGTACAGCTCTTGAATTTTCAGATATTTCTGGCCCTTGTCTTACTTTAATTAATATCCCGAATACTTAGGATAGTGTCAATCTCATAGCAGATACTCAGTAAATGATGAATTAACAAAGTTATTTTGGAGTTTTAGAATCTCTGTTATCAATGATTCTGAAGATGTCCCAAACCTGATTTCAATCTGCTTTAGCAGATAGTATTATGTAAAAATTTTTATGAAAATATTAATTATAAAGAGGTCAGAGCATAAATCCAAGCACATATTAGGGGGAAAATCCAATTCTACACAAATTGTCCCACAATATATTTTTTTTCCTATGAGACATCATGCCTCACCATCTGTCTTATATATTGTTTTATTTTCTATCCTAACTGAATTTGAAAAGAAATGGAATATCTGGATAGGAAAGGTAGCACATATTAGAGTAAAATTTAATAAAGAGATTTGACAGTCTTATGAATTGGAACTTGAAGATGCATTTACATCACCTTAAATTTAGTATAGTAATTTGAATGGCTTAAAAAGATTGTAAGCAAAGATAGTAATCCTTATAAATGACAATGCAGCCAACAGAGCAGAATGTTCAAAGCCCTAAATGACTTTCAGCCAGTTCTCTTTTGGGTTTCAATGATATCTCAAGATATGAAAGAGGCGGTAAAATCCAGTGTCACATGAATTATATAGCAGCCAAGAGATAGGCTGGCATTCTAACCACAAACAGAAGGAAGAGCAATACCTAGGACCCAAAGGTCTATAAAAGTATGGGCAGGAAATAATGAAATGAAATTTGGCCTGGATAATATAAGCTAATAAATGGAAAAAAAAATCCAAAACATGGATATGCAGAGAGTGTGCAAAAAGTGGCAAAGAAAGAGGGTAATAAAAGATGGCAAACTACAAAGGGAGTTTCAGCAGTTTTAGTGTGATTGTATCTCCATATTAAAAAAAAGAGAGAGAGAAAGGAAGGAAGAAAGAAAGAGAGAGAGAGAAAGAAAAGAGAGAAAATATGAGACACTTTCTCAAACTCTGCAGCCTGCTACAGTAATGGTCAGGGAGTCAAGGGAACTGGAGATTAGAATAGATGCCCTGATCAACCCTATGACTTTGGACAAGTCACTTTCCCTCTCTGGGCTGCAGTTTCCCCTTGTATAGAATAAGAGTTAAATCAAGTAGCTTTGTGATCCCTTTTAGCTGTGTCACTCTAAGATATATTTGGTTCTTGACATTTTGCCCTTTGATCACTAAATCAGTTATTCAGTTAAGAGGGGAAACATGAAAAAAAAAAAAAGATGGAGAAACATGATCAGCAAAATGAAGATCGAGAAGCGTGTAGATGATGAACCCATTCTGAAAAACATGCATAGAACTATAACGAAAAGCAGATGGAATAAGGGGCCAGAAGGTAAAGTGTGTGCCTCAACTCTGTTGCTAACTTACTTTCATGGTACCAGTAACATACATCATCATTCTGCATCTGATTCTTTTTGCTTATTAAAAAAAATGACAGCATTATTTTCCTACCCATTTTCAAAAGTGGGTGTAAAGATAAAGTAAAATAATGCTGTGAAAACTAAAAACTACTCAAACATAAAAACTATAAGCTGTGTTGTTTTCACATTTTACTTTTGCAGATACAATCCAGACCTCATCTCCCCAATTATCAAATGGCTTTTCTAATTTTTTGTTTAGGTCTTAGCTCAACCATTACCTTCTCAGTGAGGACTTTTCTAAACACACTATCAACAAATAGTTTTCACCTTCACTAGAGTGTCTATACCACTAGTCTATTTTATTCCCTTCATAGCATGATCTCACTTCTTCAAATGTTTGCTTGATAATTGTATTCTCTCTAAAACAGAATGGCAACTCCTTGAGAGCAGAAACATAGGCTGTTGTGTGCATTGTTGCAGTCAGATACTAGTACATAGAAGATAATCAGAAATATTTGCTGAACGAATGAACGTTTTAACACTGCAAGGTTCTCTAGACATTCTATATGATTCTAATTCCTGTGCTTCTCTGTATAAAGTGGCAACTGAAACTTAGAAAGATTAAGTAACTCACTGAATGCTGCATAAATGTTAGAGGTCAAGGGTTCTGACTGGCTGATTAAGGCTTATTATACAAATATTGGGAATATTCAATGTCAAATAAAAATTGCTCTGTGAGAAATGCATGTTTGTAAGCATTAAGTAAAACAATGCATGCAAATGAAAGTCTATATATATATATGCTATATATATGCTATATATATATAGCTATATATACATATGCTATATATATGCCATATATATGCCATATATATGCCATATATATGCTATATATATGCCATATATATGCCATATATATGCTATATATATGCTATTTATATGCTATATATATGCTATATATATATGCTACATATATGCTATATATATATGCTATATATATATGCTACATATATGCTATATATATATGCTATATATATGCTACATATATGCTATATATATATGCTATATATATATATATATATATATATATATATATATATATGTATATGCATATCTATTCTGCAATCCAGTAAAACAAGCAGCCCGTCATTCTGATAGGGCATGCATAAGAGTCCAGCAAAGAAAGAAGCTTGGACAAGTGGATGCTATGTCTACCAGTGGGCCAAGGACTCGAGGATGAGTCAGGCACCACATGAAAACCAAGCCAGTTACCCCAATCTGGCATAGCTGGTTGTGACTAAGGTGACCGCAGCATGCTATGTTCTTGGCAGGGCTCCCATGCAGAAACCAGAGTGTTAAAATGGATCCCTCCCACCCTGAACTCTGACTGGTTTGGTTCACCTCAAAGACCATCCTCCTGCTATATGGTTTCGATAAGTCTAAAAAGATGAGCCATTCAAGCCACAGTGTCTTCTATCTCCAAGCTGGTGAGACACACTGCAGTCCTCTACAGAACAGAAGAGAGACAGTGCACAAGATTGCTCTTGGGTAAGTTTTCTTTTTCTTATGTAATGAATGGGTTACTCTTCAGCCCTTAGAATAAAAATACTATAATAACTTAAATCTATATGTTCTGATTTGTATTGCTTAGCTGTAATTTTCTTCTTTAACAAGGTGTGTATATGTCTTTCTCATCTCTCAGTAAGAAGAGGGAAAGCAGTGAGAGAAGGAAGAAAGGGAGGCAGGGAGGGAGGGAGGGAGCAAGGAAGGAAGGAAGGGAGGGAGGGAGGGAGGGAGGGAGGGAGACAGAAATAAATTGGTCCTAAATCTTTTCTCTTTTTCTTTTTTTGACACCTGGGCTTGAGTGCGCTCTGTCACCTGGGCTTGAGTGCGGTGGCGCAATCTTGGCTCACTGCAACCTCTGCCTCTCGGGTTCAAGCGATTCTCTTGCCTCAGCCTCCCAAGTAGCTGGGATTACAGGCACGGACCACTACACTCGGCTAATTTTTGTATTTTTAGTAGAGGCAGGGTTTCACCATGTTTGTCAGGCTTGTCTTAAACTCCTGACCTCGTGATCCGCCCATTTCAGCCTCCCAGAGTGCTGGGATTATAGGTGTAAGCCATCGCGCCTGGCCTGGTCCTAAATCTTAAGAGTTAACTGGGAACATTTGAAAATATCAATCAAAACCACTGCCCTTTTTGATCAGGGATGATAAGAGTCATCATAACTATTCATGTTCACGAAAAGTTCCAAGAAGCAGTCACTCTGAAGTCAGATTCCGCCAAATGAAGGATGTGTTTGCCCAAACAAAAGCATGAGACTGCAGATTGAGTCATTGGCTATAGATTCCAAGCTAGAGGCCAGAGAAGTTGTCTCCAGTCCTAGCTGGACCAGTCATGGCTGAAGAGGCCAATTCTGGGCCACTGATGTGGTAGGATATGGTCAAAGAATAGGACCCTGGATAGGCACCAACCACTGAGCAATAATCATGTAGGTATGAAGATGCTTAACCTGAAGAAAAGAAGGCTCAGGGAGGACACAATGGAAAACTCTTCTAACAAAGTACAGTTGGTCTAAAATTGAAAGTGGTTGCCCTAGAAGATACTGAGTTATTCATTCAACTTTTCCCAACAGGAGCTTGATGATGATTGACAAGGTGTACTCTGGTCCTTGCCTGCCTCTGCAGGCTTCTCTCTTCTCGAACGCACTCTAGTCTAAGCTCCAGACACAAATTGTCGTTGCCCTGAGTGGACCATGTTCCCTCTCACCTCCCCACGTTTGCAGAAGCTTTCTTCAAATCCCCAGAGCTGCCTTTTCTGTGACTAGTCCCCATTTGTCCTTTATTCACAGTTTAACCTCTCAAAAACCTGCCTGGAAACCCACCCCCAGAAGGGCTAATGGACCCTCACTAGGTCTTCCTATACCATCATCCGCTTCCCCAGTTAAAATTGTACTTAGCGTATTTGTGAAATGAATAACTGGATGACTTTCTCCATGCTGGGCATTGTGCTAAATGTTTCAAGTACATAAGGCATTCAAATCTAGAAGAGCCCCGTGTTTGGTCCTATTATTATCCCCATTTTACAGACAATGAAATTGAGGTTTCAAGAGGGTAAGTCATTCCCATGCTGTCCAGTTAATCTATTTTGAATGGATGTGGATATTCAGGAGAATCTGATGAGATGGGCTGATCTGATTCTCTCTCGGATGCCCTATGATTTGGCACTACTTGGGGGCTCAGGGGCCTGATGGAGCTGTGATCACAACCTGGCTCTTCACTAATTAGCTGGTGTCAATGACCAGCACACTTTAGCCCTGAGTCCGTTTCCTCTTTGGCAAATTGGCAAAATAATGACTACCTTCCCAACTGTTATGAGGACAAAAAAATGAGAAGCTGTTGAGAAAGCACGTAGCACCACATCCAGCATTTAAAAAACAAATTTTTTAAAGTAAAAGATGAGGAGTTTCCCTTTCCTTAAAGGAAGTAATCTGTCTCTGCTACCTTGTGCCACAGTTAAACTGCACAGGCTCAATAACTTATGTTTTGGTTAAACGTTTTTAATTTTTTTAGAGTGAAATCCGAGTTTTTGTTGGCAAGTGATTGAACACGCTGGGCCCAGCCTGCAGGCCCACAGTCCATTAGGAAATTTACGAGGCGAGATGGGGACCTTCAGCTCAAGTACTCCCTTCAGACGCAGTACTTACAAAGCCATCAATTTCCTTAACAAAGAGCATTGGCTTAAATGCCCCTTAAAGCAGTGTTATTTACACAGCTATCCACTTCCTTTTGAATTCTCTGCCTGGGGGGTGGCAGACCTGCAGTTCTTTCCAGCTACGAGTTAATTAGGCTCTCTCCCCAAATGGAAGCAAGCCGCAGACTGAGATTTGGTATTAAAAAGCAGCTCAATTTGGGGCCATCCGAGAGTCTTATGGGGTGATCCAAATACCACCAAAATCACTGGTTCCACCCACCCATTCTTCTAAAATTCTAAAGCCTTTGGACCTTACCAAAGAGTAATGACCTCTGTCAGTATAGAGATAGAGAAGGAAAGGCAGCATTTGAGCCCGTCTCTACTTAGTGAAAGAAGCCTCAAAAAAGTACTGCTGGCTAAGATAGCATACTTTCTACCTCTTGGTGTATCGATATAGTAACATTAACATTTTAAAGAAGCCCCCACCCCTTTTGTGGGGGAACTAGGATTTGGATACAAGCAGCCCAGTTCAGGGGTCTGAGCATGAAACCACCACCCCAAGCCACCTGACCCAAGATAACCTGCCCGAGATGACAGCTAAGGGGGAAAGTCTCCTATTCAAACAGGATTGTCTGACTCTAAAGACCAGCAAAGCTCAACTACACTTTCTTGCCTGAAAAATAAAACTGTCTCTTAAGAAATACATCCTTCTTTTACTCATTTATTCTATATTTACTGAACTGCAAATTATTTGTCAGTCCCTGGACTAACTCTTGGGAAATCAGATGAATTAAAGCAGGTCTCAGTGCTCCAAGAACTCAGGTCCTAGTGAGAGGGGAGATATGTAAATGATGACGGCACAGGATTCTGACCCTCATGAGGTACAAGATACTGTGGGAGCACAGAGGAGGGACCCCCAATCCAATCTAACCCAGATTTAAGAAGGTTTCCCTTAGGAGGCAACACCTGGGCTGTATCTCTCAGAGGAGGAACGGGTGGTGAGGAGCACATTCCAGCAGGGGGACACTGTGAGCAAATGAGATGAGGCCAGCAATATAGTAGGAGGTATAAAGCACAAGATGGTATTGGAGTATAAAATGCAAATCCTGGCCGAGGTGGGCAGGACACAAGGTCAAGAGATCGAGACCATCCTAGCCAACATGGTGAGACCCCATGTCTACAAAAATACAAAAATTAGCTGGGTGTGGTGGTATGTGCCTGTAGTCCCAGCTACTTGGGAGGCTGAGGCAGGAGAATCACTTGAACCCAGGAGGTGGAGGTTGCAGTGAGCCCAGACAGTGCCACTGCACTCTGGCCTGGCAACAAAGTGAGAATCTGTCAAAAAAAAAAAAAAAAAAAGAAAGAAAGAAAAGAAAAAGAAAAAGAAAGAAAAAAGAAAAAGAAAAGAAAAGCAAATCCTGGGCTCAGATCACGCAAGGTCTTAAATGACACAGTAAGGAATTTAAATTTATCTCAAGGGCAACATGGAGCCATCTGACACTCTCAATTGGAGAGCAACAAAAGGTGTCTGCACTTTAGGAAACTTGCTCTCACCTATGGGCAGGTAGATTGGGGCAAGCAAAAAAATGAACAAGCAACATGTTCATTTTACAAGCTTTCTCTTATAAAAGCCTAATCAGGAGCTGAAGAGGGCCTCAGGTAGAGTAATGATCATGGGGCGAGAGAGACTGATTTGGACGCAGACAAGATAACGTTTTCAAAGTAAAATGGGAAGAATGGCAATTATTTGGATGTGGGAAATGGCAGAGAGGGAAGAGTTATGGATGTTTCCCAAGCTTCTGTTTAAATGTCTGGTTGGCTACTGGCGCCACCAGTTGAGATTAGGAAAAACACTTGCAGCAGGTCTGGAAAGAAAGATGGCAAGCTTTGTGTAAGATGTGTCGAATGTGAGTTCCCTTGGGGCGTCAAAGTAGAGCAATTAGATATACAAGTTCATGGGTCAAAAAAAAAAAAAAAAAAAAAAAGGCCCAGACTAAAGATAGAGATTTTGGAGTCATACAAGGAGAGAATGGAGAATGAGAAGTGTGCCTATTATGGAACATTGGAGACTGCTGATACTTAAAGAGTAGGTGAAAGAAGGTCTGTGGAGGGATGGTCAGAAAAGTTAAGAAAAACAGAAGAGGCTAACACTTCACAGGTACCAGGAGTTCTGAATTTCAAGAAAGAGCCAGATAAGACAAAAGAGAAAAATATTGAAATATGTCTGTTTGAACATGCTATTTAATAGAATCTCATGCATGACTTCCCTAAAGAATGATTCTCAAATTTCTGCTCAATCTCTTCCGGGGACAGGTCACTCTCTACTTGTGAGTAAGAACTAGATTATTATTTTTGTTAGCCATAATAATCAATATTTGTTGATCACTTTCTGGAAGACAGGAACTGTCACAAACACAGGCATCCTTGGTGTCTAGCATGAACCTGGCACATAAGAGGTGCTCAATAAATAAAAGCCTATGTGATGAATGAATAAGTTTATAAATTAATAAAACAATATATCATAACAATCATATGAAGTCAGGAATATCACTCCTACTTCTCAGGTGGAAAAAGGTATTTGGGGGATGAACCCTGAGGCAGACAAGTGGTCCTTGTGCTTCGGGGCTGGTCAATCAGCTTTTCCTCCCTCCCTGTCCCTTTAGAAGTTCTCTTGGCAAAATGCACACGGGACAAATGGAAAAGGGATTTCAGACTCTTGTGGAGACCCTTCCTTGGTAATGAGGCTGAACTCAAGCTATACATGTGGTTTTGGACTCCTAAACTGAGGAACCAACTCCAGCCAGGACCTTTCAGAGTCCTGCCAATGGCGGCTGATAGTTAAATTTAAACTTACGGATAATTTGGGCTGGGTTTCTGACTGCTGTTGAAAGCTAAAATCACCCTGATTTCTCTTTGGGTCAGTTTGCCAAGAGTATTTTGTTGGCCCTTGAAGAGCATCCCATTCAGGGAGGTTGATCTTTTTTAAAATACTGCTCCTATCATGTTATGCCTCTGCCCAGAAACTACTGCTTGCTATGGGATGAGAACTGCCCACTCACCCCCTGTGACTTCCCTGGAGTAGTTTCCTTTAGGACTGGTGCACTCACTGTATAGAGAAAAACCCTCTGTCTGGATCTTTATAGTGGCAGAGTGTCAAACCTGGTCTTATCTGAGTCCCACTGTCCAGAAATCTTTCCCAGGCTCACCAACCCCTGCACCAGAGGCTTTCCACTGCTCCCAGGGGACCTCTAATGCCAATCCCTTCATATCTTTAATGACCACTGTCTTCTGCAGCCCTCTAACAAAGGTTTCTGCTGCTTAACCCTGCATTGCACAGAACTTTGTATGCAGCAGGTGCTTAATATAGACAATAATCAGTGTGAGCCTGGTCACATGCATTTTAGGCTGATTGCAGGACCACCATGGCTGCTGCCTGGAGGAGAGAGAAAAGCAACCGTGTGCATGAGGGCAGAGTGACAGGCACTGGACCTGGGCTATTTTATCTTTCTGTCCAGTAAGATAAAATGAAAAAAACTCAGTCCTTTAATAATTATTATAATTTCTTATTTGCTTTATGTTAACATCTCTTTGGTACTTAATCAGTATTGGCTTAGAGAAAGTCAGTGGTTTTTAGTTTCTTCCTCTGTTAAGTATTTAATGATCTGTAAACAAACACTTCAGACAGTGTTTCTTAAAAAGACCCTGGGATCCTTTTGTTATGTGAAGATTTCTTTAGCTTCCTGCATTGTTTCCCCTTCTCATTATCTGTTTGCTGCTAGGCTGTTCAGCTCTTGAGAGTACACACTTTATTAGATAACCTTAATGATGGAGATGTAGCATAAATTAGTAGTTAAGCCTGAGGGCTTAAGAGCCAGAGACTTCCAGGGCTAGAATCCCTTACTGGGAACGTAACATCTCTGTGCCTCCATTTCCTTACTTATAATGCCTGTATAATGTTAAAACTACCTCATAGCATTAATGTGATTAACCAGTGGAATTAATAGAGAAAAAGCTTGAGTGAATTTTATCCAATTAATTTAATTAAATTAATAATTTGAGTTATGTATACTATTATGACTTTTGTCTGAGATGGTGAGATGGAAAAAGGGTGGAAATATATGCAGTCTATGCAGTTGGCCCTCCATATTCATGGGTTCTCCATCTGTGAATTCAAGAGATGCAAAATAAAATTCTATCTGTACTAAACATGTATAGACATTTTTTCTTGTTCTTATTCCCTAAACATTACAGTATAACAACTATTTATGTAGCATTTACATTGTATTAGGTATTAGAAGTAATCTAGAGATGATTTGAAGTATATAGGAAGGTGTGCATAGGTTACATGCAAATACTACTCCATTTTATATCAGGGAATTGAGCAGCCACAGATTTTGGTGTTCACAGAGGTCCTGGCAGAAATCGCCCAAGGATACTGAGGGATGACTGTATATTTCTCACTGGCTCCTTCTTGTTCTAAAGGTTTCATATTTTGGAGGAGGTCATCTGGTGACTTTAGTTTTGAAGTTGGGCAGATCTTGGTTCAAATCTCAACTCTGTCACTTAATAAGCACCCGCTTTGAATAAGCCATTTCATCTTCTTGAGCCTGAACTTCTCCTCGTGTAAAGTGGGGGATAATGGCCCCTACCTTCCCGTAGCCTTGGGAAAATCAAGAGGATGGTTAAGTGGGGTGTGAGGCAGTTGGCCTGGCATAAGATGCAGCACTCAGGAAGATTTGCTTGTCTGGTGGGTGGTTTCCCAGCTCAGTAAATATTTATTGAATGGAGGCCACATTCTCAAAAGTCACTTAAACATTTGGGGGCTCTGTTGTGTCACCTGGAATGTGGTGTTAACAATACCTGGTAGCCAGGGGTGCTGTGGGTTTGAAATGAGCTACTGCAGCAGGTTCTCCATAAATATCAATACAGTCCCTTCTACTGGTCAGGGGAGGATCCTGGATGCTGCCTAAACCGTTTGGAAGGTCATCTGTTTGGGTTCCTCTGGCCACCCTTTTTAGCCTCAGAGTGTCATTTGCTTCAGTGTCTCAATGATTGGCTCGAGCTGGATGTTGGGACACGAGGGTAGATGGCAAGGCTTCTTCCCTTAAGGGTAAGGGACACAGATGTGGAAGTAAAATACATGAGGAGTCAGTGAAATTATAGCTATGCTGGTATAGGCTCAGGAGGGAGATGGATGAAATGATTGTCTAACTCCTCGCGCTGTCTCTCTCATCTGGCTTATTCTGCCCAACTGGCTATACTTTTACCCGCTTACACAGTCATCTCTAGGTATCTTCGAAGCATTGGTCTCTGGACCCCCTTGGATACAAAAATCTGAAGATATTCAAGACCCTTATATAAAGTCCCTTAGTATTTGCATATGACCTATGCACACCCTACCATGTACTTTAAATCAGCTCTAGATTACTCATAAAACTTAATACATTGGAAATACTTTATTGTTTTTTCTATTTGTGCTGTTTTTAAATTGTCGTAGTGTTATTTATTTAGCCAGTTAGTTTCAAATATTTTGTATCTGAGATTGGTTGAATCTGAGGATGTAGGATCTGAGGATATGACAGGCCAACTGTGTACTCATCCACCTCTGCCAGCAGTCAACAACTTTTCAGTAAAGGACCAGATGGTAAATATTTTGGCTTTGTGGTCCATACAAGATTTCTGTTGGAATGACTCAACTCCACCTTTGTAGTGGCAAATATGTAAACAAAGGAGCATAGTTGTGTTTCAGTAAAACTTTGTCTATGAAAACAGGCAGCAGGCTGGGTTGGCCATGGGTGGTGGTTTACTGACACCTGGTCTGTGCAAGCATGCACATGGCTATTATGCCCAGGGCAGGGCTTGGTAGAGAGTGTAGAAGGTATATGCTTGAGTCAACTTCTCCTTCCTTCATGCCGTAAATAGCAGCTTCACCACAGTCCTCAAGGGCCTGAGAAATCAGAGACTGCTAGACTTCAGCCTCATCCCTCCTTTGTTCACTACAGTCCAGCAATGCTGACTTGCTTTTCCCTCTTCAAAAGTTCTTCTCTGCCTTGGGAATTGAATAGTCTTAACTTCTTGCAATCCTTGCTCAGTTACCTGTTCCATATCTCCCTAATGAGTCCACATCCTACTCAACCCTCAAGTCTCAGCTTAAATGTCAAATCTTCAAGGAGATCTCCTTGACCCCCTCAATGTAAAGGAGGCCCTTTGGTTATATACTTCCAAGTATTTCCATTTAGTGCCATTTTCCACAATGACACTTAAATAATTATTTGTATCATTTTCCTAACCTCCCTGGCCTTCCTTTTTCACTGCTGTTTTCTTTGAAACAAGCACAGTGCCTGGCATACAGCAGGCATCAAAAAATATGAACTAAATGAATGAATGACATCATCCAGCAGCCAATTTGCAGAATCTTCTGCCTGGGTCCGACTGCACATGTTGGGGCAAGCAGCCGATTTTTTCCTGCAGGCTCTAGCAGTGAGGTTTTCACACAATCCTTACTGCCCATCCATCATTTTATTTTAGGCACATTACTTTTCTGTCCAAAAAGAAAAGGAGGCTACAATTAGGTCTATATCCCTCACTTGCTTAATATTTCAATTTCCCTCAGGGCACTCCCTTCAAGTAGAGATCACAGCTCATGAATATTAAATGTCTTTTCCAACCCAACATGGACTCCAAGAAACAACTGAGAGCCAGGAGCTAAGAAAAGGCCCTGATACCCAGCCTAGAGGCCTCTACCCTCTCCCAGTCCGCCTCAGTCATAACTGCACAGATGTACATCAAGGCACATGTATGTGCAGATGAATTTCTGGTCACTTTAAATATCACAATGAAGTCCTTGTTCTTGGCTACCCAGATTCACCTGCCTTGGACTCTGGCTGCCTTTCAAAGGCACACATCAAAGTTTGGTCTCGATTCCTCACATTCAAGCAAGCACCAAGTCGGTTCCCTGAGCCTGACCCCTTCCTGAGAGTCAGGAAGCAGACCTGGGCTGCGGGCTAGAATTCCTCCCTTCTGGCGTCAGAGGCCGTTCTGTTTCTTTTCATTCCAGCCCTGCCTCTCTGTGGGGTAGGCCTCCCGGGTTTCCAAAGGAGGTGGTAAGCCTTGGTCTGAGGCAGGATGGCAAGCTTGATCCTAACCGGTGCTGACTCAAGGGTGTTTGAATGCATCCATCAGACCTCCCTGTTGAGTACTTCAGATCTTTGGTGCTGCCCGCACGTCAGCCTTCCGCCCCATCGCCTCCTTTTCCTGCTCTTTTGTCCCCTCAGTGACCCCCTTTGACCCTTTGGGTGAAAGGAATTCCTTTCTCTTCCCCAAGCCCTGATTTCTTTTAAAATGTACCAGTTTTAAAACAATAACAACCTGGGATTTAAATCCTAAAAATCGGAGCTGAAAGCTCCCTGGGAGCTCATCAAATTCCCTCATTATTTTACAGTGGGGAAACTGAGAACTAGGAGGTTTGATCATTTTGCAAATGGCACCACTGTAATTTAGCATCAGGATTTGGTTCAGGACCATTTTTGCTGATGATGGGTTGGCTGCCTTTGCATCAGTCACAATTGAGATAGGCAATGAGGAAGGGGAAGAAGAGGTGGCGTTAACTGACATCCTTGATTGTCCACTAACTGCTGTGCATTGTGCTAAACACTCTATAGATGTTATGTCATTCTTTTCCTTAACAAAACTATAGGTGTTATAATTACGTCCATTTTTCAGAAGAGGAAACCGAGACTCAGAGGTATTGAGAGATGCCTAAAAAGACCCATGTAGTAATTGCAACCAATAGACATTTGAACTCAAGCTCCTCTGTCTCCAACATTGCTATGACAACTTTATTAAGTGCCAAACACATTCTATGCTAAAAAAAAAACGATTTGGCTACTGTCAATGGAGGGTGATCTGTTAAAAATGAAAATACAGCCTAAAATACAGAATGACCCTCCATTGGGGGTATGAGCTTTATGCCATGGAACATTTCTAGGGTGATAATAACTGAAAATTGTTGTTTCATGACTCATGAAAATGGCACAAGGACATGTGCATTCACTTTTGTTTCCTGCTGTGATTCAATGGCACCAAACAGAAATAGTGGAAAAGAGAAACACTCTCTGGCTATTTCAAGAGTTAGTCTGGAGTTGGACATAGGCTTTAGGGCAGACAGACAAACTCTGAAGTCTCCTTCTCTGACCTACCTGGCTATATGACTTTGGATATTCACTTAACCTCTCAACGCCTCAATTTTCTGACCAGCAAAATGGTGCAATTATTTTGACTCTACAGAGTTGCTGGGAGGGTGAATGAAATCATTTTTACAAAGAGTTCTTAGCAGAAAAACTGGCACAGCTGGGTATCTAATAAATGGAATAACTTCATGGTTAAAATGTGTAGACTCTGCCTAGATGCTGTGAATCTCACGTCTGCTATGTCTCTGTGTAACTGTAGGCAAGTTACTAAATCTCTCTGAACCACAGTTTTTTCCTCTACAAAACGGGGATAACATTATTTATCTCATAGGGTTTCTGGGAAGATGGATATAACTTCTGAATTAATCATATTCAGTCAGGCACGGTGGCTCACGCCTGTAATCCCAGCACTTTGGGAGGCCAAGGCAGGCAGATCACCTGAGGTCAGGAGTTTGAGACTAGCCTGTCCGACATGGTGAAACTCTGTCTCTACAAAAAGTAGCTGGGTGTGGTGGCACGCGCCTGTAATCCCAGCTACTCAGGAGGCTGACGTAGGAGAATCACTTGAACCTGGGAGGCGGAGGTTGCAGTGAGTCCAGATCATGCTGCTGCACCCCAGCTGGGTGACAGAGTGAGATTCTGTCTCAAAAAATAAAAAATTAAAATAAAAAATAAAATATTAATTATGACAATAATAGCATCAGTAGCAAACACATCTATAACACTTGTCAGGCAGGTGTCACCATTTTAAATGCTTTACAAAAATAAACTTGTTTTTCCTTGCAATAATTCTAAGAAGTAGGAACTTACTAACCCATTTTATGATTGAAAAAACTGCGACACAAGCTAAGTGTCAGGGACAGGCTTTCCACCCAGAATCCGTGTTCTTAACAATGGATACCCTATGTCATTACTCCAGTGTTAAGAATGCCACCAACCTAGCTGAGATATTATCACCCTCGTCGTCACCTTAATCACTACCACCATGACCCCCACCTATATTCCTCTTTCTTTTTCCTCTTTCATAGGCCTGCCTTCAAGCCAAGGGAAGCTTTATTTCAAAAACGTGTTCTGGGGAAAGTTACTACTTTTTCCACGGAGGGAGGTCTGATTGAATACATGCAGTCTGGAGAAGTTTTATTTTGTTTTCTTAATTTTAATTTTTTTAAGGTGAGAGGTGGATCATCTATTATGATTTCACGTTGTTAGAAAGAAAAATAATAATAAATGCAACTCCCAGCAGAGCCCATTCTTCCCCCTCTCCTCCAGCAGATGCTGTTTTTCTTTCCAGTCACTGTTGTTCTAAAGTCTCATCGGAACCTCCACCAAGAAGACGTGGCGATTCATCTTCTTGTTTTCCTTTCTCGCCTTGGCTCAGAGCAGGCCAGAGCAGCCTGACAGAGGGGCCACAAGGCTCGGTGAACCCCTGCCCCTCCCAGCAACTGGTGGGGAGGCAGACCGATTCTTCTCCTCTCCTCGATGTCCCTCACAGGGGAGGGGAGGGAGCTGGGGCTGGGGGTTGCTAATTGAGTTACTGGCCCTGGCTCTAGGACAGGGCTGGGGATGCTGTGTCAGGGATCACAGAGTGATGCTAATGGCAGGAGTAGGGGAGAGAAGAGGAGTGGGGAGGGAGGGAGAAAAAGAGACACACAGGGAATGCCTCCACGTCTGGGAAAGACGACGTGGGGGTCCCTTTCCTTTGTTTTCTTAACTATATATCAGCGTCAGGCAGGATTTGAAACCTAAAGCCTTTAAATAGCTGTTTGACAAATCGGAGATTCCTCAGTATCAGATGAGGGAAGAAGCTTTAGAGTCTCAGTCCAGTCTCCCTAATTTCACAAAGGAAGAAACTGAGGCTCTGAGGTGCTAAGCTGCAGCCAGGAGGCCTCTAGATCTAAACTGGGAACTGGACCCAACTATGCTGAAGAATACAGGGTGGAAAGTCAAAACAGAGCATGAGGGCTTCTCCACAGCTGCATCTCCTGTAATGCACTAGATTCCATCTCAGAAGGTAACACATTTCCAGCACCAGCTAAAGATATATTACACAGTATAACCCCTTTTGGGGACCCTTCACATTTTGTCTGACTAATTTGACTATTATCCCACCTCCTTCAGCTTTTATCAGCAGCCTGTCTGTAGTTTATGACTCAATGCTTTAGAGACAGAATTCCCAATGCTGTGAACAATGCCTGCAGCCAGTGCCTGTTGGGGAGAGTTATCATTTTACTGATACCACATTTTTTCACTGAAACCTCAGGCCTGGTGTATGTTATATTTTTAAAAGAGGGGAAAAAAAGACAAGATAACTTCCACATTGCAAAGGGATGAAGCCTGCCTTGCCTGAGAGGTCATGTGGGTGGTGTTCATTTTAACAAGCAACTTATTATGTGCTGGGGGATGAGGGCACCAGGGGTGGGAAATTGAGAACGGGAAGTCCCCAGGGTGTTGCATAATAACACACTGGCACCTTGGGAATACTTCCGGATGTGTGGGCTTCTGAAAAGTGAATGGGAATGTCACCATAAATCTGTCACCCACCCTAACGCTGGTGTTACTAAGCCAGAGAAAACATCAGCCCTTCTAAATTGAAGCAGGAGAAGGACAAGAAGGTAGAAGAGGTGGAGGAAGAGAAGGAGAAAAAGGAGAAGAATATGAGGCAGAAGAAGGAGTGAAGGAAGAAGAGGAGGAGGAGAGGAAAAAGGGGGAAGAGGAAGGGGTGAAGAGAAAAGAAGAACAAAGAAAGAACAGTGGAAGGAAGAAAGTCATTCAAATGGAGAGGCAGAGTGGCAGAGTAGAAAAAGCCAGGTTCTCTACTCAGACTGGAGAGAGGATCATACCTCTGTGTGCTGTGTGACCTGGTGCAAGTTAAGATGTCATAAGAGACCTCAGATCTCACATACGGAAACAAGAGACGACCCGTAGTTCACAGAAAACAAAGATGCGTATGAAGAACCTATCACCTAGTGGGTATCCATAAATGGTGGTTGTTGCTGGTATCCTGTGCCCGCAACATTCCACACAAACACACATAGAGAAAAGTAATAGCTAATGTGCATCTGTGCATCAAGCACATCCAACTTGCTAGAAATGGGGTTAAATCTCACATTATCTTATGGCAATAATTTTCAGTCAAGATTCTGAGTGACAGTCAACAAAAACCAACTTTGGATAACTTAAGCAAAACAAACAAGCAAAATTTGTTCAAAGAATATTGGTTACGTATGGAACACTCTCTGGAGAGCCAGGCTTGCGTGCTCTGAAGCTCAATTCCAAGCCCAAGATTAGGTCCCAGAACTAGTTTAGTGAGGGGATCCAGAGCTGGTGCTGTGCATAGCTAGCTCAGCTTTGATGCTAGATGCCTTCCCTGGTACTTAGGAGGCTGGTATGGATGTGGCTACTCCCACCATCCTCAGCAAAATGGTGTCTACAGTATCCCTAAGTCTAATCACTACTAGCTTCCAATTCAAAGTCTTGGGTTGGTGTGTCTGACTGGAGGGCAGAGGGAAAGCCTAGGTTGTATATACCCACACTCAAGCTACCCAGAAGACGGGGAGAAGGAGATGCTTGGATAATCAACTTCTATACTAAGCGTTGGGCTCTTCCTTATTAGAATAATTATCTCCTAAGTCTAAGAAGGAAATTCTGATAGAAAGTATCCAAAAATATTGGTCAATATCTTCCACTGTTGGGTTCTAGGGCTTTTACCATTTTCTACATGAGAACACTGAGGCTTAGCCAAAGTTACACATCTAAGTCATGGTATGCCTGATCTCCTGACTGTTATCTTGACCACTGTCTTAACAAATGCAATCATGGGAACAATGTCAACCTCAGCACAGCCTCCCACACTTGTCTCTCTTCTCTGACTCATTAAAGATTGGTCTGCTGGGAGTAAAGATTCACTGTCTATTTTTCAGCTGTTCCTTTCGGAGGAAGATAGTTTTCTAGACTTCAGCTACACGATTTGTCCTTGGAATGTAGTCCCTGGGAGCTGGGATCTCTGGGATGCCTGTATCTCTGTGAGTGTCTATAATGAGATTTTAAGTGGCCAGTGAAGGGCGTAGCTGAAGGCTTTCCTGTAATACAAATTCCACTGAACATACAGGGGTAACAGAGAGCCTTCCCTAGACACTGTCCACAACACTGATGGTTTTGTATTCCATTCCATTAATTTGTGATACGACTTGTTTTGCAATGTTTTTTTTTCATTCACCCTGAAAGCCTGCAAGACCAGGAGCTATCTTTTTTTTTTTTGCAGGTAGCTTACCACAGTGAGCTCTGGAGTCAGGCTCTCTGGGTTTAAATTCCAGCTCCACCATTTAACTGTGTATCCTTAGATCATCACCCCATACCTCAATTTCCTCTTTTGAAAGAGCAGTTCAGTAAAAGAGTTGTTACGAGAATAAGAGTTTATAAATGTGCTTGGTATATAAGAAGTATTAAGCAAATATCACCATCAGCAGCAGAACACAGAATCTGGTAGAGAACAACAGTCTATAAAATGAATCTAGGAGGATCTCAGTCTCATCCTCTTGGAAACTCCCTCATCTTTTTTATTTTATTTTGAGACAGGGTCTCGCTCTGTCACCCAGGCTGGAATGCAATGGCATGATCTCGGCTCACTGCAACCTCCGTCTCCTGGGTTCAAGTGATTCTCCTGCTTCAGCCTCCAGAGTAGCTGGGATTATGGGTGCCCGCCACCACTCCCAGCTACACTGTATGTTTAAAATTCAGTTTTTTGTTAACAAGAAATGGTGAACCACATTATAATTTTCACCTACTCTCTGCACCTGGCTCCAGTAAACAAGCATATAAAATATCCCAAATTCATGGAACAAGGGTTGATAAACTTCACAGGTAAAATACCAGATAATAAATATTTTAGTTTCTTTGGGTCATAGAATCTCTGCTGTCATCACTGAACTCTCATTGTAGCATGAAAGCAGCCACAGTCAATATGCAAATGAGTGTGACTGTGTTCCAATAAATCTTTATTTACAATTACAGGGGGCAGGCTGGCTATGGCCTATGGACCATAGTTTGCAGACCCCTTCCATGGATGAGGAGCTTCTACCTATTAGAGATGTCCTTATTTTTCCTGATCATTGCATAGCTCTAAATCAACACAGCAGATGAATGTCAAGGCTCAAGCATCTCTTTCAGGGTACCATATCCTACCTTCACCCCATCCTACTTTCTTTCCAGAAGCACATAAATTACATGCCACATTAGTGCAAGTCAAACAGGCAGATATTTTTCAGCATGGTCTGGGACTAGTGTTGGTTGCCATAAGGATGACGACAAAGGTAAGAGTTTGGCTCAGGTAGAGTTCACAATTAGAAGGAATTCAGTCACCCACCTCAAAAAATCACACAACAGAAGTGCAGGTAAGGCTCTTAAGTTAAGAGTTAGGACCACTTAACCCAATCATTTAAAAATTTACAGTAGGTAAACTGAGGCCAAGACTAGGGAAGCCACTTGGCCAGCTTTATGTAAGTTCTCAGCACAGTTGGTACTAGAACCTGGTTTTCCTAATTTTAATCCAAAGTTCTTTCCACCACATCACTAGGCTAATATCAAGCTTTTACTAGGGACCGGACCATATTCAAATCAACAGAGGAGAGAAAATTTTTTGGCAATTTAAAACCCAAGGCCCTGCCTAGAAACTCCCATGTCTTTTCTCCTGGGGCATCTACCTATCTTCCAACCATAAATATTTACAGAGCACTTCTATTGTGTTGCTCAACCCCTACTGGGTGCCAAGAAGATAGTAGGTGCTCAACAAATGCGTGTTGAGAATTGAATAAGAGACACATGGTATATGGTCTTCACCATCACGGAGCTCACAATCTACTGGGAGAAAGAATGTCTAAATGCACCCCTGTAATGCACTGCAGATGCGAGGATGCAATGCTATCTTTTCCTCTTTAGTCCTAGAAAATTGCCTGTCAGTGAGAAATCTTCCCACGAAGGTTTTCATCCGCTTGTAACTGCCCCTTCTCTCTTCAGATAGAGCACCTCTGTCTTTTGTACTTGCAAATGAATTGTGATTAGTTTTCACCTCCAGCCCAGGGGATTAGCTGGGGGACCTTTGATCTTCAGGTATCGATTTGCATCTTAAAGGAAGTATGATCTCATCTGGACCAGCTCAAAATTCCACCCCTGCCCCTCCCAACCCCTGTCTGTTTACCAGCCCGGGGCTGACCAGGGCCTCCCAAGTGGGGCTGAAACAACAAGATCAGCCAGACTCCAAGAGAAGGCAGAGGAAAACAAATTTCCCAAATGACTCGGTGAAGGTGGGAAAAGGACATTTGCTTTCTAAACACAGGCTGGTCTGCTATTCCTCCTTCCTCAGATCAGAGAGACTGCCCAAGGTTCTGAGTCTGCAGAGGGGACCTTGGTGGTTCCTGCATCACGGCTGGAGGTTGCAAAGCAAAATGAGTTGAGCACGTGCTTGAGAATCAGACAAAATCAGGTTCAAGTCCTGATTCTGTCTTTAATCACTTTTGACCTGTATAACTCTGGACAACTTTTGAAATTTTTCTGGCGTTTGATTTTTTCTTATCTCTGAAGTAGGAATAAAAGCCTTAAAACATCTCCAGTAATACCCATCCTGGACAGTTAGTGTGAAGAAAAGCAGGGATGTTTGTAAGGTAAAGCTTGATCAAAAGAAGTTACCCGTCATTGGCATCATCTATGAGAGCTTAAGCTCTTGAGGGATTGCTTTGTTTGTTTGTTTTTTCACTGCTGTATTTCCCGATATTGAAAACAGTGCCTGGCATGTAGGAGGCACTCAATAAACAGGTGTAATACAAAGGAGTGAATCATCATTTAGTCATAACTATTGTTGGCATTATCATTGACCAACCATTCTGCACCGTTCATTTCTTCATGAAGGCCACAAGAAATGAAAAAGACGTACCAATACAATTGAAGGAGACTTCTTGTCGGCAGAAAAGGGAGCAGCCATCACCATTGATCTTATTCATGTCGTCGCATTGTTCACCTTGGTCTCTGCAGAGCAGATATGGAAGAGAAATTTGCCAATTTAGTCTTAAAACCATGGCTGGACATGGAAAAGTCCCTCCCTGGGCCATGAACCTTCAGTGAGACCTTGCACAAATCCCTTTCTCTGTCTGAGTCTCTGCTTCTTCATCTTCAAAATGAGATTTCTAAAAGGTATGGATTTATAAGATACTTTCACATTTGCCTTGCTTTGTGTTTCTGATGACAAAGTAGAAGTCCTGATTCCAACTCATTCTCTGAGATCTCAAGTCAGTTAAGTCAGATGGGAGTAAGACATGGAAGAACTAATGAACAAATAAATGGTCTTGCTCCCACAGTGTCTAGGAAGTCTCACAGACATTTCCTTGTCTCTGATCTTAAAAAAAGCATATTTGAAGGAAAATGTAGAGATTCTGGTCCTTCACCACTCCCTGCCTTGATATCCTTCTTATTCCCCCAATATACTTAAAGGTAACTTTTTTTTTTTCATTCATGCATTCAAGTTTAGTCATCCTTCCATTGGAAAGTTTTGCTTTCTCCATCGGGTGTGTCATTTGTTGGTGTCAAGAACTCCAAGGGCTGCGAGACTACACTGTTATGAAATACTAATGCCCCCTTTGTTTTTGTTGGAATTATTTCCACCACCTAAGGATGATTTTGCAAAGGGTTGGGATGGGCAGAAAATGAGCAATGATCTTTGAATTGGGCTTAGGTGATGAGAAGGAGGAACAACACCTGAAAGTCTGGATGGGTTACTGCTTTCTGGAAAACGGTCATCCTTTAAAAAACAAAACACTTGGGTTTAGAACCCCATGTCTCAAACTAACTGTATAATCTTGACAAAGTCACTTGACCTCTTGATCTGATATTTCTGTGATGATTTACATTTAAATTAATTGAAATGAATTATAATTAAAATTCCAATCCTCAGTCATAGTAGCCACATTTCAAGTATTCAGGAACCACATGTAGCTAGTGGCTACTGTAATGGACAGCACAGAACACATTTCCATCATTGCAGAAAAATCCATTGAACAGTGCTCCTGTGGATGCTGAACTTCAGTTTTCTCATGTGCTAAAATGGAGATAATTAGTCCTATGCCTCTGAGTAGCTTAAAGTGGTTGGCACAGTGGGTGACACATAGAAGATGCTCAAGGAATCACAGTCCCCATTCCCACTTTGCGTTGGGAGGTCTCTGCAGAGTGTGTGACAGCTGTCCCTCCCTCCCCAGAGACCAGCTGGGACCTGTCACAGCATGGAAGAGGCCTTAGACTTTTCCTTTCACCCAGGCAATTAACACTGGGCAATGTTTGTTGCTTTTAAGAGGTGTCAGAGTAGCAGGATAATGCCTTGCAATCAATCCTTAAGATGGCTAGGGCATTGAATTGATCTCCAAGGAGCCACCCAAGTCCTCTCCTGTCTGCACACCTATGAGCAAAGAAGAAGTTTGTATTTTTAGCTGGTCTCAGCATTGTCTGGCAGTGGGTCTTGCTTGCTGGAAATTGCCGATGACCTTGTGCTTCTAAGCTAATGCATAGGTTGTTTTGGAAAAGACTTTAAAAACAAAAAAATACCTGGGCTGGTTCCCTAAGCCACAAAGCTTACTTTCAACCTCCCTTCCATCGCCACCCAAACAGTGTTCTACTGGTTTAAACAAAATATTCGGGTCACTACAAATATCTTCTAGGCATGACAGATCTATCATTAGATAAAGAAGTTCTGCGAAACCTTATTTGACCTCTGGGGCTGGAGCGGGTGGCCATCTTTCTCTGTGTCCACAGACATCTTGCTCCATCTATCACAGCACTTGTCAAACTGACTGCCTTTGCCTGTTACTTGAGAGCCCCTTATAAGAGGCTGTAATTTGCCAAAGGAAGTGACAGAGTCTTCATCATCCTAGCACCCCAGTTTCTGGCACAGTGCCTAGGATATAACAGACAGCATGCAGCCACTCCTTTACTTGTTAGTTTTGCAGAGTTGTCACATCACACAACAATGCAATGGGGAATCCAGATGAGAATCTGGGCCCTCTGTTCATGTATTGGTTCTACATCTTACCAGATGTGGAAGCTTGAGAAAACCTCTGTAATCTCTTTGTGTATTCATTGTTTATCCGTAAAGTATTATAATAAGACCTATCTCACATGGCTGTTGGGTGGGAGAACTCAAGGAGACAATAATGTAGCACAGTGCTTCATGCACAGTAGAGACTCAAGAAGT
The DNA here is from genome assembly GCF_000001405.40 of Homo sapiens. Classification (NCBI taxonomy): domain Eukaryota; kingdom Metazoa; phylum Chordata; class Mammalia; order Primates; family Hominidae; genus Homo; species Homo sapiens. The sequence goes on along the minus strand of NC_000009.12, from coordinate 116,269,112 downwards.
GTGTATAAATATTATTGTCATTATCAAAACGTTCATCCATTGCCTTCACCTTTACCCGATCTATCAAATGTAGAACCTGTTGCTATGGATCATTTAAGACAGCACTCATCCATTAAGGGCCTCACTGAGTGCTGAGTCTATCCATATTTCTTCATAAATTATTTTACAGACAGAGCAAATTAACTTGCATCATTCCATGAAAAATCGTATTAGCTAAGATGATATCCCTTCTTTTCCCCAAAGTTTTCCTTCCCCCCTACCCCCCCACCCCTACTTAGGGAAACATCCATAAGCTAAATTTAGTTTTCTACAAAGTATATCAACAAATATTTGATATCTACAGGTAACTGAACATGTGTTTGATGTTTATGAAAGATACTAATTCTAGGTAAAAATACTAAAAAAAAACTGTATTAAGTATACTATTTAAAATTAATAATAATTATGATACTAATAGTTTTAGATCAGCAAGAATGATATCATTTGCAGTGTTTAACCAATTCATCTATATCTGTTTCCACCATGAGCTGAGATGAGCTGTAGATGAGGCTCCAAATCTGATGACTTAAAAAAAAAATTGGGCTAAATTAGAAATTCCCAAATCACAATTATGAGTTATCACCAGTGACTGCAAATGTTTTCTGGATAGTCTAGATATGAAGTTCAATCTTGGACCCACAAATGATGGGGTACTTTCTCCATGGAGAGTCCTCTGTTTAGTTGTTCAATGTTCCATCAGACAGCAACTTTATCAAAAGCTGGAATTTGATGTATTAATGTGGGAGAGAACAGTGAGAAGTTTCCCTTTCCCCAATTTTACTGCATTGGAAACTGTATCTTCTTGTTCTGTTGCTTCATATGAATGTGGATCTTAAATACATACAGCATTGTATGTTAAATAGCTCAAACAAGTGAGGAGCTTTCTATTCTGTGCTTGAGGAGTCAAATTCTTGGCAATCAGCTGATTTGCACCATAATGCAACAGTTATAAACCCTTACACTAATCTCTTCAATCTTAAACATTTTGACAATTCAGATATAAAATTTTAGGTGTAGGACATTTAAGAAATAAACATATGATCCGGAAATATATAGATAAATATACATATATGTTCCTGCTATGTTCCTGCTTCAGAAAGCCACTTGAGATTATGCAAATAATTACTTGCCTCATCAGTGCCAATATTTTTTTAATGCCATTTCTTTTTTTTTTTTTTTTTTTTTTTTTTTTGAGACGGAGTCTCGCTCTGTCGCCCAGGCCGGACTGCAGACTGCAGTGGCGCAATCTCGGCTCACTGCAAGCTCCGCTTCCCGGGTTCACGCCATTCTTCTGCCTCAGCCTCCCGAGTAGCTGGGACTACAGGCGCCCGCCACCGCGCCCGGCTAATTTTTTGTATTTTTTTAGTAGAGACGGGGTTTCACCTTGTTAGCCAGGATGGTCTCGATCTCCTGACCTCATGATCCACCCGCCTCGGCCTCCCAAAGTGCTGGGATTACAGGCGTGAGCCACCGCACCCGGCCGCCATTTCTTATTTTAAAAACTTGAGTTGGTATCTTTTCATTAACAGTTGGCAAACTTTAGTTGTGGAGTGGGGAGCAAAGAGGAACAGAATCTTGTACATGCTACTATCTTGTTACACAGCAAGTTTAAAAGATATAATTTACCAATCATCTGATCATGTTTGCAATATTTCTATTGCCTTTAATGTTAAATCATGTTCAGAAAGAACACTGCTGGCAAATAACTGATGTCTATGTGGATGAGTATTTATATGCCAGCTCTTTTCACTTGCATTACTGCATCATCCTTGCTGTATTCCTAGCTGGTCCTTTCATCCTAAAGCAGAGGTTTCCAGTTTACATTCCATACCACAAAATCATCAGAAACAAATTAAATTGTTCTTCCCCTCTAGCTTAGTGTTAGTGATGAACAGAAAGAAAGAGTCATCTAATGTGTCTCTTTCATATATGTACTACTCCTACGAGTTGATTCATGTTCTACACATCAGTGGTTTCATCCAACTGTGAAGCAAATTCTTTTTTCATACCACCCCTCCCCTTATAGAAATAGTAATTGCAATTCCATATTGCACAGATATTATGTGACACCCAACAGTGCTATTTAATGAAGGAATTTTGCCAATAGCTTGTTTTGCCTTCTCCACATGTAATGTTTATCATTAAATCTGTCAATAGTTTAAAAAGTCTCTTAGCAATAGTGTGACTTGCAAATAAACATTTTAGCAATGAGGAACATAATTTTAGCAATAAGAGATTTAATTTTGAATAATTATTGGTCTCTTTTCCACCTCTAGAGACAAAATTCTCTATTTTGTACTAGAAAACTTTTTTTCTTATTCTGGAGGAAAAGCACTTAAAAGTTTATTTATTGAGTTTTAAACAATGCAAAAGTCTTGGTGGCTCCTCACCCCTGTTTGCCAGTTGCATAGCATCTTGTCCTGAGAACAGGAAGATGAATGGGTTGATAATCTGATAAAATCCACACTTACTGATTGGACCCACAAATGATGCTTCATTTGCCTCAGTGTACTCATATTCACATTCAATATTCACTCCAGAGCACTGTTTATTATTTATGGTTTAAACATTGTAGTGAGTTAAAATACTCCACTGTTTTTATAAGCCTTTGACCCATTTTGTAAATTGTTGTATAATATGATACAATAGAGATAACAAATAAATATGCAGTTTTCATAAATGTGAATGGTAACCAGCAAAGAACTTAAAAGTGTTTTAACCTAGATGAACTGTGTCCTGTTAACTGAATGTACGCTGTGACTGTGAGGGAAAAATCTAATGGAATCCTTGTAGCACACATAAAGCAACTGAGAGCAAGAGCAAATGGTAGTAGGTACATAAGGGTAGTTCTGTCTAAATCATATATTGTATTACATAGTCGCAAAATGTACGTGTTCAAAAAGAGTCATTGCTTTTCTTCTGAGTTCAGCAAATTGTTTGGAGACCAATCCAGAGACTGCTGGGGACCACTAGTAGCTCACAGCTCATGCACTGAAGAATATGTCATAAGCTCTTCTGTTCAGCACCCTAACCATCTCTTGACCTAACCAGCATCCCTCCTCTTCTTTCTTTAATTAGATCTACTTACTTTTGTATAATGCCATCGCCACAGTACCCACTTCCATGGATGTATGTGACAGCAGGTGATGGCTCACTCTCTTCAGTTCCTGAAATAGTTATGACCCAATACTGGTACACACTGCCAAGATTTAGATCCCTGGAAAATACAAAGAAGACATAATTATACAATTACAATACTGGGCAGACAAAGAGAGAATGGAAAATTGATCCCCTGGAGTAGGTTCTATCAGTCTTGCTCATTTTTGAAATCAAATGCACATTTAGCTATCCAATACTTTCTATTGTCCACTATGGCTACATCAGTTAGCTAAGTATAATGGACTACACTAAAATGTACAGTAATAACCAGCATCAATTGACTGATAACTATGTACTTACTAGGTGTTGTTTTTTTCTTTAATTTAACCTATACAGCAACCCTGTTGGAAAAGTATCAGATGGCAAATGACTAAAAATGAAGACGTTTGTGAGGAAGCCATCCAGGAAAAATAAATATAAACAAAAGCACAGAGGTGGGAAAGCACCACATCAGATTCTTAGGGCATTATCTGATCATGTTTCCTCATTTTAAGACCTGAGCAGAAACTCCATTACACGTGAGCAAACCCTTTTCTGATGCTGTGTGTACAGTGGCTCTCTGCCTCCCTGCCACTTGCTTCTCCCTATTTCTTTCACTCTCGACAAAATAATAATAATAATAGCAGCATCCATTAATAGAATATAGGGCCTTAGGCTAAACACTTTTCATGAATTTCTTATTTGAGAAACAAAACATCCCTACATGGCTGCTAGTATTTACATGTTGATTTTACAGATGGTGAATCTGAGGCATAGGAAGGTAAAGCAACTTGCTTACAATCATATGCTATTAAGTGATATCCTATATTCTGCCTATCTTATCCCTATTTTAGGTCTGTTTTAATAACCTCACCCCTTGCAAAGTTGGGTCATGTCCTGGGAATCGCAATTCCAAGGACTGCTTCCTGCCAGATTTCCAACTTGCCTAGACTGCATCTCTCCTCTGACCTAAAGACCTCCTAGTACCTGCTTGGGCTTCCTCACAAACACACCACCAAATGAACACAGCTACTGCCAATTATCCTCCAAGGCAAATATATGTTTATGTCAATTCCACACGACCACATCCCCCTCCCTATGTCCTTTTTGACAATTTTCAAATGAAGATGTTATTCCTATCTTTCATCTACCTCTGCATCAATTATTTTTAGTAATAATTTTTTAATAACAACAAAGTACCATGGGAAAAAACACAAAATGATAATGAAGAGAATTCCTGTCAGATTCCAGCATTGGGGGGGATTTCATAAACAAAAGGATGATGTCAAAAAATCTCAAGTTCTCCTGCCCGTCTGTTATTTCAGCTGCTGTTAGGACTTGGGCTGTTTGGTTAAGGCCAACAAGATAACAGGTGCAGGGGCAATGGACAGAGAATGTCTTCAGACTCTCAACACAATAATGAGCTGGAGTTTATGAGCATTGAAGGACTCTGGGAAAGAACACAACTTTCCTGAGAATGTTGGATGTATTACCCCAAAGGGAGTTTGTTTTAGCAGCACTGGAACTGCTAATATTGTGGGTAGACCAAAAATCCCTGGAGATTTAGTGCTCTGCCAATGAAGATGAAATAGGTGGACATACCAATATCTTGAGAGATTTTTATGCATGAGTGATGGTTGTTTTGTAAACCTCGAATCCTAATTTGTTGATAGAATTATAGGGTTTATGATTTCATTTAGCTTATTGGCTACTTTATCCACATCTAGACTAATGAGCATATACTTCACCTGGTGATAATTCTAAAACTGGAGTGGGGTGGAGAAAAAAGTAACAATCCCAGGGGATACACAAAGTTACATGATAAATATGACATGCCTTGTATTATGCGTTCATTTTTTTCTAAAATACAGAGGCATGCTTTATATTTTTTAAACGGCCACATTGTGATATAAAATAAGAAATTTTCTTCAGACTACATCCCAGTCCACTGGGGCTATCCAGTCATTGTCTAAGTAGATGGGGGTAGTTCTCTGGAAAAGGGTGAGTATGAAAAGTACTTCTCTACATTGTGTTTTTCACTTCTGGCATGTGTCACGAGTGATTTGCGGCTGATGATATTTAAGGTGGTTGGCTAATATTTGTGAATGTTTTGCTCCTCTCTCCACTTTGTCCTCTCGTCGCGTCTCTTCCTCCTCCTTTTCCTCAATAAATATCAACACAGAGACAAGAAAACATGTGTTTCTGTCCTGGCTGCCTCACTTATTAGCCAGGAAGTCATGGGCCGGTGTTTTACCTTTCTGAGCCTATTTCAAATCAGTCATAAACCTGGCTTCACAGCATTTATCTGCAGATGAAGCATGAGAACAATTATAAAGCACATATGGGCCCAGCCTATGACGAACATTTAATAAATGTTAATCCATTACAATTAATGGTTAATTATCAACATTCCTGTCCACTGAATTTATGCTATGGTCCCCTTACTAGAAGAGATGGAGAGACAAATAAGTAATGTAACCTTGGTGAGGCAAACCCGTGAAGATGCAGCCATCATCTACCATGTGTGCCGTGGCTTGATGAAAATATCTTTTCTACTACTTCACTTGGCTGGAACACCCCCAGTGCCTGGCAGCTTGCTCTCTTTCCAGGTGACCCATTTCAGCTTCTGAAAATTCTGGATCCCAGAAGGTTTCTCTTTACCCTGGGGCGAAATCTGTGTCCCTGTAACGTCTACCCACCGACCTCCTTCTTATCCACTAACATCATATTTGATTAGTACAGAAACCTTAATAACCTTCCTTCTTCTAGCTGTGTGTGTGTGGTTCATATTTCATTGTTTTCCAGAAGCTTAAGCAGCTCTTTGAGGAAGGTGTTGTTATCCCAAGTTTTCAGATTGAAAAATAAAAACCCAAGTCACTCCCTTAAGTTAAAAGGTGGGGACAGTGGGATGGGTACAGCAGTTACTAAAAAGATTATGTTTTCCACGGAAAAATTCCTATGATAAAACTATATTTTACCCAAGTTTAAGTCAGAGTTAATGTTAAATGAGGGCTCTTTTCTCAAGAACCTAGGTAGAATAGATTTCTTTCAGAAGGATAAGCTAGTGGCTTCTGAAGGCTTTGCTGGAGGTTAGAACCTATTTCATTGTTGGTCTAAAAGTAGGACATTTTTGTCAAGTTGTTCCTTTCAGCTGCTCCTAAAACCATCTGGAAAGCCTTATGCTATCACTTGAACTCCTTCCCCTCCTGTGCCTCCTACATTCAGATGGACCCTAAGCCCTCTCAATTCTCCCCACCCAGGAGTTTCCACGTCATCCTTTCTTCAGCTCTCCTGAGGCCCATATGTCAATCTTGACGGCCAAAGCAGCCTCTGGCTTAATGTCCTGCTTCAAGCATATCCCGTTTCCAGTCTTGCCAACATCGTCAGAATATTCTTAAATTTAGAGCCACTGTCCAGCTCAAAATCTTTTCATTTAGTGCAGCGACAGCAGCTTGCTACCAAGCTGAAACTTCCAATTTACTCTTTCTTTGGAACTAAAATTTTAGCAGATCACCTGAGATGTGATTATTTTGGCTACTTCTGATTTCTCACATCAAATTCTGAATGCCATTTTAAGTTTTTTCTTTTTAAACTTCAACCATCCGTAGTAGTAAATCATAAAGTCTGCATCTGAATATTTTATGTTTGTAGCTAATATATTTAAATGTGATGAAGTTGTTTGTCTATTTTGAAGGGTTGTTCTGTGGAATCTTTGCGATTTTTTTTTTTTTTTTAAGACAGTCTTGCTCTGTCACCCAGGCAGAAGTCACAGCTCTCACTGTAGCCTCAAACTCGCTGGCTCAACCAATCCTCCCACCTCAGCCTCCCGAGTAGCTGGGACTACAGGCATGCACCACCACAGTGGCTAATTTTTAAAATATATTTTGTAGAGATGGGGTCTAATCAGGTTGCGCAGGCTGGTTTAGAACACCTGGGATCCAGTGAGCCTCCTCACTCGGCCTCCCAAAGTGCTGGGATTACAGGCATGAGCCACTGTGCCTGGCCCTCATGCATTTTTTTTTTAAACAAAACAAAACAAAACAAAACACTTTTTTCTACATTTAACCGTCATTCTTTAACACATATCGCAAATGGCATATGTGCCATAGGGTTGTATTTCTGATAATTAGAAACAAAAATGCTGGCATTTCTGGTTGATATGATCTCAGTATTCTGCCTCAGAAAGTCATACTGATGGTAAATGTGTATCGAATTTAGAGCACAACTTACACTAAAATTTAATTACAGGTTGTGAAATCATTATCTAAAATATTAATATATACATAAGGAGGGTAAGCACCTTATGACTTAAGCTTAAATATGCATTTAAAATGCATAAATTAAAGTTTATTGGTATGTAGTTAATATGATAGGTCAATTAAAACCTATCTGAAATCTGTAGACAAGTCATGTGATTTTGCGGGGGTCTGTTTTTCTGTCTTTTAATTAGGATGTTTGATTCTTGTCCCATACCACTGTGAAGGTCAAATAAGAAACAAAAAAGTCATATAGGAGGAAGGGGAGAGACAGGCTCATTACCCTATGGAAACATCACATTTTGCTTCTTCCAGAAAACTCTCTCTGAGCTCCTTAAATACTCATTATTGATCCTATTGTTTCTATATCATAGCATTCGTTTATCATTGTCTATCTCTTCAAATAGTCTCTATAACTAAACTGTGTTATATTTCTTTAAAACTTCATCCTCTGGAATAAAAACAGCTATCATAGTTTCTATGTGTTGCCTACTTATTATATGCTACGCACTACGTATCATATTTTGTATTTACAGTCTCAACCAAAAGAACAATCCCTCGAATAATTATCCTCCTTGTGAGATGAGGAAACTAACACTTAGGAAGATTAAGCTACTTGCCGATAGTCACAATATTTTTGTCATGGAGTAGGGATTTGAACCAGTTCTGTCTAACTCCATTCCAAGACAGTGCTTTCCAAAGACAGAAGCCCCAAGCTTTCTCAAAGTACAGCAGAATAGAAATCAAAAGACTTTGTTTTGGATCACAAAGACCTTACATACAAAGACCAGTTGAAAGATTTGGAATTTGTGTTTCATGACTTCCAAATCTTTGTTTTTCTGTATTAATTTCATAGTATTTCCCTATGAAATACTACCGTTGACTCATTGACCATGGACAAGCCATTTCCTCTTTCTGTCCACCCATTTTTTTTTTAACTATGAAAGAAGAATCTGGGAAGGATGTGATGATTAGTTCTGCAATCCATGGGTCTAATTTAAGGAGGAGTGTTGTGTTGTATCCTTATGTCTTGAGCTTTTCCATAGGCTAGAAACTGCTTCAGCATTTAAAATTCTGCACTGAGAACGTGTGTAGGTCTGGACCTACCACCCAGATTGTCTGAGTTAGAAGATGTAAGATGGGACCACCTAGGATGACTTTGGCTCAGGAAGAGTCCAAGTATTCCAGTGTAGCCTTGAGCTAAGAACCAGAGGGTAATGTCTGGGCACTTTGTATATAACCCTCCAGCCAAGAATGGGAAGGGAAGGAAACATTCACTTTTTGAGCCTGAGATGATGTGCCAAAGACTATACATGCTATTATTATTGTTTTAATTAGAAAATACTTCACTTATATAGAAAAGTACAGACTATACTATAACAAATTTTCATAGGCTTACTATACAGCTTTGTCAAATTATAACATTGTGCCATATTTTCTTCATATCTTTTGTTTTTGGTGTGAAAGGAATAAATACTGATCAAGTTTAAACCCACCTGTATGCTCCTCCTGTATCTCATTTCCTTCCCATGCACATTTTTACACTTTTTGCACAGTGTATTGTTTTACATATTTTAAATTTCATAGATGTTTCAATACTATACTTATTTTGTAGCTGGCTGTTTTTCTTTTTTCCTTAGCATTGTTTGAGATCACACATATTGCTACAAGTAGATCTGGCGTATTTATTTTCACTAACATAAATATTTTACCATATGAATATATCATAATTTATTTGGCCATTCTTTTCTTGATAGATACCTAGGTTGGTTCTTTTATTATTGCTATTATTGTTATTTAATCACTGTGTTTATTATTTACAATGTTACTTGAAATATTTGTGTTCTTTTCCTCTGTGCACATAGCAAGAGTTTTCTGAGGGAAAAAAGGCTAAAATGGTATCATTAGGTTAAGATAATTGCATCTTCAACTATTAGATATTGCCAAAGTATTTACCAAAATGATTGTATCAATTAACACATCTGCACAAAGGCTTCCCATTCCCAAAGTGCTGGTCCTTGTCAGCACTTGATTCTGCCAAATATGTAATTTTTTTTGGTCAATCTGATGGTTACTAAATGATACTTAATTATTGTTTTATTTTGCCTTTCCCTGATTACTAACAAGCCTGAGTATCTTTTCACATGTTTGTGGATCAAGTAGGTTTCTAGTCATGCATATTGTTTGTTCATCTTTTTGCCTATTTTAAATTAAGTTTTGTTTTTCTATATTAATACATAAGTATATTTACATATACTGGATATTAATTCTTTATAATTAAAGCCATTGTAAATACCATTTCATGGTCTATGACTCCTAATTTTTCATTATGTTTATGCTGCTTTGTTGATAAGAGAATTTTGTATCCTTCATGATTTGTGTTTTTCGTATGTTGTTGAATAAACATTCCTTTAATCTAAGATCATAAAATAGTCTCTTTTATTTCCTTTCAATAATTTTAAGGTTTTGTTTGTTACCTATATGGTTTCAAGCACCTACAATATAGGTTTTTATTATTATTATTATTATTTACTATTATTATTTTTTAGACGGAGTTTCATTATTGTTGTCCAGGCTGGAGTGCAGTGGAGCAATCTTGGCTTACTGCAACCTCTGTCTCCCATGTTCAAGCAATTCCCCTGCCTCAGCCTCCCAAGTAGCTGGGATTACAGGCATGTGCCACCATGCCTGGCGAATTTTATATTTTTAGTAGAGATGGGGTTTTACCATGTTGGCCAGGCTGCTTTCGAACCCCTGACCTCAGGTGATCCACCTGCCTTGGCCTCCCAAAGTGTTGGGATTACAGGCGTAAGCCACCATGTCTGGCCCACAGTATAGTTTTTTAAATGATGTGAAATAAGGATTGTTTTTCCCCCCAAATATGTATTAAAATTATTTGTCCAGCACTAGTTAATCTCTTTAAGATAACAGTTAATCCTTTCACTACTGAATTGTAATACTGCCTTTGCCATATATCATTTCAGTACTTTCATAATTTTTTTTTTCGGGGTTATCTTGTTTCATCGGTCTATTTTTGCTCTTGTTGCCCAGGCTGGAGTGCAATGGTGCGATCTCGGCTCACCTCAACCTCCGCCTCCCGGGTTCAAGGGATTCTCCTGCCTCAGCCTTCCCAGTAGCTGGGATTACAGGCATGCGCCACCACGCCTGGCTAATTTTGTATTTTTAATAGAGACAGGGTTTCTCCATGTTCGTCAGGCTGGTATCAAACTCCCAACCTCAGGCGATCTGCCTGCCTTGGCCTCTCAAAGTGCTGGGATTACAGGCATGAGCCATGCCACCCAGCCTCATTGGTCTATTTTTTATCTACTGTTTTATCGGTAGCAGTCTATAGCGATTTCCACAGCAACATAAAAGTCTTGATTTACATTATAAGTTCATTCTATAGTTTTCCTTTTCAAAAGGGCCCCTTGCTCTTCCATGTGAAATTCCATGTGAAGCTTTCTCCTTACAAATGCCTGTTGGGATTTTGATTCCAATTTCATTGAATGTATCAGTGTATTTGAGGAGAAAGGGCATTTTTATGATACTGTGTCTTCCCCCATTTATGCACACAGTTTATCTTTTTACTTATTTAGGTCTTCTTTTATAGTTTCAGTAAAGTTTTAAAGCTTTCATTATAAAAATGGTGATGATTTTTTATTAGCAATATATGCCTTACTCTAAGCATTTTATAGGTGTCAGTCCTACAGTAAATAGTAGCTTTTTATCTAGCTATTTACACACACACACACATACACATAATTACGTGTAGGTTTATTTGTATTCTAATAGTTTGGGGATAATAAAAATAATTGAGTTTTATATAAATTTATATTATATTTAGAAGTCCTCATAGACTGTTTTATTTGTTCTAGTAATTGTTGATTCTTAGTAATTTTTCTATATTGTTTCCAGTAGATGAAGAATAATGTTAGTTTTGTCGTTTCCTTTTCAATCCTCAGACTTTTTTTGTTTTTTGAGACGGAGTCTCGCTCTGTCGCCCAGGCTGGAGTGCAGTGGCGCGATCTCGGCTCACTGCAAGCTCCGCGTCTGGGGTTCACGCCATTCTCCTGCCTCAGCCTCCCGAGTAGCTGGGACTACAGGCGCCCGCCACCATGCCCCACTAATTTTTTTGTATTTTTAATAGAGACGGGGTTTCACCGTCTCTAGCCAGGATGGTCTCGATCTCCTGACCTCATGATCCACCCGCCTTGGCCTCCCAAAGCACTGGGATTACAGGCTTGAGCCACCGTGCCCAGCCTTTTGTTTTTATTTTTTGTCCAGCTGCGCTAGGTAGGAGACCAATGGCAAAACTGGGCATTCTGAAGATGACCCTGTGATCAAAAAACTTTTTACATTGTACTTATTCCCAGTTTACTATAATTTTTTCATCATGAAGGAATCTGATTTTACAGGGTTTTAAAAACTACATCTAGTAAAAATTCCTGTTTTAAAAATTATTTAATTCACAAATATTGTGAATTACATTAATAGACCACCTAATATTAAAGTCACCTCTTTAACATTATATGTGGTTTTTAATACATTGCTGAATTCTGTTGGCAAATATATAAGATTTTCGCTTGTTAGAAATTCCATTGATTGAAAAGTTTTACCTTTTTCATTTGTTTATTTGTGTTTTGTTTGTTAATGTGCTGCATTGTGGACAGAGCTTATGTTCTATCTGATACTGATACTTTGATATTTGTTTAAATTTGTTTTGTGGCCTAGTACATGGTAAAAAAAAAACTTTAAAAAATAGTCTACATCTCTATTCAAGAAGGAAATATTCATAATTTAGTTCTGTATCAGGGTTCTATACATTTTTATCAGCTCAAACTTTTTTGTGTTGTTCAAGATCTTCTAGATTATTACTATATTTTAGTTTGCTTGATCTATAAATTATTGAGAAAAATGTGTTAAAATATCACAATGTCATGCATTTATCTTTTTTTAGGTAAAAGTCATTGACTTATATATTTTCAGGTCATATTATTTCATAAATTCAGGTTGTAAATCATAATATCTTCCTTTTATCATTATGTGGTGACTTCTTTTTTTAAATCACAGTAACATATTTGCCAAATGTTTCCTTAGTCTGAAAACTATATTAATTTATTTAGTTAGCATTTACCTGGTAAATATTGTCCCCACCTTTACCTTTAACCTTTCAGCAAAACTCTTGAGTTAAATCTGACTAGAGAAGCTCTATCTTCATCCAATTGGCTTTAATCTGATTAGTATAATGACTTATGTTTCCATTTTTTCCTTGCTTATTTATTCCTTTCCTCCTTTCTTCCCTTCACTTGGATTTATCGAATTTTTAAATTTCCATTATTTGTCTCTTCTTTGTTCATCTTAACTGTGAAAATTGTACTTTCTAGTTTTATTTATTTTTTGTTGTTATTGCATTCTGTTTATTCTAAAATACTAATTTGTATACTTCTCACCAAAGTCAAAATTTAGTAAAAAGCCCTTAGGTTGTTTACTGACCCTTATTTTGATGCCTTGTTTACTTTTTTCATGTTTTTAATTTTCAGATTCAGTGGGTTTTAATCTGTGGGAATCATGTGCTCCCTGGGTCAAGTCCATGTCCTCCCTCAGAGCGATTTTACGTTAATTTCTAGGTATCCCTGCAACATCACTAACCTGGAATCTTTTTTTTTTTTTCACTTAATTTTTCAGCTCAGGCATTTTCACACCATACTGAGCAGTATAAATTCAAACATCAAGTCTTTTGAGGTATAAGACAATGGTTATAAATTTCCACTTAGATCCTAGGCAAAGATAGTAAGATGACAGTTAAATCAAATCATGTTAATTATCATGGTATTAAGGTAGGTAGCTAGACATATGCATATACATATTTTTTCCCTAGTACACCCTTTCACCAAACATGTAGATTTTCAGGGGTCGTTTCAGGGGTCCTGAAAATCTCATTTAAAATCCTTATTTTAAAAGTGTTAGTCCCAATACACTACCTTGCAGAGTTGCAAAGCCACATCTCTCCTGGGGTGAACAAGAATATTCAAGCCACTCAATTGCCAAAACTGATGGCTCTCCCTTATCCAAACTATACCAACCACAAATTTAGATCCAGGGTTTACCTGTTTAGTTCCCAGTTCTATTTTATTTCTTGCATGTCTTGCCCCTGGAAATATCCTTTTCTGTTTTTCTAATCTCAATCAGGCATTTTAAAGGATGCTAGTTATATCTGTAATATTTTATCTAGAATATCCAATGGATGCTCATATTGGAAAAGTTTTTAGTTTAGTTACTTTACCAAATTTTCCATACTATTTCTAATATAAACCTGAAAGGCAGAAATTATTTGAATTTTTTAGTTGCGATTCAATGTAGTTCAGTCATCTGCTCAATGTCAGAGATGTAACAATTATAAAACAAGATTTAAACCATGCTGTTTGACTCTAGAACCCTTTATCTTTCCAAGACATTGAGCTGACTTTTTGGATGGGCACACCCTAGTGAGCCATATAGTAATATCCAGTAAAATACAGACCACAAAAACTATTTGAAGATAAAACAAGCTTCCCTTTATGGTTCTAAAGTATTTTAGGAAGGTGAAACTCAGAGTATATTATATTATATATTTTTTAAATGTAGAAAGGTAGAGAACAATCGTTTCAACGCAAACATATCTTTAGAATGGAAGCTGACTTTTAAAAAAAGACTGGGAAGTGACAGTATATAATCTCAATTGCTTTTTTCTCCCCAAAATAAAAATCATCCATGCTTATTATAGCAAATTAGAAGGCTATATGAAAGAATTAAAGTAGAATAATCTCAAATTCCATTATCCTGAGACAGCTACCAGGAACGTTTTGGTCAGGATCCTTTCAGTGTCTTTCTTTCTCTCTTTTTTTTTTTTTTTTTTTTTGAGACGGAGTCTTGCTCTGTCACCCAGGCTGGAGTGCAGTGGTGCAGTCTTGGCTCACTGCAAGCTCCGCCTCCCAGGTTCACGCCATTCTCCTGCCTCAGCTTCCTGAGTAGCTGGGATTACAGGCGCCCACCACCACGCCCGGCTAATTTTTTGTATTTTTAGTAGAGATGGGGTTTCACCGTATTAGCCGGGATGGTCTCGATCTCCTGACCTTGTGATCCGCCCACCCTGGCCTCCCAAAGTGCTGGGATTACAGGTGTGAGCCACCGCGCCCGGCCCTTTCAGTATCTTTCTACGTGTAAACACACATACACACATTATTTTGTATAAATATAAGATCACAAATTTGTAATATCATTTCATATTTAGTGTTCATGAAGAAAGACTGACAAGTAAACCCAGATAGTAGCTTAATGCTAGCTGATTATATTTATGGTTTGATTATTTTTTAAAATTTCTGAATAAATATATTTGTATTGTTTTAGGTATGCTTACACTTATCCAACGAAATAGCCTTCACTGGTTTCTGGGATGCAAAGATGAACACATTATGGTCCTGCTTTTAGGATGCTCATTGGATGGCAAGGAAGAGACAACATTAAAATTGAGGCTTTAAAACAGCCTAAAAAATGTAGGGGCTGTAGGAGCACAGAGGGTTGGTTTCTTACCCTTGATGATGGGGAGGGAGTGAGAAAATTTCCCAAGGAGGTATACTGGCTTGACTGGAGAAAGTCAGAAGTCATCAGGAGAAAGAGGAAAGGACTGGCTTTCCCAGCAAATGACATCATCATACTTGTTTGGTGGAAGACCATTTAGGTAGCAGTATAGATAATGAGTTTGGAAGGAAAGTTGAAAAGGCAGTACCTGAAGGCAAAGAGACCAAATATTCCCTGTAGGATGGAATAAATTGAGTACCTAGAAAATTTTGGTAGTATGCTAGATATTTTTATATTCTATTTTATTTAACAATAACTAAAACTTACAAAATGTCCTTCTTTACTGAATGGCGTTGGAGCTGTGATTAGTCTTCTCAAAAGAATTTATTTCTTAATATTCACATATTAAAGTTATATACACACAGTTTTTTCCACTGAGTGATGACTATGTATGCCTTAATTCCAATTTTGTCTGAGTATTACTCTGAATTTTTAAGGAAACCTTTTATTTCTGTTGACTGAGAGGTACTTTGGTCTCACTTTTTATTGGTGGTGAGGGGTGGTTGGTAAGGATCTGAGACAGAAAGTATTGTATGCCCTTGGGAAGAAATGTTTTGAAAGATAGTTTAACATACTGACTGTGGACCAAGTATCAGAAAAAAATGGCTACTGTTTTATTAGTTTTTGTTGTGATTGTGGCCCAATCAGCTATTTTTCTCTGGACATCACTTTTATTGTTCAATTTTTTAAAAAAATGTATGAAGCTCAGTCAAAATGGAGGACTCAAAGATGAAGAAGATACTGCCATTGGTTTCAAACAGTTCAAAGGGCAAAAGAGAGGATAAACCAAGTAGAGTGTGATTGTAACACAAAGTAGAGTTTGGAGAGTGCTAGCAGAGGAAGACCAAATAGTGGTTTAAAGAACGAGAAAGGCTTAGGGAGGCTTTTTTTTTTGATAGCTGGGTTATGTTGGTTTCCTTCCACAGGTATCCTTAGTGTCCCATACTTTATTACAAAAGTGAGCACACATTTTGCAATCACATGTTGAATGCCTGACTACCTTGGTGTATGTTAAGTGCTTCAAGGACAGAGAATATTAGCCCTTCCTTGCTGTATCTCTGTGCCTGGTGCAGTGCCTAGCACAGAATAAGTTCTCAGCAATATCTGTTGAATGAATTAATAGTTTGAGAAAGCACACATATCAAAAAATGTGAGTGATAAGTATAGTGCTCTGAGCAGTAGAAACAGCATAAAACAAGACAGAGGTAAATTTTTCTAGATTAAGAACAGTTCATTTAGACTGAAATTCACGGTATACCAAAGGAAGTGGAAACGTTTCGCTAAAATGGTTGGGTGGAGTGAGCAGTAGATGGCAGGAGGCTCTGAGGTGAGATGTTGGGGCTTGAATCATCAAGTGACGGAGAATCACTGTTGTAAACGCAAGGAACTGAATGCAATAATTCTCCAAGCCTCCAGCCTATCTCCAGCTGTAGAAGTCAGAACTTAGATGTGCTAAGGGTAGTTGAGATACTGAATCTGCCTCCAGTCTTTGTATAGCCTGGGATCCCACCACACCCATCTTCCCTCTTTCTGGACCCAGCTACTCAGTAGACTGCAGCCCTTCCACTTCAGGTGCCCCCTTATTAAAGCAAAGCTGTCATGCTGAGGACTCAGTGCCAAGAAAAAATCTTTGGGAAAATGGCCTTTTGCCCTGTAACATCCATTTTCTTATTTCTCCTGGTGGTCACTGTGAGCTCCAACCCATTGTCTGGATTAAATAAATGAAAAATGAGATGACAGAGATCTGAGACTCCATTGGGCATTTGGATTCCTTCTCAATGGGGCTAGGGTCCATCCCTCTCACACAGGTAATGCAAAACTCATTCTTTTCCTACTGGCAACGACATCCTTACTCTGTACAAGGCTCTGAAAGGAGCAATTGTGTACATGTGACTGATTAATTCCAGCAATCTTTGATATAATTGTCCAAAGATTTGCCCTGGTACTAATTTAAAACACAGTAGCCAATTTAATAAAACTAACAGTTTGCAGCCAAGGCCTTTGTTATTTTGTTTTAATCATCTTTTACCACCAATTGAAATGATTTTCTACTTTCTTGGTGCAATAAAACAAAATAGAAGGGAAAGAATGGAGGGACAATGTGGAAATTATAAAAGATCCAGAGCTTCGAATCCCGGGACGAGGTAACAGCGGTCCTGAGATTTAACTGGTAATTTGTGTCAGACTGAGATTTGAAGGGAAGACATTTAACAGTTTGGAGGAAACTCCACACCTGGATAGCATTAAAGAAGGGAGAGAGGAAAAGATCTACAAAGAACTCTTGTTTTTTTCCTGAATGCAACCAAAGGCGATGTGTGACAGCTTCCCCAAACATTCTACTGGTGATGGACAGGTCACTTGATTACAGAGCAGGGGCTTGTGACAAGCTGACCAGTCACCAAGGACTCTGGGAGCCAAAACACCAGATACAGTTGGAGGTAAACAGGCATGCTGCAGAGTGTGAAAATCGAGGCCAAGTCAGGGCCAGGGAGTCCAACGGAGGGCCCCAGTGACAGCTGGTGATTGAGCGGCACTAACTGAACACAGTTGTGGAGGACTAGGGGCCAGTAAGGAAAGCCATCTCCTTTCTCCTCCCTGTGGCCTCTCTGGGTGGCCAGCAATTTTATTACTGGCAGAGGGCAAACCCAACAGCATTTTCGAATTTGGCACCACATCTAAAACCATTTGGGGACTGGGCTTCTCTTTCTTCTCTCCCCTTACCCTTCCCAGGAGTGGCTTGAGTTCCATGAAAACCAGCGTGCAGTTAGCAAACTACATTTCCCCTCAATTCTGAAACCCATGTGCACTTGGGGAAAATGTAATCCTTATGTTTCTGATTCATTTACACTTAACTCATCAAAACGCTATTTTGTAAGAGCTATTTGATGTCCACGAAGTCTTCTGAGCTCTTTTGTAAGCCTTGCTTCTTAGAAGCAGGAAGTCACATTTCTGATGAGAGAGAGAACTTGAACCTAAAAGGTTGAGTTTGTTTTGAAATTAAGACTCTTGGAGGGTCACATGAACCCTGAGCTTAGCCAAATGTGTTCTCTCATTTCCTATACCAACCCCATCACCGGCACCAGCTGCCATGACGTTACTATGTCAGCTCTCTAAGATTTCATTCCCAGCAAACAAGGGAGACTTCTCTATGATCAGAGGGAGCTGAGTTCAAATGTGAGTCCCAAGGTCTGGCCAATGTCCAACACTCTGTTACATAGGGGAAGAAACACCTGGACTGGGAATTAGGAGCGCTAAGTTCAATTCTCTGTTCTGCCATTGAATGGCTGTGTGACTCTGAAGAAGTGGCTTCCTCTTTCAGCTCAATTCTCTCATATGTCAAGTGTCAGTCCTGGCATAGATGATCTTCAATAATCTTTCCTGGTCTGAGAGTTTTTCAGTCTAATTCCCAGACAGTAAGAAGTTCAAGCATCTCAAAATTCTCTGCTTAAAATTTTTGGAGACTGACTTCGTATACACAGAGCTTAGCTCAAGAAGGAAACACAAATATGTAGAAATCAGAGCTGGATGACTTTGAATATCACTTACTCCAAGTTTCTCATTGTGGGATGGATACTAAAGCCCAGATATGGGAAATAAATGGCCGCAAGTCATATGGCAAATTAATGGCTGAGTCCAGCTGTCCTGGCATTTTTGACTAACATCCTTGGATGGAAGTTTCTAAACTTTTCACTTCATAGGATTCTGAAACTGGGGCAAAAACCTAGTTCCCACTCTGACAACAAGAATGTAAAAGCTAGCATCAGAATGGAAGGGGAGCTGGCATTGCTTTGCACAGTGAGGTTGTGTCTGGCTTGTATTAAAGCCCATGAGTGAATGATTAATCCTGGGTAGAAAACAAAGCCTGAGCCTTGTAACGTTATAGGTATTAGTTCTATGGAAGATTAACCCCCGATACCCCATGGGACCTCTTTAGAACATTGGACTACACTTTGAGAATCAGCAGATGATGAAAACAGGTGGTCTCACAGGTCTTTGTTTGCCTGCTCCAAACACACACACACACACACACACACACACACACACACACATATGCAGGTACTCATGCATGCATGTACATGCACACACACACATGCATACAAACATGCATATGTATGCCTCAATTGCTCCTGCATCTCTGCATAGGAAAGAAATGTTGTGGCTGAAGGTGAACTGCCCTGTATGCCTGCCTCTGATTCACAGGCCAGCAACTGGAAGGCACTTTTGAACTCCTTCTCCTTGTTTCATCCCAACCCAAATATGCCTCTATAGCTGCATTCATTGTGTGTTTCAGTGATGCCAGTAACACAGGCATCTTTCATAACACACTCACCTGCCTCCTCCTTTTGATTAGTTTTCCAAGTATTTTATCCCATTAATATCCCTCAGCCCCACCCGGTGCTCTGCATTTCCACTTGACCACCATAGACAAGTGCCATCATCTACTTCAGTTTTGGCAACATTGCTTTTCCTCGTTTACCATTTTGATCTATGCCTCCATCCTTACTTCTATCCAGACATACACACACAGCCAAAAAGATGTCCTAAAACCAAATCTAATGAAGATCTTCTCTTACCTTACAGACACTCAATGGCTCATCACCACTCTCAGGATGAAGTCCAGACCTTACAGCAATGAACTCTGGGATCATCATGATCTAACCCCTGTCAACTTCTCTGGCCTCTTTGCTCAAACTCTCTTCTTGAAATTTTACCCTCAGCCACCACCCTGAGCAAGCAGTCTCACTTTCCTTCCCTGGCTAAATTTTCTTGCCTTGGCTTAGTTGCTGCCTCTTTCAGGAGATTCTCACTAACCTGTGAAGCTGAGTGAGGAGCTCTTAGCCCATGTGCTTCCCTTTACATAATAGCTTTTGCACTGTTAGATATCACTTGTTTATGTGTTTACTTTCACATTAAGTAGACTAAGCTCCTGAAAGGCTAGTATGTCCCTTACTGACTGGTTTATCTTCACTGCCTACTATAGGACCTGTTACACAGACAGTGCTAAATAATTGCCTGTTGAATGAATGAAACACAGAATTACACCTTCTGGCCCAATGCCTTTGCTTTAAGGATAAGAGAGCTGAGGCCCCAAGAGGAGCAGTGACCATGCTGTAAGATTCTCATTTGTCCTTTCAATCCTCTAGTAACTAATCCACCTTAGAAGTTAAAAGAAAGACCTTCAATATACCAGATATGATGTGTATTATCATGATTTTCTGACCACTTATTGATGTACCACAGGGTTTACTGATCCATTTATTCATGCATGCATGCATTTATTTATCTGTATTTATTGACCATCTACATGATGTCTGGCCTTGCACAAGAAGCTAGGGGTAGAGAATAACATGGCAGATATTACACAGCCCCCACCTCTAATATCTCAGTGTCAAGTTAAAATGCCATCCAGGAAAAATGCACCAAAACATTTTGAAATTGTCTCAAAGGAAGAGCTTTGTAAGTCCTAAGAGAGAGGCTGGGTCTAGGTGGAGTCCTGAGAGTCCCACTGTGCCTGGAGGCTTTCTTTAGATCTAGATGGCCAGCCCCCAAACTCAAAGTTCAGACTTACTAACAACATGACATGTAACCTGCTGCCTCCGTCTTTACTTAATTAGATGCACTGAGTGCAGGTGAGAGCTAAAGGATAATCTGAACAGAATTTCAGAGCTATGACCTACCCCTTTATTTTATAGACAGGGGTCTTGGGCCCACAGTTGGGGACCCACCTGATCAAGGACACAACAAAATTTCAGGATACCAGTACTAGAATCCAGGTCTCCTGATCCAGGGCCAGCACATGGTGTGTTTTCTCTCTTATTTTTTCTTTAGCTCAGTTACAAAGGTTAAAGTACAATTTATCTTTTCCTTCTTCTAACCCAACACTGAAGCATAGCAACTCCTGGTAGAGTTTACGGGAAACTGCTTGATGTGTGTGTGTCTGTATGTGTCAGAGTGTTTGCCTTTTACACATACTCTCTATCATGGCTCTGGCCAAGAACAAGCGTAGTGAAAAATCAAACAATAGAAAGAATCATGAACATTTAAATCTTTACAGTTCACTAGATTGCATCATGTTCTTGCAAGTCTATTATCTTATCAGTTTTTCCCACCACTCCTTGTTAGACTATATGGACAGTCACCCACTTTGTCCAAGGGAAGGAACTTAAGCTTAAACAATGGAAGAAAGCTGTTCCACAGCAAGGCTGGTGCTGGTGTGGGAGTCAGATCTCTTGATTCCAAATTCAGCATCTCTAAAGTGGTGTCTGAGGTTGTGTTTTAACAGACACAACATAAACCCACCAAGACCTGCCCTCATGATTCTCAGTGTCTCCAAGCACAGACTGAATAGATTTTGTCCATTCCTCTTGCCAATGCCCAGTGTGAGATAAATTCCTCCATTCTTCTCACATCTGTAATTGCTCTGACAGCTGTTATTTTCCTTCTCTTTCCTCTTCATTTATTTGTTTTCTTAAAAATCAGGAATTGGAGCAGCACAACCAAGTCTAGTCCATCCTACCTACCCCCAGAGTGAACAGAAAATAACAAAGTAGTAGGTGACACCAGGACACACATTGCAACCTGATTTCACTAACTCATCATTTTCCAAAGGAGCTTCCTCAGTAACGCTAGTCATATGATATGTGATAAGAAAACAGGGTACCTTTTTCAAACAATGTCAGAATAGACTACATAAAGCATTTCAGCAACCTCTGGGAGCCTCACAATTAAAAGGAAAAGTAGCATGTTCTGTGAAGTTCTGCAGAACAAGACCTCCTGAATAGAGTTGAAACTAGCATTCCTTGCATACACACAGACCTCTTTTTCCCTCTCAGAATTGATATTAATATGTCATGAAACTATTAATCCATAGACATCTATAGAAATATTTGGACATATAACAATTGCTCTGTTTGTTTTTCTGCTGAGAGATATAGACACATTTCCTCTATCAATGTGGTGCAGCTGGATGATCAAGACCCATCATCTCCTTCCCCAAGGTAACAACATTTATTTTCTCTCTCTCTTTTTTTTATTCTTGGAGACAGGGTCTCACTCTGTTGCCCAAGCTGGAGTGCAGTGGTACAATCATGGCTCACCACTGCAGCCTTTCCCTCCCAGCCTCAAGTGATCCTCCTCCCTCACCCTCCTGAGTAACTGGAACCACAGGTGCACATCACTATACCTGACTAAATTATTATTATTGTTATTTTGTCAAGATGGGGTCTTTCTATGCTGTCCAGGCTGGTCTTGAACTCTTTGGCTCAAGCAGTCCTCCCACCTCAGCCTCCCAAATTGTTGGGATTACAGGCATGAGCCACCGCATTTGGCCTTCATTTTCTTTTCTATCTATAACCTTGCTTTTTAGCAAACTTGACTTCAATGTCTAGACTCTGATCATTTCTGAGGAGAAACATCTCAATTCTAACCAATAGTCTTGCATGCCAGGAAGTTTCTTTCCACTCAAGTTTATTCATGCATGTTTATAAGAGGCACAAGGTTGAAGTGGCTAAGAATCTCACCTCTAACTCTTCCAGAGGGAAGTTTCTTAATGTCCTTAAACATTAGTTTTCTCAGCTGTAAAGTGGAACTAATAATAAAAGCTCAAAGAATTTTTTAAAAGGATTAAATAAGAAAAATTTTTTAAAGCACTTAGCACAATGCCTTGTACATAGCCAATAAATGATGGATATAATTATTACACTTGTATAATAACACAAATAGTCCTAGCTTAGAGTCATCAAACCCATTATTTTACCAGCTGGGTGTATGTGGGCCCGTTACATAGTTTATCTGAGCATCTTTTATAGAATGGGGGAAAAATCTGTTGAGGACATTAGGATATCTGTTTGAGATTATATATTAATGGGAAGTGTGTCAGGTCCATTGTAAAGACCTATTACATTTTTCCTATCATTATATGGGGAACAGGCCTAATGCATTTTGGATAATTCATTCAAATACACATTTAAAACACCTTCTCAAAGCCTTTTAAAATCATTCTAAACCAGGAAGGGTTATGTTAACTACACACAATTTTCCATATAGAATATTGCTTTCTTTCTATTTGGATGGCATCAGGATTGAGCAGATTATTTTTAATGATTCTGAAAGATAAGTGGGATAGAAAATATGGTGGATGAGATAGTAATTTTATGGTTATGGAAAAAGATTCTGTTACTTTGCGGAGAGGTTTCTTACCATGTTGTAAGTAGACATGGGTGGCAATAGTTCCAGTTCAGCCATGAGCAATTTCAGTCCTACGTGTTTAACAGCCTTCTTAGCATTTCCTCTCTTACGACTCATGGGAGTCTCAAACACAATATGTCTAAGACTGAACTCTTGATCTACCCCATGCCCAACAAAACAATAAATTAAAATATATTCCTCTATTTCAGGAAATAACGTTTCCCTCATTCCAGATATTCAAACCAGAAGTTGGAGAATCATTAAACAGCTACTTCTTACTAAACTGCTTGAATCCAATCTATCACCAAGTCCTGTTGGTTCTACCTTTAAAACATACCTCCAATTCATTCACTTTTCTATGCAAATAATCATCATCTTTGGTTTGGACTTCAGCAGTCAACCCTAAATGGATTCACTCACCCTTCCTCAATCCTTTCTTCACAGAATACCAGGGCAGTATTGTAAAATCTCAGACCTGATTGGTTTAGTCCCTCTATTTCATAATGAATAAATCTAAACTCAACATGAGCCACAAACTCTTCATAATCTGGCCCCTTCTTTTTTTATTTGTATAAATTTATGGGGTACAAATATAATTTTATTACATGCATAGATGGCAGAGTGAATTCAGGGTTTGGGGGGTATCTACGGTCTGAATAATGTACATTGTGCCCCTTAAGTAATTGCCCATCATCCACCCCCTTCCATTCCCCCACCCTTCTGAGTGTCCATATTGTCTGTCACTCCATACTCTATGTCTATGTGTACACATTATTTAGCTCCCACTTCTAAGTGAGAATATGAGGTATTTGTCTATGTCTGAGATGTTTTACTTAAGATAATAGCCTCCAGTGCCACCCATGCTGCTTCAAACGACAAGATTCCACTCCTTTTAATGGCTGAGTAACATTCCATTGTGTACATATACCTCGTTTTCTTTATCCCATCATCCATTGATGGATGCTTAGGTTGATTCCATATCTTTGCAATTGTGAACAGTGCTGTGATAAACATATGGGTGCAGGTATCTTTCTAATGATTTATCTTCTTTTGGGTAGATACCCAGGAGTGGGATTGCTGGATCAAACAGTAGTTCTATTTGTAGTTCTTTGAAAAATCTCCATGCTCTTTTCCATAGAGGTTGTACTAATTTACATTTTCATCAGAAGTGTATAAGGGTTCCCTTTTCTCCACACCCTTACCAACATCTGTTATTTTTTATCTTTTTATAATAGTCTGGCTCCTTCTTATCTCTTTACTCATCTTCTACAGACTCTCTCTTAATTTAAGGGGGATGTATACTCTATTATAACCTCTTGAAATAATACTCTTCAGTTTGTAATTATAATTTTGTGTGTACTATTATTCAGCTCTCCTACCAGATTATAAGATTCAGAGTTACACTCCCAGTACAAAGATTGACATGCAGTAGGCACTCCTATTAAATGCACGAGTGAATAAATGTAGAAACAAACAAATGAATAAATTTATCAATGGAACTATCGGTTCAATTTTTAACTTCTATGGGTCTCAGTTTGCCCATCTGTAGAAGAGAACCTATAATGGTTCACTTACTACAAAGTTTAGTAGTGCATTAGAGTAATCTATAAAAGTTTATATAAGCAATTTTGGTGGTATTAGCACCAAACAGGAGCCCTTCACCCTTTCAAAATTGAGAAGGCACTTGGAGATAGCACTTCTATGGCTGTTAATGACCCTGGAGATCAGTTGATTTTGTTAAGCCCTTTTGCTTATCCTAATATTCCCAGAACCCATATTTCATTCTGAGAAATACTTGGCCAAGACTGATGAGAGGGAGTCATAGGTGGATAATGCCTGGTTTCCAGAACCAGAGTGAGATTGTGCTGACTATGTGCTCCCCTGGCCTGAGCTAAGAGCAGTGGTATTCATTCTGGGCTTGGAAAAACAACTCTCTATACTGATGCTGCTCATCTCTTCTGGTGGGTGGGACATCAGAATGTAGGCAAAACCATGCTGGGCAGGCGTGGGAGAAGGCCCTGCTCAGGAAGGGGTCCAGCCTGAATCATGCATTTCAGCAACAGGTTACTGGAAATCATGCTGGTTTGGCCATGTCCACACTTCCTAAGCCTCCTCCTCCTCATCTGCTTAAATGTTCAAAAAAACAATAAAAAAATTTTGCTTTCTCCTCTCTTTGGTGTTTATTCTATTGCTTTTGGAAATAAGAAGATCTAATTTTAGTATTCATTTTCTCCATCGATCAAGATACCATCTTGTCCTTTGTCAGTCATTATGACAATGACTGTGCTCTGTATCTTGCCAGGCACACCCTTTGGGGTCAGGCAAAGGGATATAAAACTTGGCTTTAGCATCTATTAACTGGGGGACCTTAAATCAATGACCTTATCTCTTATAGTCTGAGCTTCTCCATCTAAGAAGTCAGGCATGCTAATACCTAAACACCATTGGTAGACTTATAAAAAAGTACTGAGCATATATGAAGTTTTCACTAGATGGTAGTTATTGTTAGCAGTAATGTTAGTGCTACCAGTAGTAAATGCTACAAATCATATTAGCAATGTGAAGATGGTTAACACAGTGACTAAATTTAAGCCCTGCTGAGAGCAGAAACCGGGCTGGTTTTTGTTACCTATTGTATCTTCAGAATGTGTCATGGTTCTTAGCACAGGGATTGTACTAAATCAGCATTTGATAAATATATCAATACATAAAAGAAGAATCAGAGTAACTTCTGCATAAATGCTATTTCCCTCTTAACTTCCTATTTCACCCTGGATTCTGATAACATTAATGGACATGCAATAGGGCTGACATTGAAATCCCAATTTAACGAATGAGAAATAGAGGTGTGAAGGAGATTAAAGATGAGGCCCATCTTAAGGATATGAATAGACAAGTCATAGAACAGGAAATGCAATTATCCAGTAAATGTATTTGAGTAGATGCTTACTTAAGAGCACATAACAGAAATGTCAATGAGAAGTCATATTTTTCCCATCAAAGTGGGTAAAAAAGTGCAAAGAAAAAACACTTTCATTATGCCAAATAATAAGCAGTCATGATACAAAATAGCAGGTCTTGGCACACACTGCTAGTGGGGTGGAAGCTAGTTCACCTGCCCAGAATGTCATAGTTGTGTCCATTAAAATGAAAAAGGCCCATAGCTTATCACCGGCAATTTCTCAGTATTCACCCTAGCAAAATGCTTGCATGTATGTGCCTGCAAGGATGTTTGTACGAGAATGCTCACTGCAACATTTGCTTGCAGCAGAAAAATGTGTGAAGTGACCTAAATGCCCACCATTAAGGGTATGGCTAAATTACCTGCAGCACATTCATACTGTGGGATACTGTACAGCAGCTAAAAAGATTGAAGTATATCTAAGAATTGAAGTAGATAGATATCCCAAATTAATACAATTTCCATCTCAAAGCTGTACATTTGATCTGTGGTTGAGTATGCCCTTCTGACATGCAGTATGCTTGTTCCTTCCTCCCTTCATTTATTCTTTCATTCATTTATCAATCTTGGCTGAACATCCACTTAGTTTCAACCATTTGAACTGTGGTGAACTTCTTCAATGATCAGCTGTTATGCATCCTTCAAGTCTCAGCTTACATGTCACTTCTTCCAAGAAGCCCTCCTTACCTATTCAAGCTCAGTTAGACACCCTTCCCATGTTTTCTCACAGCCCCCCTGCCCCCCGTGCTCCTCACACCATAACACTTTTCATGCTGCAGTATAATATTTTTCATTTAGAACCATGTGCTCATGAGGCCAGAGATCATGTCTGTATTAATCAGGGCTGCATTCGTAGCACAGAATAGATATTTAATAAATATTTGTTAAATGGGACAAGTATTACTTAACATGGATTATATTAGATTTTCACTAGTTGATGGATGAATGAATGAATAAATTAATACATACAAGAACAAAGGATGGATGACAAGGTGAGAAACGGAAAGAGCTATAAAAAGAAATGAGGCTTAGGAAAAAAAAAGGAAGAAAGAAAGTGGTGACTCAGCTCAAGAGCCATAGAAACAGCATGTAAGAGCCACCTGTGCCTTCACCTGACCCTGATTTGGGGTAAACTTTCCAAATCCTCTGAGGCTTAATATGACATTACATATCAATGTTATAACTAAGATCTGAAAGCAAGAGACGCATCTTCTTAGAGCCCACTTTGTGCTACTGCTGACTTATTCTTCACATGATCAACAAGTATCCATGGAGCCCCTATTGTGTCATTTAAGTGTCATAAATTTTGTACTTAAGAATATGAACCAGGTGAAGGAAAAACCACAAGCACTGTTAAATATAATACAACACAAACTGTGATCAAGGACTAAGGATCATGTTATAAGAAATTCATATTCCAAACAGGCTGGGATCCCAGGGATGGCAGCTCAGCTAGCTTTCATTATAAGTTACTGGGGGACACTTCTGGTTTCTGTTCAAATGTCATCTCATCAGAGAGGACTTTCCTGACCACCTATCTAAAAATCACTAAATCTTTTCCAACTGGGATATTATATAATAACATGCTTCTTTTATCTCTCCCAACTACAGGATAATAATCAATGAAACAAAAAGTTTTTCTTGCTGTATTCATTATTGAATCCCTAGAGGTTAGAAAGTAGTTAAGCTCATGTTGGAAGTCAACAAATACTTGCTGAGCAAGTGAATTAATGAATGCACTAAAGTTTCTAATTGATGGGTATTCAAAGCATTTGGAGTTCAGAGGCAAAAATTTGGATCTGATTTGTAAAATTTGGACTCACAAGAATGTCCACCCAGATCATATAAACATCTCCTTTCCTTATGTCTATTCATTTCCCCAAAGAATTATATTGAGAATGCCAAGGAGGTGAGATAAAATAGATATAGATTGTGTTGGAAGCTTTACAGGTCTGAATGTGAGAGAAGAATTAATAGATGACTAAATTGGGATACACAAATAAGCCAGTTGAGAGAGATGACTTTTAAGAATATTTCTAGCTCTCAACTGAGGATCCTAAGAAGACAGAGGCATAAACAAACATACTTGTTCAATCAGAGAATGAATGATCAAGAGCATTAGCTTTGGAGTTGACAGATCTACTTACAGACCCCAGCTTTGCCCCTTGATAGCTGTAAACTATAATCCACATTCCTTCTCTGAGTTTCCAGTCCCTATATATAATCTGGGGATAGGACCACCTACATTGTGGGGTTGTTGGGATGATTAGATCAAATGAGATTATCTATGTAAAGTCCCTAGTTAGTGCTTGACACATAGTACAAGCTTACTACATTTTGGCTTCTCCATTTCTCTTCAAATGCTAAATTCCTTCTCATTCTTCATTCCAGAACCATTTAAAGAACATTTTCTCAGTGCTTACCTTGTGTCTATAATTGTTCTACGTGCTTGGAATGCACCAGGAGAAAAACAGGAAAAAAATCTAGCCCTCGGGGAGTTTATATTCTAGTTCTAAGTTTAGACTTCAATTCATCCAAGTTTGGGTTAGAAACCTCTGACTCTGTGTTTCTGTTTCTTCCATCAGAATATTATTATACTGCAATGACACTGCTTGCCTGTCCCTCTCTTTTCCCATAGACTGTGAGCACCTTGAGTTTTCAGCACCACTGGATCACCATTTCTTAAAATAGTGCATAGCACCTAATAGATACCCAGTGAATATTTGTTGCATGAAGTGATGGATGAATGAGACAGACCAATAAGTAGATGAGAGTGAGCTACTGTTCACTGTTCCTGGTTTGCTTTATACTTTGCTTTCTCAGTTTTGTCCAGAGTATTTACTTCTTGGAGAAATCTGAAGATTCCATATAGGCCAAGGAGCACAGTGCTCAGTGTAGAAGCACTTGACAGCCAAGTGGAGAAAAAGATGCTTCCCTGCTATTTCTTCCCAGCCAGAAGCATAAAGAACTGTCTGTGTAATTTGTGTTATTGGACACCAAGACATCAAGGGTGGGCCACAGGGACTGATTGTGGACTAGTGGCCTCTGACTTGTAAGCCTGTCTTCCCCTTGCTATATTTAGAGCTTTGGCCAGATTGGATGCATTTCTCAGCTCTAAAATTCTGCCTTTACATTATTGTAGTAGGAAGTAGTATGGGTAGTGGTTAGGAAGGTGGAATTTGGAATTAGACTTAAGTTTGAGGCCTGTCTATGTCATTACTAGCTGTATGAGGTTAGTTTAATTACTCTCTGAATTTAAGCTTTTTCACCTACCTCAGAAGTGTTTGTAAGGCACTTAAAGCAGAGGAAATACTTAGTAAATGGTTGTCATTATTGTGGTCCACATTTCAGTAGGGCATACAGAGCCAGTGAGGTTTCCTCTGGGTACTGATTCTTACAGATAATCCCTATTGAATTCCTTTTACTACAAAAAAGTATGTGAATCACCTGTTACCCCAGACACCTTCTCTATGTCTACCCATAGAGAAGGGCTTAATGTGTTGGCCTCTCATTGTACAGATATGGAAACTGAGGTCCAAATAGGTGATGCGGTGTGTCTTTGTGTCATATGGTGAGTTTGTAGCAGAGTTGGCACTGGTACCCTTTCTTCTGATAGTGTCATTTCTCATTCGATAGAGGGGTTTCCACTTAAGGGAGATGGAGATGTTCCACATTTCTTTCTGGTCCTGGCCAAAAGTAATCAGTCTACTAGAAGTTTCCATGGGGTAAGCACAGAAGGCTCTCTCTTCATCACTGTCATACCTTGGGAAACTATCTCCAGTGTAGATAACAGAAAGAATAAATATTTTTGTTGAGAGAAAAAAAATGAAGACAAAGGTCAAAGGGAATCATGTAATGGGTTGAGTCAGGAAAGAAAAAGAAAGCATTTTTTCCCTCTCCTCTTTTTCTCCAAAACAGTCTTTATATAGAACTTGTATAAGAGCCAATTTATTTGATATGGAAAAAATGTGAAAGCAGCAAAATACACATACACACACATATACACACAAAGAGGTATTTGTGGTGGGGTTCAGGACTCAAATTACCAAGAGATAAAGGAGTTGAAATGGTAGGTTGATTTGGAAGGATGTGTTTCTCTTTTTTCAGTCTCAGAGAACATTCAGGTCAGGAAGCCCAGCCCATCCCAGCCCAGATCTCCAATAAACTCCTTGAAACACAAAAGATTCGAAGAGGAAGGCCGATGAAAGCCTCAGTCTAGCCCTTGTGCTTGACACATAGTAGGGACTAAAGAAATATTTGGAGAGTGAATGAAAGAACAAATTGTGCATAAGAGTGTCGACCTCACTACTGATGATTTGGCACAGTACGTGGCACTTTTACAAAGTGGGTAGGAGCTCAGCACTTAAGTTTGAGTGCCTTCAAGAAAGGGACTGGTCTGAGTCATCCTAATACTGTTTCCAGTACAGAATCTGGCATATAGAATGTTCTCATTACATATTTGTGAGTTGAGCAAGTAGTTGCATGAGTGAAAGAGAATTTGGAGATTCCTGGCCTTGGAGATAATTTAGAGCAGTGGCTATTAAACTTTAACTAGCATCCAAATTACCTGGAGAGGCCCTGCACTCAGAGTTTCTGATTCACTAGGCTGGACTGGGGCCTGAGAGCCTGGCCTTTCTCAGTTCCCAGGTGATACTGATGCCATTGGTCTGGGGCCACACTTTGAGAACTTGTTTAAGTGCACTGGTTTTTAAACTTGTTTAAACTTGTTGCAAATTATAATCACCTTATGAGATTTTAAAAGTTCTAATGGTCAGGCCTTATTCTTAACCATTAAATAAATATCTCGGGGGAGAGTGGAGATGGGATACAAGTGAGACCCAGGCAATTTTTAAATGTCCCAGTTTTTAAATGTGCAATCCAAATTGAGAAGAACTAGCCAGGTGCAGTGGCTCATGCCTGTAATCCCAGCACTTTGGGAGGCTGAGGTAGGCAGATCATGAGGTCAGGAGTTCTCAGACCAGCCTGGCCAACCTGGCAAAACCCCGTCTCTACTAAAAACACAAAAATTAGCCCAGCGTGGTGGTGCGTGCCTGTAATCCCAGCTACTCAGGAGGCTGAGGCAGGAGAATTGCTTATACCTGGGGGGTGGAGGTTGCAGCGAGCCAAGATCACACCACTGCACTCCAACCTGGGCAAGAGTGCAAGACTGTCTTGGAAAGAAAAAAAAAAAAAGAGAGAGAGAAGAATTAATCCAGTGCAACCTCCTGCATGCAAAGTTGAGGCATCGGAAGACTAGAAAGGACAAGTGACTCACCTAAGAGGGTAGAGCCAGTTAGTGATTTAGCTGAGATTTTGCTGAGAATAGAACTAAGCTAAATCACTAAGGGTTCTTTCATTTATTCAGTTTAATTTTCACCATTTCAAACTTATCAACCCATGGCAGCTCTCATAGGCTCGTAACTCGAGGCAAAAAAAGGAAAGCTGAGTTTAAACTGAGATTTTAAAACATCTATTATTTCTTCCCTCCATTGTTTTATAAAGAAAGTTTAAGTGGAAGCATATTTATAGAACTCTACCACTCTAGACAAGTGAGGAGATGGAAGAGACAGGGTTATGGAATATTTTTAAGGCAAGACTATCCTTTAAATTTTAAGTACATTCTCAAACACAAACCAAGTGCTCTTTCTGAGTTCTTAAACAGCTGTTCCTCATCTCTGATTCAATGAATTAGCAAGAGTTTGCCTGTGATGTGCACATTAATTGCTAGTATGTAAAAGGAAGTGCTGGTAAAGTGTTTGAAAGTGGTTCTGCCCTTTAAAAAGATTAAAAGTTTCCTCTAGAACTTGGTTCCCATTAATGATTGGCTTAGTGAATATTTTCAAGTAGACAGAGCAGAGATTGTCTTACATCATTTTAGAACCAAATAAAGAGCCACAAAAGGCCTATAGAAACCATTGACACCCAAGTTAGATGGCGAAGACTCTATCCTTTTTGTAGATTAAAACAGAAGTTGGAATCACATCTTTAATTGAGCACCAGTTGAGTGCAGTGGCTTAGGAGTCAGAACGAAATTCCAATCCTTACCTTCACCGCTTCCTAACTGTGTGATCTTGGACAAGTGACTTCACATCTCTAAGCCCCAGTTTTCTTCTTTGTAAAATAAGAATAATAGGGCTATGGTTGTGGAGAGGATGGAATGAGTAAAAGATGCAAAGACCTTAGCCCATTTTCTAGTACACAGGAAAAGCACTAATGGCTTCATTATAAGATGGTCTTCCTCCTAAGACAGAAATTCTGAGGATGTTTGGGGAAGAAGTAATAGAGAGGTGGCTTGAGAAGTGAGTAATTTTTTTTTTTTTTTTTTTTGAGATGGAGTTTCACTCTTGTGGCCGAGGCTGGAGTGCAATGGCATGATCTCGGTTCACTGCAACCCCGCCTCCTGGATTCAAGAGATTCTCCTGCCTCAGCCTCCTGAGTAGCTGGGATTACAGGTGTTCATCACCACACCCAGCTAATTTTTTTGTATTATTAGTAGAGACGGGGTTTCACCATGTTAGCCAGGCTGGTCTTAAACTCCTGACCTCAGGTGACCCGCCTGCCTCGGCCTCCCAAAGTGCTGAGATTACAGGAGTGAGCCACCTCCCTGGCCGGGAAGTGAGTATGAAAGACAAGTACTACTTCACATAAGAGCAGTGAGCATCCAGAAAGAGTTACGGAAACCTAAAGCTGCAAAGGCCCTAAGGATCAAATGGGTTTGAACCACTGTTCTGCCTCAGGAAATAAGACAAAAACAAGTGCTGTTAAAGTTGATATTCACTTTCCAGCACAATTTTTGTGCAAATACCTAGGACTGTGCCCAACCCCCACCCAATCTACTATAACTTCACCCCCGATTCACCCACTGAAAAAGCAATCAAAATGCATAAATTGTCTTCAATTTAATATAAAAAGAAAATCATTAGCAAACTTCAGTTCTTCTACTTTCATTAGTAATAAATGATTTTCTCACTGCTACTCTCATCCAACCTCCTTCATTTACTATTGGAATGACTAAGATTAAGAAAGGCTTATGAGGCTTAAGGTCACACATCAGATTTGTCACTAAATCCAGGTCTAATGGTTCCTTCCCTATTGCTCTTCCCATGATATCAACTCTGCCATGTTAAGACAAATCTACACCCAATGATGGGTTACAATCCATAGAGTGAGTCTTGACTGTGATGAACCTTCCCCCTGTCCAGGCCTCTCTGACCCACCTCACGTTCCTCCACAACCCACCCACTTAATAAACTCCCTATTCAGAGAATGCACTTACATGTCTACGAATTTCCTATTGAGATGTAGGATGGAGGCCACATCCATCTGGAGAGGAGGGTCCCGGACCACCTTATACTTCAGGGGCTTACACTGTAGACAGAGTGGGGTGTCTGCAGTGGAGGTCAACATGGCAGCATCGATCTCCAGGTGCTCATCCAGCGTGTAGATTTGGATGCCATACACCTCCTCGCCCACGTCCCAGAGTCTGATGGTCAGTGGGACATCACAGAAGACATTCTGAGGACCCAGGGAGATGTTCTTCCCACTGACAGCCAACAGTTTGATGTCATTGACAGCTCCACTAGAGTCCCAGTCAGTGGAGACAAAGGTCACCCAAATGGTCAGAGACTCAGGGACCAAGGGGTAGAGGAACTCCAGCTCGAGGTAGCAGCCTTGAGGCTCAGGGCAGGCTGGAGGAACCGTGTGTGGGTTGACAGCTGAATTTGGGCTCCAGGTGCGGACACTGGACTTACAGGGCTGTTCAACATCAGGATGACCTATGCAGAAGAGATGAGGGAATGAGTTCTTGGGGAAAGAGCTTTATTCCCATCCTTAGAGTTTCCTGTGGACCCCAGGAGAAATTGGTCTGACTAGAACTTAGACAGAGGGGAAAAGGAGAGGAAGGTTCTTGGTGCCTTGGTGAATCTGCTATACACACAGCATCCATCTCATCCCCACCCCTGCAATACAGATTTCAGAGGAATCACCAGACATTCAGTCAAACTGCTTTCATCTCACTACCGAGTCAATGTTCAAACTTTCCTTCCTCATCTTCCACTTAGGAGGCTGTGCTGCCTAAGATGAAAAGAAGTAAAGGGTACATATTGGCTAAACACCCACTGTGTCCCCTGAACTTTAATTCTTGCAAGGACTTATTTAGGAGGTGATAAAACTAAGGCTCCCAAATATAGAGTGAATCGATCAGGTTCATACAACTTGAAGTGTAAAAGCCAGCATTGGAACCGAGTTTTGTTTCATTTTGGAATCTGTATTCTTTGCTGTTCTCCCTATTGGATGCAGGGGACAGTAGAATAAATTAGAATCCTTGTGGTATTACTGCCATTGGTAAAACCTACTTGGACTGACAGAAATCCTAACCCCACCCCCCGACCAGCAAAGAATAGGTGAGCATAAATAGCATCCACCCTGCAGACTGAGGACCTGGGAGGAAACTGTCTAGAACCATGAACAACAGAGCTGGAAGGCAGCCTTGGAGCCCTCTTATCTCTCCTCCTCCCCTTCTCTACATGCAGTCATTCCATACCACTGAGCTTCTCCGCACTCTGTTCTGTCTCACTCAGGAAGGGGAGGGTTGGGTGAGGAGCGGGGAGAAGGAAGGAGGGTTTCTTCTCCTCTTTCCCTAGGGAGATGATGCCTCATCCCCACTGATCTCAGCCTGCAGCGACTTCTGAATTTTTCTCTGCTGAGATCACATCTAGACTCCCAGAGAGCTCTTCCTTGCACTACTGAGGAAAATAACCAGGACTCAATGTAGTGATTGGCTCTAATTTGTTTAAGGGAGCCTCATGAGAGAGACAGACCGGATGGTAAGATGAAGGACCTCAAGTTGCCCAACTAGACACCTTAAAAAAAAATTAAGAGACAGAGTCCTGCTCTGTTGCCTAGGCTGCAGTGGAATGGTCTGATTGTAGCTCATTGCAGGCTCAAATTCCCCTGCCTCAGCCTCCTGAGTAGCTGAATATAGGCATGTGTCCCCATGCCCACCTAGCCACATTCTTTTTTTTTCTTCAGCCTCAGTGGTTGGTTGGGAGGGTGGTGGTGACCCTAGACATTTCTGAAGCAAATAAGAAAAAAAAAAGATCTTTGCTTAAAAACGCTTTGTGGTAATGTTACAGGGTAACAGGAATCACTATAATGTCAATACTAGAAAGTTATTTGGAGTGAAAAAACTATGCCAGTGAAGGCTGTAAATGCCTCTAACCTCCTTGCCTCTGCTTAGCCAAGGAAAGAAAGAAGCCACCAAGTGGAGATGGAGAAGAGAAGAGGAAAAGAGAAGGAGGGGTGAGAAAATACACAGAGGCTTCTTAGATATAATGCATCACAGCAAGAAAAGATGGATTTAATTACAAGATTTCCTCTATCTCTCCTTGGCTAGTTTCATTCATTATTTGCAGTAACTGCTGGCTCAAAGCAACCTTTAGTTTAGGGTGTAAAACACAAGTAGGACTCCCCACCTAGCTGAAGCCTTTCTTCTTGTCTACTTTCCCACACACTGAGTTCCTGACTTTCTTAACTTTGTGGGATGTTGACACACATGTATCACTTATTCATTCAGTCAACTTCATTGAAGGCAGCACTTTACAGTATATGAAACACATCTCCTAGTTATTAGTTAACTCATCTGATTGTCATCAAAATCCTGTAAGATCGTTGTCATTTTGTCTCTATTAAAGAGCACTGCTTCGCTCAACGCCATGTAGCTTTTGCTTAATACAGTGTGCCTAGTCCATAGAGTATTCACATAGCAGATGCTAAATAAATATTTGTTAACCTTCTAGCCTGTTAACATTGAGTTAAAAGTTACAGCATAGAACATTAA
Organism: Homo sapiens; assembly: GCF_000001405.40. Classification (NCBI taxonomy): domain Eukaryota; kingdom Metazoa; phylum Chordata; class Mammalia; order Primates; family Hominidae; genus Homo; species Homo sapiens. The sequence continues at coordinate 116,233,075 of NC_000009.12, read as the reverse complement.
AGCATGCTTCCTGATGGTGGGTGCCAGGTGAACATTCCACCCCTCCATGGGCTTTCTCCTGCAACTGGCAAGGGATGATGTAATCTTCCTCCCTTCCTTGGAGAAAATGACTGTCAGGGGTGGGAAGCCACAGGAGAGCAAAGATGACAAATCTGCCTGGCTCATCCTTCCTCCCTAGTTTCTTGTTAATCAACAGAGGGACCAAATACTTCCAAAGGACAGGAAGGTGAGTCTGGTCATTATGCTCAAGCAAGTAAACAGGAGTAGAAATCTTAGCAAAGCTTGTGGTTGTCTGGTTATTAGAGACAAACCCTTAGATGTAAAAAAGAGTCCCTAGAGGCACCAAGTGTAACCATAACCAAAGCAGCAACCTCATTAATAATGCCAGCCTTCACGAGTTGACCATCCTCAATGTGCAGGCACTGTGCCAAGCACATTACACGCCTCAGGTCTTTTTACGTTGGCACTAAGTCTGTGACGCAGGTCTTATGAAATTCATTTTACAGAAGAGGAAACTGAGACTCAGATGGTTCAGAAATTCCCTGGCAGGGAGTAGAATATGATATTGTTGGTCCAGGCAGCGTGCCAGGCTTTGAAGGAATGAAAGTTGGGTTAAAATATCAGTTATAGGGTTTCTCATTGTGTTACCTACTGTAATGTTACCTACCTCAAGGTTGCTGTAAACCTCAAATAGGATGAGATCATTAATAGATTCCCATAAATATATTAGCTCTGTCCTGGAAAGTAGGGACGTATTAACAAGGAAAATATTGGTAAGAGGAGGTATTCCAAGCATGAGAATAGTTGGGAGAGAGTGTAAGTTAAGGTTACTATGGTTTTCAAGTGCAATTGTAGAGCAACAAATGCTGAGGCTGGTAAGCTAAGTAGAACCAAGATTGTGAAGTGGCTTGTATACTACATTAAGGAGGAAACTGAACTTTACACTGAAATAGACGAAGAGCTACTGAGAAATTTTAAGCAAATGAGTGACATCAGGGTCGCCTTTTAGAAAAACCACTGTTGGCCAGGTGCGGTGGCTCATGCCTGTAATCCCAGCACTTTGGGAGGCCTAGGCAGGCAGATCACTTGAGGTCAGGAGTTCGAGACCAGCCTGACCTACATGGTCATCTCTATTAAAAATACAAAATTACCTCGGTGTGGTGGCACGTGCCTGTAACCCCAGCTGCTCAGGAGGCTGAGGCAGGAGAGTTACTTGAACCCGTGAGGCTGAGGTTGCAGTGAGCCGAGATTACGCCACTGCACTCCAGCCTGGGCAACAATAGTGAAACTCCATCTCAAAAAAAAAAAAGAAAAAGAAAAGAAAAGAAAAACCACTGTTTAGAGACACAGACACTATCCATCCATCCATCCATCCATCCATCCATCCATCCATCCATCCATCCATCCATCCATCCGCCCATTCATTCCATGCATTCAAAGAGTAACTATTCAGTGCCAGGTGTGTCCAGAGGTAGGCTAGGCTCCAAGAGAATAAGCTTGCCAACATGATCTCTGTTCTCAGGGAGCTTTTAGTCTTGCAAGACTAGTTAGGAGAGTATTGGACTAACGCAGACAATATATGAACTGCAAGAAAGCATGCAAGGAGATGGCAAGTCAGAATTCCTAAGGAGGAAAAGTGAACACAGCTGGGAGATTGATTGGACATGTAGTCGGAAGGTAAGGACAGGAGCTGAAGAAAAGAAACAAAGCGAGAAGGGAAGGAAGAAGATAAGGAAGGGGGAGGAGGAAAGGTGGAAGGGGAGAAAAGAATAAACAAAGAAGAAAAGAGAACTAAGTGTAAAAGCCCTGTTACTTCATTATTAATAGATATCCTTTTGTATATACAGTGATTAAATTAAAAATTACATGTTTATATAAACTGTCCACTAGAAATAAGGTCATATATGTGTATAGACATATATTTATACATAATCATGCTGATCTATATTTACTTTTGTGAAGCACTATACAGGCACCCGTTATATATCTATATATATATACACTGCAGCTGTTGACACAAATATAGTTATAAAAACTTGGTGCCAAGCTTTTTTCCAGGTGAATAGTTAAGCACACCTGAAATATTCTGGGCAGAAAAATAGAGAAAACACACAAATGAGAAAAAATAAAAACAGTTAGTGCCATGTGCTAATCTCTCATGGAAAACCCAACACTTGGGATCTATTTTATACTTGCATAAGTGATCTTAACTGGGATTTGAGTCAGTCAGATCAAGAAATATATATTTATCTAATTTATAGGCTACAGATAAAACATGGCGTCAAATATCTCAAAAATATTCATGTATGAAATACAGTTTTTGCTCAAGGGGTAGGAGTGCAACCACTGTCTATGAACAAAGGCAAGCAGTTCTATGACTGTATTTACCTTCTTAGAAATGAAGCTAATGAAATGCAGTAGATTTCCAATAAAGATTTGTTAAATGAAGAATCTTCTGCTAGTTAATATGGGATTATATGAAAAGAAGTTACAGCTCCATGCAATATTAGAGCTAGAAAGGATATTATATTTCAACTTTTCATTCTGTGGATACAATGCCATTTTCAGAGAAGCTATGTGACTCACTCAAGGGCACAGAGTACATCAATAGTAGGGCTGAGACCATGGTCCAATCCTCCTCCTTTCCCTCCCCTGCATTCCCCATGTTTTTTCCCCAACCATACAGATATGTCTGGCATTGCTCATGAATTTGGGAGTTTTAAGTTAGTTTGGGAAGTCCAAAAACTTAAACATGTGAAGATAAATAGGATGAGAATGAGTTGAGAAATAAATTGCAGAGTTTGGCTCATGGAAAAGTTTATTTCTTCAAGGATATTAAAAGGGTCTGAGCCAAAAGGATCACAGAGACTGTAATAGGATGCTCTAAAAAAAGAACAGTGTCTTTTCCTGGTGCACATGTACTAAATTTACATAGGAGGAAAACCCAAGGCTGCTGGGTTTCCTTGGAGCTCCGAATTGGCTCAGGGAACCAGAGACCTCAGTGCCTCCAGTTGAACTCCATTCTGCATATCATGCTTTAAGAAGGTCAGGAACAAACTAGGAGCAAACTTCACCAACTAATAGTTGCATTGGATGTAAGTGTGGGGAGATGTCTGGAAATAATTTTATTCAAACAAGTGGTAGAACAAAGCAAGATAATTTTAGCCAGAGACATCTCAGGGGAGAATCTTGCTAATTCTACCTTCCAAGTACCTCTCAACCCCATAAACTTCTCTCCATTCTCACAGCCACCGACCTCACCAGCCCACCATCATTCCTCAGCTGGATTTTGGCAACAGTCACCTTGCTGCTTCCCTTCCTCTAGCAACCAAATCCTCTTGATCTCTTCTTCACACAGCAGTCTGAGCAATCTTTATGACATGCAGGTCTTACCATATATCATGCCCTCATAAAGCACATGGTTTTCTCACTGCCCTTGCTGTGAATCCAAACCCGTCCTCACCTGGCCATTATCTATCTCATCTGTCTTACCTCTGCCACCTCTACCTTGTTTTACATGTTCTGAACCTACTTAAACTCTTATAGCCTTACTGAACTTTTGCTTATGCAGGTTATATCTATTAGTAGTTTCCGCTTTATAAACTAAAGCTAAGAAATTTAAAAATTCAAGAATACAGAAGAGTGTGCTCCATTAGCTATCAGAGCACAAATGACATCACATGTCATGTGTCTATCAGATAGCTCCACTGGACTCTCAGGAGAGAATGAGAGTGGAAAAAGCAAATGATGTCATATGTAATTGTATGAAAATACTTTTGACTTTGAGGATACCCTATAAACGTCTCCAGGAACCCTATAAGCCTCTGAAGTAGATTTAGAAAACAGCCACTCTGTGAACATACCAAACTTTTTCACATTCTCAGATGCACCTCGTTAATAGTGTTGTGATATTTCATGGGAAGACTGAGTCTCCAGTTCTGCATGGGGTCCCCTTCTTATGGGCCCCCAGCACCACTTGGTACTTCTATTACCATAAGCCTGTTCACATTGAATGGTAATTGGCCATTTACTTATCTGACTTCCCTAGCAGACACTCAGCACTGCCTTGCCCATGTGCCCAAGACAGTGCCCAGCATATAGTGCCTGTGTTGGTCACTAGTGAGACAGGCTCACTAGATACAAGCATGCAAAATGTTGTCAGGTGGCAGAGACACACATTCTCTGTGACAACCCAAAGTGGGTTCAGTTTGGGTGGAAAAATTACAATTGCAGATTTCGAGAACTTCCTAAAAAACTGGAGCTTGAACAGGCTCCAGGGAACCTCAGTGAGGATGCACATAGAGGGGATTCCTGCACTTGGGGGGAGCCCGGGCCAGATGACCCCAGGCATCCCTCTCAGGTCTGACAGCCTGTGATTCTGTGAGGCTGAACTGAGGGCTTTTCCCAGACATCCCTCTTGCTTTACATTCCAGATGGATTTGTTTAGACTTCCCAAGTTTGACTCTCATTTTTATTTTAAGCTACTTTAAAAAATAAAGTGCAGTGCCGTCGTTTTTCAACTTCACTTTCCTCTCTGATCCTTCCCCCTTGCTTTATTCTATCTCTGGCTTTTTCTTTTCAACCTTCTTTCTAAAAATATAGAGGATAGCGGAGGAGTTCTCACTGGTGTTCAGTGAGAAGACTGATTCCGCTCCCTCTGATGCACTGGTGTAATAGTGTCCTCACCCAGTGACTGCTGGCATGAGCTAACCTGCAGAAGAGCAAGAGGGACTGGGTGGGGGCAGGGTCTATGTGTACATCCCTGAGTACCAGGGAGGGGGAGATGAAAGACTAAGAGGAAAGTATGGAGCCTCTGCCAGCCTGGTTCTGAGGCCAAGTGACAAAGTGTGACAACAAGCATTTGGCAAAAGGTATTCTTCTCTTAATTTCAATGATGATGTAAGAAAGCACAGAGATCATTGGTTCCTTGGTAAGCCTGAGAGACAACCCTGAGCAGGGAAGAGTCTGATAGTGGGTGGAACCCATAATAGTGGCAATCATAAGGCACTTCCTTTATGTGTCTTACAGGTAAATAGATCCCAAAAAGAGGGTATATAGAAGAAATTAAAAGGAATAGTTGCAACACATGTGAAAGTGCTCTGTATAGTCTAAGAAATAACAGAAGAAGAATCAAAGACCACTGATGCCTTGAAGCCCCAAAATATTTGTATTGACTCTAAAGTGGCCTTGTTTGTAACTACAAGCAGTTGGGGTCTGAAGGATATATAAATACCCCCAAGACACTGTGTTTGTATCAGGTGTGTGGCCTTGGGCACTTCTTTAATATCTTATTGTCTTTGTTTCCTCATTTGTAATATGAGAACAACATGTTAGGATAGTGCAAGTGCTCAAAAAGTATTTGTCAAATGGATGAGCGCTTGACTACTAACCTTGCAGGATGATGTTACTCAAATGAAATGATACATGGCAAAGACCCATAAAAATAATAAAACCCCATATACATTGAAAGAGCTGTTCTTTGCACACTCCTCCTGTCAATGAGCTTCCAGAAGGCTGGCTTACCTTCTGCTTCACGAGGGCTCCAGTGTCCTGATGGGCTGCAGGGCATTGGGGAGGAAGCGTTGGAAGCATACTGCACCAGGATTCTCCCTTCCAGGCAAAGATGACATGCTGATCCCAATTCTCTAGGAGGCCAAGGAAAGAGGGAAAATGCACCGACTTAGGAACAGTTGAATGAGCAACTGATGGGACTAGGCCAGAGTCAATGGGGCAGAGGACACAACAAATCTGTGTTTCCCCCTTTCCTGCCTACATATGCCAAGGCTTCTGGAAATAACCGTAAGTGAAATGCCTCCCCATTGCCCAGCAAGAACCTCGTTTGAGCCTAAGTGGCTTCTGTTCTGATGATGCATACATTTCTCTGACTTTTAGCAGCACAAAGTCAACAGGCTGAAGTCTCACCACCTGCAATAATTTTAATTTTATCAGGCATATAAAGCTCCACTGAGGATTTGCAATGTAGTTATGAGAAAATCTCTTGCTCCATTTCGTTCTCAAAGTTTACTCCTTTTACAATATTTATCAGGTACCTACTATGTGCCAGACACCATCTTGTGTTTTAGGCATTAAATATGAAGATGGCATGGTTCCTTCTTCTGAAAATAAGAGGGCTGGATTAAATGATGCCTAAAGAACCATCCAGCCTTGACATTCTGTGGATGGATGAGTCACTCCTCGATTTTACAGTCAAAAGCAGTTTCTCTACCATGCCATCTAATTCATTGTAGCGGCTTTCCAAGGGGCTAGCCAATCCCTCAATGGGACCAGTCCCAGAAGTGGAATATTATGATGGCTTCCCCTACCAAGTTGGGTCTTGTGTATCTGGATTCAATCTTCCTTTGGCTATAGAGTCTCTGGGATCCTACTCATTTTCCAGATTTGGCATCTGTTTATGAGGCAGTTGTGGAGAAGGGAGAGGAATGAGTCCTCTTCTCCTGTCTTATTGTGAACTGAAAACTGCAAATCTGAGTGACCTCTGCAGAGGGACTGGAAACAAAATCTCGGGAAGACGTCGAGAAATGTCCCAGCACAACCCATTATTTCTCAAAGTGCAATGGTCCTGATGATAACTCTTTCATCATTCCTGGAAGAACTTCTGTGCTTTGGCTACCTGAAAGGATGCAATGGAGAAGCCAGGTCTGAAGCCTTCCTTATGGCTTTCCCCTCACAGGGACGTTCACTATGCCTCTGGGCTCACACAGTCAGGAACCGTGTGCTTGTGAGCATCAGAGTGTGCTGTTTCTCCCCGTTCCTCCTCCACACAGCGGACAGTAGATCATCCCCAAACCTCAAGATGAACAAGTCATGCCTCTGCTTACCTCTTTCAGTGATTTTATCCCCTAATGCCCTATAATGTGGTATTCAATGCTCTTTCATACTATCCTCTGCTTCACTCTAGCTTTGTTTCTCTCCATGATAAGCTCTGTCTACCTATCATGTTGCGTCATGTTACCCACATCCCCTCTGCAGACTTTTTTCACTTGGCTGATGTTTCTCCTCCTTCAAGTTCACCTTTGACATCATTTCCTCTGTGAAAACTTTTTTTGACATGCAGGAGAGTTTATCCTAATAGATTGTGAGGTCCTTGAGGACAAAGTCAATATCTAATAACCATCTTTTTATTTCACACAGCACAGCACACAACTTATCTTATAATGTTGGTCAGTATAAGCAGTTGAATGGATGGGTGTATGCATGGATGGATAGATGGATGGATGGATGGATGGATGGATGGATGGATGGATGGATACCAGTCACTTAGGCATGTGCTAATACTCATGGCTAACTTAGTGCAGACCTTCAAATTGTAGGTTTTGCATTCTCAGCCTTATCATTGTAAATATGAAACCATATGTAGGTGGAAATTTTGCAAGCACACTAATATTAATATTCAGTGATAAGAGAATCATTAAATAGCCCATGGTTAATATGCTTAATGGAATGCCAAGCAGTTATTGCAGAAATATTTATAAATATTATGCAACTTCATGGAAAATGTGTAAGCTATAATATTAAATGAAAAAGTAACATCCAAAGCTAAATCTATAGCAATATCTCAATGTTCAAATAACACTATGAAACAAAATATTATCAGCAGCAATTTCTGGGCAATGGAATATAGGATGATTGATCCCACCCCCTATTATTACTCTTTCTGGTTTTCTAAATTTTCTACATATTTTAAATACATGAGTTACTCTTGGAGTAGCAATAATAACAATTATACAAATATACTCAAATGCAGAAAAGTAGGAGTGGAGAGAAAGGCTTCCTCAGCACTGCTAATGGAGGCATTCCCTTAGGATGACCACAATCCACGCATAGTGGCTTTGAGTCACATGACTGGCTTTAGACTGACACTGGGGTTACAAATGTTCTGGGATGAATTCAGGAACCATGCTGACCTTGATGGTCATTCATTATTTCGTCTATGTGCTTTAGATGTTTCATTGTGGGTGATACACATAAAGCCACCTGAGTTTCAGTGAATTCTTGATACATCCCAGGCTCCCAATAAATACTTGGATGAGTGAACAAATAATCATCCAGCTGAAGCAAATGTATGATGTCCTGTCCTACACATCTAGGAATTGTATGTGTTTCCTACCTTTCACATTCACATTGTCTTCATGGATACCTATATCTACACATAAACACACACAAACATACACAATGAAATCATAGACATGCAGGATACCAAAGCTGGGAGAGCTCATCTTTCTTACTTGGGTTTCATGAAAATTAAAGCTTAAAGCTCTAAGTATGTGCTGTCCAATATGGCACCTATTAGCCATATGTGGCTATTTAAACTTAATTTAATTAAAAATAAATAAAATTTGAAATTTGATTCTTCAGTCACACCAGTCACATTTCAAGCCCCAGTTGGCTAATGGCTATAATCTTAGTACTGATATAGAATATTTCCGTTATTGCAGCAAATCCTATTGGACAGTGTTTCTCCAAGGCATCCATTGTATATAATGAATTAACTTGTCTCCTATGAAACTAAAATAGTACTTATTATATACCATCTTTGGGAGAAATGAGGAAATAGTTACACAAATCATTTTCCATGTCTTAAAATTTAGAAGAGGAACCTTGGTTGAGAAAGCCTAGAACATCTTTGGCTTACACATCAGAAAACTGAGGCCAAAGGCAGAGGGAATGGATGAGGTCGCAAAGACTTCAGACCCAGGTTTCTTGGTTTTCAGTCCAGTACTATTTCCAATATACCATGGCCAATTGTCAGATAACTGAAACAACCCAGTCAACACGTGTTTGCAAGACAGATAAAAATAAAGGAGTTAGGAAAACCAGGGGTGGCCTTGAATTATTTATTCAGTTGCCCATGTGTGAGGACACAGGCTGTGGGAGGATCTGAATATGTTTTTTTAAGGGAAACCCTTGTATTCTCTTAGACCACAGATGTGAGAACAGCAGGAGGACATGAGGATGGCCAGGGGCGAGAGGTTGGCATTGATGGATGTAGTGGAAAACACCAGAGGCTTTGCAGGGAAAGGGAATTTTTAAGAAGCTAAACAGCTCTGGAAAATGTTGCACAAAATGGGAGCTGATGTTTCTTGAACATAGAGTGTGTGTGCTTGGCATTTCACCGTTATCTTGCTAAATTCTTCACAAAAGCCAGGTGACGTGGGCAGGATGAGCACATTTTGATGGAAGAAGGCCCAGAGGATCAGAGGTGAGATGGCTTTGCTCAAGGTCCCATTGACTGGGAGTGATAAAGCTGAGGACGGGAAATGTATGACCTGGCATTAAAGCTTGTATACTTTCTACTAAGCCAATTTGCATGAGTATAAATTCCATCTGTATGGGAGAGTGATATACGTTAAAGACAGTTCCATTTCTTTACAACAATTTATTGAATTTGTGGACTGACTTCTTTTAGCCATAGACTATGGTCAACGTAGCTGCTAACCCTAATTAGATATGTTTTGGAAATGTCAGTTTTAATTTAACGTATGATAACTATGTTATGAAATCTTAAACTGAACAGAATAGCTACTATATGAGCCTCAAGAACCAACTGACTATAGGTGATTAAAAACATATTGATTGAAGCTAAGGACACTGTGTAATAGAGACATATCTCATTACACAACAATTAACCCTCAAATAGGTTTCCAACAATCAGGTGGTATTTATTTAATGGACAGTAACTGCTTTATGAAATATAAATTAAATACATACACAGGAAGCTTCATTTATGAAACTTCCATTTTCAAGTGGAATGGAGGCCAAGGCTTGACCAAAAGTCTGATACTTCTCATCACCACAGAAAAAGTAAATAAATCTATGGCCTGCTGGAAACCTCTGAAGTGTCACACGAGGTTTCCCAAACCCAGCTCTGTGCTCCCAGTGAGGATGGCTGGGGCAGGGGAAGGGGAATTTCTACAGAGCATAGTAAGTGCATTTCCTTCCCTGATGATCACATTCGCCAGCTACCAAATTTAGGTTCTAGACTCAGGTACTGATGGTAATGTGAAAAATTAATGCCCACATTTTATGTGGTACTGTGATCAAATAGGTTTCAAAAATTTTTAACATTTTATTTTTAATTGACATATAATGATTGTGTATATATTCATGGAGTACAGTAAGATGTTTTGATATATGTTTACAATGTGGAGGGATTAAATTGGGTAAATTAACAAATCCATCATCTCTCACACTGTTTTTTGGCAAAAACATTTGAAATCTATCCTTTTCACAAGTTTGAAATATACAATGCATTATCATTTATTAGAGTCACCATTCTGTGCAACAGATCACTAAAGCTTATTCCTCCCATCTACCTGAAACTTTATGCCCTTTGATCAACATCGTCCCTTTCCCCACTCACCCCACCTGCCTCTGGTGGTCATCATTCTACTTTCTACCTCTATGAATTCATTTTTTTTAGATTCCACATATACGTGAGATCATGCAGTTATTTGTCTTTCTGTGCCTAGCTTATTTCACTTAGCATAATGTCTTCCAGGTTCATTCATTTTGTTGAAAATGACAGAATTTTCCCGCTTTTAAGGCTGAATAGTATTCCATTGTGTCTATACAGATGCTCCTTGACTTACAATGGGGTTAGGACTCACCCAATAAACCTATCTTAAGTTGAAAATACGGTAAGTTGAAAATGCACTTTTGACTTACGATATTTTCAACTTACAATAGGTTTATACCATCTTAATACTCAAAGCAATGCTGAATACATATTACTTTTTTGTCATTGTGAAGACAAAAAAGTGGAAGTCAAATTATCGTAAATTGGAGACCATCTGTACACCACATTTTCTTTACCTGTTCATCTGATGATGGACTCCTAGGTTGCTTCTATATTTTAGCTATTGTGAATAATGTACAGTGAACATGGGAGTGTAGCAATCTCTTTGGCATACTAATTTCAATTTCTTTAAATATATACACAGAATTGGGATTGCTGGATTATATGGCAGTTCTATTTTGAATGTTCTGAGGAACCCCCATACTATTTTCCATGATGGCTATATTAACCTACATTCCCACTGCCAGTGCACAGGTGTTCCCTTTTCTCCACACCCTGGCTAACACTTCTTATCTTTCCTCCTTTTGGTAATAGCCATTCTAACAGGTGTGTGGTGACACCTTCTTGTGGTTTTAATTTGCCTTTTCCTGATGATTAGTGAGGTTGAGCATTTCTTCTACATAGCTGTTGGCCATTTGTGTGTCTTGAAGTGTCTATTTAGGTCCTTTGCCTAATATGTCTTTGACACACACACAAATGCAGACAAATACACTTGTAAATGAGAATTTCTTGCTTCTTTTTGTGGCTTTTTTTTTGCCTTGCGGGGGGCAGTGTAATGCCTTTTCTCCAATTCTAGTTCTGAAACAACTTAATGAAAGCACATACGAGTCTGAGATAACACAATACAAAACAAGAGCTGAAGCCCAGTGCCTGCCACTTTCCATGACCCTCTGGTCACCTTTCAGCCTCTTTCAGCTCCAATTCTCTTTTTATCTAGCAGATGAGGAAGATGATTTGTTTTGTACAAGGTTACCAGAAAGATTAAATGAGATTCTGTATGTAAAGCATTTAGTATAGAATCCATCACATAGTAAGCACTTGATAGATCCCAGCAACTACAATAAAGTAATATTAACTAATTATTAGCATGGTTATTATTTTTACCATCATTAATATATCACCATTACTAGATGAAGCATCCCAAAGAAGGGCTGGGAGTAGAGGTAATACATTAATCTTCCCTGAATTATGGCAAAATTCCAAAATAGATGCAAATACCTTGGTCTATTTTCATGACCCTTTTAAATCTGGTCCCCTTAGAGCTTGAGCTCCTCAAGGAGTTTATATGGGGGAAAGATCACAAGAGACCACTTGATTCAGGTCTCCACCTTCAAGCCACTGTAGTATCATTAGACCCAGTTTTCAGGGAAGGGAGAATCAGGCTCAGAGACAGAAAGTGACTTGCTCAAGGCCATGTGGTTAATTAACGAACAGTCAGGGCAGCAGAATAGAGGTACCTTGTGCCTCAGTTTATCATTCCCTGGTCTTATAAAATGCTACCTTTAGTTCTACAAAATAAAAAAAAAAAACATTTGGTGCAAAAATTATGTTTATATGTCATATATGTATATGCATTCTTTTTTCTTTTTTTTTTGAGACAGAGTTTCGCTCTGTTGCCCAGGCTGAGATGCGGTGGTGCCATCTCGGCTCACTGCAACCTCCGCCTCCTGGGCTCAAGCATTCTCCTGCCTCAGCCTCCCATGTAGCTGGGATTACAGGCGCGCACCACCACACCCGTCTAATTTTTGTGCTTTAGTAGAGATGGGATTTCACTGTGTTGGTCAGGCTGGTCTCGAACTCCTGACCTCATGATCTGCCCACCTTGGCCTCCCAAAGTGCTGGAATTACAGGAGTGAGCCACCATGCCCGGCCTTGTATATGTATTCTTATATGTAAATATGTACTTATATACACACGTGACACACATAAATATATATATCCATATATAAGCATATATAATATGATACAATATAATTAATATAATATAATATATAATATAATATAAATGTTTTTGCCCAGGCAATCACAACTCCTGAGCTCATGGAGATGAGACTATTACCTCCATCCCAGAAGAGGTCTGTAGCAAAAGAGGTTTCCAAGTTTCTAATAACAAAGTGAATCTAAGTACCCATTCACTTAAAAATATTTATTGTTATTTATTTGTTTCTATTAATGACCATTTATTTATTCCCTGATCCCAAATTTACAACATGCTAGGTGGTGGAGATACCTTTTGAACAAGAACAAGAAATGCAGTAAAATCCCTCTCCAAGTCTGCTTCCCTTCCAAGTTTCCTTCTTCTTGGCAGGAGAGAGAGAGAGGGATCAACACTACACAGGGCACACTCACCTTTCAAAGAAATGGCCATCTATAGGTGGGAACCACTCCAGTGTCACAGAGTCCGTTGTGTGGCCCAGAACTTGGGGGGCGAGGGCAACAGGCGCTGGTTTCCTGGAGGGCTGCCAGCCCTGGTAGACCAGGTCCAGGTAACAGTGCATTCTGGCGACTTGATTGGGCGTGAAGGAGTCCGTACAGTCGTCATCTGCAAGCAGGCAGAGGGAGAGATAAGCACCAAGCCGCAAGGCAGGCAGGCATATGAGAGAGTAATGACGGCTCCTGGCGGCCCAAGAGTCAGCACCCAAGTCGTTCCTTGCCAACTCAGGGCTGGCCTCTTCCAGCTCTCAAGAGTTAATGGCCTGTGAACAAATTAGTGTAGTCATCACTTCTGGAGACAGGTGAGAGGAAACAGGAGGGAGGGAAGGGTGGATGTAACTGAAAAAGTATGGCTGAGACTGGGAAGAGAGCAGCCCAGAGGTCACGGCAAAGGACACAGGCAAGATGAGCTATTTCCCCTATTTCCCATGGCCCCCAAATCCACTGGGCACTAAGTCAACAATTCCATTACTCCCTCCCTCCCTCACCCCCCACTCAATATCTCTCATTCATTCATTCATTCATTCACTTGTTTATCCATTCACTCATTCATTGATGCACTCACTGGTTCCAACTCATTCCTTCACATTCTTTCATCCACTCATTCATTAATTTCACTATTAACCAATGTGCTGATATTACCCTTCAAACAAACCTTCTGAGTGTCTACTACATTTCTGCTCTGTGCCCAAGGGCATGGAAAGATGAAACTTTAAAAGTTCCTGCCCATGATGAGGTACAAGTCTAGTTATGGAGTCAAGACCAGTCCAGTGTATGAGTCAAGGTTGTTACAAGGCTACTAAAGTCTGTGATGTCAATCACTGATAAAGCGAGGAAGACGGCATGGGTGGGTGCAGGGACAGGCAGGCGACCAGGAAGGCTTCTAAAGAAGGAGATAGTTGAGGCTGATCAGATTGCACGGCTAAGATTGGAAAAGAAAGGAGAGGGATTGCAGGAGAAAGTGCTGCATGACTACAGAGGCATGGTGCCTTAGGCAGAGAGCACAGGCCAGGGAGTCAGGCAGACCTGGGAACAAACCAGGGTAGTGTGCATGCTGAAAATATGAGTAGTAACATCTCCCACTCCATGCTGCCATTGGTGCACTGTGCTTTAGACACGGTAAACCCCTTTCCTTCTCTGGAGTTTTGGAGTACGCACTACTATTTTCCTTATCGTACAGAAGAGGATATTAAAGCTGACAGAGGGTAAATAATTATTTCAAAATCACAAAGCTAGGGATACATCTGGGGTTTGAACCCAGGCAGTCCTGACTTCAAGGCCATGCTTCTGATCAATATGAGAACTTCTTTTCAAGCATAAATGAGACATTGTATGGATATAAAATCCTGCAGGTGGTTGATAAATGGGAGTTGAGTCTGAGGCTAAGGGAGCTTGGAACACAATCTCTCAGGTGTCTTTAGATCTAAGGACCTTTGATCCTAATCTCTCTTTTCCAGGGTGTGACCTAAGACCTGGTTCTGAGGGAGAACGCTTGCATTTCTCCCTCCAACAGTTTTATTCAACTGCCCTAGGGACAGGGCAATGCACTGTTTTGGCTTAATTTCCAAAAACACCACTTCCCAGAGGTGTCCACCTGGTCAGGGAGCCTGCAGCTGGGCCCCAGACAGAGGAGTACAGGGCTCTTCCAATCTTAAAATAAACTTGCTACTGGGAATCCTGCAGCATATACTGGTTTCTTCTTATCAAACAAACATTAAATACATTTGGGCAGGTGCTGGACAGCTATATACATGGCTTTGAGAATCCAGCTTAGGGAAGGTGCAGGGTGTGAGGGAGGTTCTATGCAGAAGCTGCCTTAAATCCCCTTAGTAATTTTTGCCAATCTCCTTTCCAGCACCTTAGGGAAGTCTTTAACACATTTGGAGAAGTGGAAGAGCCCAATGTCTCTTAACAAACACAGTATAGTGAATAACCGAGTAAATCTCTCTCAAACCCAGATCCCACCATGTAACTCCTGAATACCAAACATTCTATGGCTCCCTATTGCAAGGAAAAAGTCCTCAGACCGAAAAGGGCCAGATAATTGGACACTTTTTTCTTTGTTGCCATGAACTTTGTACTTCATCTTGAAAACTTTGGAAAAGCCACCAAATAGGTTACATGCAGGAGAAGGGCATGATGGCTAAGGGAAGAAGTATGGCCACGTGACTAGATTAGTGCACACAGAATCTGGAGTCAAATGGACAAGTGATTTTCTGCCCCCAGTGCCTCAGTTACCCCATCTGTGAAGTGAAGACAGTGATGATAACGCGATTGCTCATCTCAAAACACAGCCAAGGTGCAGGGGTGTGGGGCACTAAGAGCAATGCCTGCCCCATGATAAATGTTAGTACATGGGAATTGGAAATAGTGTGTGTGTGGTGTGTGTGTGTATGCTTGCGTGTGCTCATGTATGTGTGAGTGTTAGAAAACTGGAAGCAGGAAAAAAATTCAGGATATAAAATATGCATTCTCTTTGATCTAACAATAAGGAATTTATGGATTCAAAAGATAGATACTCTTGGGTAAACAGGGGTAAAATAGACATACAAAGATGTTTCTTGAAGCATAATTTATAATGGTGAAAATATTAGAAATAGCACATCTGTTCATTCATAGGGAAATGGCTGTGTACTTTAAGGCACAGACATAGAACAGAATACTAATCAGACATGACCAAAAAATGAGACAACTTGAAGACTCAGTTCCCTCGTGCATAAATTGGGGGCATTTAAATAAACTCCAAACCATGAAGTTGTGAGAATTCAATGAGCAAGGGCACAAAAAGCATTTCTCAAGATGAATGACACTGAAAAACAGTAGGTTTTTTCCTGTATAAACATCTACTTTACTTGCTTTCCCCCAACAAAAAAGTGTATTTTTCTTTTATAACTTAAAATGGAACCATTTTCACATTTGTTGATAAAAATAAGTTTGAAAAAATGGGTAGGTGATGGAACCTAGTAGGGAGACAGGAATGTATTTGAACTTTAAAGCTGAAGTTGAGGCTGGGCACAGTGGCTCTCTCCTGTAATCCCTGCACTTTGGGAGGCCAAGGTGGGCGGATCACGAGGTCAGGAATTCGAGACCACCCTGACCAACATGGTGAAACCCTGTCTCCACCAAAAATACAAAAATTAGCTGGGCATGGTGGTGCACGCCTGTAATCCCAGCTACTCAGGAGGCTGAGGCAGGCAAATCGCTTGAACCTGGGAGGCAGAAGTTGCAGTGAGCTGAGATCACACCACTGCACTCCAGCCTGGGCGACAGAGTAAGACTCCGCCTCAAAAAATAAAAATAAAAAAAAAGCTGAAGTCGAAATCTATCCCAAGGTACATTACTTGGAGACTTAGCAGCTATCAAAATCTGGGGAGAGGTACCAAAGGGTTTTCATCTATCACAAAAGATCTGCCTCAATTAGCTAATGTCTAGAGTCAGTCCCACTTGGCTTCTTTCCCCCCAGTGCCTCCCCTCTTGATATCTGTGGCCACTTCATCTGGTCTCCAGGAGTGGCCAGCTCATCTTGTTCTTCTGTCTGTATCTTGTCCCAAAGCAGAAAGAACTTCGGGACTTCAGCACTGGGAAGCCTATGCCAGTCCCCATGCTGTTGATACGGTACCCTGGGTTTGCTAACTGAATCTTCCTCTCAAGAACAAATGTCCATCTGTGGCTGAAAGGGCACACTGCATGGAGGTTCAGGTCATGAATACCATGCCTTCACTCCACTTAGGACTTTGGACACAATGCTGACCCCCCGTCAGCCACATTTTCACCCACCATAAAATGAGGAATAAGATGTTAGCTGTCTCATAAAGCTGATGAGAGCATTTAACAAGCTAACTAATGTCTAGTGAATGGATAACTAAGTTGCCTTGTGTGAAACTCTCTGTCTTTTTGATGTTTTTAAAAATAATGATAGTAATAATAGTCATAATAATAGATGTAGATAATAATTTTATAATAAAAACTTCACTGTAGAGTATCTGGAATATGTCAAAATGTTACAAAAAATAAACATTACCCTGAACTCATTACCTATAGATAATAAAATTGATGTCTAAGGTATATGTGTGTATATGTATGTATATATATATGTGTTTGTATATGGATGTAAATATCTACAGTAAATTTCTATAATTCTTATCATCACATACATATGTACAGGTCTTACACTATATATATGGCTTTCTGACCTTTTTCACATTAAGTAGTCAATGAATAATCCTACTAATCATCATTTACTGAGCACTAATTATGATACCAAGGACAGTTCTTTTTTGTTTGTTTGTTTTTTAACTTTCATTTTAAGTTCAGGAGTACATGTGCAGATTTCTTACATAGGTAAACTTGTATCAAGGGAGTTTGTTCTATAGATTACTTCATCACCCAAGTATTAAGGCCAGTACCCGTTAGCAATTTTTCCTGATCCTCTCCCTCCTACCACTCTCCACACTTCAATAGACCCCAGTGTGTGTTGTTCCCCTCTGTGTGTCCATGTGTTCTCATCATTTAGCCCCCACTTATAAGTGAGAACATGTGGTGTTTGGTTTTCTATTCTTGCATTAGTTTGCTAAGGACAATGGCTTCCAGCTCCAACCATGTCCCTGAAAAAGACATAATCTCATTCTTTTTTGTGGATGCATAGTATTCCATATGTACCACATTTTCTTTATCCAGTCTATTATTAATGGGCACTTAGAACAACAACAGTTCTAAGTGCTTCACTTGTACCATTACACCTACAATCAGGCAAGGCAAGCATCCTTATCATCAATGGTATTAATGAAATAACTGAGGCTCAGAGAGGAGAAGTAAACTGCCGAAGATCAAAGCTGGGCACCGAACATTCAACTTGGGTCTCCTCACTCCAAATTTCATGCTCTGAACCACCATGTTATTCCACTTCTGTTCATGTCCTTCAAACATCTTCTCTGTCATCTTTAGTGGCCCTATAATATCCTATCACATGAATACCTTGCAGTTCACTTCAGCAATGCATTATCTTTAGGCTTGTAAGCAGTTTCTAATTATTCAAACATTTTGTTTTCTATACCTGGCATATAGTGAATGCCTAATAAATATTTAGGAAACAAATATCATTAAGAACATTCTTACGGTTAAATCTTTAAGCATACCAATTGACTTATTTGCTTTGGATATATTCCTTAGAAGTGGAATTGCTGGGTCAATCTATGTGTGCATATTAAGAAGCCATGACACACAGAAAGATGGGGACAGGACACTTGCTCCTGTAGGCTAGAGAAAGCCTGGCTTCCTGCAGTTTTGAGGACCAGAGTGTCCTCCTCCAGGAACTCTTGTAGCCTATTATCTCCAGAAAGTGGAACTGGGTCTGCTACTCTTTTATCTGTTGAGTTTTCCAAGAGTTACCCAAGAGTTCAACATAACTATACTCCTCTGGAGCTCTGTCCAGCCTGCCTACTGAATTAGGCTTCCCCCCATCAACTGCCTGGTGCCTGCTTGATCTGAGCATTTGTGGCCCTCTCAACCTTCCCCACAACCAGAAAATGAGGCAGATACTTACTAGTTAGTAACACAGGCTCTGCAGTAAGAAACACTTGAGTTTAGATTTCACCTTTGCCTTGT
The DNA here is from genome assembly GCF_000001405.40 of Homo sapiens. NCBI lineage: Eukaryota > Metazoa > Chordata > Mammalia > Primates > Hominidae > Homo > Homo sapiens. The sequence goes on along the minus strand of NC_000009.12, from coordinate 116,214,441 downwards.
TTTATCTTTGTGATGCTGGGCAAGATACTTAAGCTACCTGAACCACATTTTCTGCATCTGTAAAACTTGTGCACCTCCTTGGGCTACTGTGGGGATTCAATGAGACAAGCCTATGAAAAATTTCATACAGTGTCCGGCATGTCACACGTACTCAAGAATTACTGCAGGCCTGAGCTAACCAATATGGTAGCCACCAGCCACATGTGGCTATTCTGATTTAAATTAGTTAAAATAAGATTGATAATTCAGGTCATTAGTCACACTAGTTGTATTTCAATCGTTCAGTTACCACATGGGTAGTAGAGGTCATGGCTACCATACTGGCCAACACAGATATAAACTATGTCTATCTTCATAGAAAGTTCTGTTGGCAGTGCTGCACCACAAACCTTTACCCTACCAGTGATCAGGCCTGAGGAAGAAGCACCCAGGAAGATAAAGCAACGAGAAGAAGTTGACCCAGCAATGTCTTCACCCAATTATCTTGATGGAGAGAGCTCCCATGCATGGCTCTCCATAGCCCTGAGAACCCAGTCCTGTTCTGCATTTTGAATTGCATCCAGCTGCTTTTGTCACCTCATCTATCAGAAATCCCAAGGAAAACAAACATTTCAAAGATCGTGGTTGCCTTGAATATGCTTTTGTGGGTGTAAGTTTGTTATCGTAGCTCAGTGAATTAGTTCTGCTGTTAATGGGTCACTGAGCTGAGGGGTTCCTTTAAAAAAAATAGTAAATCAATCACCCTTTAGATCTGTACAAAGGGGAAAAAAAAAGATTTAGTTTATGGGGGTCTGGTAGCTAGTGGCAGCTCCTAGCCCCTAAGAGGCCGGCAAACTTCCAAACTTATGTTATTGTTTATTTTCCATGTGTGTTGAGCTGGCCAAGAAAAGGTGCTATAGAAATGGAACTTTAGCAGTGTTGTATGAGGGGATGGGGCACCGGATGTGGGATGTCAGCTTGGCTGGGAATGGGAGCCCAGTGGGAATCTGCTTTTCAGGAAATACCCAGCACCCTGGTCTTTTTTGAGCACTCAAATCTAAGACTCTTTATGGTACCAGAGGTGGGTTATTGACACTTCAATTCAGATTTGGACTGCAGGAACCTTATACTGGAGAGGCCCCCAGGGGTCATCAGCCCAAATGGACAAGCAGAAAGAACCACTGGGGATCACAGAAACCTTTGGGTTCCAGCAGCAAATTCCTCTCTTCAAATGCAATGAGGCAAAACCTCAACAGAAATGTAAAATAGTCAGAAAGGGGGTGTGTTTTCCCTGGCTTTAGCAGGAATGAGAGCCTAAAGCCCTACTCATATAGCCACCAGGGCAGTTGCCCTGAAGCATCCCTGTGGAACAGAGTGTAAAAGCCACCCAGGTTGCTCAATTTCCCCACTCAACCATCAGCTAGCTCTCTTTAGAAGAAATACAAGAGTAAAAGAGAAAAATACTTGGAGTCAGATATGTGACTTGGTGCAAATGATTTCAGTGAGCTTCAAAGCTGTCATCTGTAGAGTGGGGATAGTTCTGACTCTACACATTTGTTGTGAGAATTAAATGAGAGAGAGCATATTAAAGGCCTTTCTGGACAATATTTTGTTACATGAGTAGAAATATTGCTTTTGATAAGAATAAATTTTATATACCTGTTATAAGAGAATTTATTCATTTTCCTCCTTCCTTCCCTCCAGCCCTCCCTCTCTCCTCCCTTTCTTTCTTTACTTCTTCCTTTCCTAACAAACATTTATTAAGCACTGGCCCCTGTGCTGACTTCTGAGAATAGAGTGATGTATTAGATGCAATCTTTGGCTTGATAGAATTTGCTTGTTCTAGTGGGGAAAAAGACACTAAGTTGAGTATGGTAACAGAATTTGATGCTGGCCTGCCATGTGCAATTGTGTGCATTGTGACTAACACAAAAACTCTTAGCTGCAGGTGCAGTGGTAAGGGCTATGACAGCCCTGAGGAAGGGGTGTCTTGTTCTAATTTGCCAAAGGTGCTAAAAGGGCTCCAAGGCCTTGATGTATCCCATGCTAAAGGGAAGTGCAGGGCATCCCCTAATGCTCCTAACACTGTTACTAGTGGTACTCAAAAGTACTATGATAAGATATATGCAGTTAGGAAAAAAAAAATCATACTCAATCTCATGTCATAATTTTCTCTTTGCAAAGTCCAAAGCACTCTCATTGTTCTTGCAAAATAACAGAGAATGTGAGAGTTTTATGCTTATCTAAGGGACACATGGGTTAAATAAAAAAGGTTCAACAACCACTAGCTTAGAAAAATGTGCTGCACATTTAGGAAGGATCATGGAGATGCTAGTCCAACAATTCCATTTTCTTGAGAAAAGTGAAACCCAGAAAGAGAATGACCGAAAGACATTAGGTGGATAAGTGGCAGAGCTAGGCCTTCCATCCTTAGAAATGGTAAGTAGCTTGTTCAAGGTTCCCCTGAGCCAGGATTGGATCCCACATCTGACATCCAGACCTGTTCACCCTACAGAGTGTAGGGCCCTACCTGCATAGCTCATGAAGTTGTTGTAAGGAGTGTTGAAGAAGCTATGAAAGCCACAGGTGTCATTTCCTGGCCCTGGGTCACCACAGGACTTGTGTTTAGGGGCTGGGTTGGTATCATTGCAGAGGTCTCCAGTCTCGAAGGAGGGCTCTGTCTCCATGCAGGGGTCACTGCAGGACTGGATTTCTGAGATGCCTCGGAAGACGTGATAGAGGCCCAGGCTGTGACCAATCTCATGGATCATGGTGTGGGTGTGCCCAGGCATGCCATAGAAAGATGGGTTCAAGACAATGCCACCTGTAAGGGGAAATCCAGAGAATCAGGCAAACTAGGTACTCTGCTTCTTGGTGCAAGAACCCCCAAGTCCATCAAGGATAAAGAGATGCTGCCCAAAATAAACACAAGCTTCTCCACCCTAGGACTCCATTGCCCTGAGAGCTGTTACAACCTATGGCATGAATCATGACTTATCAGAGCAGGAAGGAATCTCAAAAGTCATTTTGTACAATTCCTTTATTTTTCATATGAAAACGCCAATGCTTAAAGAGGTGAAGGGACTTACCCAAGGTGATTTCAAATTATTTCAATGGAGAGCAATTCAGAAACTCTGATTTCTGGGCCAGTAAACCTTTCTGCTGCAACCTTTCCCTTACAAAGTAAGGCCTACTCTTATTTCCAAATATTCTACATATTCTTGTCTAGACAAAGCCCTCAGGCTCAGAGATCTTGGTTCTGGTTCCCATTTTGCCTTCACTAACTCTGTGACATCGAGTGGAGTAATTAGCATCTCTGAATCTCATATCTTCATCCCTGATGCTGTAAGAGCATGAACGCTAATGAAGGTCAGCACCATGCTGTATTCACCATTGTAACAGTTTTCATACTAGCTAATGTCACTTGAGCAGGACTCTTAATCAACGTTCTATGATTAATGACTATCACAGGGCCTGGAGCAGAGTATCTCATTAAATATGTGTTGAATATTTGCTGAATGTTAACTTATCTAAAGAAGTTTGTGAGGTTTAACTAATCTAGTGTGAGAACTAGAATAGCACCTCCATACATCAAGTACATCACTTGAGGACAAGCAGCATGATCATCACCTGAGAGCTTAGTAGAAATGCAGAATCTCGGGCCTCACCCCAGACCTACAGAAGCACAATCTGTATTTTAAAATGAGCCTTGAATGACTTGTCTGTATATTCTGGTTTGAGAAGCAATGGTCTATATCACATGCCTCAGAAGATTGAGAATTGCTTGGCTTGGGCAGATAGACAGAACAGATCTCAGCAGAATTTATGGGTAGTATTTGTGCTGTGTTCATTTTAGGCATTGGAAAGATGCATACAGGCTGCCAGAGAGATAATTAAACTTTAAAATTTTAAAATGTTTAAGGGAAGGTTAAAACTCAGGTCTGTGAACCTTGAAAGTAGGTACTTTAGGTGTAGAGCAGCATCTTCTAAAAGAATGGTGAGGAGGTAGGGTCTTGTTGATTTGAGCTGGCAAGCCCCACATGGGCATGGAGGGTTTTATCTTAGACTGAACCTCTGGAATGGTGTGCTTGCTCAGTCAAGGGACTCATAGAGTCTATGCAGAGGTCTCTGATTTTGAAGAAGGACTCTGTCTCCGTGTTAGGGTCACTGGAGGACTTAATTTCAGAGATTGAATTTCTGAGCAATTTTGAATTGCTTAGAGCTTTCTAACACAAAGATAAAGATGTGTGAGAGGGCATGTGAGTGTGCGGGTGTGCACATTCACTTGGGTATGAGAAGGGGGCAGGCAGAGGCAGGGAGGAAGAGAAATTGAGACAGGAAATCTTTCTCAATTATTTTCTGTCAATCATAACATGAAACATAATCCGCTTCCCACCCAAGGCTTTTTCCAGGGATCATGGTGTAATAGCAGAAAAAGAGGGGAAAAATATGGTTGTAATAAATTGGGTTTGATTGGGGCTACTGCAGAGGAATTACTCATGAGCAGCATCTCTTGGGATGGGGAGAGGGCAGCCTGGAGTCCAGCTGGAGTTAGCTGACATAGGTTGCAATCCTTGTTCTGCTTCACACTGGCCTTGTGACTGTGGAAAATGGACTTTGCATCTCTGGTGAGCTCTAAAATAAGCAGCTACAATAATGCCAATGATTCTCTGTCTCTCCATGAAGCTTCATTATTGAGGTAATGAGAGGACAGGACCATTCCAGGGATGATGATTGGATTGCAGACTTAATGTCTAGGCTAGCCCTGTTTGCTTTACCTCATCCCCTCCCAACTCACCCCTTTTCACAGAGTGACAGCACTTGGGCCCCAGTCCTGTTTCATTGCTTCTCTTAAAAGGTGAAATAGCTTGAGCCTGACATCATCCTGAAATACTATAACATGCTATGGATTTATAGCCTCCCTTATTCCTGGCCCTGAGCCAGACTCTGAAATTTATGGAATTATCAGGAGTAGTTTTTTCTAACAGTAGAAGCCTGCTACTCAATCCTTCTCAGACTCTGATCATGGCCCTTTCAGTTGCTTTTCTAATAGGACAGAATTTCAGAACTGAGAAGGATCCTTAGGGTCTTCTGGCCTCCTAGGACCTGCTTATTTAATATTGAAGGACATTGAGACCTGAGGAAGGAAAGAGAATTGCCTAAGGCCATACTGCTAAGTAAAGTCACAGCTGAGAACAAACACGAATTTTGGCTCTAGTCTAGCATTACTCCCATATATCATACTAGGCATGTGATATAAGCTGATCATCTTCAAGTTTGCCTAAGCTGCACGCTCTCTTCTGCCCAACCCCACCTGTCTGTGTCTGTCTATCTGCCAATCTATCTACCCATACACCATATGTCTCAGGATTTCTCAACCTCAGCACTATTGACTTTTTAGTCTGTATAATTCTTTGTAGTGGACATTGTGGACATGTAGCAGCATCACTGGCTTCTACCCACTAGATGCCAGTAGCATTCCCCCATTTGTAAGAAGCAAAAACATCTCTAGATATTGCCAAATGTCTCCTGGGGCATAAAATCCTCCCAGCTGAGAACAAGTAGATATTTATCTTTGTATCTATCTTTATTTATACAACCACACACATGCACACACACGCACACACACACACACACAAATTGGTTTCATTCTCTAAAAAACAATTGAGAAATGAGAGTCGTCTGGAGGGAACTAAGTCTATGGTTTCATTGAGCAAAACTTGCATTATTTAAATCTCTCATTTCCAAGACAGAATAGCAATGGAGAAGCTACTGGACTCTGTTTCACCAGGAGACCAGGCAGGCCTGAGGATACATCCAGCACTGTCACTGCTGAGCCTGAACATTCTCAGATAAAGATGTTCACTGAGTCATCACGATTCATTCTTGTAAATAATGGGAACATTCTACCAAACGGAAAATGATTAAATAAATGGCAGTGCCCTTGTTCAAGGGAATATTATGTGGCTATTAAAAATCTTGGCTTTAGAGAGGGGAAAATAACCCACAAGGGTGCTTTTCTTTTGTGATTAAGTGAAAAAAATATGGGTGGGAAGTTAAGGATAAGACTTCTGCGACATGGAAAAAAAAGTAGATAGCATAATATTAAGTGAAAAAAGAACACAGAATTTCATCTATGCTATGATTTTAAAAATGTACAGTTAAAAAAATGCATGTTTACATATAGATGTGTCCTGGAAGAGAGCATGGAAAAAATAAAATTAAAGAACTGCAATGTTTGCTTACAGGGCCTGGTTCAGAAACTGTTGTCATGTCTAACTTTTGGTGATTGGTTTGTACAAACTTATGTCTTGTTTATGGATATGTATAATTTGAATGTAAGAAGAGTTCCTGTTGGTGTTGGTGGGTGGAACATGGAGGAACACAGAGTTCTTGCAAACTCACTTTTTCTTGCCTCTTTGGTGTCTTTTAAGCCAACCCATGACTGGCTGTGCCAGTACAGTGTGGTTACCAGACTGAGAAGATATTTGCAGGAACTAGGAGACAGAGGGTATAAGGAGAAAGCAAACAATGGGCAGTGTTGGAAACTTAAATTCCAATTGTGACTGTCACTGTCTTGCGTGTGATGTTGGATAAGCCCCATTTCCTCTCTGGGTCTCATTTCCCCATTGATAAAACATGGTTAATAATATGGTGCTATTTCCTTCAGAAAATTGCTTGGTGGTCAAAATGAGATAAAGGATGCTAAAGAATTTTGTAAATTAAAAAGTGATAAATAAATCGGTTGTTCACCCTCACAACTACCACCACCACCATCATGATCGTAACAATGATCATCATCGCACTAAGTGTATTACTGTCCTACTCTAGTTGCCTCCTGAAGGAGTTTCTAAGACTCACCTAAGTGCATCAGGGCCTCCTTGTCCCATGGCCAAGTTGCTACTCCTGCCAACTCCTCCTCTGAGGATTTTGCAAAGAAAATATTGAGATGTGTTGATCCATCCAATTTAAGAATGTTCTTCAGCTCATTAACATCCAAGTAGGCTCTGAAACAGAAAAAGAACCTTGGCTGTTATCATGCCCCCAAAAAGATAACAGGCCCTCTCCAAATAATTTAGAGCTACTATGAGTGCCAGGCATTTTGCTAAGCACTTTAAAAATACTACCTTATTGAATTCCCCCAATAATATTATAAGTAAGATGATTCCATTTTACAGATCATAAAATTAAGTTCTCGAGAGTTTTAGAGACTTGCCAAAGTTGTTAGGCTTCTTATGAACACAGAGGTAGGTAGTATCGTTATCTCCAGAGGCTTAGAGAACCTTCTTCATACCTTACTAAGTTCAAGTTGCTACTTAGCAATGTTTTCCTTTTTCTTAATGCTGTCTCTCCCAAGGAGTTCTCACAGAGCCCAGCCAGTAGCACACATTAGTGATGGTTTCCTGCTCTTCCCCTCTTAGAATAATAAAGGGTCTCCCCATGTATGAAAGACAAAGTTCAAGTTCCCAATATAGCCTCCAAGACACAACCTACTCCTTAGCCTCATCTATCTCTACAACCTTTCTTGAGCACCCCACTGCATACAGAAAACATCTCTGTACCCTGTACGGTGCATTATCCCATTGGCAATTTTATTCATGCTGTTTCCTCTGCTGGGACTCTGATCAGCATTTTGTTCTCTAATGAACAAATCCAAAGTCTGTTCTGGTATCCCTCCTCCAGGAAGACTTCCCTGATGCTCTCCTCACCTGCACCCCTTTTAACATCTCCATACTCGTCCACCTCCTACTAGCAGAGCACTGTCTCTCATTTGCCATTTCAATAAATTGCTTCCTCTTTCTATTACATAATACACACTTGTGGCCACCTGGGGGAAGGCGAGGTGCCTTATTAATCTCTGTTTACCCAGTTCTCCGCACAAAGCTTGATACCTGGTGAGCCCTCAGTAGATTTTGATGGAATTGAATTAAATTAGGGAAAGTAAGAGTAAAAATATTTAACTCTCAGTCTCAAATTCAATAATTCCTGACTAATGGGGCCTCAGTTTCCTTATCAATACATTGAAATTAGTAACAGCTGCCTGATGCTCCACAGATCATTTCTATGGGTGGAAAACCTACACCTCTACCCTGCTGTGAATAGGATACGTCTGAGATCTAGCGTGTCAAGGCCGCCCATGTCACAGAAAGCCCCAAGCTCACGAAACCAAACATTCCTGTGACCATAATTTGTACATGTTTTCACAAAAAACATGAGTTGGAGATAGGTGGGCCCAGGAGAGCTTACATTTATGTCTAGGTGTAGCTGACTAATTCCAAGAATAGCCACACAAACTCAGATATTGACCTGAAATCTCGCTGCTGAGCCCTTCTCTTCCCCAAGAACCCACATTCAACTTCTTAGGCTGGAAATCTCATGAGGAATTCTAATCAGTCTGCTCTGTCGTCAGGGAAGAGAACGAGGAAGGAGACAGCCAACATTTATTAAGCATTTGCTGTATGCCAGACCCTGTGCTAGGTACACATGTCTCATCCCTGTTTGGTAGTTGAAGCAATGCAACAGAGTGGGTGAGATGGCTCATTCTTAAGCTACAGCCCTAGGTTTTGAATCCAGCTTTTCCACTTTATGTCTGGGCCACCCTGGGCAATGTACTTAACTTCCTGCACCTCAGTTTCTTTATATAAAGAATGAGGGTGATAATACTACCTACCCCATACAGCTGTTCAGAGGGTTAAGGTAGTTAATAAAGAGAGTGTAAAGGGCTTAGAATAATGCCTGGCATGTAGAAAGCCTCAGTGCATGTTTAGCTATTCTTATCACTTATCGCCATCATACAGATGAAGGAAGAGGGGTTCAGAGATCACACAACTGGAGACAAGGCCAAGTACAAATCTAGATGTGTCCAACCCTTCCCACAACCTCACCCTCATTTCCAAGCTCACCCAGGCCCAGAGTGAAAAGAGAAACAATGCATGGGAGGAGAATGAAAACACAGAGGAGCTGAGATTTTCTTGGATCAGCCCTTTCCACATAATTTATTATTTTCTAATTGATTTGTTCATTTCCATCAAATGTTCTCTCAGGCAGAGAACACAAATGTTATTAGAGAAAGCCACCTCTGCCCCATAGCTCTGAGATGAGAAAGCTTCAAGAGAGAAAAAGGGTGGGGTAGGGGCAGGGGAGACATTTTAATTGGTTGTTTATTCAGTGGTAATTGCAGAAGCCAATCTTTTCAAGAAGTGGTATTCATCCTAGCCCAAAGCAGAGAAGTGGGATGTGGGAGCCTCTTCATGGCTTGTATGTGATTTTTTTTTTCATACTTTGGGAAGCCTCCATTTCCCTAAGGGGGAAGACTCCACAGCAGCAATCCAGGCCTCTCTCTTCCCCACCTCTCCTAGGGGAACCCACCCAAAGGGGGGAAAAAAAAAAAAAGCAACAACACAGCTCTGTGGATGAAAGTTTTCCTTTTGCTGCCCGAGGTATTCCCACTAATACAGAGCCAGGCTGAGTGTCTCTCAAATATATCAGGGGGAAAATCTTTGGGACAGGAGTCCATGTGGGTATTTACCTCCCTACCCCTATGCCTTGAAAGGATTTTTTTTTTTCACTTTTGTCAACAAGATAGAAGAGAAAGCACAGGAGGTCAAATTTAGAAGGAACATTACTGTCTAGGGATAGTGAAGGTGAGAGAAGGAAAATGGCCATGTGACTTACATTTTGCAATTTTTGGGAAGGCTGTCCCTGTGTATACATCGTAAATTGGTCAAATGTACTTTAAAATGTCAGGGCTGGGCATGGTGGCTCATGCTTGTAATCCCAGCACTTTGGGCAGCCAAGGCGGCAGGAATGCTTGAGGCCAGGAGTTTGAGATCAGCTTGGGCAACACAGGGAGATCCCATCTTTACAAAAAATTCAAAAAATTTAGCTGGGCATGGTGGCACATGCCTGTAGTCCCAGTACTTCGGAGGCCGAGACAGGAGGATTGCTTGGGCCCAGGAGTTCAAGGCTGCAGTGAGCTATGATTGTACCACTGTACTCCCACTTGGGCAATAGAGCAATAGGCCATCTCTTAAAACAAAACCAAAAGCAAACAAACATTACTCACTTCCCAGAAAAATCAATCAAAATCCCAGACTCACGCAGAGTTGGACAGATAGACCTATATCTATGGGCAAGTTGTCTGTCCAACTCTGTGCATGTATTAGTCTGTAGATTAAGCTGTGTGTGTATTAATCTGTAGCTTAATCTGTGTGGCTTAATCTGCGTAGAAGCTTTGCTACTCAGAATTGGACAGATAGACCTATATCTGTGGACAAGTAGGTTTAAGTCTCTGAGTATCAATTAGCTCATGCGGATCCCAACAGGATTAAATAAGACAGCTCAGCACAGTCCCAGCACATAACTAGAAAATGTGAGCCCCCCATATCCTGGTCTCCTATTTTCTCCTGCTGGGAAAGAACCTAAACTGACAGTCTGCCTCTGCGTGGCTCTCCCAGTCTCAGCTTTCAGTGTCTCTTCCTCATTACCCAGCCTTCTTCCTTCTACAACCTCAACCGCTCAAGTTCTCTTGGTTTTCTTATTCTGAGAACCTCTAGTTTTCCCCAGTTATGCCCAACCCTTAAGAATGCCCATTAGTTTCCCTCCTCTGCCTTGCAATCTTTCTTCCTGATGATTGGCCCTTTAAATCTTATGAACCCTGCAAAGTCCAGCTTACATGTGATGCACTCCATGTATCCTCTTATGACCACTCTCATCTGTAGAGTAGGGATGATGATGACCACCTGTCAGGGGCATCATAAGGATTAGAGGCAACACGGGTTAAGTGCCTAGCATGGTGACTGGCACAGAGAAGGCATCACTGATTAGGATAGGCTCCTTTTACTGCATTATTGTTAGCAAAACAAAAATTATTAACAACACTCAAATCATCATCATCACCTCTATCTGAAAATGAGTCCTCCTTCCTCTGTGCCCCCTACTTTTAATTCCAGTACTTATCAATCTGCTTTGGGTTATATTCACTGTGTGAGCATCTGTCTTTTCCATCAGGTAATGAGCTTCTGGCAGTTGGGACCAAATCTTTATTATCTCCGTATCACTTAAAAGTATCCTTCAAGAGAGAACCACCACCGATGGGCAGCTACTGAGCACCTCTCTCTCAAATTACATAGTTTCAAAACAGGATGAGCAAGGCCAGAGCTCAAGGAAAGGGAATTACTTGCCCAAGGTCATATATCTAATACAGGTTGTAGAAAAGCCTGCCAACAAACCTCTCTGCTCTAACCTGTGTACATGTCACTTGTGTATAGCAGCAATTTTGTATCATAAGTAAAGTCATTTCTTCCTTCAGGTGGACACAGTTCCCTGCAAAGTTTAGAGAACAAATCATGGGAAGGATGGCAGCCTCCATTCTCTCCCTCAGCTGGACACCTGGGTGTGGGAACCTGCATTGCCTGAATATCTGACCACTTCTCACTATACTCTGCTGGTTGTTCTGCAGCTCAGGGTCCGTACCTGTTCAGTGAGGTTGTGAAATAGATCAATGTCTTCCAGATCATGGTCTACAGAGGGCTAAATTTGTAAGAAAATGATGAATATTTAAAGAAAAATGTCGCTGAGTCAAATGGATTTGGGACATGGTCTGTTAAACAAGGTTAAATACATATTTTTTTAATTGCAAGAATTTTTGGAGCCTCAAATATGCAAAATAAGAGTAAGACAGATAGCACAGGAAGTGTACCCAAAAATATGTGACCATAATTCCTCCTCCACACCCCTCCCCTTACACACTTCCACCTTTGCCAAAAACCAAACAGCAGTACAAACAACAAAGTTTGGAAAATGTTGGCTAGATTGAAATGTCCCTCCTGATTTAGAAACTTTCCCCTGAGCCGCCTCTCAAGAGTGGTAACTCAGTGTCTCTTGTCTTCCTACACAACCCATGCACCTGGATCCCACTATTGAGATTGCGGGTCCCCTGGAATGTCTATTTCAGGGAGCCCAGCCCTGATTGCCAAGGCGCCCAGACTTTACCCCTTTGCCAGAACTGCATTTCAAAGCCATGAGTGCAGTTCTGGAGGGAGATCAAAGCTCTCTCAACTCAACTGTCATTAGAATATTTTCTTTATGCATCTCACTCGTTGGTAAGTGCCAACAAAATATTTCCTAAATGCACTGGCCTGAGATGGCACAACTCTGTAATAATCTGAATGAGAGGGCTGTCAGGGCCTGTTTTATTGAGAGAGAAGCAAAAGGGAACCACATTCAAAATGCAAAACAACAACAGCAACAACAACAAATCCGTTAAATAAAATCATGGGAAAAAAGTGTGAGAAGGCCTGTTTTCACCTGTAGAAGCATAATACACTGGCCTTCCCGTTTCAATGGTACAGCTTACAGTGAGCCCAGATCAAGACTGAGGACTCTCAATTTCTATTCCCACTCAAAGCAGGTCACTCTTCAGTGGACTTCCCCTATGCAGAAGTGATAGCTGAGGAGATCTTTAAGCAATGTCACGCCAGAGTCATGCTTCCTGGGCTCTTGATGGGTGCGGCTGGTCACAGAGATGGTACTGGCCATGCGTAGATGCCCTCAACTGGAGGAAGGTTTGTGTGAGCTGAACACTGGCCAAGAGTGGGCCACTTTTAAGCAACCTAGAGACTGGAAACAGTTCTTTCAGGTTAGAATAAAAGGCAACAGAGGGTGATTTTAAGAGAGAGACAAACTGGCGTTCAAATCCTCCTTCTTCCACAAAGTGGCTCTGTGATCTTGGACAACTGACCCTGTCACTTGGTATCTCAATTTCCTCACATGTGAAATGGGAATTAGAAAATTCAACCAAGAAAGGAGGATACAAAAATTCAAGGAGGTAATGCACAAGGAAATGCCTAGAAGAGTACCCAACTCATGAAAAACCCTCGAGATGCAGAATTCTGTTTTAAGCTAGTTCATGGATTGAAAGAAAACTGGCCTTAGCTCCCAGTGCCTGTTGGGTTCCCGCTCCACCAGCCAAACCTGGTTCCCAACACTGGATTAATGTGTTTACCTTCTTCACAGGAGGTTGTCCTGTTTCTCCATCTCATAGAGCAAATTCTGTAACATTGCCCATTTCCAAATTCTGATTGTAGCTTGTCATTCCCAAGGAGGTTCTCAAGTCCATGAACCGCTACTTAATTTTCAGAACACACCAGACCATTTGAAAATGATTATCAAATATAAAGATCAAAGCCACTTAAGGCAAGTCATTAAAGCAAGATAAACCTCAGAATGTTTATTGCATCCATATCCTTGTTCCAAATAACAAGCTTTCTCCAAGCTGTGACCAGTACAAAAACCTGAATTTTGTTCTTTATCCCAAGGGCCCTAACAATCTGGACTTGATCCTCCTGCTTAGTTTCATTGTCAAAAATACCTAAATCTGCCTCTCCAGTCTATAAAAAGAGACACAGAAAGAAAATGCTGGGAGAGTTTATTAAATTCTTGGAATCTTGAATGATTAGTTTCCAAAATAACAGATTTTGTATGGAAGCCTGACATGTAACATAATAGCATCAATCAAAGACTAATTGAAAATTGATCATTCCTTTATTTAGTTATTGAATGAGTCATTCTTTCCTTACCTCCATTTTTTCCTTTCTTTTTCCCTGCTTTCATTCTTTCCTTCCTTTCTTCCTTTCTAATTTCTTTCCTTTCCACATATCATTCATTCATTCTTTTCTGCTTTCATTCATCAACAACACTTACTGAGATTCTATTAAATACCATGTTTAAGCCAGAAACTTTGCCTACAGACAATGAAAAAAAGCATGATTTTCATTATCAAGGTATTAGAAGTTTTATGAAGAAAGTGAGACGAATAAATGAAAGATCACAACATAATATGATAACATTAATAACACTACCATTTGGGAAAGTTTACTACACACTGGAACTGTTGAAGTATTTTTGTTATATTTTTGAAGCTTTTCAAAAGCCCTAGAGTATCCCCAACTTATAGGTGATGGAACCAAGGCTAAGAGGGCTGACACCACTTTTCCAAGGTCCCTCCACTTGGAAAAGTGTCAGAGGGGGGACACAACCCCTAGTCTGTTGGATGCTACCGACCATATCCTTAGCCATTAGTCTCTTACTTCCTGTTATTATATGTGTTATGATAGAGTGGGTGGGTGTTAAATATAATGAGAGCATACAGCAATGACACCCAGCTGAAGGAGGGTCAGAAGCCACTGAGGTTTTCACATAAAGAATAAACCTTGGTTTGATATTGAACCAAGTGTGGGAAATAGAGAAAATGGCAGAAGCTCCAGAAAGCCCAGAAGCATAGAAGCATGAGAAGAGACATTACAAGCCCTCACTTGCAAGGTTGAGGAAGATGAAGCTGGAGGGGACAGCAATGGCTACATCTGTGCTATAGTTTGGATATTTGTCCCCTCCAAATGTCACATTGAAATGTGATCCCCAATGTTGGGGGTGGAGCCTAGTGGAAGGTGTTTGTGTCATGGGGGCAGATCCCTTAAGAATGGCTTGGTGTCATTCTCATGGTAGTGAGTTCTTACTCTACTAATTCCGGTGAGAGTCGGTGGTTAAAAAGACTCTATCGTCTCCCCACTCTCTCTCTTGCTTCTTCTCTTGCCATGTGATTTCTGCATATGCTGGCTCCTCTTCCCCTTCCAAGCATGAGGGGAAGCAGTTTGAGTCCCTCCCCAGAAGCAGACACTGGTGCCAGGCTTCTTGTACTGTCTGTAGAACCATGAGCCAAATAAATCTCTTTCCTTTGTAAATTACTCAGCCTCAGGTATTCCTCTGAAGCAATATACAGCAAACTAAGACAATCAGGAAGGGTCTTGTATACTAGGCAATGGAGAATTGAAAGTGTCCTGGGAGTCCCAAGCAGACCCTGGCAGATTTTATGTAAGAGGATAAAATGATCTGGTTTACATTTTCCAGGGAGATTTCTGAAGGAATTTGGGAGATGGAGTAGAGGTGGTGAAAGTGGAGAAGGAGGCATTGGCAGTGTCTCACAGCAATAGGAATGTATATAAGAAGTAGTGGTATTCACACATGGGGAAAAATCTGATGCTGAGTTAGGGTGGGAGTGAGGGAAGCTGAAATGTTGGTCTGGTTTCTGATTTTGTCTCCTGTAGTATTTTTCTTTTATCAGTCACAGACACTACATATCAAAGCCCCCTTTATTGCTGCTCTAAATGCAGAGATTTATCTGCCAACGGCATGTCCTTTGCTGAGTCTCTTGGAAGGCTAACCCATAGGAAAATCACTGGCCTTCAGCTCCTTGTGGATTGGATCGTGATGGGACCAGGTAATGGGTGGGGTGGAGAATCCTGAGAATTTGGTTCAGAGGAAACCAGGTGCTGGTTCAGAGAAGCAGAGTGTGCCAGTGGCAAGGTTCTTAGACTTTTGGGATATTATTAGACTGATGCACAAGTAATTGCGGTTTTCAACATTACTTTTAAATGGCAAAAACCACAATTACTTCTGCAGCAACCTAATAATAAACATTGAGATGGAAGTCAGCAGTTTGTGTAACTTCGATGAATAAATAAAGCATTCAAAAGGGGAAAAAAAAACACTCCACCATGTATGAGGTCCCTCATATCATAAAATAAAAGGTACTTGAGTAGCACTCCAAAAGAAAAAATAATCTCAGAATAAAGCACACTACTTTACAATGAATGCATTTTACTAGAAACTACACAGCTGCTATTTTTCTCATTTACCTTTTGGAAAATAATTTTAGAGATTGTTAGGACAGAAAGCAAAGTGTCAGAACACCTGGTTCCTGGCAAGCTCAGCTACACTCACTAGGTTAACACGAATCATCCTTTAGGACACAGCCTAAAAGCTACTCTGACCCCCGATGTCTGAGTCAGGTAGCCATTCTCTGTGTTCGCTCAGCACCTTGGACTTCTCCGTAACAGCAATTATGCAGCTAGCTATTTATCTTGCTGCAGGAAATTCCAAAAGGGCAGAATTACAGATGTCTTGTGCAATGTTCAATGTTGTACTTCTAGCACCTAGCACTGTGCTTGGCACATAGAAGGCAGACACACACACTCATGCACAAACTATTGGATGAATAGTCACTTCCCTAAGATCTTCTCTTGGGGTACTCCAATCTCTGTTTTGACAGCCTCAGAAACTCTGAGTTCATATATTTTCAGAGCAGCCATTAAGGCTTGAGGAATCTCTTGCTAAGTAAGGAGGTGCACAATTGAATTGTGATGCTGTGTTCAAAAGCAACACAGTAGTAATACAATTATCTCATGTCAGACAATCATTCTTGCAACTGAACTCTACCGTTCAAGGGCCCACAGCTCTCTTCCCACCACCTCACTTCCTTCTTGGAGCATCAAACCAAATTGATAAATAACACAACTGACCACACTGAGTGAATATGCACAACTTACTAACAGCCCTGTGATTTGTCTTATGCTTAAATCACAACTAAGCAAAGACAATCACATCTCCTTCATGAGCTGCAGCAGTCAATGTTTTAGGAACAAGGGTTATTTCAGAAGACTGCATAGTTTGGCTCTAGACTTTAGCCATGTAGGCATATAACTGATGTGAAGACTAACTAAAATATACTAAGTTTAGAAAGGATAAATCAAGAATTATATAATCACCAATATGTGTTAAAATGGCAATGTCTAAATTTTAATCTGGACCATAGTCCCATACAAATCACCTAACCTTAGGCAAAAAACAAATTTATTTAAAATTAAAACAATACAGGCCGTACAGTAGATGTAGGTCCCTCTGGATGACCTTGAATAAGTCTAGTAACTTCTCCAAATTTGGGTCTCCCTTGGGGTTAAACAGAGACAACTCTTAGAAAGTCATGTGATGATCAAGGAGTTCAAGTATAGAGAAATGATGCTAGAAAGCATGACATTATATGCCAGGCTGTCAAAAGTAGAAATAAATTCAAATTGATTTTTGGAAAGAGGATGCCACATTTGGAGCCTAAGGGAAAATAAAATAGCAGACATGTAGACTGCCCCAGTATGGGGTACCATCACAAGGCCACTGCTGGGACTTGAGAAATATGAGTAGGATTTTTTTTCAACTTGTCATAGAGCATAATTGCTCCTCATTACCACACTGAACACTTTGTACTCAAGTAGTTACAGGGGCTGGTCAATCCTCTGAAGGCAAAGACTGTCTCTTATATCCCTTGGCGTCTCCAGTGCCAGTGCATGGCTTTATTTGTACCTTTTAAATATTAAGCCCATCCTCTGTACTCTAGTTCTACTTCCCACAATCTTGGAAACAGGATTCCAATGTCTAATTTGAGAATATGTGTGCATGAACAAACCTCAAATCCTCCCATTTTACAGATGAAGAATTTGAAATAAGAGAAGAAAAGTGTCATACTTCATGCTGGCCACTAAGTTCCTGGAAGAATCTAGTCAATTCCTTCCTCACGCTTGGCCAAACCACTGGCAAACTGTGTTTTTCTACCATGGATTCTCATGGGAAAGAAACCTCCTTTGCATCTCTCTTACTTCATGATTTTGTGGAGTTATAATCATCATTGCCCTCTGTGGCCATAAAAATAGTTCAGTAGTTAGAAGTCAAGTTCAAGGCTAAGAGCTGCAGTTGGCTGCCTGAACTCACACAACTTTTGAATCAAACACATCAGAAGCTCGATGTGGAGACAGTGCTCCTCCACCCTTCACCACCAGGCCACTAAAACAACCTAGAACATGGAAAAGAGAAAGAGAAGAAAGGAGAAAGGAGGAAGACAGAAAATGCTCCTCTGAAAAATGGGAAAACACGAGCATATTCTAGTTATGCAAACAAACCCATGAACAAAATGCAATGCTGTTCACACACTAGTTTTGTGTTTTCAGAAAGTGAGAGTGGAGGTGTGGAGGTTCCCTCTCAGGAGGTGGAAAACTGCCCAGCAGTGAGTTTGAAGCAACAAGCTGAGCTGTAACCAACTTAGGAAAATGTATTTCAATAAAACAAAATGTGCTGCTGTCTGTCAGTTCAACCATCTCTTGCACGCCCAACGGCTTTGTTTCCTAACCTGGAAGGGCATCTGACCAAGTGCAGAGGCTGTCATGAGTGGTCAGTGTCATCAGTGGATGCAGAAAGGAAAATGAGAGTGCTGAGCATGCCAAACCCAGGGTGGGAAAAAACCAACTGCCTCCTGCTGAGGCCCTTGAAAGGGCACCAGTACTGCCATCCATCCAGGCAGCTGGGAATGGGACAGGGAACACAACATTTGGGAAAGGGATGAAAGAAGGAGGACCTCAGATCCTGGCATGTTCCTGACTTCTCCCCGCAAAGGAGTTCCAACTTTTATCTGTAAACTTTGAGAATATAGAGTATGCTGGGGCAAGAGTCCCAGGCCAGGAGAGAGCCTTGGTTGGTGTAGTCCTGAGCACATTATGGGTACCCTCCTGGCTTCCCAGCTTCCAGTTCCTTCCCTACTCACTATTCAATGAGCCCCAACTTGGAATCCCAGACATGCCTTTGCTTTTTTGCTGGAAATGCTTAAACTTAGTGTGGCATGCTGCTTATCTCTTGGGATAATCAATATATTAGCATTCGGTTTATACAGGACTTTTGGAATTAAAAAAAATATTTTAAAAATGAAACCTGAGGATGATAAAATAAAAGGGCTTTTGGTAGTACAGAGTGGTTGATTAGGTTACTTCTGTCTCTTACTCCCGCACTGAGATTGTAGTGAGGGGGCTCAGGATTGAAAAGGGGCTAAGAATTTCGGGATATGCACAATAAGAAGCGAGAAGATCTATCGGAGGAGGGCAATTCCCAAACAACAGCAGCAATAACAACTGCTATTTTCAGACTTCACTATGTGCCAGGTGCTGTCCTAAAAGGTTGACTGTGTATTATTTCATCCAATCCTCTAAACCACCCAATGCACTAGACTGTTACTTTCATTCCTGACTTTACAGAGGAGGTGACTGAGTCTTTGACAAAGGAAGAGACCTGTGCAAGGTTACAGAACTGTTAAATGACTTGACTGTAGTATGTTCCGTCTCCAAAACTTGTATTCTTATTTATTTGCTAGACTGTATTGATCTTCTACTGTTCCTCATAGGTCACTGTTTCGAGCTCCTTATTAACCTCATCTTTAGGGGCCTTGAACAGTTCTTCTTTTAATTCAGTTCACCCCTCTATTCTGCTCTTAAGACCAAAGTTATATGTGTGCAAGTCTCACAGATGGAACTTGTGAGTAAAGGTGGACTTTGTTCAGAAGAAAAGCATGAAGAAAACCCAGACTGAATCAGAGAAAATCAAACCATATGTGTGAGTATGCCTGAATCTGTATGTCTGTGTATCAACCCTCAAGCAGGCATGAGGGCTGGAGATGGTGGAAACATATAGTAACTTCACAAGTCTGGCATATCTCTCATTATGAGCCATCCCAACATTGCCTGGAATGGTTTTGTACAGAAATATGTCCTTTAACACTGCCAGACATTTGGGTCATTTTAAAAGTAAGCCAGTGTGCAAATTCAATAACTCAATGAGTTTGATAGAAGTTATAGGGTCTTTATTTAAAAATACCAATTCTGTGGCTAGTCCTTTAAAAAAAGTTAATATTTTGAGAACGAAAATAATCTCAGCAAATGCTCTCAATTTGTATATGGCAGTTTCATCCAGGCCTTTTTTTATGAGCCTGTAGGAACACAGTCTCTGTAAAACAATGCTGACAGGGAGGATATGGT
Source organism: Homo sapiens (assembly GCF_000001405.40). Classification (NCBI taxonomy): domain Eukaryota; kingdom Metazoa; phylum Chordata; class Mammalia; order Primates; family Hominidae; genus Homo; species Homo sapiens. Next base: position 116,194,777 of record NC_000009.12, on the reverse strand, counting down.
GTCCACATGTGCACACAAGAATGGAGGAGACTTTTCTCCATCACCTACCATGTGCCAGGCACTGTACCATACCAGGTGTCTCACACAGATGACTCCATTTGAGTGCCATGACATGCCACAGGATAGCTGCTATCACCCAATTATTACAGATGAGAAACCAGCGGCTCTTACTGAGCAATGTGCCAAGGTCAGACAGCTAGTGCAGAGCGGAGCCAAGATTCAAACCCTGGTCAGTCTCTAGCACGCATAATTTTTCCACTACACCAGACCTGACTCCTGTTATTGCTTTAATGAATATTAGTCACATTAAATAAACCCTGATATTCTGATTATAAAATTCCAAGCAATTTCTTTTACATGATTACTGGAAAAGAATGAACAAAGTGACTGAAAAATAACAATGCCCCCTTTCATCTGCATGCTGGTTAACTCTTCCCAGAACTCTTTCTGGGATATTATTTTATGAGACCCTCATGGCAATTGTGTGATCCAGGCAGTCAGATACTATTATTCCTTCCAAATAGATGTGGAATTGGAGGCTCAGAGAGATTAAAAGGCTTGCCCAAGATTGCATAGCTAACAAACTGCCCAGCCCAGGCTAGAATCTGTTTCACCTGAATTCTTTCATTCTAAATCAGCCCGAGTCTTCAGTGTCTACAGTCTGAAGAAAAAACTGTGGCATCTACCTTCATGAAGCCCCAACCAGACTCACATCTTTCTTGCATCTCCTCAACATCTTCCCACTTCAATTTATTTACCCTATTATCACTACATGTCTGGCCAGCCCACCAGCTCTTTTCTATTATTACAAAGCCTGCTTATGCTAAAAGCCTATTGCATCCCTTCTCCATCATTAAACCTTTCCTAACTTCTCCAAACCACAGTGATCCTGCCCTTTCTCAGAGCTCATGGAAGCCTTATAGGCTATGTGGTTTACAGGGAAATTAGTCATCTGCCCTCTTGCCTTCTCTTGAATGACTGTAACAAAATGTCATTGAATCACAGGATACAAGCACCTTGAAGACAGAGATTATATCTTGGACCCCTACAGCATTTATCACAGTTCTCTGGATACTAAGGTGTCTTAATGGAATGTGGATGATGGGTAAGAACATAAACATACTAAATGTAACCTTTCCAGGTTTTAAGCTGGTGTCTAAGGTGTCTATAGGGTGTAGTTGAAAAAGCATGGGAGTAGGAAGTGAGACCCTGGGTCTCCATCGCAGCTCAGCCCCCCTCTCAATGGATGGTTTGCGTCAGTGTCTGCCCCTCCTTGAGGGCTTAGTCTCCCCATCTGCAGCAAGAAAGTACTGGACCCATCTACTGATCCATTAAGCTCTGAGAGTCCTTCATTCAGATTGAAAAGGAAGAGGAAAGTATGAAGTTTATGCTCCATGAGATCAAATCAGAAATTAAGTAGGAAACCCCACCCAGAGAGGACAAATCATTCAGTGGCCCTGATTAGAGCAGGGGAAGAGGCTAACGGGGGCTATAGCTGCCAGCAGAGGGGTCGGGGGTGACCTCAAGACTTATCGCAGCCCCTTTTGTGAGACTTCCAACAACATTAACTGGAGTCCAAAAGCAACAACAACAAAAACCTGGCCTCAGGGGATTGTCCTTGTTACATTCAAAAAAATAATAATAAAAAAGAGAAGACAAAGGAAATAATTCCCAAATAATAATAAAGAGAAGACAAAGGAAATGTTTCCTTATGAGACAACAGTGTATAGGGAAAGTGTCTTTTTTTCCACCCATCCCATTTTGTATGAGTAGATATTCATGAACAAAGGTGAGTTCACTTGAGGGTGCCAGGGTTTGGAAGGGTCCAAACAGGAACTTGGTTGGTTTGCTGCAATATCCTCTCTCAGTGAGGTAGCTACAGTCTTCAGTGTCAAATGCCCCTGGATTTCCTGACACTGGAATTTTCTATTAATATCCAGGTTTTCCATTTCATTTATAAAAGGGTGTGTGAAGTGCATTCTACCTGCGTGGAGACATCTCTAATGGCTGCAGATGAAGTCCTGCCTCCCTGGCTATTCTCCACCACTGTAGAGAATGGCCACAGTTCACCTGGAATGTCTTTTTTCTAACTGGCTAGTCTCATAGAAAGGCATTTACTGCTCACACAGACTGCTCCTCCTGGCTAGTACTGTGGACCCTTCATTCACACCAGTGATTGCAGTGGGGTGTTGACTTCTCTGTCTTACCCACTAGGTGGTAAGCTCTGGGAGGGCAGTGATCGGGCTGGCACAGAGAGAGCATTCAACAAATATTTATTGAGAGAAGAAAAGGACAGAAGGAAGGGAAGGTGGGAAGAATGTAGGGAGGAAGGAACAGAGGATTAAGCCTAACATTAAAGTTTTCCGTGAGATAAACTGAACTTTTCTCTGCTCATGGTCTGGATCTCAGCCATAATAACCCCTTAAACTCCATGCTCTCTTCTATACACCACTCCTCACCCTCTCCACTGCCTGGCTTATGCCCTACCCTCTGCATGGGCTGGCTGTCTCTAGGCTCTGGACATTCTCTGCTTGCTAATGCAGGTCCACTCCCCACCCTGCTCTGTGTCCTTGGGAGGCTGGCTATCTATGGATTGCATCAACAGGTTCCTTTGTTTTGTGACTTCAGTTGGATCCACCAAATGGGAAGCACTGGCAGGAGACTGGCAGGCAGAGAGAATGACAACATGGAATTTACTCTCCTGGTTCCCTTCTGGTCAGGTGGCTGTAGCCTGGCTGCTTCCCTTGCTGAGAGCCACAGCTGCTGCCAGGAAATCCCCTCCATACAGTCCCTCTCTCTGGGTCCCATAACCACTTTCTCCTCTTGCCCCTACAGGCCAAGGGGGTAAATGGCTCTCCATGGTTGCCCGCCCTAGAGTATAGCACAAGGCCTTGTTGGTTGTCCTTAATCCTGCCTACAACATTGTAAACAGCTTCTCCTTGAAAACAGCCCCTCCTTCAATTCTCCTTAATTATTCTGTTTGAATGTGCCATCTGTTTCCTGCTAGGACCCTCACTGATGGAGTCTGCATCTTTACCTCTCAGCAGGCTGCCTATTCTCAAATGCCTACTCAAATCTTGCCCCCTCCAGCTGATTTGCCTTGTTTTCCTAGTCAAATAAATCTCTGCTTTTTCAGTCTCCTGTCCTACTGTGTGTCTCTAAATTTACAAATCAGAGTTTCTTATGTTTCTATATGACTTTCCCACTAAAGTGGAAGCCCCTTAATGGTGAGGAACATGTCCAACTCATTGCAACACCCCCAGTGAAGAGCAGAAAGGCTGGTGGGATAGACATGCCCAATAAATGCCTGTTAAAGAGAAGAGAAGCAGTCAATATTTGGTTTTCTGATATGAAATGGAATAAGATATTACTGTGCAGTGCTCAACCCCAAGACCACAAGGCCACCGTCTCCACCAGAACTGTAATCCCACCTATGGCCTCATTATGCATGGTTATCAGTACTGACTTGCATGCTTCTGGTGAAGGGGAGCTCACTCACCCACAGACAAAGCCCTCCCCAAAAAGGACCATTCTGACTGGAGATGATATCATCTATTACTCAGCTCAAAGCTGCCTCCTGTAATTGCAACACTGTAGTCACAGCCATGGCTTAGAAACCATATAGAATAATTCTGTGACTTTCCCACAGGATAGGCCTTCAGAGCTTGAAGTGTATGTGTCATGACCATGTAATCATGACTCTCCCACCCTCCCTATCTCCCTCCCTCCCTCCTTCCCTTCCTCCCTCCTTCCCTTCCTCCCTTTTTTGTTTAAATTCACAAAGCAAAAATTTATCTGCAACCTTCCACAGGTTTCTGTCTGCACACAGGAGAGCTGAATCGGCCAGAACCCAGAAAATCCCAGCCTCACCAAGAGATGACACGTGACCTGGTGGGCCTCACCCAGGGCATACAGCTTTCCCAGCTAGCAAACAAACAAGCCCTGGTCACAGCGGTTATAGCTGGCTCATGGTCGCTCACAGACACTCTGGGCATGCATTCCCGTGACTTAGAAAAGAGGAGGCCTTTGGAACCTGCCAGTGCTGTCTGCTGATTGTGAGGTGTCTGGAACCTGGGGCCCCATGGCCCCTCCACACCAGCATGGTGCTCTGCAAAGGCCAGCTGCTCTTCATCCTGTCTCAATGATACACAGTTTTTTTCCCCAAAACTTTAGTAGCGCCACTCTCCCTATCACTTGTCTTTTAATTTTGCCCCTTATTGTTCCTTAGATTAAAAAATATCCTCCTTCCATGGGAGGTTTGGACCTAGTAGTCTTGAGTTTGAATCCAAGCTATCCATTTATTAGCAGATTGAGCTTAGGTAAGTCCCTTCATCTTTCTGAATCTTGAAATTTTCAAAGCAAAACAGGGCTAAGGGTATCCACTTTCCTGGCACTTGGCAGGTGCTGCATAAACATTTGTTGCATGAATGAATGAGTGAATGAATGAGCAAATAAATCGATGTACAAATGAATGGATGACTTCCAATTATGCCCATCCTACCCCACGCCCACTCTCACCAGGCACAGAGGTACCTCTTGGGAGTCTAGTTTGGTGGAGCACACTGATCATAGACTTGCACTTGTGATTTAGCCTAATGATTTTCTTGACCCATGAACTTAGCTAAGTTACTCCACTCTCTAAGTTTCCTCTATTTCCCATCAGTCAAATGTGAATGTTAACCTCTGTGTTGACTCCCTTGCCAAGTTTTGGAAAGGCCCAAGTGAAAGCAGAGATGACAATGCACTGTGACCTAGAAGAGACTGGTCACACACCAAGGCTTCTCCTCACATGGGCTGCTCATGTCTTGGAGCCAAGGTGAGAGTCCAGGGGCCCTCCTGGTGCCGGGAAGCTGAGCTGAGGTGCTTTCTGACTTGCTGCCAGGCAGGGCATTCTCCTGCCAGCATCCTCATTCCTTTGCACATAGGTATTTTGTTCACGCACGGGAGGCCCTTGCTCTTTTGAGAGAGACATAAAGAGAAGAGTCAGCAGAAAACCTGCAGAGGTCGGCAAATGTGCTCGAGCCATCAGCAAGTCCAGGGTCCTGTGTGTTGGACAGAATAGAAAAGTTCAGTGTGAATCTGGGAAAAACAAGAAAGTGGATATTGATGGTCTCTCCAGCTTGAATCTAGTTCCTCCAGGTCCCACATTTAATACAGGTTACCCTTGAGTTCACCTTTTGGGCTCTACTTTTGGATTACTGGTTGCAACTGACAGCAATGGCAGAGGCTAAGTGAGGCATTAGACTGAAGGCCCCCTTTTCTGTCCTCTTTTTAGCAGTAGATGAGAAATTCCTTCTGCCTGGAGTGTCCTCCCTTCTTCCTCCACCCAATTTCTGATGTCAAAATTTTACCTATTCTTTTTTCAGGTAAATTTTATTGTGTATATTTAAGGTAGACATGATGTTATGGGAAACATATAGATAGCAAACAGTTTATTATAGTGAAATAAATTAACATATCCATTATCTTAAGTCATCCATTTTCTTTTGGTTTTGTGCCAAAAGTATTTAAAATCTGGTTATTTAGCATGAATCCCAAATACAGTTCAACCTTATTTCCTATAGTCCTCATGCTATACATTAGCCCTCTAGATTTGTTCTATTACACCAAATGTATTGATCTTGTTGTTCATTAGATCTCTAGATTTGTTCTAACATCCTTCAAATTAGAGCTATTCTTGAAGACCTTGCTCAAATGTCACCTCTCTCAAGAAGGCTTCCCTGATATAGTCAAGCTGCAAATCAACTTTTTCTCTTTGATCATCTAGGGCACTCCCTAAACACAGCACACTACCTTTCATTAGACAAGTAATGACAGACATACTATTGAGAATTAATGATGTGCTGTAAGAGAGTGTACTTTATATGTCTTCTCTCTATCAATCCTCAGAGCAACTTGACAAAATAGGTACCATTATTCTCCCCATTTTACAGATGAAGAAACAGCTTCTAAGAAGTTACAAAATGAAGAAGTCACAGAGAGCTGAGACCATGGGGCCAGGTTTTCTAGCCCCATGCGACCCCACCTCTTTGAGCCTGTCCACCAGAACTTTCTGTGATGACTGAAGTGTTTCATATTGCTTTGCCAGTATGGTAGCTACTAGTCCCATGTGGCTAGAGTACTTGAAATGTGGCTAATGAAACTCAGGAATTGAATTTTGAGTTTTATTTAACTTTGACTGATTTAAATTTAAGTAGGCACATGTTGCTAGGAACTACCATATTGGACTGTGCAACTCTCACCCACTCTATGTCATACAATACAACAGCTATTTGTACTCAGCTTATATCACTCAATTTGAACTCTGGGCTCTTTGAGAAAACAGGGCTCTCAGGCTTCCCTCATGACTCATGGTAGGCACTCAATAAATATTTTTATAATAAACTGGGTTTACCTATGGTCTCCACAATGACCCGAGTAAAAGACTTGCCTCAATCATGAAGCTGCTGGTTGAACCAGAAAATCCCCATATCACCCACTGGCCTCAGGTGCCTTATCTATAATATGGAGGACATCAAGTTCAACTTTCAACTGGGCATCTTTAGCCCAGTAAGGTCTTACCTGTGTGGAGAGTCGGGGTCAAAGCAAGTCTGAGTGACATTGGTGATTTCAGGGTCACAGCACTCTCCACCATCAAAGTTGAACCGTTCATAGTTGCAGTCCATGTCACACACCCCGTTGTGCTGCTTCTTCACGAAGGCAGGGTGGCGCAGGTGGCGGCAATCCCCGCCGTCGTGGCCCGTCAGCGTGTGGTTGCACTCGGGGTCACAGTTCTCATCCCCAATCTTGCTGATGTCACAGTTGGCCAGGATGAGGCGGCGGCGAAGGGAGGAGTTGCTCACCTCCAGCACGTCCAGCTCCCAGGAGATGTTGTATTGCTTGAAGGCCTCAGCCAGCTGATGGTGCTGGAAGTCCACCTGCTCGCGCGTCACCGTCGGGTTCTTATGATCATCTTCATAGAGGTTGACCACGCGGTAGCGCACCACCTTGGGCTGGCGGAAACTTGAGAGCTGATTGTAGCTGGCAATGACCTCTGTGTTGTCACACAATGTCTGTCCGCACAGAGGAGGCTCCAGACTCGTGTCCAGCAGAAAGCCGTGGGCATTGCTGAATTCCACTTTGGGGCTGCTGCCATCCTTCATGGGGGACCAGGCATGCTTCACATTGTCCCAGTTCTCCTGGAGGAGGAGCTGAGGTAGAGCAGTGTGGGCGCCATGGGTTTCCATGTCAGACAGTATCTCCCGCTGAGTCCTGGCCACCTTCCACAGACTGAAGTGCTCGATGTAGCCCCGGTAGTTGTGATTCAGGGCACTGCCCCCTAACATGAGCACTTTGCACTTCTGGGTCAGTGGGCTGAATATGCCACCCACTTGTTCCCCAGAGGTGGCCACCTGGGCACCATTCACATAGAGCTTCATGAACTGCCCATCATAGGTGGCAGCTAGGTATACCCACTGGCCTGGGAGGTAGCTGCGGTGGGCATTGATGGTGGTCACTTGCCGGGCTCGGTCTGTCTTCAAGGAGAAAAAGTAGCGTGGGTCTTTGTTGTCTTGGTCACTGATGGTGTGAATGCCCACGACCCATCCTCGGTCACGTGAGATATAAGAACATTTGTCATACAGCCCTATGTGGCCCCAAAAGAGAAAGATGAATAAATAAAGGATGGAAAAGGAGGGGGGGTTAAGTTATTTTTCTCTAATAAAATTTGTATCAGGTTATCCTAGACTCATCGCTTTCCAACTGCTCTGTGGGATCCTAGGAGTTGCTAATGGTGCCTCTGGGACCACCTCGAGGGCAAGGCAAGGGCTGGAGGAGCTGAGAGAATGAGTAAGTTGGGTTTGGAGCATTTTCATCACAATTTTAACCCATGAAGTTTAACTTTTATTGGTTTTGAATATGAAGCATACAAGAAAGATTTTTGTTTGAAGAAAGGGTACTTCATCTAATGAAGTTGTTGCAACAACAGCAGCAATAATAATAAAAATCTGAAAACCATTTTCCAAAGCTGTTGGATGGGGAAGAGGACTTTGTAATTAAGAGGGTATTTTAAGTGTAATATAGTATACGAGGTGAAAGGAGAAACAGAGGGAGATGATAACGAACAGAAGATGCTCATTTAGAAGGGAGGTCCCTACCATAGTTACCAGAACTTTGAGTGTACATCTGCCATTAGCAGTCATTAAATGATCAGTGGCATTAAATTGTCAGGAAAGTTGGGGCATAAAAGTGAGGGTCAGGACCTGAAAAGCTGGAACTTCATTCTCTAACAGGAATCTTGCCATTTATCCCCAAAGAAAGAAAACACACTTCAGAGCTAAACTAGACAGGTTTTCAAAGATCATCACCTCCAAACCCTTTGTTTGACAGGTGAGAGAGCTGAGTCCCAGAGAATGGAAGGCATTTGTTATGTCACAGAGTCATTGACAGTTCCCCTGTGTCCCAATTCAGCTTTCTTCTTACACTGATGCCTCTCTCTCTGTCTATATATATCTATATCTATATCTATATCTATATATCTATATAGATATATAGATATAGATACACACACACACACACACACACACACACACATATAATGAGTGCCTTCTTAACATAAATTGGGTATGCCTACATAATAGTTAATAATAATGAGCAAAATCTCCCAAGCCTCTATGGCAGGCCAGGCATTGTGCTAAGGTCTGTATATGCACTAACTTAATCCATGTAATATCCCTAAGGTGGTGACATTACGTTTCTCACTTAACTGGTGAGAATATGGAAGTTAAAGGAGATAGAGAGACAGGTTGAAGGTCAACTGCTTGGTAAGTGGATCCTAGATCCATCAGATCCTTGGATTCACTGTCCTAGGCCCTAATTCTATAGCAGCTCCCCCTGCCTCACCAAAATCATCAGGCATCTGGGCTATGCCACCTACCTGGGGCATGTCACAAATTTGAGTTCAATATTTGAGGAAGTTCCAAGCCAAGCATCTCTATAGTTACTCTGGGAACCCCAGGAAGTAGGTTAGCAGATTCTCTCTGGATCTAATTATCTTTATGCTCACCAACCCCCATTTCCTAGCCTTTCTGGAATATACCCAGTGTCCCTGGCATAGACAAAGCTGTTGGATGGGGAAGAGGACTTTCTAATTAAGAGTGTATTTTAAGTGTCAGATGATGTATGAGGCCAGGTGGGAGAAGAAAGAGAGGGAGAGGAGAGTGAATAAAAGATGCTCATTTAGAAGGACAGTGACTACTCTCAGCTGGAGAATTGTTGCAGTCACCATAACTCTGGGAGTTCACCTGCTATAAGTGCTCATCAAATGAGCAAGGAGAGCTTCCAGCAAAATCAATAGAGGAGGCCCACACAGTCTTCACTCCTCTGTGGGCAGTGGGAGCTTAGAATTGGTGTAAATCTCTTTGTCAGCAGCTGACATGGCCAGCAGTCTTGGACCAGCATCTATGCCAATCTACACCTCTCCTCCTACTTCCTGCTCAGCCATTTTTCAGGAAATGGCCAGAGTCTCCTTACAAAGTCATCCTGCTCTTACCATCAGGACAACCTTAGTGAAGCACCAAATGCCTCCTCTGGTGTCCTCTGGGTCCTGATTCTCTATCTGGTAAAGGAGCGGGTTAAGTAAGGTTCTGTGTCACATATTAGGTCCAAGTCTGATTTTCTTTATTCTAGATTTCCCAATGACTAGCATGCAAGGTAACTCTTTCAAGAAGTTCATCCTGACTTCCCTGTGAATAGTGATTATTCTCTTCTTTGAACTCTTTTTACTTTTAGGAAACTTGACATGTGCTCTTCGGTTTTGGAGTTGCCTGTGTTCTCACCATTATCCCCTCTCTGCCGAACTGTTTTCTTCTCGAGAGCAATGGTTGTGTCTGTGTCATTCCAGTAACCTCTCCAGCACCTTGCTACAGCAGGCATGGGAATGATTCTAAATAGAGCCGGAGACGAGAAAGGGTAGGGATTTTAAGGACAAACAGAATCAAAGGCATTAATTTATGTCTCTGTGACTAAAGTACAGGGAGAATCAGAGAATAAAATGTATTCTTGGTAAAGTAGAAAGATCAGGATCTTTGCACTCAGGGTAATTTACTTTGAATTTTGATGACAGCAGTTACTAGTTGTACGTATGGGGCAAAATCACTTCACCTCTAAGCCTTAATTCCTTCATCTGTATCTCTAAATATATTGTCATACTTAAAAGACATAGTGAATATGACATCCTCCGCATACAACGGCTGTCCAAATGAGAGTTCATTGTTAAGATGCTGGAGGGTTCAGGGGTGATGTAGAGGATGAAAAGGAGGGAGGAAATGACGGGAAACAAAATAGAAAGGCCAGAAAGAGAGGGTACCCTGAAGGCATCTTGCACGACATATCAAGAAGGAAGGCTCAAAAAAGCCCAGGTCCTCCTCAAACCCACTGGCAAACCCTTCTTAGAAATCATAGATCCCGTCAGCTTAGATGATATCATGAGACTACATATTAAAAGCTGCCTCCCCACTGACTCCTTCAAAAGCCTAAGATCCAACTCCAGATTTGAAGTGAGTTGCGCCAGATCTATCTGTTGCTGCCTGTTATGGAACCAGTTGAGAGCAGAGGTTCCTGGAGCCATGACATTCATGTCCTTCCCACCTCTTAGCTCACCTTCTCTCTCTCTCCCAGCTAACCCTATCCCTCATGAAAAGAAAATGAATGGCCTTCTAATGAGAAAATTAAAATCTAAAACAAGATCCTTTTTCCCTCTCTCTTTCTCTGTCTCTCTCTCTCTGCAGGTTTTTATTTTGCCAGGGGCTCCCAGTCTCTGGTTTTCCTGTTGCCTTTGGAAGGCAGCTAGCCTGGTTAGCAAGGTAAAATGTTTACACATCTGTAGGGTGCTCTCAGTTCAGAACCTTGCCGGGGCTTGGGACCCAGGCTCAGGCCACCTCTGTTTGCAGTTGAGAGAAGGGGGAAGAAGTGAGAAAAGGCAGATTCTGCAAAAGAGTTAAGAAATAAGGGGTGGCTTAGCCATGGGAGGCAGAGAGGAAGGGCAAAGAGAAGGTTTTCAATGGAACCAAAAAGAAACACATTAAGGGAAATGAGAACCTTGAAGCAGCGGCTTCACAAGTTCAGAGGGAAATATTTACCTGGAGTATAAGTAGTGAAAGAAAATCACCGAGCTTCAATAAGGTTGGGGGTGTATGGTGGCAATGGGGTTTTATTTCTATATGAACATAACTTAATCAACAGTAGTCTTATTTTAGGGTCTGAAAGGGAAGCATCGTTGTACCACCAGCTCAGAACCAGAAGTTTGGCACCAGAGATCTGAGCTTGACTTGTCAGGTAACCTTGCCTGGGACAAGTCATACCACCTCCTTTATGCTGCTGAACCTAATTTCCCTTCTCTGTAAAAGGAGGGGTCTGGATAAAAATGATCCCTTGCTAGAATTTAAGAGCTCTTTTGTTCACTGATAGAATGGTTCCTTGTAAGGAGAAGGTGCTCAAAAATATGTGTTGATTGGAATTAGATGCCTTATGTCATTCGCAACTCTTGCATGCTTAGGTTCTGTCTCCTCTGAGGATCTCTATACAGGACACACAATGCTGTTCTCTGGAGGACACAAAAGAACCCCCACGTCTCCACACTGCCCTTCCTCACAGTTCTCCATAAAGATAGAGGCATAGTACAAAAAAAAAATGGTGCTAATTTGTCTGAAGTCAGCACCATCTGTGTGGGACTAGAGGATGATCCCAGGGGATATAGTCCCATGTGGCAAAACCGAAGGCCACATGCAATTCTGCACACAATCTACATATAATTAGCGTATGTCTGTCTCAATGCTATAAGCACATAGAACTAGACAATGAAAGCGTGCAAGAGCCCTTTTAAAGTAGTGTGTCTGGGCACACTGCACAGAGGGAGAGGTTGAGGTGCAGCAGGAAAGGAGCCTGCCATGGTCCTCCTGTTACGGAACCATCCCTGGAACCCTGGCCAGCTGATCTTTCTAATGCACCCTATCTTCCTGCAGCTAGGCTGGATGTGAAAAGGGTTCCATAGGCCCCCAGAAGCTTGATGTCTATTTTTTTCATTGCCTCTTTTTCTTCTCATCTACTCATTCAATCTCATCCCAGAAAGGAAGAACATCCACAAAGGAGAAAAGCTCAAAGGCATGGAAAGAGTCTCTCAGAACCTTGGCTAAGGCTGTACAGAGTGTGGGAGAATACTCTGGGCATTAGGGGTATTCTCTAAAGATCATCATGGTAAATATTACCCCAAGACAAGTCTGTCTGACGACCCCATGCCACCCAGGCACCAACAAATCTTCCTCCTGTATATTCATCATACTCCTCCCCATCCTAAAACTGCCTCATCACTGAGTAATTACTCATTCAAGATCTGTGCTTCCCACATATGTGGCTGTTTGCTTCATTTATAAATACCTAACATCCAACCCAAAATCTGGTATGTTGTAAGTGCTCTGTAGAGTTTGTTATTGAAAGTTAAAAAGAAAGAAAGAAAGGGAGCAGGGGGATACTTCCCTATTTCTGCCTTCTCTATAAGAGTATCTTACTCTTTATTGAGAACATACTATCATTTACTCTACGTTAATTATCTTGCTTAATCTTCACAACAAGTCTATCAGCATTGCTCCCTCTTCAGGATAGACTGAGGCTCAGAATAGGGAAATGGTTGCCCAAAGCAACACAGCTCAGAATGCAGGTCTATAGAATTCCCACACCCAGGCTCTTAGTCATGGTCAATACATTAAGTGCCAAAGGCCAAATGTTTTGTTGTAGGCTGTTTAAAGGCGTGGCCTCCTCTGGAAATACTTCTGTAAGTTCTGCAGCACCCCCACAAGCAAGGTGAATTGAATTGAAAGCCAGGAGGCTGCTGTCTTTATCATTCTTCTGTAGGGACCTAAACAATTAACTAAGAATTGATGGTTCTTTATTACCAAAGAGTAATCTATTCCACTGGGCTCAGCCCACTTCGCTAGAACCCAAAGTTTGTCCAGGCATAGTTGTCCATCTGGAGTGCTTACTTGAGCTTGTCCTTCGACATCTGGATTTCCGTTACCAGCCTACCTGCCTGATGGTTTCTGACTCAGGTTTCCTCTAACTTCCAATGTCGATACTGATTTTTCTTCCCAAGCTTGCTGCCATGCTTTTGGCTGCCTCCCATTTTCCTTTTCATTGTGGTGGATGAAATTGTGTTCCACCAAATTTCATACATTAAAGATGTAACCCCAGTACCTTGGAATTTAACTGTATTTGGAGATACAGTCTTTGAAAAGGTAATTAAATTAAAGTGAGGTGACATGGCAGATCCTAATCCAATTTGACTGGTGTTCTTATAAGAGGAGAAAATTAGGACACAAGTAATACAGAGAAAAGACTATGTGAAGATACAAGGAAAAGATGACCATCTGGAAACCAGTGAGAGAGAGAGAGAAAGAGAGAGAGAGAAAGAGAGAGAGAGAGAGGTCTTGGAAGAAACAAACCTGGCTGACACCTTGATCTTGGACTTTTGATCTCCAGAATTTTAAGAAAATAAATTTCTGTCATTTAAGCCAGCCAGGCTGGGGTCCTTTGTTATGCCTGCCCTAGCAAACCATCATTCAACAAGTTTTCTAAGCTCTCCCACTGAAATTTTTCTAAAATCTATCTTATCTCCTAATGCCTGTTCCCAGTTCAGAATTTTTCTCTTGTTACAATGCAATGTCTCAATTTACTCAATTGCTGTTTTGAGTAGAGCAAGGTGTATTAGAAAGATAGCAAAATTGGTGGTGTGTTCATCACTTACAGGAAACATTCCTCACCTCAAGGTGTCTCCTAGAATCCTCACAGCAATCTGCTACAATAGGTACTATTTACAGATCAGAAAACTGGAAAGTCAGAGAGGCGAGGTCCCCTGCCTAAAGTCCCACAGCACTAAGGGGTAGGAAAAACTGGAATTCGAGTCTCCTGATTTCAAATTTGAAAGCTCCCCCACAGCTGAGGGGGACTCTAGCTATGCTTTCTTCCTGTGGTCTTGCCTAGGATGTTTTCCTGGGAAGCTTTAAGTCAACATAAAATTATCTCTGATAACATTTGACTTTCTGCCATCACTGTCTGGGGGCGGCGGGGTGGAGATAATTAGCAAAGGATGACAATTTATATGCAATTCGTATTATTGTTTGTTTTCTCTCATTGGGAGAGTAGATATAGAAGGAGAAAAAACTCCACCAGGACATTTCTGCTGTGAAAAAGTGGTATTTTTAAATAAATAATGATAATAATAACAAACACTTTCTGAAAGCCTCTATTTAGTAGTCTCTTTACTAAGCACAGACTAAGTGGGATTTATTAGTATTCTTTTGACAGATAAGGAAACTGAGATGTAGAGAGGTTAATTGATTTTCCCTCCAAGGATCCCAGCGAGGGATTGGGAGAATCACAATTCTAACTCTCATCTCTTTCACTCCAGAGCCAAAGCTCCCCACCAAGATGCTTTCCATGGTGGATTGGTGCTCTCAATCCACCATGAAGGCTCTAATGTCTAGGTCTGCCATGCTGTGCTGTGGTCCCTGGGTGAATAGCTCCCTACTCTGGGCTTCCTCACTTCCTTTCCTTAGGATATAAGAGTGTTAGACCACATGGTCACAGAGGTCCCTTCCATCCACATTCTGTGACTCCAAGATCCCAGCGATTACAGGTATCCCAGCCTTGGTTCCCCCTGCGGGAGATGTAAGGTCATTGTGGGGCAGGGTAAAAGGCAGTTTCAGACCCTTCAATTAAAGGATGCCCACTAGCTGTGGGACATCTGCCAGGAGAATACAAGCAGAGGTGAGAGGATGAGGGGATGAAAGGGGGAATTTAGGTCAACAATCTGGTTTCTTTCATGAGGCTAAAAAAATTAAAAGCTAAAGGTTGGAGCTGGTCCCTTTTTTGTTTTGTTTTGTTTTGCTTTCCCTTCCATGATTTAATCACTAGTATCAAAGCCACAGAGGAATGCTTGAGAGAGCAATCCTATGGAAAGCTTTTATCTGTCCAGAGGACAGTGATTAAAACAGACAGATTTGGGTTAAGTATACCCATGGTCCCTGCACTTGGTTCAGTCGGGGGGGAGACCCACCAAAATGACCTGGAGGACTCAGCACCATCAGGCATTCAGAGGAAGGCTGGGATATCACCGAGGAGGGTACCTGGGGGACTGCTCCTCAGCATCCTCATCCCTCCGGGTCCACCCCGGGTCAAAAGATTTGCCTTAGGCTCAGTGGAAGGAGGAGGCTTAAAGGGAGACATACAGGACTGGAGGATTATACCAAGTTATACTGGGTTCTGGACATCTCTGTGTCTTGTTCAAGAGAGGCAGGAGCATTGAAAGTAACCACATGGAACAATTCTCCAAGTCAGGGTTAGCTCAGGTGTTTCCCATGTGTTGGCCATGCAAGTGTAGGAGGAGGACCAGATTTCCTTTTGCAGGACGGCATGGAGCAGTAGAATGAACACCCTTGATGGCACCTGTGTCTGTTCTCCTGCCTGTATTCTTCTTCCTTGCCAGGAACTGTTATCTGAAAGCACCCTCACTAAATGGGTCTGTTCACCTTTTTTACTAGCTGTGTGACATCAGACAAGTTAATTCACCTCTCTGAACCTTAGTTTTCCCACATGTACACTAGGATGAAGAATCTTATCCTGTATACTTCACAGATGTCTTCTGAGAGAGAAAAGAGATAAATGTATGCATATTTCCTTGTAAACTATTTAAGGCTATCCAGATGTGAGGCAAGCTTGAGAGTAGTATGCCTGAGGGTTCCTGAAACCCATAAGTTTTAATAATACACAGACTTATGTGGTACATTTGGGATGGCAAACTGTAATTCCCTCTGGCTCTTGTGTCTCCAGCCTTCCTCCTTTGCTCATGTGTAAGCAGTCTGCATGGACGTAGAAAGGTTGGGGGATTACAGGCCAGTAAATCTGAGTTCGAATGCTGGCTTTGCCATTTACTAGCTATGGATGGGAAAGTCAGGGCTCCTTTCCCAGTATTAGTCTCCCCATCTGTAAAATGGGGATGATACATCTTCCTCTGACAGTTGTAGTGGGGGAACTAATGATAAAACAAATGTGACAGCACTTGGCACATGGCCACTGGCAACAAAACAAGTGTTACAACACATGGACAGTGGTGTGAGGCTGATCTGTGTATCTCAGCTCTGCTCCCTGTTAGCTGTGTAGCCTTGGACAAAATCTCTTTATCTCCTTGATAGTTTCCTCATATGTAAACTGATAATAATAAGTACTTAATAAATAGTGCCATTTCGAGGATTTAGTAAGAGAATCCAAAGGCTCATTTGCATAGAATGGGATTGTTGTAGCTACACTTTTTAAAAATGTGTGTTAATAATAAATATCTTTCCGGCCAGGCAAGGTGGCTCACGCCTGTAATCCCTGCACTTTGGGAGGCTGAGGTGGGCAGATCACCTGAGGTCAGGAGTTCAAGACCAGCCTGGCCAACATGATGAAACCCTGTCTCTACTAAAAATACAAAAAATTAGCTGGGCATGGTGATGTGTGCCTGTAATCCCAGCTACTCAGGAGGCTAAGGCAGGAGAATCACTTGAACCCAGGAGGCAGAGATTGCAGTAAGCCGAGATCGCGCCACTGCATTCCAGCCTGGGCAACAAGAGCGAAACTCCGTCTCAAACAAATAAATGAACAAACAAACAAAAAATAATATCTTTCCTTCTTTTTCAGAATTGGGATTATTTCCCCCCTTTTTGTGCTGTTAAACACACACATAAAGGTTCCTTTCTGACACTGTTCTCTGAAATGAAGATGCATGTTTATTGCTCTTTTTTCACACATTGTCGATGAAATCAGTGCATATAAAATTGGTGCACATCAACGTAAGAAAGGAAGTGGGGAAGGACAAGAAAAAAAGATCAAGGAGAAAGAAGAGGTGGGGGATGGGGTCAAAGAAGTACACTATAACAATATGAACTATTGTTCATCCTTGAAAGTTGCACAGCACAAACCAGATCCTGGTGGACTAAGGAGGGCTGATGTTGGGGCTGTCTTGGAAGAGAGATCTTTCCTTCGGTCATTTTAATGACTTGAGAATCTACAAGCTCCTCTCTCCACTCACTCATCAAGCCTGGAGACAATGATACCACTTGCCAGAAAATGGTCAAGGACCAGTGCATCCTGCTGTCATACCCTGCATGGCAGCCCCAAGACTGACCCTTCACCATTCATTGAATTAGGCAGAGTCAGGGCTGGAAATTCTCTTACTGGTTATTTAATCATCCCCTTTCACACCTAACCTCATATTTGAATCATCTGTACAACATTTTAACAAATGACTGACCACTCATATTTCCAGGCCAGCACAATGATTGGCAAGTAGAAAGCACCAATTAAGTTGACAAAATGCTTATATGTATGCATGCATTTAAGGGGAAATAAAGAAATGCATGTGAGGGTGCTTGCATGAGTGAAAGCACAGTGGACAGTCTGGTAGTGAAGAGCACAATTTGGGAGTGAATACAGCTGTTTTAAGTTCTGGCTCTGTGATGACCTTGAGGCAGCTCTGGTTGGAAGGATGTAATAAGACACTGTTCATAGAACACTTTTCAAAGTGCATGGTGTACAATAAGCATCCAAGAAATGGGCATCATGAAGGATGTATGTGAGGAAAGTAAAACCAAATGCACATGGGAAGTATCAGAGAAATGAGACAGAATTGAAGAAGAAGGAGAGAACTGTTTCTAATAAGCTCAGAAACATATTTTACATGTCCCTGCAAAGCCACATGGACATGTCAATTTAATGTCACTAATAAAAATATTGGGGGGGGGGGTCTTTCCTCTCAGTACTCCAGAGATCAAGACATTAATAGCCATTAATACTGTTGGAGAAGTAAAGGAAGCTTCCCTGATGTGGTAACTTTCTCCCAGTTTTGCTATAATCAGACCTTGGCTCATCTTGTCAACTCCATTTTTATTTCTCTGTGTAACTTTGCTTGTGTGTATGTTCATGCACATATGTTTAAAGTTTAAAAGAATATATCACATATTGCCTAGCATAATGGTGGCACTTAGTAGGTGCTCAACAGACTCTAATTGAATGAATGCTCTACATGCAGTTATGTGGATACTATAGTATTCTATCCACAAGTTCACAGACTAACAGGAGAGAGGGATATTTATCTTTCCAAGCTGGGGTGTGAGATATGATTTCAAATATCAACTCTGCTACCATGGAGCAGAGATTAGAGCAAGTCATAATTTTGGTCTGAGCTTTTCTTCTGTTACTTGGTAAAATGAGCATCCTATTATGCACCATAAAGGGTATGAAAAAACAAAGCTGGTGCTTAATCCATCATAATTACATTATTGGAACACTCTTCTAACTGGCCCATGGTCCAGAAGTTTCATTGCTCCCTTATACAGCCTGTGAAGCATCACCAGATTCATCTTCCTAAAATCCTATTTTTCACTATTCCCCCAAACAGACAAACCTCTTTCTCTGATGCTCTCAGAATAAAGACCAACAACAATTTTGCATTTCAGAAATTGGTCTCAATCTATCTCTGAGTGTGTAGACAGACTCTGGTAAGATTTCCTCACTTTGGCCCACACTGTTTCCTACAGGTAGAAATGTCTCCCTATTGTCCCTGTCCTTTTCTCTTTTCTGATCTTCAAGACAATACCAGTATTACTTCTTCCAGTAGACCTTCAGTCTTCATGAGTCTCCACCATCAGTGTATAAGTGTTGATGAGCACCTGCTATCTGGCACAGATGTAGTCAGTCTTTGACCCAGCCATCTTTCTGTACCAGCCACAGGACACTTGGGCTGTTTCTTGATAGTTCCCACATGTAGTTGTTGAGGGCACAGCCTCTCTTTTCTCCTGAGTCTTTCTGAGGTCCTAATACTGTTTTTGGTTGTTTAGTTGTTGATCTAATTTTTTTTCATGGCAATGATCACTGTTGACAGTATGACTCATTTCTGAGGTCAACCTCCAATGGTACTCTCCCCCACTCGACTGTAAGCCTCATAAGAACAGACAGTACATGTCTATCACCACCCTGTATCACTATATAGAGCCTGTATCACCACCCTGTATCACTATATAGAACCCTCCATATAGTGGCTAGGACATAAGTCCTCAATAAACATTTGCTGAATGGATAAATAAATGAAAGATTTATGTGCCCAAGGCTTGTGAGGAAACCTAATTTGGGGGGAGTTTTGGTTTCAAACAAGCTTTTCTTCTTCTTTTAAGTTTGTATTATTTGTATTTGTATTTAATTGACAAAAATTATGTATATTAATACTGTACAACATGATATTATGAAATACGTATACATTATGGAATGGCTGAACCAAGTTAATTAAGTATGCATTATCTTACATGCTTATTAGAATTTTTGTGGTGAGAACACTTAAAATCTATTTTCCTAGCAATTTTCAAGTGTGCAATAGTAACTATAGTCATCATGTTGTATAATAGATCTCTTGAAGTGATTCCTGCTGTCTAACAAAATTGTGTATCCAGTTTTCAAACGCTCCTCTTGGTACTGGAGGGCGCCCTGATTTAGAGGCAAGAGTGGCGGTCCTTGTTACATCATATAAGCCCCTTCAACTTTCTGGCCCTCGATGTTTCCATCTATATAATGGGAGGTTGACATCAGTGGTCATTAGGTTTGAATGTATAAATAGTGAAAGGAGTAACAGGGAGTTAGGAAAATACAACTTAGTTGTGTGTTGGCGAGACCTTAGGCAAGTCACACTCTCTCTCAGGTGTCCGTTTTCTTATTTGTGAAAGAAGATGACTGTGGTAAAATAAATTCTACCAGTTTTCTTGAAAATGCAGAGAAAAAAATTTCTATTTGGAGGGTAATAAGACGGGAACTTGTGCTTTAATTTGCCACTATTAATCTTGGGCAAATTTCTTTTCATCCATGGTCACTTCATGACTTTCATAGGCTCCTTCTTCCAAAATTATGCTTTATGATTGCATTGTTATAAAAATAAATGTAATTGAGAGTCTGGATTCCTTATTTTAGATGTATTATTATTATATTATTTTTTCTTCTGATTCTAAAAGAAATTAATCTAAAAGAAATTAATTAATTCTAAAAGAAAGAATTAATCCATTTTTGTAGTTTAACAAAAGTACTGTAGACCTCAGGCACTGTGCCAACTGTGTCTAACAGGTGAGTCATCAGCCTTGTTTTCATCTTTGGACCTCGGTTCCTCATCTGCTGAAGAGCATTGGGAGGAGGAGGCACTGAACACCTGTACCCATTCTAAGGAGCCAAGAGGAATGGGGAAGATTCCCACATGGGCAAGTCAAATGATGTAAATTTCATACCTGATGCAGGCCTACAGCAAGTTGTATAAAAACACAGCCCACACAGTGTGGGCTGAGCTCTGAAGAAAAAGCTCCTCTCTCAGATGAGCCTGCCATCACCTCATCTTGGCCCACACAGCCTAGGGTGAGCCTTTCAGGAGAGAGATGGCAAAGGGAGATAAGAAAGGGACAAGGCCAGACAGGCAGATCTCCACTTTGCAGGGCTGGTGCCCTCCAGAATTACCTTTCTAGGCAGGGAGGGCAATGACAGCTGATGCTTACCGAGTGATTACTGTGTGCCAGGTATTGTGCGAAACTCTTTGCATAGATAACTCAGGTAACTCTCACAATAATGCAAGCAGGGAAATATTATTATTATCACCATTTTACAGATGAGAAAACTGAGACTCAGAGAGTCCAAATAACTCACCTAAGCCTGAGTAACCTGTTGGCCAAGTGACAAAGATGGGGTTCAACCCCAAGCAATCAGACTCCAGAATTCACATTTTAACTTCTAAATATTTCTGCTTAGTCAGGGGAAAGCTGACTACACCAGGACAAGGGGCTGCTTTTAATGATAAATAAAGAGTAATAAAGCGAGTTCTATAGTAGAGGTACAAGCAAATAGAGCTCAGCAGAAAGACTACTTGATTCTGACAAGAAGGTGCAGGGAAGTTTTCCTGGATGAGTCTCAAAAGAGCCGAGCCTTGCATGAGGTACAGGATTTGGGGAAGGAGAAGCTGGTCAAAGACTTTCTAGCACAAGGTGAATCATCAGCAATGGCAAGAGCTATGAAGTCCACCTAAAGGTCACTCTCGAGATGAGAAAGATATTTGCTTTTGATGGGATTGAGGGTGCACAGAGTAACTGAGGGAAATGAAGTACAATGGCTGTCTGAGGCTAGATCACAAAGGGTTGTGAATGACATGCCAAAAGATCTAAAGTTTCTTCCATAGAAAAGAATGAATCTTTGGTGTTTTTTGAGGCAGTCCATGGGGGTGGGTGGGGATCATTAGCTGGGGATTATATGGTCTTCCTTTTGACAGTCACAGAGCTAACAGAGCCAGGACTAAAGTCTCAGGACTCCTGTCTAGTGCTCATGTGGCAATCTGGAGTCATTTAGCCTTAAGACTCATTAATGAAGAGGGTGAAATGTGAGCACAATTTCAAAGAGAGAGGTTTGATACACTACTAAATTTCTATTGTTTTGACATCTGTTAGAAAATCATAAATTATAAATAACTCAACTCAAAAAACGCTTTAAGGCTCTAAATGGATAAATAGGGTTTAGATGCTCTTTGGGGCTTCATAATTTAAATTTTGTTGCACTAGGTAGAGGATGATTAGTTCAGCCTTGATCCTGGTCTCTAGCTGACCTTGAGAAAATGTCATCTACCTTTTGTCTCTTGGTTTCCCCATCTATTCAACTGAAGGAGGATGGAGAGTTGATCTTCAGATCCCTTTATTTCCCTGAGAGTCTATCTCATAAACTCCTTGAAAGAAAGGGATTTTATCTCCTTTGACTTCATATCCTCAGTGATTAGCTTGAGATCTGATACATGGTAGACTCTGTAAAACATCGTGGAATGCATAGTACAAACTAAATTTTAAACTCAAGACTCCAGGGATCTTTAAGGGACTTTAAATCAAAAGTTTGGAAGTGGTGACCATTTTTTAAACAAAAAAGGCATAGAAACAAGCAGATCAGTAACCAGACAGGTTAGTATTTCCTCTGGCTGTAAAAGATGCTGAGGAACTGAAAGACTATGAAACAGAGAAGATTGATGAGGAGGAGGCCAAGAACACTGTAAGCTCAAGAGGGGAAAACAAATGTGAAAAAGCATAGAGGGAGAAATATGTGTTTTAGGAGTATCAGGTAATTCAGTTTAATCAGAAGAATCCATGTAAGTCAGTGGTTCTCAGTCAGTAGATTTTGCTCACAGGGAACATTTGGCAATGTCTACAGACGTTTTTGATCATCACACTGGGGAGGAGGTTGTGGCTACTGTGTCTAGTACATAGAGGCCAGGGATGCTGTCAAACTCCACAACAAGGAATTATGCATTCCAAAATGTTAATAGTGGTGAGGTTTAGCATCCCTGGTGGAAGCAACGAGGGAAAGTTACAGTAGTAAACAATGCTTAGGGAGGAAGGTGAATGTGAGGCTACAGAATTTAGAACCAGTCTAGAGAATCTAGAGAGGTTTATGGTGGAGGGGTTAGAATATGCACTCTGAAGATTGCTTCTACCACTGACTTGTGTGGACCTTGGGAAATTCACTTAACATTCCTCATCTTTCATCTGGAAAATTGCAGTAATAATAGTACCCACCTCAGAGGGTCATGGTGAGGATTAAAGAGTTAACATATGCAAAATTTTATGAACAGTGCCCGACACATATTATGCATTAAATATATTAGCTGTTATGCATAGGTAATAGGGAGCTAGAGTAGACTCAACTTCCAGAGAGCAGCAATAGCAGCTCCTCAGTCGATGAAACCTTAGAAAAAGGCTTAGAGCTGCATGATTATCATGTGACTATTATATCCACCCAATTAATAATCCTTCTTCAATCAGCTTCTGCTTCAGATAACACTGCAGGCGGATGTGTTTGGGTTTGTCTTGCTGTCTGCAAGCAACTCCCTGTCTGGGCTTTGTCTCCTAGATATCCATAATGCCCAGGCCAGCATCTGACTGCCTCTCCAGTTCAGCCTCCCCATGGTTTCAATGAATAAGGGGAAGGAGACAGAGAAAGTCAGACATGAGGACAGACGGAAGGATGGAAAGGCAGGAAGCCTTCCATGAAAGCTGCTGCCAGTGATACCCACTGTTCACAGGGATTCCAAGTATAGAATCAGAGGCATGTTTCAGAGGCTTGTTTGAGCTACTGATACTGTTCTTTTGGAACACTTGTTTGTAAACAGATATTTCTGCTAACACTGGGCTTTGTAAGGGTGGACAGAGTGGTGGGGGGGTTGAAAGTGGGGGTTGGAGAAAAAGGCAGGTTGTGTCCTAGAGCCTTGGACCATGTGTTTGTTGTTGAGAATACAAAGACCTCACTGTATTAAATGAAAATGCTTGTTTTACAAGGCGAGTGGGAATATGATAGGTAGATGTCGAAAATGCTTTGGAAACTGAAACAACCCCATGCCACAAGGGCATTCTGCTACATCATACATCCAGAGGCATACACAGAATGTGAAGGCTCAGCATCACTAAACAAGGGCTTTGGGAGGCTGTGGGAAAAAAGAGTCCCAGAGGCTAAGTGACTAGCAGCTCCCTTCTCTGGTCTCACCTAAGCCTGCCCTTTCCCAAAGAAAGGCTTCCATTTCAAACTTCCTATTGTTTTTCCAGTACCTGCTAACCTAAGGGTAGAAACTGTTATTGATCTAAAATATTACTGTTGATAAAGGAGCCTCTGGTAGTCTAGATCCAGACTCAGAGCACTACCAGGAATATTTATATGATAGAACTATGCAGGCAGAACACTTTAACTTTTCAAATTAGTTTTCAATGAGTGGTTTTCACACTCTACTATGTGGAAGCATAAGGTTCAGTGAAGATGTCTCAGGGGATTTTTTTTTTTTTAAGAACTCACAGCGGCATAAAAACAAGAATTGGAACCTCCTAACTCTTCCTCCAGTCCTAGCACAAAGCCTGGTAAATGGAAGATTACATTTATCCAAGAATGGAAGGATGGATGGACAGATGAATGGATGGATGGATAGATGGATGGATAGCAGAAAAGAAGGGTGGATGGATTAGGGAATGAATGGGGATGAAAGGGGATGGATTGATGGAAGGGTGGATGGAAGGAAAGAAGGAAGAGAGGGAGGGAGTGGGGGGAGATAAGGGGGTAGGGAGGAAGGAAGAAAGGGAGGGAAGGAGAGTTAATAGATGGGTAATGGATGGAAGAGTAGATTGATGGAAGGGTGGATAGGTGGCTGGATTTGTGGCTTCATGGTCAAAGTCCACAGTGAATACTTATGGGCAGGACCACTTCAGACCACATTTGAAGTGTACTTGCCTATTTAAAAACTCAGAGAAACTCAGAAAGCAGAGTTTGAATAAACAAAGTTGTAGATTATATTTCTAAGAAATAAACTAATTCTTCCTCAGAGGAAAAAAAGGTCCAAATTCTATTTACTCCAACAAGGGTACAGATGAAGGAAAGTGCAATTGCTCAGTCTGATATGACAACTCAACATCAACATTCTCATTATCACAGATCCCCTATAGTGTTCATATTTTAGAGCTGGGAACAAGCTTCAGGAAATGACCTGGTATGCCCCCAGTTTTTCAGCATGTAAGTCACCATTTGGGGGACATATATCCCTTTAAGCAACTAAGAAGAACTTTGACTCCAGAAAAATATGCACAACCTCAAATTTTTACAGAAAATGTCTTGGGGTTTACAAATCAAGTACTTCTGAACCCAAGTGCAAAAACTCCCCTATCCTCGTTGATCTAAAATAGGAGTGCTATTCTGGTATTTCACTTGGTACTCGTATTCATAAGGAAATAAATGATAATTATATTAACCAAAATACTAAGTCATAACATCAGCAATCGATCATGATGCTGTTGTAACTGAGACCCCACTCTTGGCCTCATGCAATCCATTCTACACATAGTAGTCAGAGTGATCTTTGGAAACCATAAACCAGATCCAGTAACTCCATTGTTTGAAGCTCTCTGATAACTTCCTGGCACACTAGATAAAAAAAAAAAATCTAGTGTGCCATCCTCATCCTCTTATATTCTAGGTGAAGATTGCAGGAGGAGCATGGACACATCCCTTACAATTCCACCTAGCTCTTAGCAGCTCTTTCTAAGAATAGTTTGGAGAGGTTAGGTGCGGTGGCTCATGCTTGTAATCCCAGCACTTTGGGAGGCCAAGGTGGGCGGATCACCTGAGGTCAGGAGTTTGAGACCAGCCTGGCCAACATGATGAAGCCCTGTCTCTAATAAAAATACAAAAATTAGCTGGGCGTGGTGGCAGGTGCCTGTAATGCCAGCTACTCGGGAGGCTGAGGCAGGAGAATTGCTTGACCTCGGGAGGTGGAGGTTGCAGTAAGCCAAGATTGTGCCACTGCACTCCAGCCTGAGTGACAGAGTGAGACTCCATCTCAAAAAAAAAAAAAAAAAAAAAAAAAAAGAATGGGTTTGGAGAGGCCGAAGGACAGCCACATGGAAGGGACTTAAAGCTGGCATAGATGGTATACTGGTTCACTGGAAAGAAAGAGAGGAAGAGAGATAGGGAAAGATGATAAGCATATACATTTCAATAGGTAACTGGTTAGCTCAGAGAGACCAGGGCCATATCTCACAGTCAATGCCACTCACAATGTGTCTGCCTTCACTCTTTGGTCTTTCTAAGGCCTATGCTATTAATTCTCAAAGCACCTTTTCTTCACAGCACTCACATTCAATCACCTTATGTTATTCCTTATTTGGAGCCATCTCTAATCTGTTCGTTCATTTAACATTGTTTAGCCAGCCCTCACCGACATGACTAGTATTGTGCGAAGTAAAAGGAATAATGCAAAGATGAAGACCAAAATGGTCTCTGCTCCAAGGAGCTCAGAGACAATTGGGGAGAAACAGACAGATACCAAGGAAATCACAATAGAGTGTGATAAATGCTATGAGGAGGGAAGATAAGGAGTTGCATTGGCTTGATGCAGATGGTGATGGATATTGAATTGTCCAATAATTTCCTAACACCATACTCCTAAAAGATACTCTGGGTAAGTATCTACAGCTGAGGCATGAATCCAGAAGTGTTGATTGTTCTCATTTGATTTATGGCTATATGTTTAAAATTACATACATGACTATACCCCCACACAAGGCAGAGCACACACTCTACATACATACACATTCACTTCATGAACAAGTCCCCAATCCTTCCAGGTGGAAAAGATCACTTATGCCTTTGAAATTTCAGAGCACTTTTTCACTCTCATGATAAACATGGGTGTTTCATAACATAGTGTTTCTGCTCTGTGCTTCCCCAGGACTCTGTTAATTGCTTAGTTATAGCAGTTACCATGATGTCATCTATCTGTTTACCAGTCTGCTTCCACCACTAGGACTGGGAGTTCCTCAAGGCATGGAACTATGCCTTGTTCTTCTTTTTAATTCTTATCTCCTAACTCAATGTATAATATATAAAAATTGCTGAATAACTACATATGAAATAGAAGGGTGAATGGTTAGAAAGAAGGAAGAAATGAAGGAACATTTACCTTTCCTAATAAACTTTCATTTCTCATTGAATCTTAAAGAATGTCTAGGACAGCAGATTGGCACATAAGAAGTTCTTTAAAAAAGTTATTAAACAGCTGTATGATGCTTTCTAGTAATCTTACTAATATAAACCCATAGTTATAACTATCACCCCACACTGTAAAGGAAAATAAAGTGACCCAGTGGAAAGAGCACTGATGTGGAAGTCAACAGATCTAAATTTTAGTTTCAATTTTACTGCCAATTTGCTGCTTAACCTTACTCACTTAGCTTAGCTTAATTTAGCAGGTAAACATCCATGGATCTCAGTTTCTCAGTCAGTAAACTGAGCAGATTTGATAAGGCAGTTTCTGTTACTCCAGCTTTAGAATTTGGGAAAGGGAAGGTCAAGATATTGCATTTGTTTTTAGCAGATTAAATCAGCCTTTTGAGGGGCTTTTCTGTAAAGGGGTCATCCTGAGAGCTTAATATTGGCTCTATCAAGGCTTAATCAGCTCTGATGATAGTCACCCAAAAATCAGCCTTGTTACTCCAGAGTCACTGTTCTATTCAAAACCCCATATTCACTCAGCATGGTCACCCACATAATTCCAAGATTTGCCTGAGAATGCATCAGGGCCCCTCATCAGAGGATGACAAGGAGGCTCCATTGAGCATATCTGGGGAAACATGTCCCAGGCACTGATTCTCAAAACAAGAATCCAAAAACATTTTTGGCAAACAGAGTATCTTTGAAATAAGTGCACAATTGGTCCTCCTTATCTGTAGCCTCTGCATCTGTGGATTCAACCAAATTCAGATTGAAAATATTTCAGAATAAATTAAAATATAATACTTAATAAAAATAATACAAATAAAACAATACCACATTACAACTATTTGTATAGCATTAACATTGGATTATGTATTATAAATAACCAAGAAATGATTCAAAGTATATGAGAGGATGTGTGTGGGTTATTCACAAACACTATGCCATTTTATGTTGGGGACTTGAGCAACCTCAGATTTTGGCATTGAGGGAGTTGGTCCTCGAACCAATCCCCTGTGGACACTGAGGGACAACTGTATATCTCCTAAAGGACTAGTTAAAGGTGGGAAATGCTCTAATGGATGTAAAATGTCTTTATGTTTGAAAATCACCTGCAAATAAAATATACTTTGCATATCTGAGATTTCTTAGCCAATCTTTTTGAAATCTTATAATGTTCATTCAGATTTTTCCTCTATTTCTTCCTCTATCCCTCCCTCTCTTCCTTCTTTACCTTTCCATTCTACATTCTTCAAATGTTTGCATTAGCCACTGGGGGGCACCACCATTCATTCATTCAGTCATTCATATATTCATTCTCTCATGGTACATTTACAGAGTAATTGCGGTGTTCCAAGCAATGTGTCAGGCCTTGAGGATGAAGAGAGATAAAATTAAACTGGTGTGGATGAGAATTCCAGTTTCATCACCCATTAGCAATTGGTACTTCAGGGAGTCATGCAACTTTATAACCCAGTTTCAGAGTGTTCAAAGTGTAGCATTCAGCATAGTGCCAGCACATAGTAAGTGCTTATTATAAGCTAGCTGCTTTCATTACTGTTATTACTGCTGAGAATGTGTCTTCTCTCCTAGGGGTATATAAACAGCGGATAGAGAATTCCAGATCCTGAGGTCATCACAAGGTCTCACAAGATCAAGGAAAATCAAGGAAAGCAGATAGAAAGCCCCATTAACAGAAAGGAGGGAAATGGGTGAAGACTGAAGCAACAGATATGACTGCCAGGACACTTGAGGCTCAGAAGGACACTGATAAGGGGGAGAGAGGGAAATTTGAGAGGCAAGCAAAGCTTAAGATTATGTGCTGCCGTGCACACACAAAACAAATGCTTTGCAAACAGGCACAGGGCTGAGAGGCGAAGACCAAGGCCAAAATATGGCTTGGATTAGAAAGCCCAATGTGAGCTGAGAAGGCCCTTAAATATACTATTCCCCTTCCCCTTCTGTTTTGGAAGGCCAGATTTCTTTTCCCTTCTGACTTCTTTGCTCAGGGGTAAATGGAATTAACCACTGTGTAATGTTTCTGACAGTGATGCACATGCTAGGTCATGTGCTTTGGTTACGTAATGCAACATGCCTAAGGTTCCTGAGCTCTTTCTCCCAGAATCATTAGATATTAAACTGGTTCTCTTATCCAGTTATCCATTTATTAAACAAAAATACATATAGCCCCTTTATAGGTCAGATACTGAGCTAGGCAATAGAGAACTTGAGATGGATAAGATCTCAAATATGTACACAATTAAATGTCATAATTCCAGGTATTTTGATAAAAGTGTGCAGAAAGCATAGTGGGAACAGATGAACAAGGTAGGGAACAAGTTACACTTTGGGGAAGTTATGAAGGGCTTCTCAGAAGAGAGAAAACTCTGGCAAAATCCTGGGAAGGCATAAACATTCTGCAAAATGGTGCACTGGAAATAGAAGATAAGCCAAGTAAAAAAAGTGATAATTAAAGAACCAGGTGCATTTGGGGGAATTTCAAATAATTCAGATTTTATTGAAGAGCTTTCAGCTAGAGGTGACAGAGTCAGATTTGCATTCTGGACAGATGTGACTGTTGGATGTTGGTGGGCAGGTTGAAGGGGGTGCAGGGATTGAATTTCAGAGAAGTGGGCATTATAATACTAAGGAAATAGTCACAGCAAGAAATAAAGAGGATTTAAGGTACAGAGAAGAGAGTTTGTCTATAAACATTATAAGGAAGCAGGAGAGTCAGGAGTTGATGACTGATTGAATATGGTAGATGATGTAATGTAGAGTGGGTGACACCAACCAAGATGAGGATGCAAGGAATTTTGGAGGAAAGATGATTGTTTCGGAAGTGTGGAGTTTGTAGAATGTGCTAACATTTCCAGTAGACAGGTGGATCTGTGAGTCTGGAGCCCAGTGGAGTCTGGACAAATAACTACCATTAGTAGACAGATGGGTAATTAATCTATGGGAAAGGGTGTAAAGTCAGGAGACAAGTGGACCCAGACCTGGCTTAAGACTTTAAAGTATCTACCAATGGAGGATCTACCAATGTAGAAGTAACATTCTAAGTTGTTTGCTTTGTGACACAAAGCTTTTGGGCAGTCATGCAAGAGTATTTACCAGTGGAAGAGTAACATTTTAAGATGTTATCAGTCAATGGTACTCGTCTTTACCCAGCTTGGTCACTGACTTGGATAAGCCACTTTCCTCATCAACCCTCAGTCCCTCATCTATGAAATAAATGGCTTGGATGAGTCCTTGGACTTTGACACACCTTGTTTCTTTGGACTTAAATGAAGTTTACTTCACAAAACTGAGTATCACATTTATCAATGTTTTATGTTTTCTGCCTGGGTGCCTTGCATCTTAAGATTAGCCTATTAACACAGCCTTCTCTCTTCATTCATCAGCCTCTGAGCTGAAAGATCTGCAGTCACACTGGGGAAAATAACCCCCTCCATATAAATGCATTTGGCCACATTCTGCCGAGCCACCTTTCAGATTCATAGAGCAACAGGAATGGATACGGGACAGGCATAGGAATGACTTCTTGATTACAAGGATAATAGGTACAGGTTGGACCACTGGCTTCCTAAACACACAAGGCTATAACAGGTCTCAGCAACTAGTGGTACGCTGCCCCTACTCACATACTTCGATATTCCAAGTTGTTACTGACCAGCTTTTATGTCTTAGCTTCCTCCAAGTGGGTTGGAATCTGAGACCTGACCAGGGTTCTCTACAATCTAAAGTAGAAGAGGGGAACCTCTTATATTCTTCCAAGTTCTGTGGACCCTGGGTTTGTGGCAAATAATACCAAAAAACAAACACATTTTCTTTATCTTGTTTGGAGAAAAATCCAAGTGGTCAAAGCAAATAAGCTGGGTATGAGGAGTAGGAAGAGAGAGAAGAAGGAGGGAGTTGAGAGGAAGCTGGATATACTTCAGAGATGACAGTTCCAGGGATCCTCTGAAGGAAAATAGTCTGGAAAATGATGACAGACTCCAGAGTTTTGGTATTTTAATTCACTGAGTTATCTGATTAAAATGATAAGCAATACTACAAGGCCGGTGGTCTATTCCAAAGTCCAGGAATTTGTCTGGAATGGCCTTTATATCCTAAGAAATTACAAAATATGAACATGCTAGCATTCACCCAGTAAGTGATGACTGGGAGTCACTCAGCAAGTTTTCTGGATATTTGTGGGGGCTAGAATTAGTTATATTATTAATAGGATGGATTCCAGCTATCAGGAAGTACCAATATTCCCCAAATAATGTCTTCAGTCAGTCTTAGAAATTCTACCACTGTTACATTGCTTTGTGACACAAAGCTTTCTGGGAAGTCCTAAAAGAGTATCCACCAATGGAGCAGTAACATTCCAAGTTGTTACCAGTCAATGGTACTTAGCAAGAAGGTGTACCATCTTCTTTTTTCCCCAGTGTTGCTGAGGTGTGGAAGCCGAAAATGTGTCCACACTTGGCCCCTGAGGGTGACAGGCACAGGCACCACCTAGTGGAGGAAAATACACCAGAAAAGGAAGAAAACTGGAACTATTGCCAACTTCACAGTTTTGTCTGAGGACAGCCTTGATGAGGATTATAGAATCCTAGGAAGTGTCTGTAGAAGTGTCTTTAGTGCAAATAATCCCTACAGTACCACAAAGTTCAGATGTGAAAACTGGTTCTGAGAGGGAGAGTGACTTGCCTAAAGTCACACAGCAAACTAGTGCTAGAACTGACATCTCCTAGCTCAAAGCATTGCTCCTCCTTTTGCGATACACCATGGCCTTCTCCAGAGAGCCTCAGGCCTGCTCATAGGTCTCTTCTTCAAAGCTACTCTGATGATGGCCTCCCTTGACCACTCTTTTCATATCCCACTCCTCTCTCCTCCTGCATCCCCACTCCCACACAGCATTCCTAGACTTCCTTCTCAACTTTTTCTTTACAAACATTCACCTGACATTATGGGATATATATGCTTATTCATTTATAGTCTGTCTCCACCTTCTCCCCAACACCCACTGCCCAGAATATAAACTCCCTGAGGGCGGAGATGTTTCTCTCTTTTGTTGACTGGTCTGTCCTCAAGGCCTAAAACTGTACCCAGCACAGAGCAGAAACTCAAAAAATAGTTGTTGCATGCTTGGGCAGGAAATAGACAAATTTTACCTGGTCTCTTGTTCTTTGTCTGCATTTCTGAGATTTTTTTTACAATGAGCATGCACTATTTTTTTTTAAATGACACAATAATGTGTTTATCTTGTTAGCCTTTCATTTTAGTTGTTTAAATTTTTAATTTTTCTATGTTAAGATGACAGCAATAACTCTTTCCTGAGTTGTAAGGGAGGAAAAGGCAATTCCTGGCTTTGCCAAAAGAGATAAGTATGTCTAACTCCTAGAGTTATTGAGATTATTAGAAATAATGCGTGGCAATGGCTGGCACACATAATACTGATATGAGTTAACGTTTGCTGGGTTACCGCATGGTCTAGATTCCATTACTAAGCATTTTCCACATGGAGGCCCAGTTAATCTTCAAAACAACCCTATGAAGTAACAGCTAGTATTATCTGCACTTTACAGAGGGGAAAAGTGAAGCTTGGAGATACTAAGTAACTTGCCCAAGGTCACACAACCAGCAGGTGCAATAGTCAGGGTTTGACCAGGCAGTTTGATTCCTGAGTCCTGTGATCAACCATTGCAAAATACTTCCTCAGTAAACATATGCTCCTGCAGGTCACTGCCCCAGGCCTCTAGAAGGCTCTAGAATTGCTCTCCAGGTAGTTAGGGATGGAGAGAAATAAGGAACCAGAAAAACGAGAACTAAGGGTATGTGGACCTGTGAGTATATGAGTATGTGTGTGTGTATCGTCACAATACTTCTGGGCCTGTCACAATCACTAACAGATCCCATGAAATTCTCATAAACAGGGCCAAAGATGCTAAACATTTCACAATATGTAGGGCAGTCCCATACAGCAAATAATTTTCTCACTCAAAAGCTTCTTATTGCAGAGCAAGCCTCCACTTGCCCCTTCTCCATGCTCCTCCTAAGGCTCCCCTCATCACTTTTATTCCCCTCGAGTTCTCCCTGGATAATCATTTTCACTTGAGTTTGCAAGTGTACAGAGAGGAGGGGATGGGGAGCTCCTCAGATCTGAAGCCTGGGCTGTGTCACGACTTTCAGCTAATCTTTGTGCGACCTTGGGGGAGTCCCTAACCCTCTCTAAACGGTGGTCTCCGTATTTGCAAACCTTTCAGGTCACAGAACACGCAGGGAACTGAGACTTCACTTCCTCCTGTGGCTCTCAAACACTTTTAGTATTTTTAACTTTTTATTATGGAAATCTTCAATCACACACCACAGCATGAACAAAAATGTATTAAAGCTCCAAGGTTTAATCACTTGGTTTCAACAATTGTTATCAGTTTGCTAATCTCTCACCAACCACTACCCCCAGAACCTTTTTTTTTTTTTTTCTGGAGCTTTTTAAACAAATAAACAAACAAAATAGACAAAACATAATTTTACCCACAAGTACTTCAGTATGCATTTCTAACAAATTAGGATCTTTAAAAAAACATAACAACAATATCATATCACACCTATCAAGATTAACAATAACTCCTCAATGTCAGTCCATATCCATTTAAACTCTTTGTAATGGAGGAACATATTCCTTTAAACATAAGCTTGTAGAATCACACAATTTAAGTGGAATAAGGTGAAGGGAAGGAGAGAGGCAGAGTCCTGCCCTTCACCCTTGTCCCAGAAGTTTGAAAAGTTTGAAAGTCGCTATTTTACCCCTGACAGTTTGAAAGTCGCTATTTTACCCCTGACCCTCCTTTTGCATCCTGAGAACACTGAGGTCCAGAGAGAAGCGGTAAATGGTCAAGGTCATAAAGCAGTAAGTGGCAGGATTTGGCAGACTTATGAAGTCCCAACATCAAAGAACTCCAGTGAGGTCACAGGCATGAAAAGGTTTGCTAACTCCATCACTGTTTATCATCTACAGTGTGAATGATCATAATAAAAGCACCTTTCCAGGAATGACCTTGATTGCACTAATCCCTCACATCTCTCACTTTCTAGCTCCTCCTAACCATGCTGACCCGTGCACTGTGGTCTGACCTCAGCCAACGGCTTCTCCCGGCATTGTCTCACCTGGTCCCATGACAGCCCATGAGATGGGGACATTGAGAGTAACCATCCCCCAAACCCTCTCCCCTGAGGCCCCAGTGGTTAAGTCAGAGACCACAGGTCACACAGCTTAGAGGAAGCCAAACCAGGACCTGAACGCTGACCTCCTAATTCCCACTTACAGATCTTCAAACAAGCCAAGGAACTTACAAGTCGGTTCTCAGCTGCTGATGTCAGAATCACAGTTGAGCATTTCCAGTAACTGCACCAAGGCAAGAAGCAGAGCTCTTACTGCAGTAAGAAGAAAGTTAGGAGAACCTTAGGGAAAGGGAACTAAGTTCTAGAGAAGGGGCAGCTGGTGCGGAGAGAAATAGATACCTACTGGATTCCCGAGCCCTCAGCCACAGGTAGATAAGATACAAGTTGCCCATAGAGGGAGTCCTCTAGTACCTGGAGATTTTCTCTTCTCCTCATTGGAGACACCTGCAGCCAGTGCTGGTTTCAGAGGGATCTCAAGGTGAGGGGTTTTGAAGTAATAGGAACACACATCTTTCTAAAGGACTAGCCCAGGGCAAAGTGAATGGTGAATGCCTTAGAGCTGAGCTTCCCTTTCTTATAATCCTTCCTGTTCAAAGAGGCTTCTCTCTCCAAAACTCCGAGAGATTCATTTGACATCAGGTGCCTCCTGTAAAGATGGGGACCACCATGGTTCCACACAGGAATGGCACTGGAAAAAATGAAATGTCAGGACCTGTGGCACCCAGGGGTTTGGAGTGAACAGAGGAAGTCAGCATGGAAGAGGGGTCCTTCAGAGCTGGGGCACCGGAACTTCCCCAAATGCTTAGCTACTACCCAGCTCAGTAAGCAGGGAACATCGTTTACCCTTTGGGCCTCTGCAGAACAAGAGGATGTCAGACTACATCAGTAATTATTTTCACTAGTGGTCCTTCAACATTACCTGAGAAGGCTTTGGGAAACACCCGTTCCCAGGCCAACCCCAGACCCACAACATCAGAATCCTTGGGGTGCAGCCTGGGCAGAAGGATGTTTTAAAAGCTGGTTATTCCAGGTGCAGCCAGGAATGGGAAGTGCTGGACCAAATGATCTCTCAGACCATTTAGAGGGGATCATCTGTGAATACAGTTTAATTTTGTGTGACCCTGGTCCTCAACTTTCCTGTTGCACAGTGAGCTGTTTGACCCAGATGATCACTGAGTTCATGTCCAGGCTGGCCATACACAACCCACACTCCCGAGTTCCATATCTCTGGACCTTGATTTTGCCTTCCTCTGTGCAGGGAAAAATGGGAGGTGCTTTCCCAGGTTTCACAGCCTTTATCACTTCTACTTGTTCACTGAGTGGCAGCTCAACGGAAGGTGAGAGTTTGAGGAGCACCTGGGGAAGGAGCAAGAGGCCGACAGTAGATCTGTGTGGCTTCCTTTTCTGGAGGTGCTTGCTCTCTCTGAATGCTAACTTGTTTTCCTGTTTAAAGGTCCCAGTGGTTCTGGGCCTCCTTTGGCTCTTATTACAGAGGGGTAATCCTAGCATGTCAAAGAGGAGAAGATCAAATTGAAAGAAAGGTATTTGAAGGAGTCTAATTGTTCCCCAAGATACATTATCTACTCTAGAGAGACTCCCCAGCAACTCAAGAGGGGAAGCCTTACAAACAGGCCCCACTTTTTGAAAGCCAAAGCCGCAAACTGGAAAAAGAGATGCAGCTACTTCCTAGATCCGGCTACCCTTGACTGAGTCTCTAATACAAGTTGACACTGCACTGGGTACTTTTTGCATGTTTATTTCATTGAACTATCCTGATGTCATTATGCCCACTTTACAGATAAGTAAACCAAGGAAGAGATGGATGAAGTGACTTGACTCAAATTACACAGCATGTAAGAGAAATTCCAAGCCTGTCTGTCTGATAATTTGATGTGAAAAGAAAAACAGATCTGCCAGGTCTCATGCAGGGCTTCAGTTGAGATTTATATCCATTTCTCACCCTCTTCGATCTGTAGGTATATGGTTGACACATAGAGATGCAGAAAGGAATGGAAATGTTCCACAGAAAGGTTAAGGAAGAGCATGTGAATAATTTCTTCTCTCTCCAAAAAGACTGCTGACAGAGGAAACGAGGACTTGGGTTCACATCTAGGCTCTCTCCACTGAGAACCTGTGGGACTTTAGACCAAGTCATTTCAACTCTCTGAAACTCAGATTTCTCTTTTGTGAAGTACAGGCGACGATACACACTTCTCAGGGTAGTTGTGAAGGCAAAACATGCTGGCACAAGGAAAGTGCCCAGCATCACCAAGGAAGCACCCAGGTAGAGTTGGATTTCTTCATACCTTCAAGTGTTCCCCAGTCCAGAAAGCCAAGACTGAGATATTTGGAAAATCATGTCTAATAAGAATGAAGTTTGTTGAGCACCTACTACATACCAAGTCCAGTTTTAAGTACCTTCCATGTCCAAGTTCTGTTAGCATTTACACAGCTCTATGATACAGGTACTTGTGCCATCATCACTCTGTACATGAGGAAGGTGAATGAAGTCCAGAGAAGTCAACTAGCTTGCTTGCCCAAGGTCACACAGTTAGTTAGGGGCAGAGATTCCACATAGGTAACCTGGCTACTAAAACTGAGTTCTAACTATTACAATATTCTAGATCCCAGGTAGGACTACAGATACTGGGGAAAAGCCTTGTTAATATATGGACTCCTAGCCATATACTTAAACCCAGCCTTCACTGTTACAGCAATGCTGAAGTGGAGAAAATGTGGGTACTCTTTTTTGAGGGTTGGGTGGATACTAGGAAGTGGGGGTGCAGAAGGGAAGGAAAAAAAGATTCTTGGGAGTAACCAGCACACTTAATCCAGTCCAACCATTAGAACAAAAGAAAAAAGGCTGGCAAGCAGAGGTGCTGGATGGGATTCAGGTAAATCCTTTTCTCCTTCTGAGCAGGAATTCCGAATCACTAAGGCAAGGGGAGTGGGACAGGGGTGGGAGGAGGGCAGTACTTGTGGGGTCCACATTTCACTTATCTAACAGGTCAGGAGAAACTTTAACAAGATTAACTGCTGCTCAAGGCCTCTGCTCGATGGAGCAAATTGAGTCTTTTGTTTTCCTTTTCTTTCAAACTGGAGGGGTGTTGGGGGGGCAGTTGGGGATGAGGAACAGGGGTCTGGTTCCTCCTGCCTGGTGTGGTACAAAAGCAAAGGGATGTGTCAGAAACAACCCCTCATCCCCTGACTTGAAAGGGAGCCCAAATTGCTATGCATGAAGGCTGAAGGCTGTGTGTGGGTGGTGGGTCCGTGTGGGGTGAGAGGTGATGGTGTTTATGAGACACATTCTCTCAGCGGTGCAGGGGGCAAGGCCTGGAAGTCAGATGCCAGGGATTAAATCCTAGTTCCTGCCGCTGAGGAGCTGTGTCATCCAGCACACACCCCTCCCCTCTCTGTGTGTCTCTCTCCCCATTCGGCCAAAAGGGAAACTGGCTTGGGTAACCTCTGAGGACCCTTTTCACAGCAGCCTTAAAGGATTCTTCAATCCTAAAGACCATCCACTGGTGGACCCTCCAGAGAATCCTACACATAGGCACTTTCTAACTTTGGCTTTGTTTTTGCCTGCATAAGCCTTCCCTTTTTTTATGTATTAGTATATATATTTTTCTCCTTTCCTTTCAGAAAAATAAAAGGCATGTTTTCTGAGCTTCAGAAGCAAACTGCTCCTTCGCTCCTTCCCCCTGTCTCTCCGAGCGCCTGTCTGAACTGGTGTCAGTGAAGTTTGAACCGGGGCAGAAATAGCATCCCGGGCGGATCTGGGAGCATAGCCCGCCTACCAGGAGCGGCAAGGCCTGCCTCTGCCAGACGACAGACCCGGTTAACAGCACCGTAAAATTAGACCTTTACGAAACCCAATTGAATCCTGCAGCAAAGAGTGATGTAAGGCAGCCTGGCCTGACAGCAAGACAGCAACTCTCTGCCTGAAATAGCAGCGCGGTCCCTGCTGAGCGATGACTGCTCTCTCAAGATAGGTGACCAGGGATTCCTAGGAAAGTGGCAACGCCCAGCCAGAGAAAGCCAGCAGAGGTCAGGCAGCAAACTGGGCACCTGAGGTCGCCGCGAGAGGGTGAGCCTTCGCACCCGATCCTTGCTGCCCACCTCGGTCCTGGCTCTCCCAGCCCAAACTTACACGAAGGAGGGAGCTGAAAAAGTACTTCTGCAAAGAACCTCTGTTTGTTTGCTTTTTAATTCAAGGAGAAGCAGGTTCTTTTTAGTCCAACAGCCTGTACCATGTGGAGGATATGCAGAATGAGTCTTTTCTGGCTCAGAGCCAGGTGTTTACACGCCGCCAAATCTGGCTCCAACTCAACTAGGGGAGGGAAAAGAAATCCACCAGAATCCTCAGGGGAAAAGCTCCTGGCTTTCTGGTGCTACACGACAGCAGTGCTTATTTATTTATTTTATTTTTTTCGTTTTGAGAGGAATGTTATTTCTACACATAAAATGGACCAGGCATTTTATACAAGCAATAATAACCTAACGCCCCCCATCCAATTAAAGTATTTTACTGCAACAATCTTTGTGTGAGAGAGTGAATGAGTGCTCAAGAGAATGTGTGTGAAGAGAGGCTCCTTGTCTGAATTATAGACATTTATAAAGCAGTCTCCTGTGGAATCCCAGGTGTTATATATATATATATACATATATATATATACACATATATATATACACACATATATATACATGTATATATATATATACACACACACACACGTATTTATGTAGACACACTTACATAGTTAAAATGCATTCACTACCCTTTCACTGATGATGCCTGCATAACCCTGTGCTCTCCTCTCTCCAGGGAATGCCTTCCAAATCACTGGTACTAGGTAAAGACTAGGAAAAACCAGACCTACAGATTAAAAAAAAAAAAAAATCACCTCCAAGCAGCAGTCTCTTTGCTTTTTCACATGTTTGGAAAGAGAAGTCAACATACTACAGCTCTAAATTATCACCATCGTCATTATTATTATGGATAACGTTTCCTCTGTTCCAAATTAGACCCTCCTCTGGGCAAATAGGGCTTGCGAGTTAAAAGTGAATGAGTTCAGTCTCCTTCTTCTTCCCGGAGGAAAAAAAAAAAGGAAAAATAGCATGCGATGACGTCAGTTGTGGGTTGTTGGGGGGAATCACTGTATCGCTCTCCTTTGATAGCTGGAAAGCGGGGGCTTCGGGAGACGTATTCTTGGGATAGCAGCAGAGTGTGGGTCTCCTAAAGGGGTCTTCATGTCAACTGGATAGTCAGTGCTACATCTGTGAAAGTCCAAGCCATGGAAAGACAGGAAGAAGCAGAACTGCCCGGAGAGCTCACAGCTTTCCCTTCTAAGAAAGTGTGTGTGTGAGGGGGTGGGATCGCAAAACGCCTTCACACGTTTCCTGGCTGCAGTGAAGGGGGAACCCCTACTCTCACTTTAAGACGTCCCAGGACATGGCAAGATTGTTTGTGCAGAAAGGGAATCTCCCAGACAGAAAAGGCAAAACTTTCCTCCTCTCTTCCAGCGCCGCCCCCACCTCCGCTCCCCAGTTTTATTAAAGGCATTTCCACAGATTCATTTAGAGGGGGGAAAATGGATGCTGGAGCATTTCTAAGGTTTGCAATCCTCGCAAAGTGTCCGATTTCACTATAGGCTTTGCTGTGGAACAGCGAAGGGGAGAGAGAGGGAGGTTGAGGAGGGAGAACTCAAATTCATTACGGGCTCATAAAGTCCCATATGAGAAAAGCGCCCCGTTTCGCAGCCGCGTCTGGGGAACGCTGGCGGGGTATGCGTTAGGAAGGTCTCGTCCCAGCCCCGAGTGACAGGCAATGGGCTTTAAAAGCTAGGACATGGGATGGCGTGGAGGGGGTGAGGGTGAGTCCCAGAGGCAGGCTTCAATCAGTGAGCAACTTTGGGGCACTTCGAGGACTTCTAAGTCCTGGCCATTACAACAACCTTGCCCTTGCCGGCTTTCAGGGGAATGGGGCCTAATGAAGGGGAGTTACCTCCATTAAAACGTCAAAGAAATCAACGGTCCCCAAGTCTCCTTTCACATGCATCTCAATTGGGTCATCCTCCCTTTCATCCCAAAAGGAGAGAGTGCATCTGACCATTCGGAGCACGGGTTACGTGCCCTAGGCTCCGGGAACCAGCCCTCACTGGCCGAGGGTCCGCGGGGCCGCCAGGAGGGCTCCCCAGGTTCCTCCCAGGGATGGAGCAGCTACGCCTTCCGAGTGTGCCCATTCCACCGATGGAGCAAAGTGAGGCTCTCAGCTCGCCCGGATGTCTCTGCGCCGCTCGCGGGGCAGCTCTCGCACAGACACGCCCGCAAGCCCCCGACCCGCCCGCCACCCGCGCCCAGACACCCGCGAGCCTCTGGGGCCGCAGGGACGGTGCAGCGCCCGCCGAGGCGCCCTCACCTACCTGTGATCACTGCCGGAGACCTCTGGCCCCCCTCCGCTCGCAGCCACACTTGCAGCGTGAACGCGTCCCGGGGCAGCTCGAGGTCGGCCCGGAGGCGCAGCTGCTCGCCTCGCCCGCTGAAATAGAGCGCCCGGCTCGGCGGGCTCGGCTCCTCGGTGGCGCCCCTCGCCTCCCGCTGCTGCCGCCGCCGGGGGACGCGCACGGCTTCCCAGGCACCGCCCGGCGGCGGCGGCGGCGGCGGCGAGGCGCGGCGGCCGCGGGCCGCCCGGGTGGCGCAGGTGGCCGGGCCGGCGGCGGGGCGCGGGGGTCGGCCGGCCCGCGGGTCTCTCCGGGCCCGGCGGGGACGCTCGGCCAGCCCGCAGCCCAGCGCGGCGCTCAGCAGCCCCAGGTGCAGCACCCAACTCCAGAGCCGCATGTCCGACGGTTCCCCCCGCCCCCCCTTCGCCCCTGCACCGCCACCCGGAGCTGCCAGCTTTGGGAGCCTCGGCGCCTCGACTTTCTTCGCTTCTTCACCCTTCTTGGGCGAGCCCCCCTTTCCACTTGCTTTTTTCTTTTCTTTCTCGCTTTCCTCCTCAAGGTGTGTGCTCCACTCTCCCCACCTTTGAAAAATACAGCCCAACTCCTCCTGGTTGGCAATTAATTTCTCTCCCCGCTCCTTTATCTGCCTTATTTTTCCCCTAACAGCTGGTTGCCTTCCTCCTTGTTTTATTTCATTTTATTTTATATGATTTCTCGCTCCAAAAAAAAGCTCCTCTTAAGACTGATCCGCTGAATTCCCTCCCCCCAAAAGATGCTCTAATTTATTTATTTTTTGCGTCCTTTATAACACAAGCCACAGCCCCCTTCTCCCCCCCCAAGTCCCCCCTCCCCTCCCTCCTTCTTCTCAAAATGAAAGGAAAGAGGGGGAAAAAATCCCTCAGAAGATGAGTAAACAAGCGTATGCTAATCTGCTCCCCAGCGCTCCACCTTCCCAATTGAATGAGTCCCTGTTAAAACTGCGGGGATCATGACTAATCAATCAGTTTGGAGAGGCCGAGCTATCCAGCTTTCCTTCACTTTGCCTTTTGCCTCCTTTCCTTCGCTCCCGCTTCTCCACCACCCCCTCCTTTTCTCTCTCTCTCTCTCTCTCTTTTTTTTTTTTTTTTTTTAAGGAGACAATCTTAAAGTAACAATTTAATGAAATTCTGTACACACCCCCTTACGGTCCTCCCAGCTCTCATTCCTGCTCAAAACACACATTCCTGTTTTTGTTTTGTTTTGCTTGCTTTTTTTCCCTCCCTCACTCCCCCCACTTATTATTATTATTTCTGATGGCAGGAGAAAAATCTGTCTCTTCTCTTAGGATCCCCTTTGCACTTTGCTGGTAAACCTCATCCTTTTCTGTAGCACATAAAGAGTCTTGAAACTTGATTCTTAGATTTTTTTTTTTAATTCTCTCTCTCTGTCTCTCCCTCCCTCCCTCTCCCTCTCTTTCTCTTTTTCTCACTCTCTCCCTTACTCTTCTTCCCGCTTCCTCTCCCTTTACCTCTTTCCCTCTTCTTTTCCCTGTCCTTTTCCCTCTCAGAATTTCCTTAAAGTTGTACGATGATGAACCATTCCCCTCTTTTCTGAGCCCCCAGATAAGGCTGGCTTCAGCTAACCCAAATGTTTCCAAAGTTCTTATGGAATCATCAGAAGAAAATAGAAGAAAGGCACTGTCCAGGACATCTGCCTTTCAGAAGCTGTAGTCCTAGTACAACTGGGTCTCTGAATTTCCCCGAATACTCTTTAAAATACTCTGTTGGTCATTAGAAATTATTTTAATTTTATAAGAAGAAAATGAGAGAAAAATATTAATTTGCCTAATGTTTTCAACTTAAGCAATTCAGGTCCTCTGAAATTGTTAAAGTCACAGGTAAGGATCTGACCATTTGCTGCTTTGTAGGTCTGTTTTTGAACTGGGACATACATGTAATATATTTTTTTCTTCTTTTTTCCCCCTCTTTATAGAACTCAAAAGCTCCCCCTTATGGCAAAACAGATCTTCTTTTATTTTGTCCAAGTGTTTAAT
This sequence comes from Homo sapiens, assembly GCF_000001405.40. Taxonomy (NCBI): domain Eukaryota; kingdom Metazoa; phylum Chordata; class Mammalia; order Primates; family Hominidae; genus Homo; species Homo sapiens. Next base: position 116,152,537 of record NC_000009.12, on the reverse strand, counting down.
AAGTCAAAACATGTTAGCAATGGTGGATTACAAGCTATTAATTACCAATCTATTCCAATAAGGTAGTGATAAAAATATTCTGTGTGAAGTTTGCATGTGAATAGCGTGCTGAAAGTCTGCGATAAAATTAACTCCACTAAATTGTAACTTTCTTCTTCAATTGCTCTTATCTTCCGAGCTGCTCCAGATCTTTCTTGAGAGCTAGGAACATTGCTACACGCTTCAGGAAGAGAGAAAACCAAGGAAGAATGTTTGTTGGCAAAAGTATGACGATTTGTCGGATGAGCAAATGACTCAGACATCCCCTCTATGAAAGCTGGAATGCGATATATGCAAAGATTATGGAAGCTTTCTGAAAATGGGAGATCTCAGATTCATACCTTCCTAGTTTAGAAAGAAGTTGCTGAATAGTCTTAGACTAAGAACGTTTGAACTCTGTTTCTGTAGTCATAAAATGAAAATAGCACAATACCCTAAATGTGTTTCCAGAGACTGGCTGGAGGAAAGAAAATCTTGGGTGCACAATGTCATGAATAAAGAATTTGCCTAAGCAAATCTTTGACTTTTTGCAACTCCAAGTCATCTGTAAAAGGTTGCCATTGGATAAAAAGAGAGCTATGTTGAACAACATAAATTGTATCATTCAAAATCCCCCTTCCTCTCCAATAGAGGTTGGACCATGACTACTGATTTACTTCAGTTGTGGCAATTAGGCATTTAGAAACTGCATGTCTTCCAGGGGGATTTTAAGTCATTGTATACAATAATTTTGAATATTCCTAGACAACTGGGAATTATTCAATTCTCAGACCAGCAGTGGGAGCACAAGATTTTTACTTCTCATTTCCTACTCCCTCCAACACATATCAGTTCACTGGCCTTGAGTAAGACACTTCATTTCTCTTCCCTTCCACTTCCTTACCTTTAAAATGGGAATATCTACTTGGCAAATTTATTTTGAGGACAAGATATGCTCTGGGGTATAATCTTTTGTAAACAATAAAAATGATATACGAATACCATTTGTTCTATTGTTGTTGTCAAAGACAAAGTGCTCCTCAGGTTCTTAAAGACAAACAAGAATTGAGGAGGCCAAGTTATTTCTCTCCTGTAGGAGGCAGGAAAACGAAGGGACAACGAAGTTCATGTCTTATGGGTCCTTGAACTCCTTGATCTCCGTCCTCAAATGCACTGGGATCATTTGGCAAGACATTTCACTCATCCATTCATTGAACATACATTTACTATTTGTTTCCATCTGTCTTGGAAGCCATTCTAACTCTTTATGCATATATGTATGTATGTATTTGCTTGTTTTTAATTGAGTGCATAAAATTAGATGAAATTTAATTCTTGGTTCATGACCCACCCTAACCCTTGATCTATGACTGACATTCATATATATATGTATATATAAAAGACCTTCATATATATATATATATATATATATATATATATATACACACACACATATATATATATATATATAAAATGTATCATGTACTGCTATCCCTTTTTTACTACAATACTTGATCTTTTATGGATGTGTTCCCTCTCTTTTAATCATTTTTAGTAGAAGAGCAATCGTTTCAATGTCAGGTGACTCAGGATCTTATTCTGCTTTGTGTAGGATCTTTAGATCTCATTCTGTTCTAATGTAAAATGAAAAAACTGGAATCAAATATTCTTAAGATCACTTCCAGATTTGAAATATAATGTAGCCTCTAATTATCGGAGTAAGGCAACAATTCCCATCTAGTCATCCAATATTCAGTTAGTTTCCTTCCTTCCAGCCCTCCTCCCCAGGGACTCCCTTAAGTTCCTGAGGATTTTTTCCTAAAAGGTACTTTGACTCTGTTTCTTCGCTCTTATGATATACTCCTTCAGTGTTCATTTTGTTTGGTAATTACTAAAAGCGTTTTTCCAGAAAGGACATAAGATTCTACTGGAAGTTAGAAAAGTAACATCAAAGTAGAGCCCTAAAGATTGAGACTGATTTGAATGTGGGTGAGGGTGGTTAAAAGTACATCTCAGAGTCACCCTGACCTGGGTTCCTATGACTCTCAGCAAGTTGCTTAATTTCTCTGAGTCTCTGTGACCTTACCATGGAGTTGTCATGAGGATTAGATTAGTGTGTTGCATGACATAGTAGGTGCTCAATATATAAGTACCCTCTTTTCATTTCCACAGATCTAATTTTTAATGGCCCTTTGAGCTTTTTTTCTCAGCTTTTCTCTGGAGCCAGAGCCCTATGTACTTCTTATGTCAAGCCAGATGGATAATTCTCGTCTTAGAATTCCTAAAGCAAGCATCGTCTGTCTCACAGAATCTGGAACTCACTGAGATAGGATCTCCCATTGTTCTTAGTGTAGTGTCCTGCTTATATCTTTCCTCCAAGATTAGAATCCTTGAAGGGTGAAGACCTTTAAAGGCAAGAATCTTCAAGGGCCAGTTCTGTCACCTGCTCAGAGAATCTTCAACTGACTGCACCCCTCCCCGAGCAGCCTGAAGGGCTCCCTCCTCTGGGCCCTTGTAGAACTGCTTCTGAATTTCTATCGGCACACCCTCAAAGCAAACTCTCAGGCAAATTATATATTGGCATGCTTCTTTTTTCCATTTGGGTCAGAGACTGTTGCATTCATATTTGTTCTTTCCCAACTGCCTAGCTCAGCGCTGTGCATAAAGATGTTTGTCCACAACCCCTGTTGAATTTAAGTGTATATATTTATATATGTTGTATAGCTTCTTTATTTTCTCCTGTGGTACCAATCATGGTGCTATGATTCTATTAGTTTCTTAATAAACAATTAATTTAATTTCTTTGTTTTCTCTGCCTCAGTTTTCCCAGATGATGCATCTGTGAACACCCTGACAGATATAGTTCATCAGTTGCTCAAGTGAAGGTCACTAAAAAGAATGTAGGCTTTGGAGTAGAATAAATTGGGTTCAAATCCTATCTTTGCTAAATAACAATTACAATAACAGCTTACGTTGATTGAGTATGCATGGTGTTCCACGCAATATGTAAGTGCTTTTTATTGGAACGATCTCATCTAATCCTTATAACAAACTTACAGAAGAGATCTAATAATCATCCCATTTTACAGGAGAAAAAAAAACAACACTGAACTGGAGAGACTAAATAAATAATGGAGAGCTCAGCCAATCCAAATCTAGCACTCTGTGTACTAGCTCAAGGGGATAGGAAAAATCACTTAACCTTTTGAATCTCATTTTTCATTTCCCCTTTTTATGGATTTCTTGGGGTTATCTGGAAGATTAAATAAGACGTGGATATCATGTTGCACAGTGATGAGTACATATGTCAGTGGTGTTGGATAAACATTAACTTCTTTACTTCCCCCCAACAGTAGTTTAGTTGTATTAATTTAACATATATACTAGAGTTGACAATTGTAATAATTACACCAGCAGTCATAATAACTCCCTCATATTAAGCACCCACTATGTGTTGGACCCTGTACTAAGTTTTTAACTTCACAAGACTAGGAGGTAAGTCTGAACCCAGTTTATCTGAATTGCCCAGCAGTTTCTATCTGTCCTTCTGCCTTCTTAAATCATATGAAAAATAAATTTACCCACAGCCCAGAGTAGTTTTGAGAATCTCCAAGATCCTTCGGAAACAAAAATTAATACGGTGATTTACTTATTGCTGTTCTGAGTTTAGAGCTGCACAGAAAGAAAGCTGGTGATCAGATTGTTTGCCTGAGCTGGAGGTAGGGGGTTGGGAGTCAGGGACCTCTGAGGCTAGAAGTGAAGACGGTGACCTCAGGATGTTTTCCTCTGTATGTTTTTGAAATTTTTGTGTCCAATAGTGGTTGGCTTAGAATCAACTAGGGTTCTCTCTTAAGCTTCCTGCAGGTTTAAGACTAGGAAACTAACACAGAAACGTCTGCATTGCAACCCTGGTCCTTTGACTCATGCCAAGGTGCCCTATTTTGTTAGTCTCAGGTGCCCAAGGCATTTCTTATGCATAGAATTTTAATTAAAGATGAAGACCACTAATTTACATTGCATGCTTTAAAAAAATTGTAAAAAGGCATATTATTTTATAAATTTCATTTATTATTCCTTTAGTAATAATAATTAGCTATGATTTAGTGTGACAGACACTATTCTGATTGGTTACATATATTTAATTTTACATTCATTTAATCCTCAAATTATAATCTGTAATGTTTCTTATTTTCTTCAATTTTTCAGATTAAAAAAATGAAGCTGAAAATACTGAGATTTTTAAAAAGTTGGTGAGATTCCATGACACATTTGAACCAAGGCTATCTCTCTCCAAAGTTCACATTCTTAGCTGTTTGGCTGGCCTGCCTCTAATCCACCTTTAATCTTGCTATTGTTTTAAATTTTAATCAGGAAAGTATCTCGATAATCCCCTGGAAGAGGAAGCTTTGAGAGAAATCAGAAATGGGCCATGGTGGGCGTTCTCTTCATTCAGTACATGTTGCAGTGTTTTGTTGAGTGGAAAATGAAACGTTTGATAACCCCTTCTGCTTAATTCCAGGACAAATGTATCTTGTGGTTTATTTGAGAAGAGGCCTTGAGTCATATAATGGACAATGCTTTCAGATCTGTTTTTTTTTTTTTTTTAATTTTTTCCAGAAATTGCAGAATCTCTGTCTAATTGGCCACTTTTATATCAACTGAGATTGAAGGCGTGCAATTAATTTTTCTTCAGTGAAGACTTTCTCATGGGAAACTAATTCAGCAATGCTTTGTGATGAGCTCAATCTATAGCAATTGGGAATAGCATGACTTGCTGAGCCCCTTCTCTGTGCCATGCGTGGACCTAACCTGCATCCTCACAGCAACTCAAATAGGTAGGTTTTGCTGTCTGTTTGAAAAGATAGGAAACTCAGGTTCAGAAAGAGGCAGCAATTTACCCAGAATCACCTAACTAGAAGATATATGTTCAAAGCAGAACTCTAACCTATGTGCTTTGACTTCAATGGAGTGCGTATATCTTCATAACATTGTTCTTGATGAAACATTAAAAGAAATCATTCCTAGAGGATTAGTTTTTATCCCTTCCTCCTGTATTTTAGATTTATGCTGCTGTATTCCATTCTATGCCACACTTCAAGCTTCTGAAAGATGAGACCTCAGTCTTTTGCCTTTTGCAGCCCCTCATGGGGTTTACCCTCTGTGTTTTTTTGTTTTTTTTGTTTTGTTTTGTTTTGTTTTGTTTGTTTTTTAAGATGGAGTCTCACTCTTGTCACCCAGGCTGGAGTACAGTGGCGCAATCTCAGCTCACTGCAACCTCTGCCTCCCGGGTTCAAGCGATTCTTCTGCCTCAGCCTCCTGAGTTGCTGGGATTACAGGTGACCGCTACCACGCCTGGCTAATTTTTTGTATTTTTAGTAGAGACGGGGTTTCACCATGCTGGCCAGGCTGGTCTCGAACTCCTGACCTTAGATGATCCACCCACCTTGGCCTCCCAAGTGCTGTGATTACAGGCGTGAGCCACCGCGCCCGGCCTACCCTCTGTGTTTTATACTGATTAGGAGTTGAGTGAACATTTGGTGAACTCTGTGAAACTTCCATAACCCTTAGGTATGTCTGACTTCCAGAATTTTGCCATGCTTCTCCCACACCTTAGTTTGAGTCCTACAAATTCTTAAAATTCATTTGAAGAAAGTCCTGACTCTTACAGGAAAGTTTCCTTATACCTTCCACCAATTAGAATTAATCTCTCCCTCTTCTGAAACTCTCATACCTAATCCCCAAGCCATTGAGCCAGCACTGTCATGCACAGCCTTATGTTGCTACTTCGCTTGTCACATAGACATAAACTTGGCTAGATGGTATATAAGGATGATGTTAGTTAGCCATTAGTATCTGACACACCAGCTCATTGTAGTTTTTTTTTTTGTGTGTGTGTGTGTTTTAACAGAAAGTGCTTTACAATTTGTTAAATCTAACACTCCCAATTTACAAATAAAGATCCACAGAGGGGAAAGGACTCTCCCAAAGTTACACATCCAAATCATCCCAAAGTGAGAATTTCCTAACCAATACGCTTTCTACTAAAATGCTGCTTCTATTATTGCAGATGATGATAATTCATTTATTCATCAATAATTATTTATTTATCTATTGTCAATTATGTGCCCAACAATATGTTAATGCCTGGCTAGCTGACTAGCATGATTTTTCATTCTTAAAATTATTATTAGTTTTGTTATGAATAGTGGACATTTATTGGTGTTTTATGGGGTGAATGTTTATACATTACATTTTTTAGTCTTTATAAGAACACTAGGAGGCAGGTAATATGATTATCTTCATTTTATAGACAAGAAAAACATCTTTAGACTACTGCATAAATTTGCAACAATCAAAAACCAAGTACAATTGGCTCCAAAGTCCATATTCTGAACCTTTAAGATAAACTACAGCAATGAGAAATTTGAAAGTTCCTTTATGATAACTGGAGATTTACTGTGCAGTGCCTCAAGTCAGTCCTTAACTTCACTGATAAAGGGAACCAACAGTGGCCAGCCCTCCAAACTTAGGTCCATAGGCAACACTATTACAATGAACATTGAGAGAAAGCATCACATAATCCTGGGAGCATACGGACCCTGGACTGACTTGGACCACGCATAAAAACACTAATTTTATTTTATTATTTTTTCCTTTTTTATTTTTGTATTTTTATAACTTTTATGTTCAAAGGTACATGTGCAGTTTTGTTATATAAGTAAATTGTGTGTTGCAGTGTTCGATTTATACATTATTTTGTCACCCAGGTAATAAACCATAGTACCCAATATTTTTTATCCTCACCCTCCTCCCACCATACACCCTCAAGTAGGCCCTATTGTCTGTGGTTCCTTTCTTTGTGTTCACATGTACTCAATGTTTTTAGCTCCCACTTATAAGTGAGAACTTGCAGTATCTGGTTTTCTGTTCCTGTATTAGTTTGCTTAGAATAATGGCCTCCAGCCCCATCTGTGCTGCTACAAAAGACATGACCTCATTTTTTTTTATGGTAGCATAGTACTCTATGGTGTATATGAATCACATTTTTTAAATTCAGTCTGCCATTGATGGGCATTTACATTGATTCCATATTGTTGCTATTGTGAATAGTGAAACCACCAATTTCAAACAGTTAATAAATAATAATAACTTTAGACAGTGGCCCTAGTTTATGGAGAGTACACTGTGCTCCTCAGAAGAAAGGGAAACTTAAACTTATTTTACAATGTCATGTTGAGAAATGATGAGCTCACACTTGGATCTGCTCTTGCAGTGTTCAGTAAGGGCCATGGGACAGACTACACTGATTGAAGAGCTCTAGTGGGACTCAAGAGTCCAGGCTCTGGTCTCACTTCTGCCACTAAATTCCTGTGTTGCTTTAGACAGATCTTTTATTTTTCTCTTTGAGAACCTGTTAGAACATTGGAAATGGAAACTGACCTGGTTCCTGGTCTTATGGGCAACAGATAAGCCCTAGTATAGCTGTTCTCTGGGACCACTGTCCTTTCTGTTCTATAGAATCAAAGTCCTTTCTGATTTGTTGGTTTTCTATGAACTGCACAGTATTAAATGACTCTAAACATTACCCAATTTCCTATACATTATTAAATGACTCTGAATATTACCCCGTGTTTATACACAATTTCACATCTTATTTTACAGACTTGGTAATTTCCTTCCTGATTCCATTGATAATCCTGTTAAGACTCCTGGATTATGTGCCTACTAAGAATCCTTCCCATTCAGTTCTTCCCTGATTCTCATCAGCACTTGAGTCATTCTGTATCACTTCTGAACACAGTTCAGGATGGTAAGCTAGGTCTTGAAGTTCAACAGGCTCTAAGTATAGAAGTGGTTCTCCGGATAGCAGCCTTACCCAACCCATCAGGCTTCAACCTGCCAAATTATCTCAACACCTTTCTCAGACTGTCTGGTCACTGTCATGCATAAGTTCTCAAAGGCAATATTAACTGATTTTTATGTCTTGCATCATGATGTTCATCATTTAGAGGGGAGAGAGTGAATACTAGCAACCCAGATAGACAAGTGGAGAAACCATTGCGTGGTTATTACCAGCCAGGTTACTCAGCATCTTCATGAGAAGTCGGTTAACATACTTTTATGGGTAGAAAAGCAGGATTGGAGAGAAATGAAAAGTTCCTGTGCCAGGAACAAAAGTTCCTCCCTGCCACACACTGGCCAGGTTTGAATTCAGACTATATGACCATGTGCAAGAGATTTAACCTGTGAGTCAGTTCACTCACTGATAAAATGAGAGCAGTAATAATAAGATCTACTGTTTAGGGTTTCTGTGAGTGTTGAATGAGTCAGTATTTACTGAGTATTCGGGGCTTGTCTGGTGCAGAGTTTTCACTCGAGTAATGTAGGCTATTTTCATTTTAATAGTCGTTCTACTGAGCTTTCCCCACTCCTTAGTGGCATCTTCAGATAAAAATGAATGTAGCATTCTTCTACCAACCGAATAAATGTTTATCAATCACCCACTGGGCACCTGGCAACAGGCTAAGTGTGAAGGATTCAAGTACGACCCAAGTCTTCATTAACTTACCTGTCCAATAATAACACTATTAGCATATACTGAGAATCACTAAATGTTGGGTGCTGCATTAACGTAGTCAATCCTCACAACAAAGTCCTGAGTTCGTGCACTCACTTTACAGAGAAGAAAATTGACCGGAGAGGAAAAACAACTTATCAACGTTGTTAAAATATGATAGAGCTACAATTCAAACTCAGGCAGTTCGAGTCCTGAACCCACCACTTAACCACTTTGCCACATATTTCATTAGAAAAGCAAAATGTTAAATAACAACAACAACAAACTGAGTATGACAGAAACAGGGATTGGGATGGTACATACTGGGGGACCTCTGAAGAAGAGATTGGGAGAGCCCAGGGTAAGCATATAAAAATGAGTCCAGAGGACTTTCGTTTTGTCTATATTTTTGTCTTTTATATCCACAATGAAAGTATATTTATGCATGAATGTTAGTTATTTAAAAAATAGAAAAATACTTACAGATGAATTAGCAACACAGGCTCTTTATATACCCAGTCCGCTTTAGAGTTTGCAAAAAGACTTTCTCTTTCATTACCTCACTGAAAAATTGGGACCTCCCTGCAAAGGGGTGAAACAGCAGAAATCTTTATTAGCCCCACTTTAGAGATGAGAATTTTGAAGCCCAAAGAGGGGAAGGAGCGTCACGTGACTGACCTAGGGTGAAACAGAAAAGAGGTGGCGAGCCTAGGATTTTTCATGTGCATATTAATTCATGAATTGACTCCATCTTGGCTGGCTAATTCAAGTTCCCATTGCTGCTAGACAGTAAAATTGATGATGATGATGATGGCAATGATGATGTGCTAATTAAAATTTCTATGGTGCTTGCTAAGACAATGCACACTGCTAAACTTTAAAGCATCAAATCTTCTCATCACCCATTTGAAATAAGCACAATTCTTAGCCATGCTTTCCTAATGGAGAGCCTGGGGCTTACCAGCAGAAGCTGACTGACTCCCTGGAGGTTATGGTAGGGTTTCAGCCAAAGTCATTTGACTACCGAGACTTTGCTTTTACTACTTTGCACTAATACCTTTCTTGCCAGTCATCAGAAAGGAGAAAATAAACCCACACTACCTCAACCTCAAGGCTAACTCCTGAGAAAACATTCCCAGAGCACCTGAGCAGTTGTCCTGCCCTCATCTTCCTGCCAGCCAGTCTACCCAGCTGCACCTCAGTTTCACTATCTGAGAAATGGAAATGACAATGCCTCCTTCACTTCACAGAACTCAATTATAAAAATGATATGATCCAATATACAAAGGAGTCTCTCCACAGAGGCAGCTCCTTCGCTTTGCCTCTTATGTAAATGTCCTCTCTGGCCAAGCAGGATGTGAAGACTAGAGAAGAAGCTCTGTGACTTAGAAACAGACTTGGGAGTACAAAAAGTGTGGATTTAAATTCTGGCTCGGTCACTTAAAAGATACATGTCCCGGGGCAAATTACTTAAGCGCTTACTTGGTCTCTGTTTCCTCATCTGTAAATAGGCTTAAAATTATCCACTTTTCAACACCATTGTGAGACACAAATGGGATAGTGCACTAAAGCCCTTGGCATGGTGCCTGGCACAGAGTACGTGCTTAAAGATGAAGCTGTCTGCGATAGGTGTCTATCTCACACCACACCCAGCCCATTTCAAACGCTCAAAACCCACTGAATGATGAACAGAGAGTTACACAACTTTTACAGGAGCCATTCCAACCACAAATACTTGTTCCAAGAAATTCCATTCTATCCAAATGGATTCATTCATTCTCAGTCTATATTTCATGAGGGAAAAAGAGAGATGATATTCTATATTTTCATTAGACCCTTTTTTATTGTACAATTTTTTTTTCTTTCCTTCCCCTTTCCCTTCCTCTTTCCTTCCCCTTCCCTTCTCTTCCCTTCCTTTCCCTTCCCTTCCTTTCCCTTCTCTTCCCTTCCCTTCCCTTCCCCTGCTTCTTCTTCCTTCCTTCCCCCTCCCCATCTCTTACCCTCTCTCCCTCCCTCCTTTCCTCCCCTCCCCTCCCTTCCCCTCTCCTTCCTTCCTTCCTTCCTTCCTTCCTTCCTTCCTTCCTTCCTTCCAACATACTGTTATAGAAACAGTACATAGGCTCAGAAATAAGGAGAATTAGGTTCTAAAGGAGATCTGGTAAATGGGGCACTTGGATAATTGATCTAACTATTTCTCCTCCTGCCTACCTGTCTCATGAAAATGACAATTGATCCAACTTTTACCAAGCACTCACTTTATGCTAGACACCATGCTGTAAACTTTATAACCATTGTACCTTGACATCACACAACTAATATCTGTCAGATGATAACTCACCTCTGAGTAGCTTGCCCTCCTTACTCACTGAGAAATACCATGTTTGGATTTAAAAGTGTTCTAAATGTACTATAAAGCTATATAGAAATTATTATTATTGATTATCATTACCAACAATCTCAATACTGATCTCAAGGTCATAATGACAACTGGTCCACTCAAGTACAATTAATGCACTTGATTTGATACCTTACGGTCACCATAGTGGTGTAATGGATATATTCTGTGGCCTGCTTGACGTGGCTATCATTATTTTTAGAAATGTTACCAATATTTTAATGAACATCCAATTTCACTAATGCTGATTATAAGGCCTTCTTTATAAGTGTCACAGAACTCAGAGCTGTGTGTTCCTGATCAACACAATGGAAATTTTGATGCTCTAGTGAACTTTCTCTGATGATTTCCTTATAATATTCTATTATAGTATCATTGTTAAGAGAGATATAGCTGAGATAATAAAACTCATGGAAATATAGATGCCAAGAAAGGCAGAACTAGAAAGAAATTTGTCTTGTCCAATATATCCCATCCCAGTCTTAGAGATGGGAAAATGCAGGGACAGAGTGGGATGTCAATTCACCCTGGGCTTTGCTGGGACAAAATCCAGGTCTCTTGAGTCCTATTATATAAGTGCCCAATCTACTCTTTCACAATTCCTGTGGAGAGCACGAGTTCAGCTAAATCTTTTTGATGAAGTATGCTAATGAAACACATTTTAGACCTAGAAATTTCATTAGGAATTGAATAAGCCCAATAATAATAATAATAATAACAATAGTAATAATAATGACATAATCAGGGAATGCCATGACTCCCACCAGTCATGTTCTCCTATTCTGGGTGACTTCAATCCAAGGAACTGTACATCTTTACAATGCACAAGAAAGGTTGCTACAAAGACTAATATGCCATTTTAAGGTGCTCGTTATTATTGGTTTTCAATGTCCTTGAGGAGTAACTATTCTACCGTTCACATTTCCTAAAAAAAAATTGTCACATTACCTCAAAAGTTAAGCACTCATATGCCAACTCCCATCCCAGCCAGGTAAATTATCCATGTAGTTATATACTTTTTGTTGTTGTTATTCTGGATTAATAAGCTCCAAACAACACCTTTATTGCCTGGGGGAAAGAAATGTGACAGCTCCAGATGGTGGCCCATCAAAGGCTGAATATGCTCCTGAATCCTCCTCCTTCATGGCAATAGGGGCCCTGGTAGAAAGGACTGCCACTGGCCAGCAGCTTCCACAGAGGAGAATGCAAGGGCTGGCTACTGCTCCCTGCCCATCAACTGAGACTCTATGGGGACAGTCAAGATTTTAAGGATGAACAGCTCATCCTTACTCTGTGCCTTTGTCCCACAGAAACATAAATGGGACTATCTCTTGCTTGAATAAATGTTTTGTTCATGATATGACATCGGAAAGTTATGCTTTCGATGTCCCCAGATGGCACAGGAAAATGAAAAATCTCACCTCACTTGATTATTCTTCAGATCTCCATGATGACACTAATTATATAGTCTAATTAGCAGGCTCCTGTATGGAGATCATGAGCTAGTTGAAGAAAGGGAGTAAATCTTGAAATTTTCTGAATTTCTTCTTTTGCTCAATGCTAAGTGCTTGGGACCTCTTATAATAAGAAAAAGGCTAAGAATGAATATATGAATTTGCTGATTTTTTTTTCCACTAAGTGGTCCTGTGGGCAGCTTAATTTCTTAATTTAACAAACACCGTATAGAGGTACACATGCAGCCATTTGGAGCCTCAAGGGATAAGTGGTTAATTCTAACATAGATGAGAATTGAGGAGGGCAAAAGTTTGGGAAGATTTCAAAAATGAAGAAGCACAGATTCACTCAGACTAGGAGAAGGATGATGTTTTCAAGCACAGGGAACAGTATGTGCAAAGGCCCTGTGGAACAGTCCACATAGATAATTTGAGAAGTGCAGTTGCTTTTGCTGGCCAGAGCATAATGTGCACATTGTTCAAAAAACTTGGACTGGATCCTGAGGCCAGTGATAGGCAATGAATGGTTTTCTATAAGCAACTAATATGATGAGATTTTCATCTATAAAGGATCACTCTGGCTATTGTTTAAAGAAGGGATTATACTGGACGCTGGAAGTGAGAAAACAGGACTAGAGGCTAGATGACAGATGGTGAAGGCTGCACAAAGAAAATGCCTGAAGATGAATAAAAATTGGTTTAGAAAGTAAAATCAACAGGACTTGGTGACGGTGGAGGGATGAGACAGAAGGACAGGTTGCAAACCTATAATCCCAGCACTTTGGGAGGCTGAGGCTGGCAGATCACCTGAGGTCAGGAGTTTAAGACCAGCCTGGGCAACATGGTGAAACCCCATCTCTATGAAAAATACAAAAATTAGCTGGGCGTGGTGGTGCATGCCTGTAATCCTACCTACTGGGGGAACTGAGGCAGGAGAATCACTTGAACGTAGGAGTTGGAGGTTGCAGTGAGCAGAGATTATGTCACTGCACTCCAGCCTGGGCAATAGAGTGAGACTCCATCAGAAAGAAAAAGAAAAAAAGAAAGAAAGAAAGAGAAAGAAGAAAGAAAGAAAGAAGAAAGAAAGAAAGAAAGAAAGAAAGAGAAAGAAAGAAAAGAAAGAAAGGAGGAGAGGTGGCAAAATCTTGGAAAATAAATTCTGAAACTAGATCGAGTGTCACTGGAGAATGAGAAGGGGACTCATCACTTATGCTTGCTAGTGATCTAAGTCGAAATATTCTTAATCAGGGCAGGGTTGATGAGTAGCCATCTCAATTCCGTTGTTAGGGGTGAATTATTTTTTAGTGCCACTTGGCTGCTAGCTTAACTTCAACACATTTTCTATTTCTTGGAACAAATTCACTAATCTTATTTAAAACAAGGCATTGTTAAGAAGACGTTCTCAATATATACAAGCCTCTCCCCAGTGTATAGGAATTTCTCTTTAAACATCCCTTATCTAGGAAGGTACTGGCTTCCTTAAATTCTTCCTAAGACCAGAATCTCAATACCTTTCAAGATAGTCCTGTGTGAATTTGGGAAAGTTTAATGGTGGACACGAACATTGTTAAGTCCATTTTTAGTTTACAAAATATTGCTTGTACGAAATCCTTTTAGTTTCAGTATCATCTTACCAGGTAAGTTAAGAGATTTTCTCAAGATCATGTCACCAGTAGCTGGTAGTACCAGGTTTGAAAACCCTACATGGTGCTCTGCTCCTCTGCTCCCACAAGGTTTATGTGTTACTGCACTTCAACATTGCATGATCAAATTTTCCTGTTTCGGTGTTGGTTTCCCTCATTTGACTGCAGTCTCCTTGAGAGCAAGAACTCTGTTTGATAACTGTTCATTTCATGCCTAGTTGATGAAGTGGCTCAAAATACAGGATTTTTACAAATGTTTATTGAAAAACAACAAAAGAGTATCTTATAATTTGGTCCTTTTTGTTGAAAGAATAAAGTCTAAAGTTTTCTTCCTTGAAACTTCTAATCATAGTTTCATCCTCTAAAGTCATGGAAAAGAAATCTTCATCTTTCACCTGAAAATCCTTCAACTATGGCATGTTAATCCAATATTCATCACCCACAGCTTTTACATATGGCTTCCAATTTTCCCTTCTAGTCATAAACTTTGCTCTTCTTGTTCTGCTTTCTAAAATGTTACTAATTAATAGTGGGCACAACAAATAGATTCCCCTACCACAACCAGCTGTTCCCTGATTAAAAAAGCCTTACCCATGTACACAAGCTCTTGATGATTTCAAGAGACCAAAGAAAAATTGTCACGGCATCAGGGATTCAGCACCCGACCTTCAGGCAGTGCCTAAGTAGTGCCAAGCCATGTGCATGAAGAGAAAACCAAGATGAGTCAGTTGCCCAGATGTTTTGTCAGGTCACCAAGGATCTTGTTGGTTGGAGGCCGAGATGCCAGGGTTTGTGTGGCCATGTGTAGCCACGGCTTCAAAGGGAACGCAAGCCTAATAAAGCAAAGACTGATTCCAGAATTAAAATGTGCAGCTGGAGGGAAAAATGAAGAGAGGCAGGAAGATCTGGGCACATGGAGAGGTCCCTAGTAGAGGGTAACTGAGAGGATCTTAGGAGACCGGGGTGGGGGACAGTACGGGATCTGTCAGAGGTTAGTATTGAGGAACTCTCATGGTCTTGGTTTGCCATTCTTGGAAGGAGGGATACTGTACCATTTAGTGAACACCAACTCTGTGCTACAGATTGCTCAATGTGCTGAGAGTAAGTTGTGCACAAGATAGCCATGGTATATTCTCCTGTGTAGCTCAGAAGTTAGTAGAGACAAGGGACATTAGAATGCCTGTGAGACGTGTTTCAGTAGGGAAGTGCAAGGCACTGCGAGGTCTCAGAGGAGGTTTATCTGATACAGATCTGTGAGTGTGTGCATGCCAGAAGGCTTCCTGGAAGAAGTAGAATCTAAGCTGAATCTTGAAGAATGAGTAAGTTTAGCCAGGCTTTGTCAGGAGAAGCCTGTTCTCATCAAAGGGAGAGTAATATGAAAGTCTGGAGGTGAAATATTGAGAGGTTCAAGAAATGGAAGTGAGTTTAGTAATAAGGGCAAGGACTTCTGCTTTGTTCCCTGTAGAGTCCCCAGTGCTTAGGACAGTGTCAGCAGATTGCATTTATTCAACAAAAATGTGTTGAGTCAATGAAATTTTGAGAAAGGTACCATATTTTCCACCTCAGGGTTACCCCTTTTATTACTCCCTCATTCTAAGTGCATTTCATCCTCTCTCTTTCCTCTTCTTCTCAAATGGGATGAAAGAATCACTGAGGACATGCAGTTGGAGGTATACTGGACAGACTGTGGATCAGCTTTGGATGTGAGTTCTCATTCCAGTCGCCCAGGATTGTTTGATGCGACTTTGGGCAGCATATGTCTATGTCCCAGATCTCTGCAAAATGTAGCGTTTGGACAAGTCAGAAATTGCCAACTGGTGGTCCAGGGCTGTGCCAATATGCTTATTTGGCTTACATATTATCTTTAAAATACTTGTATTTAGTGCCAACATTAATATTTTTAAGGATATTAATTGCCAACACGTAAATATTTGGGTGCATTAGAGCTCCTACAATCACAGAGGGCATCAATCTTGGGACCTCTGTAGCAGCTTCGCCTTTAGATAAAGCCGGGCCTTTCCAATTCACTCTCCTGAGTGACATCACTCATTTACCTTCCCTGCTTGGCCCTGGTGGGCATTGAAGTTTACCACCTCTGCATCAAATGATCTCAAAGGTCCTCTCCACATTTAAAATCCTTGGAGGCCAGCCCCTGGTTATGTGACAAAATGAAGAGCAAATATCATCTACTGAATTTTTTTCCCAGTAGAGCAAACGCTTTTCAAATGTGCATTTAAAAAGTGATTCTCTGGAGACAGTACTCAAGGTGGAGTTGGAATCATGTGGAGAAATTAAATTATTGTTTGGTTTGACTGTTAAGGCCCTGACTGTTCTCCCATTTCACATGACCCCTCAGCAGATAGTTGAGAGTAGTGGGTAGCGTGGAAACTGAAGCACAAACCCACTTAGGTAGGGGCAAGGAAAGAAAGAGCTCCAAAAGTCCCAGAAGAATCATTCTGTGTCACGTAGCCCTAGCCAGGCATGTAACAACAATCCTACCCCAAACGTGGTCTGAAACCTGCAAGACAAGATGGACTTAAAGAAGTAAGAGGAAAGTAGAAAAAGCAATTCAAGCATCAGAAGTAAAGGCTAGAATGAGAGCTGAGATGAACAATCACAATGCACACAGTAGGCATTTAATAGGATGATGACATATTTGGGGGAAACTGGGTGGTGCCATTTTTTGCAACAGAGATGCATAGATGTCTGTTAAGGGGAGACCAGTATATCATTTAGAACTGGGCTGCCTCTTGATATGATGCCAGGAGGAGAGGAACTAATATTTGTGGGTACTTATAGAATATCATACACAATATTTTGTCATCCCTTTATGCATTATAACTCTATAGAATAAAGTGTTCATTTTATAAGTTAAGTTTCCTGTGGCTCAGAGAGGTAAGAGAGTTTCCCAAAATCATGGAGCAGAATTTGCACCCAGGCCACTTGGGCTACCCTTCCCTGTCTTTATTATGTTTGTTTCTGCTGGCATCTCCCATGTTTCAGGTGTTTCGTATTCTGGTGCCATCTCAGCAGGCACCAGGTTTCTGGAGTCCTACTCTACAGCAAGCACCCTCTCTGGTTTATGACTAAAAATGGTCAACTCAGGCCTCTGGCCTGGCTCAATTTGCAGGTCATCCCTTTCCTTCTCTTTAAAAATATCTGGGTTCCTGGTCTCATGCCAAATACAAGGGAGAAGGCCAGAGACACAGAGACGTCTGGCAGATTGTCCCCCTACCTGAGGCCCCATTAGTGTGACCACATACTACAAGAGAGATGGAATTTCCCTGATTCAGCAGAACAAAATGAACAAGAGTTGGCCCAGGCTTGTCTCTTGGTACAGATAAAGATGTGGGATGTATGAAACGATCTCACAAGCTCCCTTGTCATTTTAGTTTTGCCGAGCAATGGAACTTGTCTCTGTTTTATACAGGCCAGAAGAGGAAAAGTCTATCACATTTTAAGGAGGGATATGCAGCTGGGAAGAATCCAGAGAAAGAAGCAATTGAAGACAGTGGCTGCATAATCACTGACAGGCTGGATAGTATCAAGTATACTCCAGGACTCTGAAAAAAACTGAATTTCGAGTTTGCCTCTTGTTTGTAATTTATATATTAGTTTTACACTTTTTTATTTTTTTTTTCTTTTTGTGGAGAATGGGGTCTTGCTACATTGCCCAGGCAGGTCTCGAACTCCTGGGCTCAAGCTATCCCCCTGCCTCTGCCTCCCTAGGAGCTGGGATTACAGGCATGAGCCACGGCACCTGGCCAGTAATTTATATATGTATTTTTTATTGTCATAAAATAGAAACAACCGGGGCTAGGCACAGTGGCTCACGCCTATAATCCAGCACTTTGGGAGGTTGAGGCGTGCAGATCACCTGAGGTCGGGAGCTCGAGACAAGACTGACCAACATGGAGAAACCCCGTCTCTATTAAAAATACAAAATTAGCTGGGCATGGTGGCGCATGCCTGTAATCCCAGCTACTCAGGAGGCTGAGGCAGGAGAATCGCTTGAACCGGGAGGTGGAGGTTGAGGTGAGCTGAGACTGCGCCATTGCACTCCAACCTGGGAAACAAGAGCGAAACTCTGTCTCAAAACAAACAAACAAACAAAAAATAAAAAACCTAGAACTTGACATTTTAATCACTTTTAAGTGTGCAGTACTGTGGCATTAAATATATTGTCATTGTTATGCAACCATTACCACTACCCATCTCCATCTTTTTAATCTTTCCCAGCTGAAATTGTATACCCATTAAACGCTAACCTCCCATTCCCTTGCCCCACAGACCTTGATAGCCACCATTCTACTGTCTGCTTCTATGAGTTTGGCTACTCTACGTATCTCGTATAAATAGAATCATGCAGTATTGTTCTTCTGTGATTGGCTTATTTCACTTAGTATAATGTCCTCAAGATTTATCCATGTTACAGTATGCATCAGAATGTCCTTCCTTTTTAAGGCTAAATAATATTCCATTGTATGTATATACCATATTTTTAAAATCCATTTATCCACCAATGGATACTTGTGTTGCTTCCACATTTTGCTGTTGTGAATAATGCTGTTATAAATATGGGTGCACAGGTACTATAGAAATATTTAAAAAATCATGGCTCATATATATTCTTTGAAAGCAACGATTAGTAGCTAACATTATGTAAACAACTGAGGAGCCTCACTGGATGTATTGTAATGAGGAGAATAATTTCTAGTACAACAACAAAAAAATGGCTGTTGCTAAGGGAATTATGGGAAATTGGTCTTCCCCACTGTGCCAGAATTATTTTCTTAAAAATAAAATATCGCCATGTCACCTCTCTTCTTTAAGTATATCCTCTAATGTACATTAGTTTCAGAATGAAATACAAATTCCTTAACATGGCATTCATGACCTTAGCCAAGCTTCCCAGCCTCATCTGTTATCTGTCCATTTATCCCCAAGCTCCCTGTGAAGCAATCATTCTGTACAAGGAGCCCACCTTGTTCTTTTATGCCTCAGGCTCTACACTCTCTATTCCTTTCATCTTCATCTTGGACAGCCCTTCACTGTAGTACTGATGACATGGTATGGTATAGCAGCAATCTCTTCCCATGTTATTTGCCTATGAGCTAGAGGGTGGGGATTTTATGTTACTCATTTCTATAATACTTCTATTAATCACGGAAGGACTTGATGCTTTTTATATGACTGAATGAGGGAAAGTGCAAATATTGCTCATTAGATAAAACAGGACTTGAACGTCTTGATTGAACCCTTATTTGGCTATATAAATCCCTTTTCAAGTGACAAGGAAGCATAAGCCACAAGCACATCTGAAATCTGAAAGATTTTCATTTGAAGACTCAGATGAGAACTGCAGTTCCTACAGGTTTTTTTTCAGCACATGGACAGCAAGAGTACACACTGTAAACCCAGAGTTCAAATTAGAGAGAAACAGGACCAGAGTATGAATTAGAAATGGGATAAATAAGGTTTTGCAATTACTGAAAAGCTGCAACATAATCTCTTTAGATAGTCTTTCCCATGGGCCTTTTTAAATTTAATACAGCAGGAATCATTTACTTATTATTATTTATTTATTTTATTGAATTAATACTTTTAATTGACAAAATTGTATAAATTTATAATGTACGACATGTTGCTTTGAAATATGTATACATTGTGGAATGGCTAAATTGAGCTAGTTAATATATGCTTTACCCCATATAGTTATCAATTTTGTTGTGAGAATACTTTAAACCTACTCTCTTGGCAATTTACAAGAGTACTATGCTTTGTTATTAACTATAGCGACCATGTCTTACAATAGATCTCTTGAACATATTCTTTCAAACTGAATTTTTGTATCCTTTAACCAACATCTCCCTCAGACCACCTCACTCCAGTCCTTAGTAACCACCATTCTACTACTTCTATGAGTTCACCTTTTTTGATTCCACATTGAAGTGAGATTATGCAGTATTTATTTTTCTGTGCCTGATTTATTTCACTTATCATAATGTGCTTCAGATTCATCCACATTGTTGAAAATAAGCCTTTAAAAATAAGAAAATCATTTCGTTTACAACAACATAGTATGTTATTTTGTATATATACACCACATTTTCTTTATCCATTCATCCATTGATGGATACTTAAGTTGATTCCATGTCTTGGAAATTGTGAATAATTCTGTAATGAACCTGTTAATGTAGTTATCTCTTCAAAATACCAATATCATTTCCTTTGGATATATATCCAGAAGTGGGATGGTTGGATCATATGGTAACTATAGATTTAATTTTTAGAGGAAACACCATATTTTCTATAATGACTCTACTGATTTATATTTCTACCAACACTGTGCAAGGGGCCCCTAGTCTCCATATCCTCTCTAAGACATGTTATCTTTCATCTTTTTTATTATGGCCATTCTAATAGGTATGAGGTGACATCTCATTGTGGCTTTAATTTGCATTTCCTCTGATGATTAGTGATGTTAAGTATTTTTTTTATTGGGTATGTGTATGTCTTTGTTTGAAGAGTGTCTCTTCAAGTGTGTAGCCCATTTTTTATTTGGGTGATGTGTTTTCTTACTACTGAATTGTTTGAGTTCCTTATATATTTTTGGATATTAACCCCTTATCAAATGTCTGGTTTGCAAATATTTTCTCCCACTCCATAGGTTACTCTGTTGATTTTTTCATTGTTTGTGAAGAAGATTTTTCAGTTTGGAGTAATCCCATTTTTCTATTTTTGCTTTTGTTGCGTGTGCTTTTGGGTTTATATCTAAAAAATCATTGCCCAGACCAATGTCATGGAGCTATTCCCCTGTTTTCTTCTAGGAATTTCACAGCTTCAGGTCTTACATTTAAGTCTTTAACCCATTGTAAGTTGATATTTGTATATGGTGTGAGAAATTCAGTGTTCTGCATTTAAATATCCAGTTGTCCCAATACTATTTATTGAAGAAATCATCCTTTCCCCATTGTGTATTCCTGTCACCTTTGTTGAAAATCAATTGACTGTAAATGCATGTATTTATTTCTGGGGCTGTATTTGGTTCCACTGGTCTGTGTGTCTCTTTTTATGCCAGTACCATGCTGTTTTGATTACTATAGCTTTGCAGTATATTTTGAATTCAGGTAGTATGATGTTTTCAGCTTTGTTCTTTTTGCTCAAGATTGCTTTGGCTATTTATGTTCTCTTGTGGTTCAATATGAATTTTAGAATTTTTTCCTATTTTTGTGAAAAATGTCTTTGGCATTTTGATAAGAACTACATTGAATCAATAGAGTTTTTTGGGTAGGATGGACATTTTAATATTCCTCTGTTCTTCCAATCTATAAACATGAAGTATCTTTTCATTTATTTGTCTTTTTCCATTTCTTTCATCAATATGCTACAGTTTTTAGTGTATAGGTGTTCACTTCCTTGGTTAAATTTATTCCTACTTTTTTTGTTTATTTGCTTTTTGCAGTTATTATAAATAAAATTGTTTTCTTGATTTCATTTTTGGATAGTTCACTGTTAGTGTATAGAAATACTACTGATTTTTGTCTGTTGATTTTACATCCTGCAACTTTACTAAACCAACCTATTAGTTCTAACAATTGTGTGTGTGTGTGTGTGTGTGTGTGTGTGTGTGTAGTTTAGGGTTTTCTATATGTAAGGTCATGTTGCCTGTAAACAGGGACAATTGAACTTCTTTCTTTCCAAATTGGATGCCTTTTATTTCTTCTTCTTTTTTTTAGATTTCCTCCTTTTCCACTACTTCTCCTCCTCCTCCTCCTGCTCCTCATTCTCCTTTTTCCTCTTCCTCTTCCTCTTCTTTTTTTTCTTGAGACAAGTTCTTGTTCTGTTGCCCAGGCTGAAGTACAGTGGCATGAAATGGGCTCGCTGCAACCTCTCCCTCCTGGGTTCAAATGGTTCTCATGCCCTAGTAGCTGGGATTACAGACACACTCCACCATGCCTGGCTAATTGTTTTGTATTTTTAGTAGAGATGGGTTTCACCATGTTGGCTAGCCTGGTCTCGAACTCCTGACCTCAAATGATCCACACACCTCAGCCTCTCAAAGTGCTGGGATTACAGTCATGAGACACCTCAATCTGCATAGACGCCTTTTATTTCTTTCTTTTGCCTAATTGTTCTGACTGGGACTTCCAGTACTGTGTTGAAGAGAAGTGGAGAGAGTAGACATACTTGTCATATTTCTGATCTTATTGAAAACTTTTTGATTTTTTCTGATTGAGTATAATTTTGGCTTTGTATTTGTTACACGTGACCTTTTCTGTATTGAGGTACTCTCCTTCTATACCTAATTTGTTAGGAGTTTTTATCATGAAAGGATGTTAAATTTCATACAGCAGGAATCATTTATTTATTATTATTTATTTATTTTATTGAATTAATACTTTTTTTTTACATCGATTGAGATGGTCATATGGTTTTGGTCCAACAAGAATAATTTAAATTAAATTTCATGATAGCAAACGACTTTAAAGATCATGAAGCAAGTCTTGCTCTCTGGACCTTGGTTTACTCATTGACAAAATGAGAATGTTGGACCAGAGATTCTGAAATGCTTCAAATTTCTGTCAATTTGGTCATGCTCTCCAAATACAATATTCTAAATCTAAGTACCTCCAAAAGTAATCCTGAACACCTTTTATGGTTAGCATTTTTTTCCCTAGACACAAGTTATCTATGATACATACCTATGCATTTAATTTATATTCTCTAGTACTAAAAGAACTCTGTTTTCTCACCATTTTGAGGCCCTGCAGACATTTCTCTCCTCTGAGCTCCCTTCCCTTTGCAAAATATCACCTAGTTTCTTCTATTTTATAATTTACAGGGTCTTTTCCATGTTGGACATACCCTATTCTATCCTTATCATCTTCAACGGTGGGAAAAAGAATGAATTCTGAGACTTCGGTGGAATGAACCTGCTACATCTAAAGCCCAGGTTTCATGTTTAAATGAATGAGGACAGGTCAGGAATATCAGCTGAGATTTCATCCAGGACTAGGAGTAATTTGAATTTTAGGATTTGTTTGGCATAAAAGTAGGATTAAAAGTTCTAAGAGAGAAGAAGGAGTTATAAGAGATGGAAGGAGATTTGGGACCGCTTTCCTCATGGAATCTTTACAGATGAGTCCTGTCATTTGTTGTGTTAATTTTCTGTTGCTGTTGTAAAAGAAGTTATTACCCTATTACTGGCTTTAAACAAACACAAATTTATTATCTCAGAGTCCTGTAGATTATAAGTTTTGCTTGGCTTGGATGGATCTCACACAAAGTCCTGTAGACTCTGAGTAAGGCCTCACAATATCAAGATTCAGGTGTCATCACGGCTGTGTTTCTTATTGAGTTTCTTGGGTGAGAATCAACTTCCAGGCTCATTCAGATTGCCGGATAAATCCAATTCCATGTGATTCTAAGACTGGAGTTTCTATTTCTTTGCTGGTTATCAGCCTGGGAGAGTGGCAGGAGATGAGATTGGTAATGGAGGTTACGGCCAGCTTGAATTTAGCTGGTATTTGGATTCTGTTGTAAGGTCAATGAAAAACAATTAGAGTGCTTATGCAAAGGAGATACATGATTTGATTTGTGTTTATAGACATTACTTGATAATTCATGTGGAGAATTAATTCTAGTAATACAAAAGTGGAAACTGGCAAACAAAATAGAAATCTATTGAAGCAGATCAGGCCAAAGATCACAGTGTCCTGAGCAGGAGCATAATAATAGAGTCTAAGATCTAGACCCTTAAGCAGTACAGCTTCAAGCTTTCTGACATAATTTGAGAACCTCAGGATCAACTCATACAGTTTTTGAAATTAGATGAAGTCTTAAAGAACATTTCACAAAAGCCTTGCATTTCAAAAAAAATAAGACAAAAATCCAGCCTGAAATAACTTGTCCACGCTCACAAAGTAAGTTGATGACAGAGCTGTGATTAGAACTGTGCCTCTTGACACCCTTTGGTACAGTGCTTCTTTTACTGCATTCACATCTTATGGCTGGTCCTTATCAAGTATTTGACAAGCAAAATACTGCTCACAAAATGCAGAGACCATTTTGACTAAGAAAAGAAGGAAGATATGTTGTTCTTGATGTTGGGTTTTTTTTTAGGTAAAATAAGAGCATGGATCAAAGGAAAAGGGGACCTGTTTGCAGGTATCTGAAAGATGAGGCAAAAGGGAAAAGCTTCTTAGAAATAAGAGCATGACTGATTTTCTCTGATGCCACCAGGATGGCCTGGCAAGGCTGGGCCTGGTCTCCCACCAGGTAAAAGTGATGGGTTCCAGCAAAGTCAAAGCTTTTCATGTATTCTTGGCAAAATCACAAGTTAGGATGAGGGCATGAACACATTGTTACCTTACACTCTGCTAATTTAGCATCTGCTACAGTTAAGAAAGGGTATGTGTGATGCTCATGTATAATAGAAGCCAAAATAAGTAATAAGATCTGCCTTTAGTGGTAACAATGTATTATAACATGATTCAGTCTTCTCTGACTTCACTCTTCATCATCTCCTCTACTTATTCATATTGATTTGATCTTATGGTATCTGTGTAATGCAAATAAGTCGCATCTAAGTGTGTGTGTGTCCATGATACACTTGTGTACAGTCATTCCTCATTATCCTTGGAGGATTGTTTTCAGCACTTCCCACAGATACCAAAATTTGAAGATACTCAAGTTCCTTATATAAAATGGTGTCGTATTCTCATATAACCTAAGCACATCCTCCTGTATACTTTACATAATCCCTAAATTACTTATAATAACTAATAAAATGTAAATGCTATGTAAATGATTTTCTCATTTGTGTTTTCAAAATTGTTCCATTGTTCTTAAGCAAAAAGAACAAAGGTGGAGGCAACACATATCTGACTATAAACTATACTATAAGGCTACAGTAACCAAAATAGCATGGTAGTGATACAAAAATAAACATATACACCAGTTGAACAGAATAGAGAAATCAGAAATAAAGCCACACACCTACAGCCATCTGATCTTTGACAAAATTGACAAAAACAAGCAATGGGGAAAGGACTCCCTATTCAATAAATAGTGCTAAGACAGCTGGCTAGCCACAGGCAGAAGAATGAAACTGGGCCCCTACCTTTCACCATAAGAAAAAATAATAACTCAAGATGAACGAAAGATTTAAATGTGAGATCTTGAACTGTAAGAATCCTGGAAGAAAACTTAGGAAACACCATACTGGACATTGGCCTTGAGAAAGAATTTATGACTAAGTCCCCAAACGCAATTGAAGAAAAAAGAAAAAAAAAAACAAAAAATTGACAAGTGGGACCTAATTAAAGAGCTTCTGCATAGCAAAAGAAACTGTCAACACTATCAATAGAGTAAAAGGAAAACCTACAGAATGATAGAAAATATTTACAAATTAAGCATCTGACAAAGGTTCAATATCCAGAATCTATGAGAAATTTAAACAATTCAACAAGCAAAAATAAATAACCCATTAAAAAATAGGTGAAAGACATGAACAGATACTTTTGAAAACAAGACTTACAAGTGGGTAATAAACATATGAAAAAGTGCTACATATCACAATTCATCAGAGAACTGCAAATTAAAACCACAATGCAATTCTATTCAGAATGGCTATTATTGAAAAGCCAAAGAACAATAGATGCTGGTGAGGCTGCAGAGAAAAGGGAAGACTGACATACTGTTTGTGGGAATGTAAATTAGCTCAGCAAGTGTGGAAAGCAATTTGGAAATTTCTCAAAGAACTTAAAACAAACTACCATTGAATCCAGCAAACCCATCACTGGATATATATATATATATATACACACACACACACACACACACACACACATATATATATATGTATACACATATATATATATGTATATAACATAATTCTACCAAAAAGACACATGAATTTATATGTTTATTGCAGCATGTGTCATAATAGCAAAGGCATGGAATCAACCTAGGTGCTCATCAATGGTCACTTGGAGAAATAAAAATGGTACATAGACACCATGGACTACTATTTAGCCATAAAAATGAGTGAAATCATGTCCTTTGCAGCAACATGAATGCAGCTAAAGGCCATTATCGTTAAGTGAATTAATGCAGGAGCAGAAAATCATATACAGCAGATTCTCACTTATAAGTGGATGCTAAATATTGGGCATTCATGATATAAAGATGGCAAAAATAGACACTGGAGACTACTAGATAGAGGAGGGAAGGAAGGGGGCAAGATGTGAAAAACTGCTAGGTACATGCTCACTGTCTGGATGATGGGATTATTCATGTCCCAAACCTCAACATCATGTTACCCATGTAACTAACCTGTACCTATGCCTCCTGAGTGTAAAATAACAGTTGAAATTATATATGTTTTAAAAGCCCATAAAATAAAATAAAAATGAAGAGACCAGTGTTAGGAGAATAAAATATAAATTGTTGTACTTTTTATTGTTTTGTTTTCCAATATTTTCAACCCATGGTTTGTTGAATCTGCATATGCAGAACCCTTGTATACAAAGGGCAGATTGTATATAAATTATGTTTATATGCATTTCTTTTTTCTGTTGTGAGATCCTTGCTTACTGTGAAGATAATTTAGTCTTATTTATGTCTGCCTAATAAAATGAAAGATTTAGCAGATCCATAGACATCTATTTGCATGAATTAACTTATATGAGAGGCTTGTGTCTACTCTTTTCTCTTACCGAAGGAGAAGAGAACATGCTGATATCTTAGTGAATGCAGAGGTGGGGACTGGGAGAACTGTTGGGGATTAAGAACAGAAGAATATAGCGGACAATAGGTCATGTGCGTCTGCTTTTTGATAGCAACATAGGTGAATTTTTAAGCAGATTTGTAGGGGGAAAGCTGGAAAGGAAAGGGGTGATACAGGAGAATGGAAACAGGAGGATGACTCTGGAGAGAAATGTTGGTAGCAGGAGCGAAATAATCTGTTTCAATGAGATAATTTGTGATACAACTCATAATATATCAGTTAATTACAGCTGTTTAATAAATTACACTAAAAAATCAGTGGTGTTTTTAATGGAGATAGATAGTAGAAGGATGGTTTACAGAGGCTGGGAAGGGTATTAGGGGGGTTGCGGGTGGTGGGAATGGTTAATGGATACAAAAAAATGGTTAAAATAAATGAATAAGACCTAGCATTCAATAGCACAATGGCTGACTATTGTCAATCATAATTTAGTTGTATATTTTTAAATAACTAAAAGAGTATAATTGGATTGTTTGTAACACAAAGGATAAATCCTTGAGGGGATGTATACCCTTACTATGATGTGATTATTACACATTGAATGCCTGTATCAAAACATCTCATGTACCCCATAAATATATATGCCTACTATGTACCCAGAAAAATTAAAAATATATTTTTTTAAAAATATAGTGGTTTGAAAAACTGCAAGTTATTTTTCACAAGTCTATGACTTGAATGGGCAGTTCTGCTAAATCAGGCTGGTTTTGGTTGGGCAGTTATTCCGGTCTTTCTGGGACTCAGGTGATCAGCTGAGTATTGGCAAATCTAAAATTGCCTTGGCTGGGAAAACTACATCTGTTTCGCATCTCATCCTCTAGCAGTCCTGTCTAGGCGTGTTTTTGAAAGTCCTTTTTCAAGCCTCTGCTCACATCAAGTTTGTTATTACCTCATTGGACAAATCACATGGGCCAAACTCAGATTCAGGGAGTTTACTATCAATGGATATGGATTCAGAGAGGAGTGAGAAGTTTTGCAATCAATCTACTACATATAAGCACATTTTCTTCAGGCCATGTCATAAAGATCATGCAGAGTTGAGGAGTGGAGCATTCTCCTCCTTAGGCCTGGAATGTAACTTGGGTCTGATGCAATGTGTACTGTAGAAAATACAGCAGGGGTTGGCAACTCCAGGAGCTCTCGACTCACTGTTGAGGTGGTGTTGGGAGCATGTGATGAGTGAGTTATTCCATGAACAAATTCTTTTTGACAAATTGCTTTGGGCATATAGTCGTAATGATAAACAAATCTTTGGAAGTATATTTTGGGGTACCTTGGCATGAATCTTCCTCAGGAGGAGCACAGAATTATCATTCAGGATCTTGAGCACCATGTTAATGGTGAAAACCACCCCAAGTGACTTTCTACAGAAGATGTCAACAAAGGGACGAAAATAGAAGAATAAGAGATAAGTTACTACTGAGTATATGGGGATAGCAACAATCATTGGAAAGAGATTTTAGCTAGATGGTGCTAAGATCCTATAATCTTGCAGGTGGGAGCCTTTGAAATAACAAAATTTGGGTATTCATGCTATAGACACTTCAGGCTAGTATGAATGACATAGAGGACATGCCAGTTATATTTACGTATTTATTTGTTAAGTTTCCTGCCATGAAAAATAGATTACAACCCAAAGTTCTGCCCATTAGGAATATTATTTCTCTCTTAAATTAGAAAGGTCTCATCAACTTTAAATAAAAAAATACCTAATAGTTTTTTATTTACATATTTTTGAAAAAAAGGCACAGAAAAGTAGGAAAATAATGTGCACTGGCATCAGGTAGACCTGAATTACCATTTTAAAATTTTATCTCTTAATGATGTTTAAGATTGACAAATTGCCTAACCTTTCTGTATCTCTTTTCCTCCTCTATGAAATGGGATTGACCACATCTTTGTCACAAGGTTGGGAAATGGATTAACAATAAAATATGTAAAAATACCTGACACATCACAGGTGTTCTAATAAATGTAGTTGTTTCATCATTTATTGCATATCAACTGGAGTCCAGGCATGGTCCTGCATGTTAAAGATGGAAAAGAGCCAATAGTCCCAGCATCCCACCTAGGGATTCAATGATTGAAGAAATGAGTAACATGTCTGTCTCCCCTTATAGAGCAATGGATTTCTTGAGATCACAATCAGTGATGAGTTCGTCATCGTAGACCCAGCATCTCCAGCATCTAGCAGAGGGCTTGATGAGGCAATGCTTTCAAAATGAATTTTATTATATATTAGAAGTCTGGTTTTTCTTATCATGATTAATATGAAGTCTCTCTTAGAATAGCTGTTTAGTACATTTTGAAACTGAATGACTGAGTGATCAAGAGAGAGAATGTAATAAGGAAAGGAGAGAGGAAGGAAGGAAGGAAAGAAGGAAGGAAGGAAGGAAATGATAAAGAAAAGCCTCATCATTCAGTCTTTTCTAATAGAATCCTTAAATAATTGCTCTTGAGAAATATTGCTGCTCACCTCAGATGGAGCTACTTCTGCGGAAGTAAATGGACAGGAAACAAAACATAATTATGGCTTCAGGCAACCCAAGGCAGAATGGGAGCAGGGTAGTGGGGGAGACATCTAATACCCTAGTCCTCTATCTTCTTGGAATAAGACTGTCTTTTGTTAAATAAAAATTATTCCAATAGCTTTAGTGCTAGTAATAACTTTTGGTTACATGGATCAATTATATAATGATGAAGTCTTGGATTTTAGTGTACTTGTCACCTGAAAAATGTACATTGTACCCAACAGGTAATTTTTCATCTCTAACCCCCCTCCCATACTCCTCCCTTCTGAGTTTCCAGTGTGTATCATACCACTCTGTACATCTTTGAGTACCCTTAGCTTAGCTTCCATTTATAAGTGATAACACATGGTATTTGGCTTTCAATTCCTGAGTTACCTCACTTAGGTAATGGCTTTCCTCAAAACTATACAAATGCATGAAAATTAAATAATACTCCTGAATGATTTTTGAGTCAATAATGAAGTCAAGATGGAAATTCAAAAAAATTTCAAAATGAATGATATCAGTGGCACAAGTTATCAAAACCTCTGCGATACAGCTAAAGCAGCACTAAGTGGAAAGTTTAGCACTAAACACCACATCGAAAAGACAAAAAGTCCTAGGGAAGCTCAGGGACTGAAATAAAAAGATAGAAATGTCACAAACTGACAACCTAATGTTACATCTCAAGGAACTAGAGAAACAAGAACAAACCAAACCCAAAGCTAGCAGAGGAAGAGAAACAACAAACATCAGAGCAGAACTAAACGAAATGGAAACCCAGAAAACAATAACAAGGAACAATGAAATTAAAAGTCGATTCTTTGAAAAGATAAATAAAATTGATAGACCACTAGCTAGATTAACCAAGAAAAGAAGAGAAAAGATTGAAATAAGCTTAATCGGGAATGAAAATGGAGACATTACAACTGATACCATAGAAATACAAAATATTATTTGAGACTAGTATGAAAACTTCTATGCACACAAACTAGAAAAACTAAAGGATGCTGGGCACAGTGGCTCATGCCTGTAATCCCAGCACACTGGGAAGCCGAGGCAGGTGGATCACGAGGTCAGGAGATCGAGACCATCCTGGCCAACATGGTGAAATCCCATCTCTACTAAAAATACAAAAATTAGCTGGGCATGGTCATGCGCTCCTGTAATGTCAGCTACTCGGGAGGCTGAGGCAAGAGAATCGCTTGAACCAGGGAGTAGGAGGTTGCAGTGAGCCAAGATCATGCCTCTGCACTCCAGCCTGGAGACAGAGTGAGACTTCGTCTCAAACAACAACAACAACAACAACAACAGTAACAAAAACTAGAGGAAATAGAGAAATTCCTGGTAACATACAACCCACTAAGCTTGAATCAGGGAGATATACAAATCCTGAACAGTCCAGGTTTAGTCTTGGGAGGGTGTATGTGTCCAGGAATTTATCCACTTCTTCTAGATTTTCTAGTTTATTTGCATAGAGGTGTTTATAGTATTCTCTGATGGTAGTTTGTATTTCTGTGGGATCAGTGGTGATATCCCTTTTATCATTTTTTATTGTGTCTATTTGATTCTTCTCTCTTTTCTTCTTTATCAGTCTGGCTATCTACTTTGTTAATCTTTTCGAAAAACCAGCTCCTGGATTCATTGATTTTTTGAAGGGTTTTTCATGTCTCTATCTCCTTCATTTCTCCTCTGATCTTATTTGTCTTGTCTTCTGCTAGTTTTTGCGTTTGTTTGCTCTCGCTTCTCTAGTTCTTTTACATGTGATGTTAAAGTGTCGATTTTAGATCTTTCCCGCTTTCTCCTGTGGGCATTTAGTACTATAAATTTCCCTCTAAACACTGCTTTAGCTGTGTCCCAGAGATTCTGGTACATTGTGTCTTTGTTTTCATTGACTTCAAAGAACTTATTTATTTGTGCCTTAACTTTGTTATTTACTCAGTAGTCATTCATGAGCAGGTTGTTCAGTTTCCATGTAGTTGTGCAGTTTTGAGTGAGTTTCTTAATCCTGAGTTTTAATTTGGTTACACTGTGGTCTGAGAGAATGTTTGTTACAATTTCGGTTCTTTTGCATTTGCTGAGAGGTGTTTTACTTCCAATTATGTGGTCAATTTTAGAATAAGTGTGATGTGGTGCTGAGAAGAATGTATATTCTGTTGATTTGGGGTGGAGAGTTCTGTAGATGTATATTAGGTCTGCTTGGTCCAGAGCTGAGTTCAAGTCCTGAATATCCTTATTAATTTTATGTCTTGTTGATCTGTCTAATATTGACAGTGGGGTGTTAAAGTCTCCCACTGTTATTGTGTGGGAGTCTAAGTCTCTTTGCAGGTCTCTACGAACTTTCTTTATGAATCTGGGTGCTCTTTCACTGGGTGCATATATATTTAGGATAGTTAGCTCTTCTTGTTGCATTGATCTCTTTATAATTATGTAATGCCCTTCTTTGTCTTTTTTGATCTTTTTTGGTTTAAAGTCTGTTTTGTCAGAGACTAGGATTGCCCTTAGCCATCCAGGACATCAAATCTTTCTGTCGTGTTTTTAGTCTTTTCCCCAATATCCACATCTGAACTACTTTTTTGAGGCCAGCATCTTCCTGATACCAAAACCTGGCAGAGACGCAATAAAAAAAGAAAATTTCAGGCCAATATCCCTGAAGAACATTGATGCAAAAATCCTCAATAAAATACTGGCAAACTGAATCCAGCAGCACATCCAAAAGCTTATCCACCATGATCAAGTCAGCTTCATTCCTGGGCTGCAAGGCTGGTTCAACATACCCAAATCAATAAATGTAATCCAACACATAAACAGAACCAATGTCAAAAAAATGATTATCTCAATAGATGCAGAAAAGGCCTTCGATAGAATTCAACACCTCATGCTAAAAGCTCTCAATAAACTAGGTATTGATGGAACATATCTCAAAATAATAAGAACTATTTATGACAAACCCACAGCCAATATCATACCGCATGGGCAAAAGCTGGAAGCATTCCCTTTGAAAACCGGCACAGGACAAGGATGCCCTCTCTCAACACTCCTATTCAACATAATATTGGAAGTTCTGGCCAGGGCAATCAGACAAAAGAAAGAAATAAAGAGTATTCAAACAGGAAGAGAGGAAGTCAAATTGTCTCTGTTTGCAGATGACATGATTGTATATTTAGAAAATCCCATCGTCTCAGCCCCAAATCTTCTTAAGCTGATAAGCAACTTCAGCAAAGTCTCAGGATACAAACTCAATGTGTGTAAGTCACAAGCATTCCTATACATCAATAATAGACAAACAAAGAGCCAAATCATGAGTAAACTTCCACTCACAATTGCTACAAAGAGAATAAAATCCCTAGGAATACAACTTACAAGGGATGTGAAGAACCTCTTCATGGAGAACTACAAACCACTGCTCAAGGAAATAAGAGAGGACACAAACAAATGGAAAAACATTCCATGCTCACGGATAGGAAGAATCAATATCATGAAAATGGCCATACTTCCCAAAGTAATTTATAGATTCAATGCTATCCCCATCAAGCTACCATTGATTTTCTTCACAGAATTAGAAAAAAACTACTTTAAATTTCATATGGAACCAAAAAAGACCACATATAGCCAAGACAATCCTAATCAAAAAGAACAAAGCTGGAGGCATCATGCTACCTAACTTCAAATTATACTAGAAGGCTACAGTAACCAAAATAGCATGATACTGGTACCAAAACAGATATATAGACCAATGGAACAGAATAGAGGCCTCAGAAATAATGCCACACCGCATATACACCATGGAATACTATGCAGCCATAAAAAAGGATGAGTTCATGTCCTTCACAGTGTCATGGATGAAGCTGGAAATCATCATTCTCAGCAAACTATTACAAGAACAGAAAACCAAACACCGCATGTTCTCATTCATAAGTGGGAGTTGAACAATGAGAACACATGGACACACGGAGGGGAACATCACACACCAGGGCCTGTCTGGGAAAGGGGGGCTAGGGGAGGGATAGCATTAGGAGAAATACCTAGTTCAGGTGACAGGCTGATGGGTGCAGCAAACCACCATGGCACGTGTATACCTATGTAACAAAACTGCACATTCTGCACATGGCACATGTACCCCAGAACTTAAAGTAAAAAAAAAAAAAAAGAAGAAAAGAAATAACGCCACACATCTACAACCATCCGATCTTTGACAAATGTGACAAAAACAAGCAATGGGGAAAGGATTCCCCATTTAATAAATGGTGTTGGGAAAACTGGCTAGCCACATGCAGAAAACTGAAACTGACGCCTTCCTTACAATTTATACAAAAATTAACTCAAGATGGATTAAAGACTTAAAAATAAAACCTAAAACCATAAAAACTCTAGAAGAAAACCTAGGCAATATCATTCAGGACTTAGGCATGGGCAAAGCCTTCATGACTAAAACACCAAAAACAATGGCAACAAAAGCCAAAATTGACAAATCGGATCTAATTAAACTAAAGAGCTTCTGCACAGCAAAAGAAACTATCATCAGAGTGAATAGGCAACCTACAGAATGGGGGAAAATTTTTGCAATCTACCATCTGACAAAGGGCTAATAACCAGAATCTACAAGGAACTTAAACAAATTTACAAGAAAAAAACAATCTATCTCATCAAAAAGTGGGCAAAGGATATGAACAGACACTTCTCAGAAGAAGACATTTATGTGGCCAACAAACATATGAAAAAAAGCTCATCATCACAGGTCATTAGAGAAATGCAAATCAAAACCACAATGAGATACCATCTTACACCATTTAGAATGGCGATCATTAAAAAGTCATCAAAGAACAGATGCTGGAGAGGATGTGGAGAAATAGGAAGGCTTTTACAATGTTGGTGGGAGTGCAAATTAGTTCAACCATTGTGGAAGACAGTGTGGTGGTTCCTCAGGGATCTAGAACCAGAAATACCATCTGACCCAGCAATCCCATTACTGGGTATATACCCCAAGGATTATAAATCATTCTACTATAAAGACGCATACACGTGTATGCTTATTGCAGCACTGTTCACAATAGCAAAGACTTGGAAACAACCCAAATGCCATCAACGATAAACTGGATAAGGAAAATGTGGCACATATACACCATGGAATACTATGCAGCAATGAAAAAGGATGAGTTCATGTCCTTTGCAGGGACACGAATGAAGCTGGAAATCATTTTCAGCAAACTTACACAGGAGCAGAAAACCAAACACCGCATGTTCTCACTCATAAGTGGGAGTTGAACAATGAGAACACATGGACACAGGGAGGGGAACATCACACACCAGGGCCTGTCTGGGGGTGGGGGGGCTAGGGGAGGGACAGCATTAGGAGAAATACCTAATGTAGATGACGGGTTGATGGGTGCAGCAAACCACCATGGCACGTGTATAGCTATGTAACCAACCTGCACATTCTGCACATGTATCCCAGAACTTATAGTATAATATAATAATAATGATAAAATAAATTCCAAAGCTGACAAAAAAGAAATCCTGAACAGTCCATTAACAAGCAGTGAGATTGAATCAATAGTAATAAAAAATCCTCCAACAAATAAAAGCCCAGGAACAGATGGATTGATAGCTGAATTCTACCAGACATTCAAAGAAAAATAAGTACCAATCCTACTAAAACTATTCCAAAAGAGGGAGAAGGAGAGAATCCTCCCTAACTCATTCTATGAAGCCAGTTTCACCCTGGTACCAAAGCCGGAAAGGACATAACAAAAAAAGAAAATGAAACACCAATCTTCTTGATAAACACACACACACAAATCCTCAACAAAATACTAGCAAACCAAATCCAATAGCACATTAAAAAGAAAATACACCATGATTGAGTGGATTTCATCCCAGGGATGCAGGGATGGTTCAACATACTCAAGTTAATAAATGTGACTTACCACACAAGCGATTAAAAAAAACCCATATGATAATCTCAACAGATGCAGAAAAAAATTCAATAAAATCTAGCATCCTTCATAATAAAAATCTGAACAAACTAGGCATAGAAGAAACGTATCTCAAAATAATATAAAACAAATAACACAAACCCATAGCCAATATCATACTGCACAGGGAAAAGTTGAAAGCATTCTCCATAAGAAGTGGAAAAAGACAAGGATGCCCACTTTCACCACTTCTATTCAACATAGTACTGGAAGTCCTAGCCAGAGCAATCAGGCAGAAGAAAGAAATAAAGGGCATCCAACCTGGAAAAAAAGAGGAAGTCAAACTATCCCTGTTTGCTGTCGATATCATATTGTGCCTAGAAAACCCTAAAGTCTCTTCCAAAATACCCAAAGAATTGATAAATTAATTCAGTAAAGTCTCGGGTTACAAAACCGGTGTACACAAATCAGTAGCCCTGCTATACACCAACAACAACCAAGCTGAGAATCAAATCAAGAACTTAATCTCATGTACAATAGCCCTTTCTTTTTCTATTTTTTAACCTTCTGAATGACAGGCAGTACTCCCTCCCCCAATGCTCATGTGTGCTCATGTCATATACCAGACTCTCCCCCAGTCATTTTCTCTCAACAGCAAACACAAGGGTAATTTATCTTCCCCTGTCTAAAGTCCTCCAGGGAGTTCCACCTCCCATTCTCCTCACCCCCTGCTACATCCTAACCTCTCACCACCCAACCATTGTTCTCCCTCAGCCCTTGCCCCAACCCCTCAGTTGTCAGAATATGCAGAAATTAATTGATTCAGAGGGGCTATAGTAGATTAAAACATTCCAGTTATACTGCCTTAGTTTTCGAGAAAAACAGGGAGTCTTTAAAAAAATAAAGAGGGGGAACTAGCATCGAGTGAAGTGGGGTTGGGGAAGAAAAATTAGAGGAAAAGGGGATGATCTGAAAAATTGGATATAGGGTTAATGTATTAGAAATTTGGCCTGCATTCTTCTTGGGACAGTGTTGCTGCATGAAATAAATACCGTCTTGAACTTTCGAAATGATTGCCATATGTTTTGGGGTTGGAAAGTTGCCTATCCCTTCTCTACACTTCTAGCTTCCCTCCTACCCCTACTCTTGTTGATTCACTTAAGGCTTGATTAAGCTTGGTGAAATCCATATCTTTGCCATCACTTTGCTATAGGCTATAGATAAACTGGAGACGGGAGCCTTGTTGCTGGCCACTGGAGAAGGGGGATTTTCTTCTTGTTGTGTGCCAAAAGGCAGAGATTCAAACACTTGCAGCAGTTCTTGCCTGATTGAGGGAGAACACTGGGAAACCACAACAAAGTCCCAAGGCTGCCTCGAAAGAGTCAGGAGAAAAAAAATCTCTGGATTGACGACTGGAAGTTGCAGGGAGGCATATTTTAGCAAAATAGGGGTAAAAACAGAAATATTCATAGGAATTAGAAATATCCTAAAATAAAGGAGACTTCCCCAGAAGGTAGAAGCTTTCTTTAACTGGGTATGTTTAAGCACTCATGTCAAGATACTGTTGAAAGACATTATGAATTGGATGAAGGCTTTACATAAATCTATGGTTTACAAGATTTTATGGCTATGAAAAATTTTCTCTTTGTTTATGTTTGATCAAACTATACAGGAACCTCCTGTGTACATATAAGGATAAAAGCAGTGATATATATTTTTGGGGAAATTATTTAATATTTTTATTATCTTGATTAATATAAAATAAGAGATCTGAAGTCACAGTATCATGACACGGTATTGATAAAGTCCTGAGTGACATAGATTTGTGACTGGATATAACAAAATAAAAAAAAAAACTTGCCTGAGAGACTTTGGATACTTTCAAATTAACAGAGATAACTGGAGAAATGGTGAAAAGAGTTTTGCACCAAAAGCCATGAACTTGGCAATCCAAGTTAGCCCACTTGAAATGTCTTGATATTTTATGTACAACTAATTTATTTCTTATACTGCACAATTTAAACATGTGCAGAGTCTCTGAAACATTAGGGGCCCATGGCACATCATTTTCAAACAACTGCTCTAGAGATCCATTAGCTCCCATTTACTTCTGATGTTGTACAGTTTTAAGAATCTTGAGTACAGTGAAGATTGAGGGATTTCTTATCCATGCGATAGGCTGCATGAATCCTGTATTTATTTAGGAATGTGGGTTATGCTCATGGAGTTAATTAGTAAATTATTGACTCTACACTGCATGTGGAAGGAGATAACCTTTCAGCAAACTGAGGCTGAAAAGCAACTCAGTCTAACATAACTGATCAAGGTACATGTTAACAATTGCTATAAGGGATACAGAATAATCTAAAATATGTGTCTTAGTTCAAGATTCCCAGAAGCAGATCTTGAGGTAAGAGTTCTAGTGTAGGTAGTTTTTTTGGGAGGTAGTGCAAGAAAACAGCAGTGATGAAGTGGGGAAGTACGACAAGGAAAGAAAGGAAACCAATAAAACAAGTTATTAAGTAAATCACCACTATAGGCATCTAGAGCTCTCATCCTACTGTGGAAGTCTGGGAGCCAGTGTTAAATATGCACTTAAAGTGATCCTACAGGACCCACCATACCCACATTGGGAGGACTACTTAAAAATAAGAGTAAAAAACAGAAAATGACAAGTGTTGGCAAGAAGGTGGCAAAATCAGAACCCTCGTGCACTGTTAGTGGTAACGTAAATGTGGTGCAGCCTCCATATAAAGCAGTATGGCGGTTGCTCAGACAATGAAAAACAGAATCACCATATGATCCAGTAATTCTGCTTCTAGGCATATACCCCAAAATAATTGAAAGAAGGAACTCAAAAAATAATTGTACACTTAATGTTCAGGGTGGCATTATTTACCATAGTCAAAAGGTGGAAGCAACTCACATGTTCAGTAGCAGATGATTGTATAAACAAAATGGTATATACATAAGATGGAATATTATTCAGCTTTAAAAACAGGAAATTCTGACACATGCTACCATATGGATGAAC
Organism: Homo sapiens; assembly: GCF_000001405.40. Lineage (NCBI taxonomy): Eukaryota > Metazoa > Chordata > Mammalia > Primates > Hominidae > Homo > Homo sapiens. Next base: position 116,114,218 of record NC_000009.12, on the reverse strand, counting down.
CTTGAGGACATTAGGCTGAGTGAAATAAGCCAGTTACAGGAAGACAAACACTGCATGGTTTCACTTACAGGAGGTACCTAGAGTAGTCAAAATTACAGACAGAAATTAGAATGGTAAGTGCCAAGGGCTGGCAGGAGTGGGAAATGGGCAGTTAGTGATTAATGTACATAGAGTTTAGTTTCAGTTTTGCAAAATTTTCATTTTTTTCAGTTTTGGAGTGTGGTTGTGCAACAATGAATATACTAAACACTACTGAACTGTACACTTAAAAATGGTTAAGAGCGTAAATTTTATATTATGTGTATTTTACCACATTAAAAAAAAATCACCTATGGGAGGAGCAAGGAAGCTGGGTTATTTACACACCAACATCTGTCAGTCATTGGTTGAGGGATGCACCCAAAATGTTGATTCTCCCACTTTACTTCCGGTCTGTCTCAGACACAAGTCAAGTGGGCTTTTTGGCCTGAGGAAGCCCACACACAAAGAATTGAGAGAAGGGAAGTCCTGGGAGTTGGAAAATCAGGCTAGCGTGTATGGAAATGGTAAAAATAAAATAAGAAGCACCACATCAGAGAGAAAAAAACTGGTGTGAAAATCATAGTGGAAAGACCTTGGGCTTTGTGTTCAGACCCAGTTACATAGTCTAAAATCTAAAATCATTAAAACTAACTATGCAACCTTGGGACATTTTTCTTTTCACTTCTCTCCACCTTGAAGCCTGCATCTGTAAAATTGGGATGATAGTACCTACAGTAGGCAATTGTCATTTTGGTTTGCCATGCATATGGACTTGTTCCCCATTTGGGAGGCTTCATTGTGTGTCTGGAAGGAAAGCAGAAAAGTCAATATGAGATTTGCATCTTTTCATGTGTCCTGGAATGAATGGTGTAACTCTGAAATGGCTCATTGGATGCCCCTGCGTTGGACTTTCTAGGTCAAGTGAATGGGTCAGATAACGATGGAATGAGGGAGAGGGGATTCTCAGCTGGAGCGGAGGTGTCTCAGTGTCAGCACTCATAGCGGGGAGGCCTACAGATGCCTCTTTTTCCTCTGCCCAACAACAACCTGTTGTTTAAGAGAGGCAGAGGTGAATTCTGTTGTTGCTGATACAAGTCCCACCTCCTAGGGGTGTTTGGAGATTAAGTGAAATTAGATGTGTAGGGCATTTTGCACAGCTTCTGGCAGGGAATTGTATGGATCCTTTCCTTCCTTGACAACACAGAAAGTTTGTAACAGGACTGCATACTCTCTTATGAATGCAGGCTTCTGGCTTTTCCCCTTTCTTGTCTATCCATCATGCTCACTCCCCCATGTAAACTTCATGCATTCTTCCAGGAAAAACAAAAAGGTAAGCATTCATAGAAATCTGTTCCATGACTTAATTCTATCCAGAAGAAGGCACAGAATGACGGATGTTTAAAGTTTGGTTGCAGTTCACTGACATCATCTATTATAGTGTTTTTTGGCTTTTTTTTTCTATTTCTTATTGTTGACATTTTCCTCCTGCTGAAATTATAGATAGAGCCCCAATACATGAATTAAAAGTTTAGTTGTTTCTTTGTTTCCAATTTGCAATATATTCTTTTCCTTTGCCAAGAATGGCCTCCTGCTTTGAATTGCAATAATTTATGTTCTTATCCCACTTTCTTGGTTTTCTTTATCTGAGTAACCATCTTCCCATTCTCACCATTACACATACTGTAAAATTAGGCACATAATGAACACTCAATGAACATTTATCAAAGGAAATAATCCACTACTGGTAGGGGGCAGTGTTTTCACCTTTAGCTTAATTACCTAGTGATTTTATGTTGTTGAAAATGTCTACAACAGCAAAGGGAGAAAAGAACTGTTGAGATTATAAGGACACAGTAGCTCTTGGTCTCATAGGAGCAGATAAATAAGAAAAAATATCAGTAAGACTTGAACGATAATGAATAGGATATTCAAGTTAGTTTTGTTCTTTCATTTTAGGAATTGCAAAAATGGCATAGAAAGTTCCAAGGTACCATTTACCTAGGTTCTCTTGATAATAACATTTGATACCTAATGATAGTACATAATGATAGTACATTTAACAATTAGAAAATTGATATTGGCAAAACACTCCTAAACTACTGACTTTATTCATACATATTTCACCAGTTTTTTCTATGCACTTTTTTTGGTGTATGGCTCTATAACATTTTAACACATGTATACATTTGTACAGCCACTACTACAATCAGGATATAGAAATGTTCCAACACCCTCAAAAAACTCCCTCATGCTAACTTTTAGTAGCCACACCCTCCCCAAGACTGACTCTGACAACCATTGTCCTGATTGAGGGATGTTCTATCACTAGAATTTTTTCACTGCAAGAATTTTACATAAGTGGAAGCATACAATATGTAATCTTTTGAGATTATAAAGACACAGCCTAATGTCTTTAATATTTGTCTAAGCTTTTGGTTGTATCAATAGTTTGTTCCTTTTTAATGCTAAGTGGTATTATGTTGTATGGATATACTAGTTTGTTTATCCATGTAGTTGAAGGATATCTGAGTTATTTTCAATTTTTTGAACTTGCAAATAAAAGTATATGTTTGTCAGTTCAGGTTGCTATAACAAAGTACCAAAGACTACGTGGCTTAAAAAACAACAACAAAAAACATTTTTCACAGTTTTGGACACTGAAGGTTCAAGAAAGTGTGCCATAATGACTGGGTTCTGGTGAGGGTCCTCTTCCTAGTTGCAGATTTCCAACTTCTCTGTTTACCCTCACAGGGGAGAAAGAGAGAGCTTTGGTGTCATAATTCCCTCATAAGGGCACTAATCCTATTTACAAGGATTCTACCTTCATGACTTAATTACCTCTCAAAGTCCCCACCATCTAATACCATCACATTAGTGGTTAGGACTTCAGTAAATGAATTTTGGGGGTGATAAGCATTCAATCTATAACAGGGTGCTATAAACATTCACGTACAAGTTGTTGTGTTATATCATCCTGGCATTTCTCTAGGACAAATGCCCAAAAGTGCTATTGCTGGGTCATGTTGTAAGTATATTTTCAAGTTCATAAGAAAGTGCTAAGCTGTTTTCCAGTATGACTTAATATTTTACATTCTTTCCAGCAATATATGAGACAACCATTTGCTTTGCATCAACACTTGCTATTGCTAGAAATTTTTCTGCCCATATCTTTGCCTTCTTTTAAATATTTTTTTCAGCTTTTAACTTAGATTTGGGGGTACACGTGCAGGTTTGTTACCTGGGTATATTGTGTGATGTTGAGGTCTGGGGCACAAATGATCCCATTACCCAAGTATTGAGCATAGTAACTAAAAGTTTGCTTTTCAACCCTTGCTCCCTTTTCTCTTTCCATCCTCTAGTGGTCCCCAGTGCATGTTGCCATCTTTACATCCATGAGTATCCAACGTACAGTTCCCACTTATAAGTGAGAATATGTGGTATTTTGTTTTTCCATTCTTACATTAATTCGCTTACAATAATGGCCGCCAGCTATATCCATGTTGCTGCAAAGGACATGGTTTTGCTTCTTTTTATAGTTGCATAGTATTCCATGGTTTACGTGTACCACATTTTCTTTATCCAGTCCCCCATTGGTGGACAGCTAGGATGATTCAATGTGTTTGCTATTGTTAATAGTGCTTATTGCCAGAAAATTTTTGTTTTAGCCATTTTATTAAGTGTGTACTGGTATCTTATTGTGGCTTTAATTTGCATTTTACTAATGGTAAATGAAGTTGAACATGCTTTATGTATATATCTTCTCTCTATATACCTTGTATGATAAAGTGTCATTTTTTTGTTTGTTTGTTTGCGATGGAGTCTTGCTCTGTCACCCAGGCTGGAGTGCAGTGGCGCAATCTTGACTCACTGCAACCTCCACCTCCCAGGTTCACGCCATTCTCCTGCCTCAGCCTCCTGAGTAGCTGGGACTACAGGCGCCCGCCACCAGGCCTGGCTAATTTTTTGTATTTTTAGTAGAGATGGGGTTTCACTGTGTTAGCCAGGATGGTCTCGATCTCCTGACCTTGTGATCCACCCGCTTCAGCCTCCCAAAGTGCTGGGATTACAGGTGTGAGCTGCCACGCCCGGCCAAGTGCCATTTTTTTTATAACAGGGGTGATTGTTTACTTACTGTTGAGCTCAGAGCAGTCTTTACATGTTCTGGTTACAAATCTTTTGCCAGACAAGTGATTTGCTTATTTTCTCCTAGTCTATCATTGTGTTTTCATTCTCTTAACAATGACTTTAACAGAGCAAAACTTATTAATTTAACTTTTTTTATTTTATGGATTATGATTTTGGTGTCATATCTAAGAATTCTTCACTTTGCCCTAGGTCACGAGCAATGTCACCTATGTGTTCTTATAAATGTTCTTATAGTTGCAAGATTTATATTTAACTCTATAATCCATTCTGAGTAAATTTTTGTATCAGGTGTAATATTTAGTTCAAAGTGCATTGTTTTTGGTCTATGGACGTCCAATTGTTCCAAAACAATTTGTTGAAAAGGCTGTCTTTTCTTTACTGAAACACTGTGAACTTTTATCCAAAATAAGTTGGGCATATTGTGTGTGTCTTTCTGGGTTCTCTGTTCTGTTCTCCCAATATATGTGTCTATCCCTTCATCAGTGCTACACTGTATAGATTACTGTAATGATATAATAAGTTTTAAAATAAGGTAGTATAATTTATTCAATTATATTCTTTTTCCAAATTATTTTAGCTATTCTAATACCTTGGCTTTCCATAAAAGTTTTAGAATCAATTTGTCTATATCTACAAAAATTCCTGCTGGGATTCAATAAGAAATTTATTAAACCAATAGGTCAAAATGGGGAAAACTGAGTTTATTAGTCTGTTTTCACATGCTCATAAAGACATATCCAAAACTGGGCAATTTACAAAAGAAAGAGGTTTGTTGGACTTACAGTTCCAGGTGGCTGGAGAGGCCTCACAATCATGAAAGAAAGTGAAAGATACATCTCACATGGTGGCAGACAAGAGAAGAGAGCTTGTGCAGGGAAACTCCCGTTTTTTAAAACCATCAGATCTTCTGAGACTTATTCACTATCATGGGAACAGCATGGGAAAAACCCACCCTCATGATTCAATTATCTTCCACCATGTTCCTGCCACAACACGTGGGAATTATGGGAGCTCTAAAATGATATTTGGGTGGGGACACAGAGCCAAACCATATCACTGACTTTTTACTTTGTTGAGATTTCCAATTCATGAACATAGTATGTCTTACCATTTTTTTCATAAATTTTGTGTAGTTTCAGGTACTAATAAAGATCCTATGCGTGCTTTATTAGATTTTTTTTTTTTTTTTTTTTTTTTGAAATGGAGTCTTGCTCTGTTGCCAGGCTGGAGTACAGTGGCATGATCTCGGCTCATTGCAAACTCTGACTCCCTGGTCCAAGCGATTCTCCTGCCTCAGCCTCCTGAGGAGCTGGGATTACAGGCATGTGCCAACACTCCCAGCTAATTTTTGTATTTTTAGTAGAGACGGACTTTCACCATGTTGGCCAGGGTGGTCTCGATTTCCTGACCTCGTGATCTGCCCACCTCAGCCTCCCAAAGTGCTGAGATTACAAGTGTGAGCCACTGTGTCCATCTGTTTCATTAGATTTATACCAGGGACTTAAACCTAAAACTTCAGGTTTTTTTTTGAACTATGATAGGTAGTATTTTGTTTTAAACTTGAGTTTCTAATTGTTCATTTCTAGAAGGTAGAAATATTATTGATTTTCTTTTCTTTTTACTTTGTATCCTACAGTCTGGGAGTACTTTTGTAGAGTCATTGGGGTTTTCCATCTAGACTATCTTTAAAATTCTTTTCTTAATGTCCCACTTAGTTAATTTCTTAGAGAAGTGAGAATTAAATAGGGCCTGATGTCATCACTGTACATATTCTCTTTAAGAAATGAACAACTGAGATTCAGAGTCTTAGGATTGATATAGCAGAAGAAGACAATATCTAAGATTGGAAGAAACATCTAACTATTAGAATACTTTTTATTCATAGTGAATATGAGAAAAGGATGGATAAATTCAGTAATACCTGGATTCATTAAAAAAACAAATAGAAGCAATAAAGTAATCTTTCTAGCTCTTGTGAATTGCCTATTTGTTGGTTTCCGGATTGGGCCATATGAGGTGAGCAACTACTACACTACACTTAAATACTACAACCTAAAGCCATTTAGGCTTATTGCCCTTAGACAGAATACATTGTATGGCATTGAGTTGTGGTTAACTTTTGACTGTAACTTTACACGTAGAAAGTATGTCTTCTTGGTGTATTATAGAAATTCAGTGCACAGCAAATGAGTTCAAAAAGACTTGGTTTTAGTCCTTGCTGAATCAACTTAAGTAAGTTACTTGATCCCTAAATCTCAGTTTCCTAAGCTGGAAACTTAGAATGATATATTTTATTCTATATGTATATTTCATAGATGCTCATAATGTGATGAGATAGGTGTCATTGCTTCAGTGTTACAACTTAGGACCCCCTGGCCTATGGGGTTTACCTTGCTCAAGACTATACTACTACTAAGAAGCCCAGTGAGGATGTGTATCTAATGGCTGTTGGACTCTAAAGCCTATGCATTTAATACTAAACTATAGAAAGTCCAAACTGGCAGAATAGAGAAGTTATTAAAGTACAGCAGGACCACAAAGGAGAGATAAGAGGGACCATGTACTACAAGGCCATATTCTAGCCTTGAAACAAAGTAGAATTACCTGCCAGGAGTAGCTTATTGATTTTCTGCAATTATATTGTAAACATAATCATTAACAGTGGGACCATATGGAGACATCTTAATGCATTTAAAAAACAGGTATTGTCAATGTATTGTAATTTAATTTTAGTGGTCATAGATACAACTGGGTTTTTAATTAGCGAGATAGTTTTCTCCAACTATTTACAGAAATTTCCACTGAAGAGAAATGATGAAAGACACATACAAGTATTCAGGGGAAATAGAAAAATGGAAATTTTATGTCCTATCTCAAAGAAGTAGACTTAGAGCTAAATTAAGAGAAATTTCAGCCACAGTTTTGTTTTGTTTTCTTCCACCATATTGCAAAAATTAGTAGGAACAAAAAGGAAACATTGAGTGAATAACGTATGCTGCCAACAATCCTCTAAAGTAGACATTCATTTTATCTTGATGACAATGCTCAAAGAGGTGATTGAACTTATTTATGGTTGCACAGCCAGTAAACTAAAGCCTTGGTATCCAAGACCAGGCTCCCCTGATTGCAAATAGTTGCTCCAACCAATACATCATGCTGCGTCTCAAAGAATAAAAAAAACTTGTCCTGATTTTGATTCTGAGGAGTGTTTACCAGTATGTTAAAGGAACTATATAGTTTATAAATTGTGTGGCATTATTACCACTGACAAATCCAATGAGTCATTAGCATCCTTAACCGGGTAGTGTAACTGTTCCTGCCACGGTTGTCTTGTTTGCCTTCCATCCAGAGTTTTGGATTAAATATTCATTCACCATTAAAATATTAATGCAACCCCACTGTTTCTGTAACAAATATTAATTTCTTATGGCATTTCCAGGCAATGCATAAGTTATACATTTTATATTCCACAGGAAACTGCTCATTCTCTGGCTACTTTTGTTCCCAGTTCTGTTCACTCCTCTTGGGTGCAGGAGTCTGGAAAAGAGCAGGAGAGGGGAGGTGTTTAATTTGTGTATCGAGCCCCTGACCAGTCATGGCTTTCCCACCATTTTGCTGCTGTGTTGCTTCTGGTCCAGGAAATCCTCCCACCAGCAATTCAGGAAGCCTGTGGGATAAAGCCAGGGAAGACCACTGTGATTAAAACCCACTCAGTAGGTTAAACTTTTAGAAATCACTGAGTTTTAGGATTTCAGGATAGATCGTTTCATCCTCTTTCATTATCCCAGCCTCACTCACTTTTCTTCTCTCCAGACAGGAATGCCTTTCTTTTTTCAGTCTTGATGCTTTTCAGATATTTCCTTATTAGAAGAACATCATATTCATGTTCTGGGGAAAGGGAAAGGTGACAATTCATAGTTAGAGGGGTCTCCTCTTATAGTCTCAGAAAGTTTTCTTTGTAAAATCGATGCTCAGAATTATCCAGTGGTACTTGTCAAAATGTAGATTCAAAATGCAGATTGGTCCATCGCAAAACTCACTAAATCAGAATCTGGACTTGGGGTGTATTTAAGACCTAGGAGATTACAACACATCCAAAATCTGAAATGCTTCAGGGTATGTATTGAATTAACTAGGCTTTGGTTCGGACAAATTTGGATTCCAATTTTAGCACCACTCCTTATTCACTGTGTGACTCTGGGCAAGTTAAGTTTGTAGCTTCCCTATTGATAAATAGAAAAAATAATAATACTTCAAAATGTGATTGCTACAACTGGATGAGATGCTATATATTAAACATTTAACATAGTACATGATATGTAATAGATGTATAATAATGGTATTTATTAATGGTATTGATAATATCAAATTCATAGGTAAATAACTTGGCAAATCCCAACCTCCACACAGGAAAATGATATCATCTAGCCCTGTGTAGCTCCTTCTCCATCAGCGGAGCAGTATCCCTGGGATGTGAGGAACTTACAAGAAGCAATAAGATAATTTCAAAGGGAGAAAAGATACATAGGCCAAATCACTGGAGTCCAAGGCAGCCTAATAGAAGCACCCCAACATGTTGTCTATAAGGCTTATGGTTTTCAGAATTAATTCATATTGTGGCAGCTAAAAGAGATCCTTCCTGAGAGGCCTTGAAGGAGGCTGATTAATTGGGCAATTTCCCATGACTATTTCTGGTCTTTGAAAGTTGTTTCTTGCCCAGTACCCACCCTTGGCACATCTCAGAAGTGGAGCTCACTGGACTTTGCTGCTCTGTCCCAGCACTACTGGGGTTCATTTAGGGGTTTTGAGGGAAAGTCTTGTAATTCTATAATTTTAGGGCTTTAAGATCAAATATAACTAGGCAGAAAACTTGATTCTATATTTTACCAGCTGGCTATATGGACAAGTCATTTAACCTTTCAAATTCTTAGTTTCTGCACTTTAAAAATAGTTCATGATATGAGAATTAAGAGAGAAGATGCATGCAAAATGCCAGGTCATACTAGTTATGCTCTCTTCTTACTTTGGTTTGTAATTCTTTTTCTTTGGTCTGTACTTTCAATATTTTTAACTTTCTTGCAAATTTTGCCAAATAGTTACTATAATTCATCTTTTACTGTTTCCCTTCACCTCTCCTACCTTAATTTATCAACTTATCTGAGTACAGAGAGGACTCTTTAAGCCAGGAGACCACAAAGCTAAATATTACTTTGAGGTCAGAGCTGTACTGAACAAAACTTTGTAATCACCTATATGTCTGCTTTATTCAATAGTTGCTACAATCAACACCACCTCCCTTTCAAATTAATAGATATTAAGAGGTTGAACTGCTTTTACGTTCACTTGGAGTTTCCAGTGTGCTGTGGCTGTAAAACCAAACTATTTCAAACTAGGATATGTTAATAGAAATGGAATGCTTAGAGCAAGAGAATCTGGTTTTATCCTGATTCAGGCTGGGCCACCCACGGTCAGAATGGAGTATCCAGTTGTGGGAATTATACTTTGCTACCAATACAGACAAAGAGTAGTGTGTTAAAGAGGGAATCATGTTGACAGTAAAGTGATGACAAAAACAAGCCAGGTAAGAACAAGCAAGAAATTTGAGCTATGAAGGGATAAGATGATGAGGAATGGACTAAGATGTGATCATGGGTAACAAAAATCTGAAAAGTGGGATTCAGTGTATTCTATGAAACTGCAAATGAATAGAATTAGATCCAATGATTACATTTCACAAAGATGTGTAGGCTTGACTTTGTGAGAAACAACTTTCTAACAACAGAGGAATCCCAAGATGGAATTCACTGGTCTATAAGGTAGTAAGCTCCCATTTCTGCAAATGTTGTTGGGAAGAATGTTATCCATGTCCATATTTTCTTGGAAATGACATTAAACAACTTAAAAAATTCCTGAGGTTCTATGGATGAATCATAGAGATACTGTACAAGCAGGAAAACATTTCTCAAACTGTGTTCCTCAGAATAGGCATGTTTTAATGTAAGGGTTTTACAATCAAGCAAGTTTGAAAAATGCTTATTTGGCTTGGTTAAACACCTTCCTAGAGCATTTATTTAGTTAATGAGTACTGTGAATCTCCAAAATTGTACAGGCTATATAAAAAGTTTCCAAAAATTGTTTGGTCACAGAACCCTTTCATTTACTATGCAGTTTTTCCTAGCGGAACATCTCATAATACTAGTGTATGGTAAGCACTTGTGTACTCTTGCAGTGGTAGAGTAGGCTTTAGAGTCATAAAGAAACAGGCTTAAATCATAGCTCTTCCATTTACTAGCGATCTATTTTTGGACAAGTTACTTTTATTTCTCTGTGTTTCCTTTATCTCATGTGCAATACCTACAAGGTCTGAATGATGCATAGCATAATACTTCTACATTGTAAGACTATTACAAATGTTGACCATGACCATCATTATCATCATCATCATCATCATCATCATCATCATCATCAATATTCTGGACAAGATCTGATAGAGGCTCTGCTTCTACAGTAGTCTTTAGAGTCATTTGAGATTTAATGGAATAAAATGCTAATGGCATTAGTTTTTGGGAAGTGAACTTGGCAATATCAATTTAATTTTAAAATATGCATGTGCCCTGACCTCTCCAATCCTTTTCAAGAAAGCTACCTTCAAAAGTATTTGCACAAACACACTAATATGCAAGTACACTAGAAAATTGTATACAATATCAAAAGACTAAAAAAACAATGTCTATCACTGAAGGCTTTTTACTAAAACAAAACAGCAACACAAAACAAGACTTTCCACTGTGGTATTCAATGTGGTCATTAAAAAGAATGATATAGATCTGTTAGTGTTGACACGAAAAAATTTAGTAAGTGATTGAGAACTGTAACATTTTGGAACTCAAAGAGTGCTCAGAGATAGAAGCCTAGCTCTCTTGTTTTACAGATGGGAAGATAACATCCGTAATGGTAACTGACATCATGACATCAGAGATGTGATCTAGCTATAGAGTGGCCAGGAAACTCTACCTGGTATATCTCCACTGCCCTGGTGTATAACAATAGGTCCAAAAGGAGAGAAGCCCTCAAGATTCTTACCACCTCATTTAGCCCCACCAACATCTGTGTAAATCAGCACCAAGCAAATCAACAGCCGTGTAAGTCAGCATGTAGAAAGGGTAAAGACAACCTTTCTCACAAGTCGAGGAGCCTCCACCTACTAGAAAGCACTCCTTATTTGTCTCCAGGCTGCCCAAAAGAATCAGACAGGAAGAATGTTGGCTCAGTGACCATCTGGTTTGGGAATGGGAACGGACGGCTGTCATGTTCTGAAAAGCCCATTAACGTTCACTGAATTATTCAGTTTCTTCCTTGCTCCTTCACAGAGTGATCTGTCTTTTACGGATCCATTCAGTGCTTTCCAACTTTCCACTCTTCAAGAAGGAAGTCATGCTTTGTAAACTTTCCTGTATAGCTGAGTGTGGAAGAAAATTCAATGCTCAGACCATCTTTGGTCCCATTTTATCCTATTCCAATACAGCCACTGATTTTGAAAGGTCGCTAGGCTGGGGTGGGAAAGCACTGGTGCTAGAGAATATGTATTCAAGTTCCAACTCTCCCATCATTAACACCACAAACTTGGACATGCTGCTTCACATCCTGAGTCCAATTTCTTCTTCTCCAATTTTACAGATGAACTGTAATATTACTTTAACTAACATGGGTCTTTAGATAACTAAGTAGAAAGAAATATATGCAAACCTGCTTGTAAACAAAGAATCACAAAACAAATTTTATATACACAGTACTTACTATTACAACATCGAGGTATTGGAAGGAAATCCTTATCATTTGTCTAAATTGGTCTTTAACTTTAGTGAGTTCTGATACATCTAAATAAAATTTGAAAAGCAACAAAACATGTAAAATTGACTTCAAAGAATTTTAGATTTGAACAGACTATTGCCCTTAGCATCATGATCCAGGCTGCTGTATTTACTATCAGAAGTTGAGTTCTGTAGTGGTTTAGAGACAAGAACTCAGTATTGTGTCTCTACCAATTTTTTTGGATATCAATGTTTTCCTAAGCTACTGTTCCCTCAATCTCTTCTTCACCTTTGCCTAAGGGAAAAAAAGAAGCTTAATAGAATGAATAAGTCACTTATCACTTATGTTTCAAAATACCCCTCTGAGCTAGGAGGGTCATCAGGGAATTTGGCATGTAAGACAAAAAAAAATGGCTTATATCTTTGGCAGACAAACACGGAATGAATAACAGGGACATAAATGTGATGAAGATTGAACAGGGAACAGTTGAGCAATTGAGTAACATGACTCATTCTTACCTCATTCATATTTATTAACAGTAATAATAGTCTGCAGAAGGGCTCCAATGTGTCATAGCTTTATTTGTTTCATCTCATTTAATCTTCCTAATAAACCTATGGTGTGAAGGTTAATTCTCACTTCTAAAGAAGGAGGAAACTGTGGATCAAACATATTGTGTAATTTGCCCAAGATTTCAAGATGAGTAAGAGATAGAGGCTTAACCAGGGTTGCCTAAATACAAAGAACTTTTGTATACAACACACCAGTGTTTCTCCTTGGATGGACAGACTTCACATGCCTTCCATGTTGGAATTGTGCTTAGCATATAATCAATGTCCACGAGATGTCCTTTGTTTATGTTGAGTTAGCATTGCTGCATAGCGGACAAAAAAAGCTAGAGAAAACTAAGAAACTTCTAAATAAATCACATTGAATGATAAGAGGGTAGAACCATTGCTGGTCTATACATTATAAATCCCAAGTTTTCCTCTTGTCTTGAACATCAATATATTGTGTGACTTTGGGCAAGGCACTAAACCTTTCAATGCCTCAGTTTTCCTGCCTGTAAACAGGGACTGTTATACTAGCTTCACGTATCTATCTGGGTGGTTCCAGAAATCAAATGAGATGTCAGGACAAGCACTTGGCAATAGAAAGGCATTGCTGTTATCATCGTTCTTTATGACTAAGCATAGGGTTTATGGTATCTCTCTCTGAAAAATAACTGTGATAAACTCACATAAGCAAAGGGCTGGGAGGATTGTATGCAAAGACATGAATGGAGGGGAGTAGGAGGTGTGTGGGTGAGCAAGATGAGTAATATGGGTACTGTGAGGCACGAGAAGTATTACAAGAGTTCATGGGAGGCTGAATTCAATCCAGGATAACAAGTCTGTAGGGTGAACTGGAGGTGAGACAGGTGATACACAGAAGTGGATTTTGGAAGAAGTCAAAGACGGGATTGATTGACTCACTTATTCACTTCTGGCCCCATCTCCTGCAACCACAAAACAAGTGTTAACCCCATGGAATAGCTTGAGGCAGAAAAAAAGTGTCTTTAGTAGGATTATACTGGGAACTTACTAAGTATATAGGAATGGGAAGATAGTCAAGAGCAGTAATTACAAAAAGAATAGTCATAAGGACGAAGTGATGTATTAAAAAGTGATTAAAACAGAGCATTGAATATAGCCAGCACTTAATGAATGGTAGTGATGATAGTGGTAATGTTCATTGGATGCTTAGGAAATATGAAAAATAGAAATGTATATAACGTAGCCCCTGACTTCAAGAAACTCACAATTGGCAAGACCATTCAGGAGGCTTGAAAGAGGAAGAAAGAAAATAGAACTCTCACAGATTGCTTACAAAATGGTTCTAATACCTCCACTTATTCCTGTATCCACATCTTTTGAAATGCTACTTAACAGCTTCCCCCATTAAGTGGAGTCTTTCTCTCTAACCCTCAAATCTGGGCTAGCCTTGGATTTTGCTTTGCCAGTAGAATGTGGCAGAAGTGACTGTGCTAGTTTTGAATGTAGGTCCATGAGGTCTTACATACATTTGCTTTGTCTCCTAGATCCTTGCCAGCTGCCATGAAGACAAGCCCAGGCTAGCTAGATAATGTAAGACACATGGTTGGTCAAGTGACCCATCTCCCAAGTTGACAGCCAATTGCCAAGCAATGAATGAGGCTGTCCTAGACTAGCCAGCCCCAATTGACCCACCAGAAGGCTGCAAACACATGTGTGACAACAGCTGATGTCTTCACAGCCTGGACAGATAAGAACTTCCCAGAAAATCTAAAGACTTGTGGGCAGTGAGAAATTGTTTTGTTTTAAGCCACAAAGCGTTTGAGTGGTTTGGTATTTAGTCATAGATAACTGATACTGGAATTGTATTCATTCCTATATACCACCTTCTCCTACCATCATCACTACTGCTCTGTGAGCTTTTGCATCATGGACCCCATTTTTCAGATGAGGAAAGAAAGATTTAGTGAAGTGAAAAGTAACGTATCCAAGGTCAGGGGACTAGAAGTGGTACAGTCAAGGCTTTACTCAGTCTGTCTGTTCCACATTCTATGTAGTTTATACTACATCACACTACCTTGAGTAAGGTGAAAAAAATGACTTGTGGGTTGATCAGGGTGTTTGGCTTTAGGACAAGGGTTGAATGTAGTGGAGACAGGAGAACAGGCCATCCATGGGTGGGGCTCCATGAAGGCATGCACCAAAGTTTGAGTAAGAGAACACCAAGAGTGAAAGCAATAAAGGTCAAGTGGGATGATTCTTGTCTAACCTTCTTAAATCATGAAAGAAAGGAAAAGTTGATCACTAAGTAAAAACAAGTCAGGAAACAAGGAGGGATTTCAGGAAGAAAGAATGACACAGGTGAGGGCTGGAAACATGGTGAATCAACATTCCCATCCAAAAAAGGTGTGACCTTAAGTGGGAAAGAAGAGAAATGGTTTAAAATTGGAATATCATAGCCAAACTTGGGACAGCATAGAATTTCCAGTAGTTCTCCAGCAGTACAACTCCCCCCTTGCAAGGAGAAACAAATTTGGAAGAGAAGTCTGGAAAGAGCATTTTATCAGAGCCTACGAAAATCTGTGTCTTGAACTATACCAGAAATCTGCATGCACCTTTTTCATTGCTCCTTTGTTCAAGATCCTTTCTCATGCTCTGTAAGTAAGGGAATTCTTCAAGGCTTTCTCCTTGGAATTGATGCTACTGCCGCTCACCTAATAATTATAACCACATGCACACTTCTAATCTCTCTGGAGTCCAGTGGAACATGAGACTAGTCCTGACCAATAAGTTGTAAAGATAAGTATTATGTGTCTTTTCCATGCCAGAATATTTAAGGGATAAACTGAAGATCCACCCACCAGAGGTCTTTTTCCCTCTGGTGCAGAGACAACATTGAAGATAGTGGTTCCATCAACTTGGTTTCCTAAGTCACAGCGTATAGGAGAGTTTCCCTGTCAACCAGTGATGAAAGCAATAAATAAACCTTTGTTATTTTAAACGACTGAGAGATGGAGGTTGGTTGTTACTGAAACAGACCCTACTTTCTTCTGAATAAGGAACATTCTTCTCTTTGCTGGTCAGATGAAAACGCATTAAAGTGTGTTCTTTGTAACATCAGTCCCGAGAGGTTATCTATTAAAAGAATTCTATTGTCAATAAACTCTGGGCAGCACTGCCTACCCTAGCATCATCTTAGAAAATCTATAAACACTTTGGAGCAAATCGGAGTATGCTATTCTAGACTCTGTCTTCAGCAAACTTATCTATTCTTTAGGTTTCAAACACCACATGTATGCAGCTTATTTCTAAATACACAACTCCTCACTCTTAGAGGTCCCCACATAGAATGTTATTCTGACACTTCCAGTTCAATATGGAAGATCTCATGATCTTCCTACAACTCAATCTGCTCCCTATTTGTTTACCATACTTCTCTAAAGATACTAAGACATTTTCTATTTTCTTATATGTATATAGTTCCAAGCTCCCTAAAGTCATAAAATTACTCCATCACTATATATGCCTAAACCAAGCACAAAAAATGACCCATTATATGTGTTAATAATGATTATTAAAAGGACTGGCTCCTGGGAAGCAGCTTATAACTGTAAGGATATTTATTCTATCCTTTGAAATATGACTTTTATGGAAAATACATAGGTTTTAGAGTTCAGGAAAGTTTGGTATGCATTTCAGCTCCCCCTTCATATCTTGCAAACTTGGCATGTTAATTTACCTGAGTTTTTTTTTTTTTTTTTTTTGTAAAATAGAGATAAGAATATTAACACGTAACATTGTAGTGAATATTAAAGTATACTTTACAGTTTCACCAAACATGTGAAATGTGCTTAAAATTTTAAGTTATCTTGTCTTTCCTCCTGAACAAATAATGATCTTTGCCAACATTTAAGTACTGTTGGTACCATTTGAGTTATTAATTTTCTGGAAAGAAAGTACAAGCTCTAGGAAGGTTATGTTTAATGTATCTTAGAAAATCTCACTGTGATCAGGTCTTCACTGTGATTTTGTTTTCTTACTACCTTCTGGTTCTAGCCACGTCTTTCTCTCTCTCCTCAATATGTTGCCTTGTTCCTGGGCATCATCATCTGTCATTCAGCTCCACCACCATTCTGGCTATTCCTTAACTGCTGTTGGTCTTTTCACTAACCCATTCTCCACATTGCTCCCAGAGTCATCTTCTATCTAAAACGGCAACTAACTCTCCTCCTGAGAACTTTTGAATGGGACCTCATTGCTCTTAGAATAAAGACCAAGCTCCCTTCATGGCTTGAATTACCAGAAAGGCACTTCAGGATGTGCCTCTCTGACTACTTTAGCCTTACCTCCTACCAGTCTCCTCTTTAAATTCAACATTTCAACTATACTGAACTGATTTGATTATGCAAACAGGCTGTATTTACTTGCATTTGCCAATACTGAGTCCTTTACCAGGCACACAATATCCTAGCCCTTCATCTTGTCAACCTCAATTCATCCCTCAAGGTTTGGCTGAGAAACCTTGAAGAAGGTTTCCCTGTCTAAGAAATCTTCCCTGGCCTCATTCCCATGGCACTCGGCTACACTCCAATATATTGTCTGCGCCCCTGATTAGAACACGTATCAGGTTACTAGTCTGCCTCTCCCACTAGGAATTCCCTGAGGGCAGGCACAATGCTTGAGTAGGAACTCAGTAGAGAGATGTGTTTTGAATGAATGAATAAATGTGTTCTTTCAAGAGTAGCAGCAGTCATTAGTTCTGTTCATTGAATTTGTCAGTTAATGCTTTTTGATCATGTGGCAGAATGCACATTCTTGCCCCCTTGTAGATGGGTTAGCTAAGTAATTAGTTCCAGCCAACGAGACATAAGTATTATCTGTGGGTTGAACATTTAATTGTCACCGTAAGTCCCTCCAGAACTCTTTATTCTTTGACACAGAGACAGGCAACATTAAAGTTGGTGGCTGCTCCATCAGCCTACATCTCATTAGGGACACATTAGTAAGAAATTAATCCTGCCATTTTAAACAATTGAGCTTTCAGGATTGTCTGTAACTACAACATAACCCATCCTGACCCATACAGAAGGGATGCAGAAAATGTGACCTAGTAGAGTGAAGGAAGTGTAGAAGGAGGGAAAGTGATGGTGGAAATAAGGTCCCTCTTGTTGTTAAGGCTGAGAACTCTCCTGAGAGGTTAAGCAGCAGCTTCCTCTGGCTCAAGGTGAGCAGCACTTGTGAGGGACCCAAGGGCTTGGCAGGTGTGCAGAGGCACATTTATAGCGTGGCTGACATTTATGATCAACATCAGGTTATGGCTGGGTAAAGAAAAAGAGTTTTAAGGTCATGATGTCACCGGAATAAAACTCCCTGCACATAATATGAGTAATCTCTGTGGCTCCTCTCTTTGTGGACCAGTTTGGGGTAAATTTTTTATCCCAGGGTTTTGTTCTAAAGTTTCCGTGTAGCCAGGAAGCAGAGTCAGGCCATGCTGATGATTACTAGTGAGTATACCTGACATATGTACCTAAGAATGCATTCTCTCTTGAGTAGACTGCACGACTGGGAAGTCTTCATAGTTTATTGGGATGTTCTCTTCAGTTCATTCTTGTTGGTGGCATGCAAGCATTGCTTTTATGAGGGAGATATTACTTGCAATCCGTTTTGCAGAGATAAAGTGTGGAGCTCAGAACTTATCTAAATAATTCCAGAAAGAAAATAGAAAAGATAATATTAAAATCAGTATAATATTAAAGATAATCCTTGAAGAGTGCTGTCTCTGGGATAGGCACAATGCTAAATGTTTCCCATGAATTTTGTCATTTATTCCTTCCAGTGACCTTATAATGTAAATATTATTTTTTATCCACTTTTACAGATAAAATATCTAAGGCTCAGAAAGATTTAGTGACTTTCCAAAGGTCACACAGTAAAGAAGTGTTTGAGCCAAAACAAAAATTGAGCAATCTGACTTCAGAGCTGTGCTCTAGACTACTTCATTACTCTATGTTCCAAAGGAATAAAGTATGTTAAATCTCTCCTTTATGTTAAGCGCAAAGAAGGGAAATGTGCTTAGTCATAAGAAAACTTGTTTTTGGACAGAATCATTAACTTGCTAAAGATTTACAGGTGGTAGAGATTCTTCTCAAGTTCCCCCACCCCCACTGGGTTGCTTCCTTTGGAGTCTCCTAAACTTCCTCTCTCGCCTATTAATCTGGCAGGTAGTTAGCCTAATCCTTCTCTTATGGCCAGTTCCAGATGATTTTTCCAAACTCCAAAAATTATGCCTCTTTGGAAGTCCATTCATCATTCATTCACTCAGTAAGTATATTGAGATTCTTCGCCACATCAGGGGGATAGAACTATTTAGATAATGTCATGAGAGAGATGAAGAGGAAATAGAGTAGAATTTTCTGAGGTCCTCCTAAAATCTTACTATCAAGTACTTTACATATATTATCTTATTTAATCTTCAGCAATTCAATAAGGTAGGTATCATTCTTTCCATTTTATAGGTTAGATAAGCAAGGCTTAGAAAAACTGAGTAAGAAGATTTGAAACTCAAGTTTTGCTGGCTTCAAAGTCAATAGTCAATCTACCCTTCTAGTCTAGAAGAGGCTGCTTTCTTTCTGATGTGTCATAGGTAGAACAGTTCCAAATGATGAGACACTCAGTGCCTGATACTGCATCAGAGTCATCTGGAGTTTAGGTGAACAGTGCAATTTCTGGGCCTCACACAAGACTTGATGATTTGGGGTCTATGGGGTTGAGTCCCAGAGATCTGCATTGCAATGGGATTTTTGGATGATGTCTGTGAACATTATCATAGGCATCTGATCATGTTTATGTCTTATAAGCACTTTATGAAAGGAAGAGTGTAAAACCTCCTCAGGAAAGAAACAGTGAGTGTAGAGCTGGTGACCTCAGGCTGTCAGGGCAGAAGTGATCAAGACTGATGGCTTGGGCCAGAGGAGGAAGGCAGGATGTGTTCACGTGTGTACGTATATATGCATGCTTTAATGTGTATGTGTTTATGTGAACACATGCATGTGTGTGTGTGGTGCTGAAAGACACTAGAGAGAAGAAAGAAAAGAGACTCCCATATCTCATTTGATTCAAGTATTCACACCCCTTTAATTTTTCCAAGAGATTATTTGAACCATTTTATTCCCAAACTCTTCTTCATTATTTTTTGTCTCTTCATACTGGTTTTTTTTCTCTAGCCTTCATTTTATCTCACTTTACTTATATTACTTCATAGTACATCTACTGTTGTCTCTTCCTTGTATAATGTGAGCTCCATTTGGAGTTATGCTTCTCTGATTTCCCAAGAAAAATTGCATCCAGAGGATGTTCTATTTAGAGGTAGTGTGTATGTAGGTTAGGTTTCTTAAATCAGATTGCCTGGGTCAAAATTCTGTTTCTATCATCTAGTTATTTAATTGCTTGATGGCCTTGAGCCAGTATATATTGTGACATCTATAAACACACACACACACACACACACACACACACACAGGCTTTGTGACTGCCACCCAGGTCGATATATATATTTTACTACCCATATTTGGTGTTATGTATTTTGGGAGATGTTAACCAATAAGCACTATAGTCTGGAAATTGTCACCACAGACATCTAGTTTCAAATCCCACTTCCACCATTCACTAGTTCTATGACCTTGAACAAGCCTTCTAAACTTCTTGAGCCTCCATTTTTTTTCCATAGCTAAAATGGGGACCATAATATCTGAATCTTAAGTCTTGTGCATGTGTTAAAATAGATAACCCATGTTTAACATATAGCTTAGTATCTTGTATATAGTAGCTATTTAGTAATATTTGACATCTCTGTATAATACATCTCTATCAGAGATGTTTGAAAGAACATAAGGCCATCTGGGATAACTCCTTGCCAGTGAAAGAGTTACCTAAACAACAGCCCTGATAAGAAGGTGACTGATTATTTCATAAATTCCAGAAACAGAAAACTCAGTTCCTTGCTAAGCAGTACCTGGTAGCAATTTAACTTTTTCCATGTAGAAATGCAAATCCCTGCTTTAGAAGAGAAAGCTTAGTTTTATTCTACAAGCTCTGTATCTTTTTTTACTGGGCAATGCTTTCTCATACAGTGTCTGCTTTTCATTTGATGACAAATATTTTAGATTCTTGTTGACTATACCGTGAATCTGCACCTGGGCACTGGAGCATCACCTGCATCATGAACTGAAATATTTAAATCTGCCATCTAGCTCTAATACCTGACTTATGAGTTATTTGAAACTGTTTCACAGTCAAAAGGGCACTATTATAAAAACCTGTCTCTAATAAGCAGAGGTGCCATTTGAGGTTTTTCTGTGTAGGAACATTGTTTTAGGCATTTTACATTTAATTTAATTTTCACATATCATCTTATTTAATCCTCCCAAAAAACTTTGAAAAAGATGTTACTATCCCCTTTTAAGTTTAAATTTAAATGTCTTCATTTAAATATGAGGAAACTACGTCTTGGGGTGAAGGAGGTAGTAACAAATTGTAGAACTAATACATACTCTGAATTTAGGCATGTGTGACTCCAAATTTCATGGGAGAAAATGTTTTCTTACCTCACTTTTTAAAAATTAATGTTTCCTATATTGAGGAACACTCTCCTTTATTGAGTTCAATATGTGGTTAAATGAATATTCAATTTACTAACTAGAGTCTTAGAGAACTGCTTAATTGGGTATTTTATTATTTCAATTATAAAATATAATGGAGACACAAAAAAGCACACGTAACAAAAAAATGAGTTATTGTGAATATAGCAGCTTAGTGACTGCCACCTGGCTTAAGAAATAGAATCTTTCCACTACTCCAATAGCACTACCTTGTGTCCTGTCTCAAATCAACCCCATATCCCAACCTCTCCCCTAGAAAACTGACATCTTTCCTGACTTATTTCTAGTCATCTCCTTCTGTATGAGTCCATTCTCATACTGCTAATAAAGACATACCTGAAACTAAGTAATTTATAAAGGAAAGAGGTTTAATGGACTCACAATTACACATGGCTGAGGAGGCCTCACAGTCAAGCAGAAGGCAAACGGAGAGCAAAGGCACATCTTACTTGGCAGCAGGCAAAAAAGCTTGTGCAGGGAAACTGCCCTTTTATAAAACCATCAGATCTTGTGAGACTTATTCACTATCAAGAGAACAGCATGAAGTAAAAAACAAAACAAAACCCATTCCTGTGATTCAATTACTTCCCACCAGGACCCTTCCATGACATGTGGGATTATTACAATTCAAAGTGAAATTTGGGTGGGGACACAGAGCCAAACCACATCATTCTGCCCCTGGTGACTCCCAAATCTTATGTCTCTTTCACATTTCAAAACACAATCATGCCTTCCCAACAGTCCCCCAAAGTCTTAACTCATTTCAGCATTAACTCAAAAATTCACAATCCAAAGTGTCATCTTAGATAAGGCAAGTCCCCTCTGCCTATGAGCCTGTAAAATCAAAAGCAAGTTAGTTACTTCCCAGATAAAATGTGGGTACAGGCATTGGATAAATACATTCATTCCAAATGAGAAAAATTGGCCAAAATGAAGGGGCCACAGGCACCATGCAAGTCCAAAATCCAGTGAGTCAGCAAAATCTTAAAGCTCTGAAATAATCTCCTTTGACTCCGTGTTTCACATCCTGGTCATGCTGTTGCAAGAGTTGGGCTCCCATGGCCTTGGGTAGCTCTGTCCCTGTGGCTTTGCAGGATCCTGCCCTTGGCTGCCTTCACAGGCTGGCATTGAGTGTCTGCAGCTTTTCCAGGTGCATAGTGCAAGCTATCAGTGGACCTACCATTCTGGGGTCTAGAGGATTGTGACACTCTTCTCACAGCTCCACAAGGCAGTGCCCCAGTGGGGAATCTGTGTGGGAGCTCCAACCCCACATTTTCCTTCTACACTGACCTAGCAAAGGTTCTCCATGAAGGCCCCACCCCTGCAGCAAACTTCTGCCTCTACATCCAGGCATTTCCATATATCCTCTGAAATCTAGGTGGAGGTTCCCAAACCTCAATTCTTGCCTTTTGTGCACCTGCAGGCTCAGCACCATGTGGGAGTTGCCAAGGTTTGGGGTTTGCACCCTCTGAAACCACAGGCTGAGCTGTACCTTGATCCCTTTTAGCCATAGCTGGAGGAGCTGGGATTCAGGGCACCAAGTCCCTAGGATGTACATAGCAGGAGGACCCTGGGCCCAGACCAGGATACTGTTTTTTCCTCCTAGGCCTCTGGACCTATTATGAGAGGGGCTGCTGCTAAGGTCTCTGACATGCCCTGGAAACATTTTCCCCTTTGTCTTGGCAATTAGCATTCAACTCCTCATTACTTATGCAAATTTATGCAGCAGGCTTGAATTTCTCCCCAGAAAATGGGTTTTTCTTTTCTACTGCATCATCAGGCTGCAAATTTTCCAAACTTTTATGCTCTGCTTCCCTTTTAAAGGTAAGTTCCAATTTCAGATCATATCTCTCAAGTTCAAAATTCCACAGATCTCTAGGTCAGGGGCAAAATGCCACCAGTCTCTGAATAGCAAGAGTGACCTTTATTCCAGTTCCCAAAACATTCCCCATCTCCATCTGAGACCACCTCAGCTTGGACCTTGTTGTCCATATCACTATCAACATTTTGGTCAAAGCCATTCAACTAGTCTCTAGGAAATTCCAAACTTTCTCACATCTTCCTGTCTTCTGAGCTCTCCAAGTCTCTAGGAAGTTTCAAACTTTCCCACATTTTCCTATCTACATCTGAGTCCTCTGAACTGCTCCAACCTCTGCCTGTTACCCCATTCCAAAGTGACTTCCACACTTTCAGGTAGTTTTATAGCACCCCACTCTACCAGCACCAATTTACTCTATTAGTTTGTTCTAATGCTGCTAATAAAGACATATCTGAGACTGGATAATTTATAAAGGAAAGAGGTTTAATGGAGTCACAGTTCCACATGTCTGGGGAAGCCTCACAATTATGGAGGAAGGTGAAGAAAGAGCAAAGTCACATCTTACATGGCGGCAGGCAAGAGCTTGTTAGGGAAACTGCCTTTTTATAAAACCATTAGATCTCATGAGACTTATTCACTATCACAAGAGCAGCATGGGAAAAACCCAATCCTATGATTCACTTGCCTCCCACTGGCTCCCTCCCACAACACTTGGGGATTATTACAATTCAGGGTGAGATTTGGTTGGGAACACAAAGCCAAGCCATATCACCTTCTGTTTCTTTATAGATTTGTTACCTAAGTATCCATCTCTAGACACCATGATTTAGGCTTGCTCATTATTTTTTTTAATGTTGAGTCTATTAATCTATAGGTTCACCCTCTAACCCTCACTTTTCCTTACTCTTCATCTGCAAGAGTACTGAGGGCATCTGGGAAGTCTCCCACAGTCTGGATTGTGTTTGTTGCACATTTATAGCACAGGACAACATGTTCCCCTGTCCTATTTCTTGCAAAGTGGCAGCTGGATCCAAGACCTGATGAGACTCAGTTCAATCCCTTTGGTAACATTGGAAGTGGTGATGAGTTCTTCCATCAACAACTGCATTATGACTGCTGGTTTTTCTTGTGATGTTCAGAGCTGTTGATGATTAGTAATTGGATCTATCAATTCACTGGGGAGAGGGAGTTCAAAATAGTCTAATTTTATTTTATTTTTTGCATTTATCTACTGGGATATTTTTATAAAAATCACATTCCATTACCTACTATTTAGTTAACCAGTGGTACAGTTGCTATAGGAAGGGCAGGATAAATGCTTGAGTCTTTCCCTTTATTCACCAATTTTCAAGGTAATGAATTGGTTTTAATCTCATCTTATATGAAGTTGAGTTCCATTTACATTAATTTAAATGTACTTGATGGATTTAATCAGATTTTAATTTTTTTCATTTTTAATTTTTTTTGACACAGGGTTTTGCTTTGTTGCTTAGGCTGGAGTGCAGTGGTGCAATCATGGCTCACTGTAGCCTTAACTTCCCCAGCTCAAGCAATCCTCCCACTTCAGCCTCCAGAGTAACTGAGACTACAGGTGTGTGTCAACACACCTGGATAATTAAATTTTTATTTTTATTTTTATTTTTGTAGAGATGGTGTCTCATTATGTTCCCCAGGCTGGTCTTGAACATTTGGGCTTAAGAAATTCCCCCACCTCAGCCATCCTAAGTTCTGGGATTTATAGGCATGAGCCAGGCCCAGATTTTTAAATCTTTGAGAAAATAAAGGTCCTTGACAAAATATAGAAATTTTCAGGGAGAATTTCAACACCACTCTCATATAGAGCTATGGGACAAAGTAATCATTTAAAAGCCACACATCTATTTATTGGGAACTTAATGTGCACATGAAACACTTTTTTCTTTAGAAAAATATTCCCTCTTCCCAAAGGAGGTCACCTTCACACTATTAATGAAAAAACACTTAAGGTAAGAAGAAACAGAATGGGACAGTGCTTTATAGGAAAATTAGTAAGAGTGTACCCTTTTTCTTCTCCATATCTTTCTTTTTCTCCTCTTTCTTGTCTTTTTTCCTTTTGAGTATGGAGTGCTGAAAATGTACTTGAATTTTCAAGTACAGACTCCAAATTAAAAGACAGAGCAAGAATCTCTTCAAAGTCTTCTATGCAACATTGGATTAATGAAGCTCTCCAGTTTTGTGGTTCAAATCAGGGAAGGCAATGAGGAAGTTGATGGTATGGTTGGCTTGTCAAACAGGCTCTGATATGTCATGCAGGCACAGTGTAGAATCCAAGTCTCCATGAAACCAAGGATGGATAATGTGGTTCATATAGAAAGGTTAAATATGGATGTTTCTTTTTTCTTTGACAATCCTTTCAGTATTTATACTTTTGGTTTACTCAGTGAAAAAAGCTGAATATAGCAGTGTTCTGGGAATTGTAAGGGAGTTAAAAGTGAAAGAGATTGTACTCTGCATCGTACACTCTACCACTTATTTTATGGCTGGATAATTTTTGGGAAATTCCTTAAACACTTTGAGCCCAATGTTTCTTAATTGTTAAATAGAAAAGAAGCATGTCAGTCTACTTTGCAAGGTCATTGCGGGCATTCAACAAAGTAATTTCTGTGAAGTGCATGGCGCAACACTGAGCACAGACCAAGCACTCCAAATATATTGGTTTCCTTTTTTTTTTTTTTTTTTTTTTTTTTGCCTCCTGGCTTTCAACCAATCTTAGAAACGTATTTTTTTTTCTATGTGAAAAACTAATGGAATTGGAAAAACTCAGGTAAATGAGTACTTATAGCAATTTTCTGGTAATGAGTTATTATACAAAAAACAAACAATTAATTTTTTTTTTTTAAAAAAGAAACAGAAAGGGAAGATGGGAGGATTTTTGTAGAGGGATATAAAGGCAAGAAAAACAGAAAGGAGGGAACAGAGACACAGATACAAAGATGAAATGCTGCAAGCCATACATAGGGATCAGTTTACAACTGGGTGAGCTGTAGTTGAAGGTGGACATAAAGATGTAGGGGTAATTGAAACTGGAAAGCTAGACTTGTGGATGGGTGGAGGCACTGATGTGACCCTGAGAAAGGATGACTAAGCTCTCAGTGGGTAATGACACGTCTGTATCTAAACATAAAACATTAAAAAAATCAAAATAGGTGTTTGGTGACTCAAACCTAGGGAGAGATTCCTCAAACACTGGTGAGAACAAAAACACCAAGGAAGGAAGAATATTTTGGGGAAGATTAATTATGTTTGAATAAAGTTGTTTATTTTCATTGCTATAAAACAGCCTCACGATTCAGCTTTCTTCTGGCAAATGACATCTCCACCAGGAAACACCCATGGATTTCTGTGCCTCACGCTGAGTTCCATCTGTTGCTGTGTTGCTCAATGGCAAAAGGCACCCATATTTTCCCTTGCAGAAGATATATTTATTTCTTGATATGCACAAAGTCAGAAGCATATTTCTTTTGGCTTATTTGATTTCATAAAGGGGCAACCACAGTAAATTCTAAATATTTAAAATCTGATTAATTCATTCAAAAACTGCTATGCAACAATGTTGTCATTGAGAAGTGATGCAGATGGAAAAGAGTCTTATCTTCCTCCTGATAACTGAGAAACCAATTACAAGGGGATAATCATTTGTCTCCAGAGGAAGGCAATGTGAGGTAGTGAAAGGGGAACTGGGCTAGGAGTCAACACTTTTGTAGTCTTCTATGAGCTCAGTGGCAGCCTGCTTGTGTAATCGTGGCAGTCTCATGACTGCCTGTGTATTCAAAAGGGCACAGGTTTTAGAGACACATTGGCTCAAGTTAAATTTCTATTTTTATCACTTACTAGGTATACAGCCTTGGGCTGTGCTCTGAGTACCAGTGTACTCACATGAAGTATTTTAATAGTCATTAGCTACCTGTATTGCCAGATATGAGACACTAAATTAAGCACTTATTTGTTGATCAGGCCCACAGATAATATTCATACAAAGTAAATTTTCCTCTCCCTATAATTTAACTGAGTCTCTTTAATTGCAGATGAAGGCAATAAATTCATGCCAGTTCTAGGAAGTTGCATGATTCAAATAAATATATATATTTGTGTATAGAGATGAGAAGCTTTATAAATTGTAATAGTATTGCTATTTGAAACTGTTCTTATTTTGGCACAAGATGCCAAAAATAAAGAAATTATGAGAGGAAAAATAAGGGTGCAAACAATGATAAAGTATTATGTGGCAGATACCATGCTAGGTGCATTTATTTATTAGTTGTGTAAGCCAGGGGGCAAGAAATACTAGTTGCTGTAGTAAACAATCCCCAAAAAAACATTTATGTACAGTGATCACAGTCCAATATGGCTGGAGCAGCTTTTCTCTATCTGAGTGACATCTTTCATCTCAGACCTCTTCCAGGACCTTAGAGTCCTTCCCTGGATTTTTTTTAAACATCTAACTGATAACTAGGGAAGGATTAGTGGGTAGAAAGTTCTGAGGTCCAGGGGAAGAAATGGCCTATGTCACAACTGCCCCATTCTTTTGGCTAGATTTAGGTACCAATGCCCTTACTTAGATATAAAGAGCCTGGGCAATAAAAACTACTTATGTGCCCAGAAGGAAAATAAAAAAATTTGCAAAGCACAGTTTTACCTCTCTTGTGTTATCTCATTTAATCTTCATAAAATTATTACGAGACAGCTTATAATAAATACTTTACAAATAAGATAACTGGAGTTTATGGCTGTTAAATAACTTGCCCAAATTCACATGATTAGCAATAGGCAAGCTGGCATCCCTTAAATTACCTTTAATTGCTCAGGCTTTGAATTGGCAGCACAGACAGATCAACTTGGAGGGAGGTATATCTGCATACTCAGATTGGGTTGACAGAGTGAGAATGACCCTCAAAATATTAAAATAGTTATGGTTTGGAGAATATGCTTTCAATGCCTAATAACCAACAGCCCCAAATAAATATTATAAGGAATTATCTTCTCTAGAAAGAAATTTGCAGCAAAATTACAGTTTGTGAGAAATATTAAGACCCTTCAGGCATTTAAGGACTTACTTAGAGACACAGAATACAAACAAAATATGGAAAAAGTCCTTGTCCTACAAAGGTTCTGGCTTAGTGGAGAAAACAGGACAAATGCTTGTGTAACATTTAATGAAAATGATGTTATTAGGATAAGAAGGCATACTTGTAGAGTGCTATACAGACTGATTTATTAAGAAATTGGACTCTGTGGTTAGAATATCAGGGTTTGAATTTTTTCTCTACCGCTTCCTATATGTGTGTCTTTGGGTGAACTGTTTCTGTTCCCTGAGTCCCAGTTTTCTCATTTGCAAATGGAGAATTTGTAAATAGGAAAAGAAGTTTATATATGTATATAAGCCAAACCATAAACATATATATATATATGGTTTGGCTTAAAGCAGATGTTGGGAAATGCTTTCTTTCTCCTTTCTTTTTCCTTTCATGTAATAATACTAACAGAAATAATTTTTTTAAACTACCATTTATTGGCCAGGCACAGTGGCTCACGCCTGCAATCCCACACTTTGGGAGGCCAAGGTGGGCTGATCACAAGGTCAGGAGACAGAGACCATCCTGGCCAACACAGTGAAACCCCATCTCTATTAAAAATACAAAAAAAAAAATAGCCAGGCGTGGTGGCGGGCACCTGTAGTCCCAGCTACTCAGGAGGCTGAGGCAGGAGAATGGCGTGAACCTGGGAGGTGGAGCTTGAAGTGAGCTGAGATCATGCCACTGCACTCCAGCTTGGGTGACAGAGTGAGACTCTGTCTCAAAACAAAACAAAACAAAACAAAAAAACCTACCATTCATTACAAGTCTACTCTGTTCCTACTTGATATACTAGGTAGTTATATGCATGATTCTATTTAATTCTCAGGAGTCTCTTATTTAAGAGACAAAGTCATGTGCCTAACATCATGTCAAAGTGGTAGAGATGTAGTTGGAACCCTGGTCCTCTGGCCTCAAATCCACAAATACCACCTAGCTTTGTACTTTAGCAGCATGGGCCATCTTTTCCAATCATTAGTTGTGTTTTGATTCTCTTTAGCCTGTGTATTTAGGCACTGAGACTATTTTCTTGAATACTTCTGGTGTTTGAGGATGCATGCCTCCTTTAAACCTTACAGTATTTATCAAGCAACTTCTTGCTTATAAATTTTTTTCTGTTGAACCAAAATTTCTCCTCATATAACTTTCATTCATCAGTCATAGTTCTGCAGTCTGGGGTTTACACAGAGGAAGTCAGCTTCTGCCTTGAGGCTACCACTTGAACATTTGAATACATTTGTGATGAGCCTTAGGACTTTTCTTCTATGGAAAAATAATCCTGAGGCTTTCAACTTCTCTACGACATCTAGGCCCTTCACCTACCAGTATAGTGACTTCTGGACAGCTTATACTTTGTCATTATCTTTCTAAAAGTACTGTGCCCAGAAGCAGAGGTGGTTTCCAGTTAGAGGCCAGAACACTGTGCAGCAGACACTGTCCTGGACTCAGCAATCTCATTCATAAGAGCCTGAGATCCCATTAGCTTTCTTGGCAGCCTTATCCCATCATTGGCTCATGCTTTCCTTCCAGTCATTGTATATGCCTCAGGTGGTGAACTACAGAATGTCAGGGCTAAGAGAAACCTCAAAGATCATTTTTTGACAAAGAATGAATTGAAGCATAGCCATCCAGTTCAGTGGCTAGAAGAACGATTCATGCATCCCTCTTCCCATCTATCCACCCACCCAACAACTGTGTTTTAAGTTCCCTTTGTGTGTCAGTCTCTGTGCTGACTGCTGAGTGTACAGTGGCATACAGAATGGAAATGTTCCCTGCCCTCTTGGAGCCAACAGTCCAGAGAAGAAAACAGACTCTAATCAAGTAATGTCAAATGGAACATATTACACACCCGGTGATGAAGACTGTAGAAGATCAGAGGGCTGTGAGAAAATATAATGAGGGACCTGATATAGCCCAGAGAGAAGCCCTGCGGATCCTCAATTCAAAGGTCTCTTCTTACTGCACAGCTCTCCTTTGTCATTTAATTCACCGTAGGTAGTAAAATAAAGATAGCTACAAATTCTTTGACATTCTTTCATCTGAGATGCATGTCCATTTTCCTCCCCTAGAAACAAGTGATGCTGTGCCCATTCCAAGTCCAGCCTTGAAGAACTCTGATAGATTTCACCTTGAGTCTGCAACTGCCAAGTAGAAAATATGATTATCCTGCAGGAGAGACCACACAGAAGCACCTTGAGACTTAATGGAAAGAGAAAGAAGGGATCTGAATGAACCCAATCTTTCAGACTTCCCCACCAAGGTGTCCTCCAGACCAGCCCAGCCATCAGCTGAATACCACTGAGTGACCCCAGGTGGGGCTAGATGGAGTTGAGGAGTTGCCTAGCCAAACTGCTCAAATTTCTGACCTACAAAATTATGAGCTGTAGTAGAAGTGCTGTTTTTTAAGACTTGAGGGTAGTTTCACATGCGGCAATATATAATCAGAACATTGTATTTCCCCCTTTCTCCCTTCCATTTAGAAAGGTTTTTTTTTCTTTTTCTTTTTTTTCTTTTAAATTTCAGCACCCAAAAGCTCACATGATTTGATTCACTAAATATGCATTTTATACCATGCTAGAGGCAGTGGGGGAATAGATATTATTTGGCTATATATATATATATATATACACACATATATAACATTATTAAGAATACAAGTTTTGGAGACAGATCTTGATTTGGATCCCAGCTCTGCCAGTTATCAACTGAATCATCTTGAGAAAGTTTCTTGACTTCTGAGCCTCCTTTTCACCATTTTTAATGCAGAGATAAAAATGTGTGACTTTGTAAGTTTGTTGTAGGTTATGAAAGATAAAATATATGTGAAAACCTTATTGCAGCTTTCTGGCATATAGTGAGTGTCCGATACTATGGCTATTTTAAAAAGCATTATTTTAAACATGTAATCTTTGTCCTTAAGAATTTTACTGAATCGCGGGAGAGATAGAAAGCATCAGTGCCGTAATGAACTCCATGATGGAGGAAAGTGTAGGATACCATGGGGACATAGAGGAAGGATATTCATTCCAGTCTTGAGGAAAGTGAAGAGGGAAGACTGTCCAGAAGAAATGACATTGAGAATTAGACCTGAAGAACTAGCAACAGTTAACCATGTTAACGCGAAGGGCTAACTTCATTTTATGAATGCAGGAAATCCGTTCTTGTACTGTCTGACCTATTTATTTTTAAAAAGTGAAGAGGTAGACCATGAAGGTAACTATGTGCCAAATGCCAAGGGGAGAAAGGAAGTTGGCCAGTTCAGTAAATGGTAGGTGGCTTTTCATCACTGGAGCATGGTATCCGATTTTCCCATGTCTGGTTAAACTTGACCCATTGAATCTTCTGGGACCCTGACTCTAGTCTAGGGTATTAACTATGCTTGCTATACAATCTTCATTTCAGAACAGGTAAGTGATATTAATTATCCTTCTCTAAATAATTGCTGGAAATTTTGAGCAGAACTAGACTTGGCCCCTATACTCAGAGCTCCACTGTTAGAATTTTCCCCCTGCCTGGACACACACACAAAACCTTCATATAGAATGAGGTCAACAAGAATATTAAAAATCACGTGTGGAAATAACCCACTATAAAGGACAGCAAACAGAATAGGTAACAACCCCAAGTATATGAGATAACAAAACCGTTTAAATTAAATACATATACATTTATAATGTACACATTAGTATATGCTACATTATATAATACTTATTATATTTATATACATTATATAAACATATATGCTCATATGTAAGATTTATACGTTCCAAGAAATAGAGATAGAAATAATTATGAAAAACTACTATAAAAGCAAAATAAATTTTCTAAAAAGAACAGAAAGTCTGAAAATTAACTTTATAATCTGAAATATATGAAGTCAGTAGACAGTTTTAAACACAACTTAAGAAAGGACTGGTAAAACATAAAGTAAAATAGAATACATTTTAGAAAATTGCTCAGAGTAGCACAGCAACCTAAAGATTTTCAAAACAAAGTTGTAAGATAAGGAGCCTGCATGATTTGATCCTTCCAAGGGCATAGCTTCTTGACCCAACAAATATGTCCTGCTTTTTGCCATTCTTCTCATCTCAAACTGTATTTACTCTCCTCCTAATTCATTCCATCCTTCCTGCCAAAATGTGGCAGGCTCAACAGCACTGAGGCGGTGATTCCAGTGCTAGGAAAGACAGGGGAGATTCCAGGAACTACTTGAGCAACTGGAGTTATAATGCATGTCCTAAGAAAGCATGCCAACACGTTTCTGGAATATTCTGAACTGCATAGAGCTATAAATCTTCAACTTCACAATGTTCCCTATTCTGTTCTTATACTTTTAAAAAAAGCAGGGTTTTCTTTTTTTGGTTTGATTTTTAACATAGTTAGTAGTTATCTAAATTGAATATGATCTCAGTAAAGAGTTCTTTCTCTTCCAACCTTCCACAATCCACAGACAACCTCCACCAGTGAATTAAATATTTGGTCATCCTTCAGTTAGTTATTTCTGGAGTCATTATAATATAAGTCATTTTTACAGGAATTTATGGGCACTTAAACCTAGGTAGTGTCTGTAACTGTGTTTTATGGGCAACATAAATGATTCTGGGCCTTTCTCCCCTTTTCTTGTCTGTTTGCATCACAAATAATCATATATCATAATCAGAGATGTCTAGCTCATACTAAATTTTCTTTGCCTGATGCTGTAGGTAGGATATAGACGTGCAGATGGGTGATGGCCTGGTAGAAGGGTGGATGACAAGAAGAGGGATTTTGTTATCTCTTGTGGGGGCAAGTACTATTGAGTTGCATAAAAGTCTGCATTAACTGGCTTTTTATGGACACTGCTAATGGTTTTATTACAACTGCAAATGTCCCAAGGTAGAAACCATCTCAAAGAGATCAAAACAAGTTGTTAGCTATGGTGCTTGGTGGGGCGGGGGAGGGCACTGTTATGCCCTGAATTTGATCCCTCACCCCCAAATTTATGTATTGAAGTCCTACACTCTCCCCATCCCAGTACTTCAGAATGGGGCCATATATTTGGAGATATGGCCTTTAATGAGGTCACTAAAGTAAATTGTTGGAGGTTTCTAATTCTACGTGACTGGTGTTTTTATAAGAAGAGGAGATGAGGGCACAGATAGCATGAAAACCGAGGAATGACCATGTGAAGACACAGAGAGAAGGGGAACAAGTTCCCACACGCTGTGATCTTGGATTTTTAGCCTCCTGATTTGTGAGAAAATAAATTTCCAGTGTTCAAGCCACCTAGTCAGTGGTGTTTTGTTATGCTGCCTAACAAAAAAAGGCAGAGGCCAGCAACAAACCTCAGGCGGGCTGGGATGGGGCCGTAGGGCAAGTGAGGCACTCCCTCTCATGACCACAAGGACAGCCTCAGGGCCTTGCAACCCGGGACTGAAGGCCTTCTGAGGTGCCTCAGCCTGGTCCCAGCTCCACCCCAGACAACTGTCAAGAGACCACCTGGCACCAAACAACCACTCAAACTTCACAATGGGGGCATTCGAACTGAGATTATAACTCTCTGGAAGTTCCCTGGAGTTTTTCAAAAAAGGATCTGTGTTTAGCCTGACAATGGCTGTGTTTTCCTATTCATTCATTCATTCATTCATTCATTCAGAAAATTCTAGTGAGTGTCTAGCACATCCAGGGAACTGTGTTAGGTTCTAAAAGGGAGTAGCAATCAAAAGACATTATTAAGCACCCACTATGTGCCAGTTCTATACTAGGCCCTTAAAAAGCAGGTGCTTCTGTAAGTATTTTAAAGTAACTTCTTCAGATAAGGTGCTGAGCTCATGTCTGTGGAAGGGAGGCAGAGTTGAACAGCACACGGGTGTGCCCACCATTGGCTCACAATCTTTCTGTGGAAACAGGTAAGTCAAAAATAACTCTTCCACAAGGCTCTAGTTATAACAGAAAGGCAGACATACCTTTTAGGAGTACGGGGAAGGAAAAAAACACCCCATCATTTTAACTGAGGGGATTTGAGGAGTCCTTGTAAAAGATGTGGGTTACCGGTTGTCAAAAAACAAAATTAAAACAAGTTTCGTTTAAAGATTTGAATTGGCTTTTATTCACAATTCTAGAACTGGGCAGCAAGTTTAAAAAATTTGGGGGCTGCAACATAGATCACTATGGACTTTCAATGAAAGTGATGTATAGAGACAGCTGAATTGGTTACAACTTGGCATTTTGCTTTGTTTGAATTAGCTAACCTGCCATTGACTAGGGCTTGACTGCTGGGATTGACAGAGACTCAGCCACTTGTGGCAAGTCAGGCTTTGAGATACTCCTAAGTCAGCTACTCCTAAGTCAGGCTTTCAGCTACTCCTAAGTTAGCTACTCCTAAGTCACACTTTCAGCAACTCCTAAGTCAGTAGGAGCTTTTGGCTACTTCTAAACCAGCTACTCTTAAGTCAGGCTTTGAGCACCTCCTAAGTCAGCTACTCCTAAATCACGCTTTCAGCTACTCTTAAATCTGCTACTCCTACTTTAGTTTTTCAGCTAGTCAACATTTTGCACATAAAGACTCAAATACACAGATATCCTGAAGCCGACATTTAGTTTAATTCAACACAGTACAATTTTGAACCTTTAAGCAGGGCTTCACAGGAGGGGATGAAGAAGGAACCTGGGCTATAAGTACTGAAAAAGCATCTGCCACACCTGCTCAAGTGATGTCAACTGGCAAGGGCTCCTGCCCTTAAGGAGATGGCATACAGGAGATAAATATCCTTTTTTTCTTTTTTTTGTTGAGACAGCGTCTCACTTTGTCACCCAGGCTGGAGTGCAGTGGCCCAATCTTGCCTCACTGCAGTCCCAACCTTCCAGGGTCAAGTGAGTCTCCCACCTCAGCCTCCTGGGTAGCTGGGAGTACAGGTGTATGCCACCACACCTGGCTAATTTTGTATTTTTAGTAGAAACGGGGTTTCACTGTGTTACCCAGGCTCGTCTTGAACTCTTGACCTCAAGTGATCATCCAGCCTTGGGCTCCCAAAGTGCTGGGAATACAGGCGTGAGCCACTGTGCCTGACCCAGAAGGTAAATATTCTTGAAAATGCTGAGATCTGTGAAAAGCAAGATGCCTCACACAGGAGGTGAGTGCTCCTGGACTTGATGCTTGGCTCATCCAATGAACATCTTTGGATCTTTGTCTTTTCTTCCATAGAACAGGGGTGTTGTGCTAAACCACTGGTTTCCAGACTTCTGGATTTCATGGACTACAACAATTTTTAAAAATTAAGAGTGGGTGCAATATGCTTCTAATTTTCCCAGGTCAGCACATTTAAATGTCTACTATATTCTGTCATTTTGCTAGTCAGTGGCCTAAACCTAGGAGCCACCACTGAGTCTCAGGGTCACCCAGCTCTGAGACTCTCCCCACTGTGAAAGGCAATATGAAGTATTTTTGAAGATTCTAAAATTTAAATCATAGCTTGTAAACTGGTGGTCCAGGGGCTAAGTTCAGCCCGTGGCTGTTTTGTTTGGACTGCAATGTGCTTTAAAAGAATTTCAATCAGAAGCCAACATTGGAAAGTGGTAAGATTCACATAAAAATCCAGATTTCTCATTTTAAAAAAATGAGTATCTGGCAACTTGGCCTGCCAGCGACTGACAACAACCACTTGTCTTCAAATGTGGGTCCTCTGATCCCACCTTCCTTCCCACCTACACACCATCATCCAGAACACTACTTTCACCTAAGCACCTGCCTGGTCCTCCAAGGCATTTAGGTTTAAGATTCCTAGTTTAAATCATTTGCAATGAGACTTGGTATGGGTGCTTTAGTTTCATCAGTGGATCTCAGTTCCTTTATCGACAAAATGGGCATAATGTGAGGATTAATTGAGTGTTTGGAAGCTATAAAGTGTGGGGCAAGTGCACAGGCATAGCAGTTTATAATTACTGGTGAGTTTGGATAACTCACACTCCCTGTCACAAGTTTATCGAGCCAAACACTTAGAGTATTGGAACAGATAGGGTGGTTTCTGCCTTCAGGAAATTCAGAGTCTACTCAGAGGTAAGAAGCATTGGGCAGTAAGGAGAGGCAAGATAATACAGTAAAAAAGGCAGAAGTTCAGGTAGCGTTTGCCTCTGAGAAGGTAACTAAGGTAGAAAAGTTGAGAACTTCAAGAGAAAAGGAAGCCATCATCGTGAACCTAAGTCATAGTTAACCTTTATTATTATTGACCGAGATTTTTATTATGCTAAGTTATTCTGTACCACTGACATCAAGCAATGTAACAACAACAGGAAGATCCACTTACTGGCATTTTCTGTACCAGGCATGTGTTAAAGGCTTTATTCAATGTTCACTCCAAACATATTTATTGAGGCCCAAACTTGTGTCTGAAACTGGGAGTACACTGATGAACAAGGCAGGTGAGATCCCTGTCTTCATAAGGTTTAGTGGGAAAGACAGACATTAAACAATTATATACATGAAAAAACGTTTTATTAGCAGTATAGTAAGTACCAGAAGAAAAAGTTCATGGTGCTATCAGGTTATATAGCCGAAGGATCTACCTTAGTCTGGGAAGGTCAAAGAAAACTTTCCGGAGGAAGAGGCATTTAGAAGAAAACCTTAGAGGTGTATAGGAGTTAACAAAGCAGCAGAGATATGGAGAGCTGTGTAGATAGAAAGAGAAGATTTGTGTACATATATATTAGTTATTTGGGGACTTGAAGGGCCATCTCAGAGATCAGAAAACTGAAGTTCAGAGAGATTGAATTAAGCTATAAATGACAATAATAGGATGGGCTTCCAGGTCACACATCAGAGCTACACTCCCTTCCTAACTCATATTACTCCTCCTTAGTTTGTCAACCTTTTATTCTCTATAATTTATAGCATTTCTTATGAGTAAGGAAGAGAATAGATTAGCTTATGTTACTGTGTCAAAAACATTCTTCCCTCTCTCTTCACTTATTTAAGTCCTACTTGTGCTTTTTATTCTAGCTCCAGTCATGTATTTAAATGAGTGTTTGATTTATATTTATCCCACCACCAATCTCCCTGAGCCAGAAGCTTTGCAAAGACAAGGGTTAGGTATGCTTCTGCTCAATGTTATATTTCTTATGACTAGACCCATGCCTGACATATAGTAGTTGTTCAATAAACATTTGTGGGAGAAAAAAATTCACAGATATGAAGCAGGAAACATTTGCCAGAATTTTCAAGCAAGGATTTGGACTTGAATTTTCCCCCAGCACAGACAAGAACAAACTGTGTATAATTTCCCACAAACAGAAGATCAATTTTTGCTGTGACAGCACAAATCCATCCTGGTGGAAGAAAATTAAGTCACATGTTTGCCCCGGCATAAAGTTGTAGATTTTTGGCAGATGCCTTCCACCATTTTGGCTGTCAAAATTGTGTGTGTGTGTGTGTGTGTGTGTGTGTGTGTGTGTATTTCTTTTCCAACAGTCTCCTTCTGTTTCCATGGAAAAATGCCAAAGGAGTGTGGGGGAGGGGAGAATCAAAGAAAGATATTCAATTTTCATTAGAAGTAATCAACAGAATTTCTTTATTCAAGGAAAATAACTTTAGACACAGCAACTGTAATAGCAGCAGTGGAAATAGTGATAATATAATTGCAATAACATAGTCATCATTTAATCCTGTTAACAGACATTAAAGTCACGAGGAATTTATTGAGCACCTACTGTATGCCAGACCCTATACTAGCCATTTCTTTCTAATAAAATTATCTTATTTAATTCTAATGATTGACTTGTGAAGTATAAAATATCTCAATTTTACAGATGAAATAACTGAGTTAAGTGGGAAAACAAAATATAATGTGATCAAGTTCATTCAGCTTGAAAATGAAAGATATAATTTAAACTCAGGACAATATGACACTTTTTATCACACTTTTTCAAAAGATTAGGTGGATCATTCTTAGGATAGGGGTATGGAGGCATGGGGTATGATTGATTTCCCTGTTGAGTGAATCTCCTAATGATATTTCTGTTTTACGTGGTTGAGCTACAGAGTAAGGTCTAAAATTCTGCTTCCACAATTAGAATAATATTAAAGTATTAAAATCAGACTAATCAAATTATATGGTCTACTTCTGATTAACTAACCACAAAAATATACTTCATTCACTTATGTGGTAAGTTCAGAAACAAGGGGTTAGGAGTCTAACAGACCTGAGTTCAAATCCCACTTGCATTATTTAACAGCTGCATGTTTTTTTGACTAACAATTCAATTCTTTTGAATGTTTTTTTTCCCATAAGAGAGCTTAATGATACTTCTCTCACAATATTACTATGAGGAATAAGAAAATCAATGTATATGTACAATCCTCATCTTTAGGCAGGCAATACTTCTTAGTTCCTCACTATTTTCCCTGTGAATTCTATTTCCAATCACCTGTACCACTTTCCTCAACATCACCCTAGGGCTGTCCCCCAAATCTGCAAACTTCCCTGTTGTTTTCTTTAACACTTTGTCCAACTATACACTGCATATTTTCTTTAACCTTTCTTTTCCCGTAAATTAATCACAACAGCCTTTTTTTCTCTAAAGTGATTTACTATATTTCTTCCCCTATTGGAGGCAAAGCAGGATGTAAAACTTTGCCACACTCATAGCAGTTAGGGGAGAAGAAAGGCATCAGCTCACCAGAAGATATGGATTGCTTAACTGTCCCAACAGAGTGAGAAGGGGTTAGGTAGAGGCTTTCTGTGACTCATGATGATCTTTCCTTATAGTCCAGCATCAGAAGGAATTCCAGCAGGCCAGTTTCTGGATCAGCATTGGATATCGTAATGCAGAGGAAGGCACCTAATCGTTCATGTCCCTTCTGACATGCTGCCGTCAAGTACAGGGTATTTTCTTCCTTACGCTTTGTCAAATGTGGTTTTAATCAGCCGTAACCACAAAAAAAATCACAAACTTTAGGATTTTTTTTCAGTTTCTATGCCTGAATAGCTTTGCAGGGACCTACAGGAGACTAATTAGGACCCCTAAGATATGAAGGAACAGATAGAAAACAAATGGCCACATGCGCCAGTTCTCAAACAATGTGCCCATCAATGGCAAAAGAGACAGAGTACACATGCCTGCCCAGCTCTTCACTGGGGTTCTAGCCTTTGGCTCTCCACTGCCAACCCAGGGCCCAAGGTGCTGCTAGAGTGAGCCTCTGGATATGCAGCTATCAGCTCTCCCCAAATAAACTCCTTTCCTGGTTTCCTGTTGCCTAATGTAAATTTGAGCATTACTGCACTACCCAGAAGTCTCTTAAATATATCAAATTCTTGATTCTTCATGTCCTGATCACTCCATTCTTGCTTTGTCCAAATGACTAAGCCCTACCCATTCTTCTAAATCCCATTCTGAATCACCCCTGCTAGGAAACCTTCTCTGATCCTCTAAACCAGATTAACTGCCTTTCCTCAGTATTTTCATAGCCTCCCAAGATTTGCATAGGACATTATTCATAAGCTACTGTATTGTAATTATTTACTTATTTGTCTATGTTATTAGACTATGAAAAGGTTGAGGATAGAAACATTATTTTATTTATCTCTATGTCCCCATATTTAACATGGGGCCTGACTCATATGTGAGGACTTTGTGTTACATACATAGCATGAAAACACACAAGCTTGGAATTGGTTAGATCTTTTTTCATCTTCTTTTTTTTTTTTTTTCTTTCCCAGGCCTTTTCCCTGAAAAGGAGTTGTTTAGATTTGGATTTAAATCTACTCACTGTCATTTATTCTCCAGGTAACTATTGAAAAATGACTTCACCTTGCTAAGCCTTAGTTTGCTCATCTGTAAAACAGGAGTAATAATCAGACCTACCTCACAGCTTTATTTTGAGGACTAAATGAAAT
Organism: Homo sapiens; assembly: GCF_000001405.40. Classification (NCBI taxonomy): domain Eukaryota; kingdom Metazoa; phylum Chordata; class Mammalia; order Primates; family Hominidae; genus Homo; species Homo sapiens. The sequence continues at coordinate 116,074,252 of NC_000009.12, read as the reverse complement.
AATGTCAGCAAAGTGCTTAGCACAGTTCTTAGCACATGGTGATCCCTGGTATACTTACTATAAATACTCATTTTAGTGTTCTGCAAATATTTCATAGATGAGTGGATAGCATGAACCATGATGGCAAATGGTTCTAACAAATGGACTGATGCCAGAATTTTGCCTTAAACTCCATTGACCCAGGAATAACTCTGAGGCTTTGGGCTGCTCATTAAGACTTTATTAAAATTATTTTAACCTTTGGTGGTTGCCAGAGTCAGACATGCCAGGGAGCTGAGGTTTGCCACAATGAGCTGTGTCCTCCCACGCATCCCAACTCTGGCAGAGCCATAGAGGGGCCTGGGATGATGGCCAAGGGAACATACTCCTCACTCAAACCTGTACACTGACGTGTCTTCTGGAAACTAGAAGAAAGGCTAGCTGTTTGGCTCTTTTGGTGACACTGAGTCTTGTAGCTTAAAAATATCTACACACACCCACCTGACTCCAAAAACCTGGTCTGAACTCGAGTATAAGCAAGTCTGACCTTGTGTTTCCCTACAGAGAAGGCTTCCCTGACATACATTCCCTGACATGTATGGGGGAGTATCATCAGAGCCATCACAGATGCTATAATCTGGAAAAAGGGATGTCCCAGGTGCTTCTTCTGGAACCAAGAGCCTAATCTCTCTGCATGTTCACTCTTGCAGTGAGAGTAGCGATGTCCTGGACCCATAGTGATACTCTCAGAGCCGTCCTGAGGGGTCTAGATTTATTTACTTTTCCACTAAGGGCATCAGATGCTTCTACTTTTTCAAATGGTTTCTTCCTGTCTTTCAATGTCTGTGCCTGCCTCGAAGTAATGTCCCTTTCTGCTTCCCCATCCACAGTTCTGGTGGTCTTCTCTTCATTCATTGTGGGGCACAAAGTCAGTGATATATGTTCATTAAGATTTAGTAAAATTTCTGAGTCTCAGGAATAGGTTCTGTGAAGACCCACGGTATTAACATTTGCATGGGCTTCTGACATCCCTTTTTATATTGTAAGTCTTTTTTCTTCCAGATTCCCAGATGAGTAGCCATATTTAGACTCATTTTCAAGGTAAATGTATAGGGTTTAAAGTCTGTGAGGCACGGATCACACTATAAGAAAAGTAAACAGAGACAATAACTGTTGATGGGAGTTGGAAGGGACAATGAGGTGACACAAATTAGGAGGGTTTCCTAGCTCAAGTACTAGTGTCCACGTCTGCTATCCTCCTCTCTTCTTTGAGCAACCATTCAAACATTCCTCCTCTGCTTCAACTCCCACCTTCCCTTCCCTAGATAGTAAGTGCTCTAGAAGAAATGTTATGGAACACAGAGACTCCTCCAAAGTTGGGTTCCCAAAACAATTTGGACTAAAACCAGACTCTCACTCATCAAGCAATGGGTTTAGAGGGTGAATATGTAACTTAAGCTGAACCAACCAGGACTCTTGACTGTACCTTAAAAATGACAACAACAACAAACAAACAAACAAAAAAACTGAAAGTAGGAGGAAAAGAAATTCTCTCTCTTTTCTTTCTTTGGTGTTAAATCAGAGAAGATTTAATCCTGAAAACTGATAGGGGCTTCATGGAAAAATGATTTTTCCAGTTTTCCCAGTTCAACTACTATCCTTCTCAGTTACATAAGATAAAGACAAACAACTTCCTTCTTGCCTAGGTTAATTCAAATTGGTTTTCTGTCCTGGCAACAATTACTTGTTTTTTTCATTAATGGTGTAGAGGGACTGGACTGTAAATTGAACCAGGAGAATCTGTGTTCACATAGAGAGTTCATGAACAAAGATGGTAGAATGGGTGGGACTGACAAGGCAAAATACTTAGAAGTTTCACAGGAATCCAAGAACTGGATCAGGTAGTGAAAGTTGTCAGAACATCTCAGATAGTGGGGTAGACTGTGAGAAATCTATCCCCTTTTTGTGTCTTACCACAACCCACCTCTGACTGTCTCCTCTTTTCATAGGCACCTGCTCGAATTCATCATGCTGTGGAATTCATCATGCCGCTTCAAGTTTTTGTGGCTTTGCTCATGTAGTGTCTATTTTCAGGGGTTATCTTTATTGGAGAGCATTGTTGGATTCCTCCTGACCCTTCTCTGTTCCTCCTTGGTGCCACATGTATGTATTTTGTTGCATTTATCTCTTCCATTCTTGTCTTCCATCCTAGACCCTGAAATCTTTCAAGCCAGTGATAGTGCTTTCTTCTTCACATCTTGGGAATTCAGCAGATAACTAAGAATGGAGAAGGAAGTGAGATGGCACATAAGAGCTACCTTAAGGAGGAAAATCTCATCACAGGTCCTGGTTCCAGTGGGCCTTGTTCACATGCAGCCTCTACTCTAAATCTTGTTAGAATCCAGTCACTGGATTAGTGACGGCATGGACAGAAGTGAAAGAGGTAAATGAGAGGACAAAGAAAGAAATGCAAGAGGCTTCTGGTACTGTTTTAGTTTCTTAGTTAAAATTTGGGTTTTAACTTATTTTGGACTTTTTGATGTACTCTTTCTGGGGAAAAATCAATTTTATTTTGTTTATCTGACTTTTAGGTGTGTTATTATTATAATTTAAAGGGTTCTTAAAAAACTGTGTGTCCAATGATCTCATTTTCTTGAAAAAGAAAATCAGACCCTAAAATGTAAAAGTGACTAATTCCAAGTGACTTTCGTATCCAGTCTGTTTATGAATGCACCTATGTATTTACTCCATAATCACACATGACATGCTTACTCCATGATCATGACTATTTCAGGCACTGGGAATGGAGCACTGACTATGATAGGGTCAGCACTTATGAGGCAGTCATGTTCTAATGCAGGCAAGTAAACACAGCAAAATAATAAACAAGAAACATCAAGTAGTGAAAAGTGTGACCACAGAAATCAAGGACTGATATGATAGGGTGTGACAAGGGGGGCATCTTGAGATTGGTGACTAATTTCATTCTGTTAAAAAGTTGTTATGAATATGATCCTCATTAACAGTAATTAACTGCTTTCTCAAACCAGACTTTTTCTTTGAACAATGCTAACAGTTAGTTTTGTATCAATTGTACCGTCTCACTGCTGGGACAATATTTCCCAGTTTAGAAAGTAGTTTTATGGACAGCATCTCACTAAATCCTACCAACAACCCTGAGAAATGTGGATCAGATAACAATTCTCATTTTCTAGGTGTGTAAATAAAGACTTACAGTGTTTCATTGTAATGCCCACCTTCCATCACCCACTAAGGACTGAGCTGGAATCAAATCCAGGAGTTTGTTATTATTATTATTTTATTGTTATGACAATGTAGTGTGAATTCCACATCACCACTCTAAGTAAGGAGGAAAAAAATATTCTGGGAAGGTTCCATACAGTTATTTGTTTGGTGTGGATGCTGTTTGCATCTGTTTTGAGGTGTTGGGCAGAAAGACACTCCGTTTCACTGAAAGAACAGCAAGTTCTCTCAAGCCAACACTCTGTCCAATCACCCACTAATAAGGAGCAGGACAGGACTACAGCCTGTTTGACTCTATGTTGTTTGCCAGGTTTGAGTCACTGCCTGCCTCTTTGTGATGTGGTCCTTGGGACTCAGATTTAGATTCTTCACTACAGCATCTTGGTCTTTATAATACAATTTTTTTCTCACCATAGTAATAGCAACATGCCCTCGTTAGGATGAGATGATATTTTACAGGCCTTTGTATTTACTGTTTTTACAACCCTTATTACATGTGTTTTTGGGGCCTGTTGACGTGCCCTTCTTCCTCAGGAGACTGTGAGCTCCTTAAGGGAGGAAACTCCCCACATTACTATCTCTACTACTAATTTCAGCACACAGCAGACACGCAATCCTAGGACAAAGAGTGAGTTTGGTGAAATCCAGCTACACATTAAGTAAGAACATTACTGTAAAGGGTACATAATTCCAAATTGTGTTGCCAAAGGCATCTGTGGAAATTTGTGAGTTTTTTCTTGAAAGAGATTATTAACTAAACATATAGAGCTCTCTTTCTGTAATGATTTAATTTTAGTTGTTGCCAGAATCTAGGGTTAGAAAACATTGTTTGAGAAGGTGACAGAAACCAGAATGGGGGAAATCACAAAATGATCCATTTTGTGCAGCCATATTCAGTGCCAATGCTGCATTTGACTGGTTGAATATTTATTTTGTCTACCAGTATGTTTCTTCTTTTTTTTTTTTTTTCCCTACTGAAGACATCACAGGAATCTGTAGAAATCATAGCTCTCTGGGATTTTTTTAAGAGTTGAGAATTTGGGGGTTAAAAGTGTACATTATTTCTTTCAATGAAAAATGCTTATCTCTGCATCCTTGACAGGCAATTTTCACATTCAGTGTCGGCCTGTGGAGACTCCCTGGATGACTGTCCCACAGCCTCAATAGCTGGAAGAGCTTCCCATATTGAACAGCAATGCTTCTCCTATAGCTTTCTGTTTGTCTTTTCCTGAGTTCTTTATTCCCATGGCAATTCTTCTGAGGTTGAAAGACAAAGCTTATGTCTGTCCTGAATCTTCTCTTCTTCAGTCTAGATAGTCCTGATTCTTGCAGTCATTCCTGTTGTAGATTCTATCAAGAGGAAATATAACAAAGAGACAGAAGCTGGTGTTTTGAGTCGGAATTCCTGAATTAGAATAATGATTTAACTTTATTAATCATGTGAACTTTTGCAAATTATTCCTCTTCTCTGGCCTGTTTCCTTATCCTCACTTATAAAATAGAATTAGTAATGGCATCTAGATCCTAATATCGAAAGGCTATTGGAGGAGCACATGTACTCCATATGTATGTACATAAAGATTCTTAAAACATTATCTTGCACATGGCAGGTTCATAAAATGTTAGCTGCCTTTTAAACCTTTATACTTTGAGGCTTTTCTGTTTAGGTAAAATCTGTCTTGTTTCGGGCCCCTTCAAATACATATTTGGCCTTTGCTTTGTTTGCTAGAACATATCAGAAGCACCAAATCCCAAATGGAATTCTAGAGATAGCTCCATTCTTCATGATTATAGATCATGATGCCTTTTCTGTGAGTCCTGGCACTGATAAAAATCCCTCTGGTCTATTTCTCTTTCTGAGCCCTAAGTCATCTGAATACAATGGACAACCTTACAGGAAAGTCTGAGAATTTCATTGCATCCAGAGGAAAATTCTGTCTCCAAAAGGTTTACAGAGTAGGGTTGGTCATTCTCTTGATTGGGTTGATAAACCTATAAAACAGAAATTATTTCACTGAACAAACAACACAAATTCCCAACCTATCTTTGTCTCCATATCACAGAGCAGTTAGTTTTTTCCAACAAATGTCTCTTTCCTCTTTTCTTCTACCCCACATCTTTATCCTTCAGTAGTCCTTTCTATGTCTTCCTTCTGGGTTTAGACCCATGCTGCTTCCTGTTGTAAAGATCTCAGTATATACAATCTCCTTTTTTCCTTAAGTCCTTTTCTTGCAAAGACCATTCTCCCCTGGCTTTCTTTCCCCAACATATTTGAAATTCTAGTATAATAACATTACCTGTCTCGTTACCTATAAATCCCTTCTTCAACATCCCCTATAAATAGGATGACAATATAACTTATCATCCAAACTGGGACGCTTTTGGCAGTGAAAGAGGAAGTGTTAATACTTAAATCAGTATAACAGATAAACTAGAACTGTATCAGCAAGCTTGGATGGGTGGTTGCCCTATCTAAAAGAGACCTCCTAGCCTCTGATTAACCTAAAAGCGGCGCTTTTAGCTCAAATCTCAAGACCCTCTTGTGCAGTAAATATCCCATTTGCAAATGAAGAGATAGACAGCAGAGTGGAGACAGAGAGGGAGAAAAGAAGGCAGGAAACGGGGTGATCATTCAGCTGTTAAGCAGAAATTGAACTTAGGTTAATTTTGCAAATCTCATGTCCTTTTCCTATCTTACATACTCCTCAACTCATAGCCCTTCCTTGAAAAAGTATCTTTCACAACAACTTTTTATTGTATCCTAATAATGATTTCAACATACTTTTTATCCTGGGAAAATGTGCTCCTCAAGCTTCCCTACCCCCCAACACATCTTGTTAATAAAATTCTGGTTTTTTGATATAGCTACCTCATTTCAACTTGCTTCAAAAAATAGCTGCTGCGTTCATATATCTGGGCCACATACTGAACAGAGGTGGTATTTAGTAAATGTTTTAAAGTCTTTCTGATTGCAGAGGTAATCTTATTATATGTGCCAGGGTCTAGATGCTGGCGGTTGAAATAATAATAATAATAAATTAAGAGCCCAAATAGCATTTTGACAACACAAGCTTGGTTTTCACTTCAGCCAGCCTTTTGAAAAACGCCACTATAATCATCGTCATTATTGTCACCATCATCTTCTTTCCATGCTTTTTTATATTGCAACACATGCATGTTACTATATACTTGGGATTACTCTAGGTTATAGGATTGTTTCTATTTTATTTTTGGAGACGAAACAGTTGGTAATTTTCCAATTTTTTTTTGTTTGTTTAAAATATGTTTGCTTTTCTTCTTCTGGTGGTTGAGTTTTACACTAGTAGATTTATTGAACATTCTGCAAAAGTAAGAAACATAGATATATTTGCAACCTTTATTAAAGGCTAAATAGACTTTGAATTTTATCAATGTTTTAAATTTGTGTAATGTTTGTCTTTGACCTATATGAAGGACATAATAGGCTTTGTTTTATTATGTCTGGTAATAGCCTAATAAAGGATAACAAAAGGAAAATAAATTTTGCTATGTTGAATGAAGAGACTAGGTTCTAGTCTGGGCTTCAGCACTCAAGAATTGTGGCATCATTTCCTCCTGGGAAGTTTTATCCTTGTTTGGGAAAGTGAAAGAATGTATGATATTCTCGCTTTTCAAAGTATATTCCAAAGAGCTGTAGCACTTTTATAGTAGTCTCCATTAGGAGACTATGAAGGATCCTATGAAGGATCCTGGGCCTGACTCCTTATTCATTAAGAGTAGCTTATATCTACTATAGAGATGATATAAGTACATGTAAAATTGTACTACTGTATGTGTGTGTGGTGTGTGTGTGTCTGTGCATGTTGATGGGAGGTGGGCCTGATGGGGGTGTGGAAAGAGAAACTTCACAGCCAAAGAAAAATAAGAAAGGAAATTTCTTGGACTAAGTCATTCCTAAGGTCTTATAAGTTATGACACTTTAGTTCATTTTATGAATAATCTGAATAAGTTCTTTGTGCCTGTATAAACTGGTATGGAGAAGACATTTTGATATATCCAAGGATATGAAGAAAATCAAAGTGAAGCCTGAAGATTATAACCACATTTTATGGTTCTAGGTAAATAAAATGATCCTGGCAAAACAGTATTCTCTTCAGAATATAAACCAAACCTTACAATCTCTATGCAATTTAATTCAAAATTCCAAATACTGGTGAAGGAAAATCCGATTGGTCCAATGTAGGTGAAGTGTCTAGCAGTGAAGCAATCAGTGATGGCCAGGAAGCAGTATCCCTCAGTGGAACTTTCACCATTGTGGTCTGGGTGGACAGTTCTCAAAGAAAAGGGTGATCAAAGATCTCAAAAGAGGTCCATTGCAGGGCAAGGACCCCTTCTTAATTACACCAAGAGTCCTAGGTTCTACATGTGATCAACCACAAAAAATCACTCAGTTAACATTTATAGACTGAAAGCATGATTATGAAGATTATCAGAGAGAACGTGCTAATTCTCTGTGGCTGAATCAAAATATCTTGAGAATGGCCATACTTTCAAAACATTTCATAATTGCACAATTGCATAATTGACCCTTTGAGCTTTATGTATGACACAGGTTCTATTGCAGACGTGGTCCCCAGGAAGCTGACGCTAAGATGACTAGTGTGCTGCAAATCTATTAGGGAGTTTCTTGGGATCAACACAAGTAGGGTAAGAGAAAGAAGCAGAATTGGGCAGGTGGAGAAGTTGGGCAATGATGCTGTCATGACAAGGGTTCAGCTGACCCCACAGATAGATCTGGATTTGGAATGGCCTTTCAGAATTGTCCTGAGCTGTGGCTGAAGGCTGAGCATTTATACTCCTGCATAGACCAATAACTGGATGCAGCTTAGGAAGGGGGACTCCCTTGAAAGGATCATTTGCTTCCCTCTTCATCCAAGAGCATTTCTTTGCATTTTTAGCAGCTAGGAAAAAAGTCCTTTAGTTCTGAAAGGGGATCCGAGCAGCACCCAACCTATGTCCCAGCATCCTTGTGCGATAGGAAGACACCATCCAGAGGCCTGAATCAGACTTGTGTTGTGAAAGGAGCCAATGGGGCTTTGATTGCAAGTATTATAAGGTACTAGATAACCTAACTACATACCTAAAATACTCTGTGTCTTTATTTCTTTTGCGGTATGGGGGAAGTATGGAAGTCTGGCCCTGAGTAGAAAATTAAAGAAGCCAAATGACAGAGTACAAAGATAAAAAATTTATACCAAGGTATAATAGTTTGTATTAATTTGGTAACACTGCTGTACAATGAACTAGATGGCTTTGACAACAGCAATTTATTCTCTTGTCGTAGAACCCAGAAGTCCAAAATCAAAGTGTCAGCAGAGTTGGTTCATTCTGGAGGCTGTGAGACATAATCTATTCTATGCTTCTCTAGTAGCTTCTGGTGGCTACTGGGAATCCTTGGTGTTTCTTGGCTTGTAGATGCATCATTCAAATAATCTGCTTCTGTCTTTATGTGGACTTCCTCTCTGTGTGTCTCTGTCTTCTCCTTTTCTGTCCCTTATAAGGATATTGGTTACTGGATTTAGGTTACTCTAATGATCTATTATTAACTTGATTATGTCTGCAAAGACTCTTATTATAAGATCACATTCTGATTTACCAGAAGTTAGAATTTCAATGTATCTTTTTTTAGGGGAAACAATTCAACTGATAACACAAAGTAATGTGTGGTTGAGTTCTGCTGATGTTTCCTTGATTCCTCCACTCCACGGTTCACATCTTCCATCATCTCCTCCCACCATCATTGAATGTGACACAGTCCAAACTTTCATCATCCCATGTGCACTGTTGAAATTCCTTCCCAGATAGCTGTCCTGCCTCTGAACTCTCTTTCTTCTGAAATCTCCAGCATGTACTTCCTTCAAAGTGCATTATTGTCTACATGATTAAGTCTAAAGTTTACCAAGAGTGTCGAGACTCCAGAGGCCCATTTGAACCTGTGCCTTCAGCTTCATTTCACACGATACTCCTGTGTCCTCCACATGCCATGCTAGACTCTCTCAAGGTTCTGCTTTTAAGAGCTTTATTGAGGTATAATTGATATACTAAGAACTTCAGATATATAGTATGTGTAGTTTGATGCATTCGGACATACGCAAACACCCATGATACCATTACCAAAATCAAGGTAATAGATATATCCAAGACCTTACAAAGTTTCCTTGTATCCCTTTGTTTTTGTCTTTATAGTTGTTGTTTTGGTGGTAAGAACACTTAATGTGAGATTTACTCTCTTAATACGTTTTGAAATGCACAACACGGGATTATTAACTACAGGAAAAATATTTTACAGAAAATCTCTAGAATTCAGTCATTTAGGATAACTGAAACTTTATACCCACTGAAAACAACTCCTTTTTTTTTGAAATCTCAAACTAGTCCAGAACATTTCTGCACTCATATCTTCACTCATGTTATTTCATAAGTCATATGTTTATAAATTTCCCTCACCACTTTTGTATTTCTAAAAGGAACCCAACTTTCAAGATTTACTCCAACTACCATTTTGTTTTAAACCATCCTATAATTGCTCTTAGCTGATGGCAAGCCTCCTTCCTCTGACTCCTGTGTATTTATGTTATTGGTCTTACTACCCTCAATTTTGTGCCAGATTAAGCTTGGCTATAGCTCTGTCTTTAGTATGCTATTTGATGACTGCATGAAAAATGACCATGATGATATATTTGTCTCGATATGCCCCACAAACCTTGTCATTCAATGTTTGTTGAATTGATTTTTAAAATTAACATAATCAACAACAAACATCACATTTTGTTATTATCATCAGAATTTTTTGCTTTTTTTGTATCTTTGAATAATGAAAACACAAATTTAAGATATTTTTGTAGTACGTTATTTTTTTCTACTAAGAAATGCTTGATACTCCACTCCCTCATCCCCACTTCTTCTTCTTAGAAGCAATGTGGATTTTATGTCAACACCATTTTAAAGAATGAGGGTGGCTTGGGGTGAGAGAAAGAATTAGAGAATTTTATTGTTTAGATAGAGCAATGCAAGACCATTTCTTAACATGTGCTTAAATCAAGTTTTCCAAGGACAACTGTATTACACACACCCAATAAAAATGATTATTTAAAACTAAATATTCAGAAGTTAGTAGGATGACTGGGGCCAAGTGGATATTTTAGCAAGGTATATGTCAATAAAATGTTTTAGAGGAAATTGATGTGAGGCAATGCCAACTGCAAATACACTTATGACAAATTGAAAGACAGAACATTTTTCTTGGGATGAGAAAGACTTCTCTAATCGACATCATGTAAAAAAATACACATATTTTAAAAACACCAATCTTTATAAACATAGGATAATCAAAGGGAAGGAAACAAAACTATCCAAAATCCTTTATCTCAAGACAAAAAAAGTGACATGTCATTATATTAATACCCTTCCTCAATCAAAAATGTATTTTCCGCATTAATTGATTCAAGCCACATACCTGTGTGTCTGAACACTACCCTTATTTTCCTGTTTCACGGCACCACCCTATACAAAACATTCTTAGAATGAAGGCTATCTTGTTGAAGTACGTGACCTAAGCAAGGATGCACAAATCTTTGGCATCTTACTTTAACAAGGTACCCTTCATTCTAAGAATGTTTTGAATATCAGCCTATTTTACAAGAATTATTTTATTAAATAATTCTCAAGCAACTACTCTAGGCAAAGCACTGTTCAGGTTGCTGCTGATACCACATTGAAGAGTACACATAAAGTTGTCATCTTTATAAAACTTTCAAGTGAAAGCAAAGACTGGTAAAGACTTGTAAAAGACAATAGAATTACTCCGATATTTTTTCTCCTATCTCTCTGAATGAGTCCAGGCCTAGAAATACATATATATATATATATATGAAAGAACAAAAAAACACTTCATGAGTTGCTGAATGTAAAATTTTGCGGAGTATTTTAACATTCATTCTTTAAAGAAGGAGAAAAGTGAAGGCTTCTTCTCTCTCTCTAAAGAATAAGGCTAAATGAACCATTTACAAGTTTGCAAAATCTCATTTTATTTACCTCAGAGTTTCCTCCATCACTTGTCATCTGAGTACCATTAAAAAACACCCTGGCAGCTGAATAATCATAACAATAACATTTGCTGTATTTTATTTTACAAACCAAAATCACTCATTTATGCATCTCTAGGTGTGTGTGTGTGTATGTGTGTGTGTCTTAGATTTAATGAGCAAGATGGAAAACTTTATAGCTACTAGCTATGTATGAAAGCAGAAATATCATGCAAGGGTAAAATCTTAACAGGTATTTTGCCAAAGAGGAGAGCATCATAAAGTTTCAGGAACTGCTGTTTGTTGTGCACCTACTATGGTCAGTTATGGTGCTGAGAATTTTTATATACTTTATCTCTCTATTTTTCAACACTAGCCCTGTAATCTAGGGTTCATTTCTAAAATATACATGAGGGGCAATTCAAAAGATAAATTGAAGTGGCTGCATTCTGATGATCCATCCATGACTGAGCCAGGATTTGAACACATGTTATTTAATTCTAAACTCAGCATTATTTGTTTCTTCGAAGTTGAAGGGGATGCTTATCACAGGAGATATTCAAGCTGAGACTGGAACACCACATGTTGAGAATTTTATTACGATGAAAACATCTGTTGAAAAATAAAGTAGAATAACCTCAAGTTCTGGTCTAATTCCAAGATTATCTATTATTGTAATTGTGGAGGGAAGGAAGGAGGGAGGGAGGGAGGGAAGGAAGGAAGGAAGGAAGGAAGGAAGGAAGGAAGGAAGGAAGGAAGGAAGAAAGGAGAAAAAGAGAAAGAAACAAATAAAGAAAGAAAGGGAAAGAAAGAGCAAGAAAAGTAAGAAAGAAACCCTTAACAGAATTTGCTACAACTGCTTATACTGTGATTATGAAACAAGGTCCCCAATCATCACCTAAGCAAGGATGCACTAATCTTTGGCATGTAAGAGCAGTGTTTATTCAGACTTGTAAAACCTTTGACACCCAGTTTCTATCTCTGTGTCTCTTAGCTTTGTTTATTTATAAAGCCAAATTTCTTTATCTAACATACATTTTTTCTTTACGCTATTTTCTTTGTTCCTGCTTACCAACTATCATAGTTATTTATACTTTTCTCTCATTCCTTTTCTACACTCTGACTCTTGAAGCAAAAGAATGGTCATGTGGTTTGGCTGTGTGTCCCCACACAAATCTTATCTCAAATTGTAATCCCCATAATCCCCATGTGTCAAGAGTGGGACCTCGTGGGAGATTATTGGATTATGGGGGAAGTTCCCCCATGCTGTTCTTGTAATAGTGAGTGCATTCTCATGAGATCTGATGGTATTATAAGGGGCTTGTTCCCCTTTGCTTGTTCATTCTCTCATGCCTGCCACCATATAAAATGTGCCTTTGCTTCTCTCTCACCTTCCACCATGATTGTAAGTTTCCTGAGGCCTCCCCAGCCATATGGAACTGTGAGACAATTAAACCTCTTTTCTTTATAAATTAACCAGTCTTGGGTATGTCTTTATAGCAGTTTGATAATGAATTAATACAGTTGGTGTCTGATTCTTTATCCCAACTTCCTAGCACAATGCTTGACATGAAGAAAGGACTTAACCATTATTTAATAAACGCATAGAGCCAGTAGGTATTAAAAAGGTTAAAAATTTTGTGCACCAGGAGAGTTCCCAAGGCAAACGAAACAGTGTATATAAAGGGTTGGATACCTTTGAGTGTGAGATCAGGTCTGGTATGAAGAATTAAAAGAGGTTTATAATATGTTTGTAGCAGAGGATGTTTATGGAAGACAATGAGGCCAAAGATAGATGGACCTGAATCTAATAAAAAGAATTGCTTGAAATTCACTTGAGAGCAATGAGGAGCTTCTAAGTGAAGAGTTTTAAGCTGTAAAATAATACAGTAAAATAAATGATAAAGAAATATCATGCTGGTTACTATGTAGAGCAGAAGAGACAGAATTGTAAATACAGAGAGGAGTTAAAAGGTCATTGAAATTGAGATGAGTGGTTCAAAGGCCTAACTTAGGCAGAGTCAAGTGGGAGTGTCATATATGAGGAAGACTGAAGAGGTAGTCTTACTAGGATTCTGGGAATGACAGGGCATGAGGGCTAAGGGACAAAGGTATGCTGAGAATAACTTCCTGGTTTCTGATTAAGTGGTTCACGGATGATTAGACAATTCACTGGGATAAGGGACTAGAAGGGAAATAAAATGAGCTCAGTTTCATGCCAAGTTAGAGATTCTGGTGGGACTCTAAGAGCTCTCTAATAAGCAATGGAATATGTAGTTGTGGAGCTCATGAAAAAGAAGAAGGTGAGAAATTTAAATGTGAAAATATTCAAAGACTCATTGAAGTTGATTTGGCTTGAGATATTCAAAACTTTTTTGTGTGTGTGGTATAACTGAATACGTGAATGTTACAATAGGTTATCTCTGGACCTCTTGGGACATCCTTGAAAGTTATGTTGGAGTTACCAACTATTTTTGTTGCTCTAAAAAGCCCTGTGGAATAAGGCATTCATTCTTAGCATGTCATAAAGACTAAGTAAATGTAACATTTGTGTATCTAGAATATAATCATATTAAGTAATTGTAGTGATGTGGGCTCTCTGCATAAGAAAAACAATTTTTTATTTGTCAGATGCAGTAGGTTTAAGAGATAAAATTGTTCAAAGCAGAATGTTGGGGAGGAGAAAATAATAATTAAATTCATAATTGGACTCCATAAATGAATGAATCCTTTAATAAAACTTTACATATTTATTTAAATTATGGTTAAAGTAAGGGTAAAAATATCAAGGATCAACTTCCTGAAAAAATCTGACTAAAACAGGAAAAAAGTTGGAGAATGGAAATTTATAGACCAGGATTTTCTGACTATTTTTCAGAGAGATCAACTGTACCTCCCACACCACCTCAATTGCTCTTAAAAAAATCTGGAAATAAAACAGTCATAAAATCTGATTGAAAGAAAGAAATATATTCTAAAATGTTGAATACAAAAAAGCCATAAGAAAGTTTCACAAATTCAATATGGCATACAAGGAGTAAGTACAAAAGGCAAGTAGTTTTAGGGTGTTCATCAATGAAGGGAGGAAAGAGGAAATGGGGAATGCGTGTCATACAGAACACCCAAATCCAACAAGATAAAGATAACTGGAGAAAGACTAAGAGGAATTTGCATTGCACAAAACAGCTGAAGAGTCCCAAGATTTTGTAACCACTGCAGACGAAAACTTCAGAATCACTTAGGAAATCTATGGTTGTGTTGTCCTTTTCCCCTCTAGCATCAACAGAAAGTTAGAAAATGTTGGCTTCCAAAACTGTGATCTATGCATGTTACAAAAGCAAAAGATATTTGGTGAGCAATGGGTATGGGAAGTTACTTTGAAAGTAGTGTTGATTTGGGCCCCACAGGAGTGAGATTGGAAATGGTAGTTTTTCTTGGCAAACTTGAGTTTTAAACCCTTTGTATCTTGAATGCTGGGAGAGGCAGAGAGATTTCCCAATATGATAAAGTAATGTAAAAGAAACCATATATCTTGGCAGGCCCTATGTATTTCATATTCTTCTTGAGGCCAACAAGTTTTAGAGTGCATGCATGTGTGCATGCACACGCACACACAGGCACGCACGCACACGCACACACATACACACACCATGTCCCTCGGCTATTTATATATCATTCTGAACTGTGTTAGTCCTTTCTCTCTGTCCTTTTTCTCATGTCAAGTCCATAAAAGCACTCTTAAGTATGTGATTCTTTGAAATTTGAATTGTGTGGTCAATGGAAAACCACTTTTTTAAATTCCCTGGAAACATGGGTCATCGATACTATATTTAAAGAAATTTTAGTCATCAGGTGGCTGGATTTTTCCACCAGTATTTTCACCTTGTGTTGACTAACTCACATACACACCCCTTGTCCTCCCAACTTTTGTAAGCAAATGCATCACCATCCACATCACTCTGATACACATACACTGTTCATAATGACATTAGAGGTCCATGATGTTTCTTTTTTGAGAGAATTTTCCATTTGGGTTGGAGAAAAGGAAAAGTAAAGAAAGTAGGACCAAATCTAGACATGCAGTGTCTCAACATGGAGAATGTAGGTTGAGAGGAGGTTTTAAAATCATCATTGGGCTGTTAGTGAGGGATGGAGTGGAGGCCGGGTGGCTAGGCTGAATTCCATGAAGACTTTGGATGCCACGCCTAGGATGTGACTATCCCTGATGCTGGTTGTTGGATTTCCTCTGGGAACTCCTTCAGTAGCTGGAAATGTGTGGTTTTATTTTCATTTCAAAGCACCAGCAGAATATACATTGTGCCTAAGGGAAGGAACAAACTACATGAGGGAGGACTAAGATGTTTTTCCTGCCCTTGCCAGAGTTCAGCTAACCCAAGACTTCAGCTGCATGTGCTTCTTACACAATCCCAAGGAAAAAGATGTTTATGAATCAAACTCCAGGTCACTCCCTTGTCACCATCAAATAAACTGAGCACTCTGGTCTCCAATTCAGGAGATTTTAAGGTTCTGTCTGTGGCTCAGCTCCTGAATTATCATCACCTTGGGCCCTCATTAGCTCACCTTCCTGTGATCAAATCTATAACCCTTGCTAAATATAACCGTATGGGACTTAGTTTCTACGTTTCAGCTAAAGGCAATAAAGCACAGTGTTTTTTTTAAGTGCTCTTGTCTACTCATGCACATATATATATATATATATATATATATATATATATATATATACTTATCTACTTAAGTATATGTATATATATAATAAAGTGTGAAATTATTTTAGGATTTATGCTTTCTCTTTCTTCAGAAACACTGTAGTAAAAAGCACCCATAAAATTTTGCCTAGGTTAAAAAGGCACATGAGGCTAGTACAATAAACACATCCTTAGAAACACAATAAAGTGAACCTTCATTTACTTAAACTTCAACTATGGGAGAATAGGTAAGGAAAGTAATTATTTCTGGCAAGATGTTACACAAATACAAACTTCATGCAAGGTTTAAGAGTGGTTTAATGGAAAGAGTTATTTTCATTAGTTTCCTTTGCTGTCACTTGCTAACCATGTGACATGGAACAGATTACTTTCAACCTCTAGAGCACAAGTCATAAAATGGATGACTTATGATTTCTTGATATTTTAAGATGTAAACAATGTATCATGTTTCTTTTTATTAACGGCTTTAGTGAGGAATGATTGACATTCAAAAAGATGTAGATATTTAATGTATACAATTTGATACGTTAAGTAGATAAGTATACATCCCAGAAATCGTCATCACCATCAATGTCATAAACTTATCCATCACCTCCAAAAATCACCTCCCACGTGCTTTTTTTTTTTGTGGTTAAAGCACTTAACATGAGATCTATCCACTCAGCAAAATTTTAAGGATACAATATAGTATTTTTAATCATGAGCCCTATGTTATACAACAGATCTCCAGAATATATTTATTTTGCATAACTCGACCTTTGTACTTTTTGACCAGTACCTCCACATTTCAACACCTTCTTAGCCCCTTGCAACCATGTCACATGGTTAGCAAGTGATGAGTTTGACTACTTTAGGATCCCACACATTAGTGAGATTATGCAGTATTTCACTTTCTGTGTCTGGCTCATTTCACTTAGTATAATGTCCTCCAAGTCCTGCCATGTTTTCACAAGTAGCAGGATTTTCTTCTTTTTTTAATGCTGAATGGTATTCCATTATATGCATACACCATATTTTATTTATCATTTACCATCAATGATTATTTAGGTTGTTTTCATAGCTAGGGTACTCCCAATAATGCTGCAATAAACCTCAGTGCAGATAGCTCTTTAAGGTCTAGATTTCAATTCCTTAAGACATATACCCAGAAGTGGGATTGCTGAAATGAATGATAATTCTGTTTTTACTTTTCTGAGGAATTACCACATTTTTTTCCATAGTGCTGCACCAATTTACATTCCCACCAACTGTGTACAAGGGTTCCCTTTTCTCCACATCCTTGCCAACACTTGTATCATGAGTCGTTTTGATAACAGTAATTCTAGCAGGTTGTACTTTGTTCTTTTGATAATGACGAGCCCAATAGGTGTGAGGTGATATATCATTGTGGTTTTAATTTGCACTTCCCTGATGATTAGTGATGTTTAATACCTTTTCATATATCTGTGGGCTATTTGTGTGTATTCTTTTGAGAAATGTCTATTCAGGTCCTTTTTAGATTTTAAAAATTTGGTCATTTGGATTTTTACTATTGAGGTGTAGGAGTTCCTTATATATTTTATATATTAACCCATTACCAGATATATGTTCTGCAAATACTTTCTCTTGTTCCACAGATTGAGTTTTCATTTTGTTCACTGCTCCTTTCACTATGCAGAAGCTTTTCAGTTTACTGTCATTCTACTTGTCTATTTTTGCTTTTGTTGCTTGAGCTTCTGTCATCATATTCAAGAAATCATTGCCTGGTTTAATATCTAAAAGGTTTGTTTTTCTCTTTGTTTTTTATGAGTATTACTGTTCCATGTTTTATGCTTAAGTCTTTAATCCATTTTGAGTGGATTTTTGTATCTGGTGTAAGATAAGGGTCCAATTTCATTCTTTTGAATGCATATATCCAGTTTTCCCCAATGCTTTTTATAAAAGAAACTCTCTTTTCTTCATTGTGCTCTTGTCACCCTTGTCAAAGATCAGTTGACCTTTCAATGTACCAGTCTTTGACCTCCTTGGTTAAATTTATTTCCAAGTATCATATTTTTTGACTCAGTTGTACATGGAATTGTGTTTCAATTTCTTTTTTAGATAAGCTATTGTTATTCTTTAGAAACAAAACTGACTTTTGTATGTTGACTTTTCTATCTTGCAACTTTACTAAATTTGCTTATTGAGTTCTAATAGCTTTTAGGGGAGTCTTAAGGGCTTCTTACATATAGGATTATGTCATCTGCAAACAGGCAGAAGTAAAATTGAGGTGATATCATTATGTTAATATTAGAAATAAAGCTATGAAGCTATTTGGAGAAAGCTCAAAATTGGTATAACAATGAATATAAAGACTCAAAAGTGAGACAACGACTGTTGTGTTGAAGAGGCTAACACACCATTGAAGTGGAGAGAGAAAATGAAGATTGTAGTTGGATACAAGGTCAAAGAGACAAATGTGCGACAGGAAACTATGCAGAGCCCTGCAGGCCATGGTGTGGACACAGGTTTGCACTCTGAGTAAGAGGGATCACCATTGGAATGTTCCGAGTAAGAAGTGCCACAATTTGACTCATGTTTAAAAAGACTACTTTACTTTCCAACATTAATTACAGCATTATTCACAATAGCCAACATAGGGAATCAAACTAAGTGTTCATCAGTGAATGAATGGATAAATAAAATGTGGCATATATACAAAATGAAATATTATTTAGCCCCCAAAAAGGAAATCCTGTCATTTGTTACAACATAGATAAACCTGGAGGAAAATGCTAAGTAAAATAAGGCAGATACATAAAGACAAATATGGAGTGATCTCACAAGTGGAATATAAAAGGGTTGAACTTGTAGAAACTGTGTAGAATGTTTGTTACAGAGGATGGAGGTGGGGGATTGGCTACATTAGTTATAGGACACAAAATTTCAGTTAGAAAGGAGAAATAGGTTCAAGTGGTTTATTGTACAACTTACTGACTATGGTTAATGTATTTTTGAAAGTTGCTAAGAGAACAGATTTCAAGTGTTCTCACCACACAAAAAATAAGTATGTGAGGTAATGCATATGTTAATTACCTCAATTCAGCCATCCCACATTGTATACATATATCAAAAAATGTTTTACACAATAAATATATACAATTTTTATTTGTCAATTAAAAAGTCTAAAAAATGAATTATGCTAGCTGCTTTGTTGAGAAGATATTAAAAGGAGCAAGCAAGGAGTCAGGTTAAACAGACCATTAATAGTTCAGGTGAGAGAATATGGTAGCTTGGACCAAGGAGATAGGCATGGAAGTGGTGAGAAGTGACATTATTCTAGATATATTGTAAAGGTTCAACCAAGAGGATTGATGGATTGGAGAGAGAGGGAGAGAAAGAGAATGATCACAAGATTACTAGTTTTTTGGCCTTAGGAAATAAAAGGATGGAGTTTTCATTGGCTACAATGTGGAAAATTATGGATAGGGCAGTTTTAGTGCAAGGGTAGTGGGGCAATATTATGAATTCAGTTCTCAAAAGTTCATTTTAAATGCAAAATGAGAGATCTCTATGCAGTTGTTGGGTTGGCAATTGTAATAAACGTCTGGCGTTCAGGTGTAATATTGCCAGGCGGTAGGTAAAATCTAAGAGTCATCATAAAGATGGCATTTTATTTTATTTTATTTTATTTTATTTTATTTTATTTTATTTTATTTTATTTTTGAGACTGAGTCTTATTGTGTCACGCAGGCTGGAGTGCAGTGGCATGATCTCCGCTCACTGCAAGCTCCACCTCCCAGGTTCAAGCGATTCTCCTGCCTCAGCCTCCCAAGTAGCTGGGTTTACAGGTGTGTGCCACCACGCCCAGCTAATTTTTGTAATTTTAGTAGAGACAGGGTTTCACCATGTTGGCCAGACTGGTCTCGAACTCCTGACCTCAAGTGGTCTGCCTGCGTCGGCCTCCCAAAGTGCTGGCATTACAGGCGTGAGCCACTGCACCTGGCCAAGATGGCATTTTAAAGGCCTGAAATGGGATGAACTTAACTAGTGAGTATAGATCAGGATAAACTAGCCTGGAATTGAGTCTTAGACATTCAATGTTTAAAAACGGAAGAGATTAGGAAGAATCTTCAAAGGAGAATAAGGAGTGTCCAGAGAAGAAGAAAGAAAACTAGGTGGATGGAGTGTCGTGGCAAATAATGAAGAAAGTGCTTTAAAGAGGAGAGTGATACATGCTATTAAATGCTGCTGATGAGTAAAGTGAGTACGAGAATTGACCATTGAAGTTAGCAACATGGCAATTACTGATTACTTTGATTAGAGTGGTTAGTGTGGGTAAAAGTTTCACTAAAAAGAGTTTAAAAGAGAAGAGGAGGGGAGAAATTGGTAACTAAAGTTTTTTCCATAAAGACAAAGAAAACTAATATGCAGGCGATACAAGGAAAAATTATGTCAATTTTTTTGTTGTTGTTAATGGGAGAAATAATTTTGCATGCTCAATGGAGGGATCCTGAAGAGAGAGAAAAGTAATTACTCATGAGAAAAGAGAGGAGAATTGCCTGAGTAATGTCTTTGACTAGATGAGAGAGAGGGTAGCGTCTACTGATGAGGTGGAAATCTTGGTCTTGGATAGCTAACACATCATAGGTTAGAATGTAGATTATTCTTATATATACAGGGAGGTAGGTGAGAGGTTGTGGAAATTATCTTCTGATTGATTCCATTTTCTTAAAGAAATAGCAAGAAAAAAAAAAAGGGCATCAGCTGAGAATGAGGATGGAGAAAGGGGTTTGGAGATTTCAGAAGCAAGGGCCAACTCAGATATGGAGGTTTTTTAAAATGATTCTGATCCTATCATTCGAAGTGCCCTTCAATGGTTCTGACAGTTAGTTGCATAGATACCTTCCAAGTATTTGGAGAAGGTAATTGTGTACTCCATGAAGTATCTGTTCTCTTTGGTTTCAAACTTCTCAGCCAACTGTTCCATGCAACATGATTTTCAGAATTTTATGATCTTACTTAGTCTTTTTTGAGGACTCTAGATTGTCAATATCCTTCTAAAATGAGATGTTCAAAAATAAAATCAATGCTCTGAATGTGTTTTGACTCCATAAGTTATTGGACATCCTGCTAGTCTAACCGGGTTGCATTGTCTTTGGAAATGTGACTTTGACTTAGGCTTCTTATTCCACAAATCCTTACCCAAATCCACAAAACCATTCCAATCTTATGCAATTGATTTGTTTGAGATTATATTCAGGATCTCACACTAACTCTTTTAAAATCCTTCTTTGTTGGTTTCAGATTAGCATTCTAGACTGTAAAGGGCACTCTGAATGTCATTTCAGTATTAGAAAAGAAAATAACAAGTGGTGTTTACTGAGTAAGTGCCAAACGGTAAGCTCTTTAAAGGCATTTGCTAATTGAATTTTCTACACAATCCATGAGAAAGGTGTGGTGCCCATTTGATAGGTGAAGAGACTGAGGTACTGCGTGATCAAGTTAACTGTCGAATGTCACACAGTTAACAATGTGACAATCTGGGATTCAAACTCAGAAATTTAATGTCAACGTCTAAGCTCTATTTTATGCTCAGGAGAAACAATCTGCCTGGAGGAAGAGCTGAAAGTGTAACTGAAGTCTCTATTCTGTGAACTCCTCCTGAAAAATCAGTCCCTTTTCTACATCTCCAAGCTCCTCATCCTCCCATGAGATGGTAAGACCTTTAATTTTTCTATGTCACCTCTTATGTCTAATTCCTAAATGTTCCTACTCTATTATTTATTTCATTTAGCCCTTCCGGGTGTTGTGCTATCTTCAGATTTTGCAAAGCATTTAAATCAAGTGGACAGGCATTGGAGAGATTTGGGACACCTGCTGAAAGTTTAAAAGCTGTCCCATATAAATCAATTTTAGCCACTATAGGCACATTTTATTATCTTTTTCTTTTTACTTGTTGATGAAGTTCTTATTTTTCCATGTTGATCATCCATATTGAATTAGAATGGAAATCTCCCTCCCATCTTTTCCTTGTTATACATGTGCATTTTAAATACAATTTCTAAAATAAACAACATGTTTCAAAGCAATCTCTGGTTCCAAAGACTATGACACCCTTAATAGGTTCTTCCAACTTTAAGCCTTACATGAAATTCCCAACTGTCCAGTGATTTAACTTGTCAGATTGCTGGAATCAAGTCACTCATACACGTTACCCCTTAATCTCCAACTGAAAGCCATAGCCTTCTCCTTTGCAAAGAATGACACCTCTATTGCTTGAGAAATCCAAACTGTCTGCTCACTGTTTGTGCACAGCTGCGGCAGCTAAAAGCATCTGGCATGCAACATATGGAATTTAATTTCCTGATATTTACATAGATTGAAACTGGTTTTGCTCTAGACTTCAGACAATCTTTTGCACCAGATCTTAAGACAAAAGTTTTCAGATAATTTTATGCCCACCTCCTATACTCCCCTGCTGCAATTCCTTCAGTGACCAAGAGGACAATCGGAACATGAAGTCTGCTAGTGCTTCATCATATTGAAAGATTAAAAGAGTCCTCCACTTATTGGCTTTGCTGTGTTGATGGCTTACATTGGTTCTGTTTTCAACTGGAAAACTCTGGGTTTTAAAGTATGTGTTTCCTTGGGATTTTTTTAAAAAAAATATAAACCGTTCCTTTCTAATTGGCATAAATTTACAGAAAAATTGTGAAGATAGTGGAGTTACAATATACCTCACATCCAGTTTCCCCTATTATTGACTCCTTACATTGACGTGATAAATATATCATGATTAATGAACCAGTATTGATACACTATTATTAACTAAAGTCTATACTTTATTCAGACTTCCTTAGTTTTTACCTAATGTCCCTTTTCTGTCTCAGGATCCCATCCAGGGTAATGCATTACATTTAGCCCTCACGTTTCCTTAGGTTTGTCTTCGCTGTGCCAGTTTTCCAGACTTTCCTTGGTTTTGATGACCTTGACAGCTTTGTGGAATGCTGCTCAGATATTCTGTAAAATGTCCTTCAGTCTTTTTTTTTCTTTTTGTTCTCTTCTGTCATGATTAGAGTGGACTTGTGCATTTTGAGGAGGAAAATCACAGAGATAAAGGACCATTTTCATCAAGTCATATTGAGAGTACTGTCTTAATCTGTTTGTGCTGCTATAACAGAAAGCCATAGACTGGGAAATTTATAAAGAACATAAATTTATTTCTCACAGTTCCGGAGGCAGGCTAGTTCAAGATCAAGGATCCAGCATATGGTGCATCTGGTGAGGGCCTTCTAGCCATGTCCTCACCTCAAATGGCACGAGGCAGAAGGGCAAGATAGGATGAACTCTGTGACCTCACATGGTAGAAGAGCAAAAGAGGAAGAACCCAATTCCATCAGCCCTTTTCATAGCAGTGTTAATCCATTTATCAGGGTGGAGACTTCATGACCTAAACATCTTCCAAAACTCTATACCTCCCAGCACTGTTGCATTGGGAATTAAATTTTTAACACATACATTTTAGAGAAGGGGACACATTAAAACCATAGTATGTATTATATATACTATCAACCTGGTTTGTGACTATGGATGTTAACCTTGAACACCTGGCTGAGGTACCATTTGTCAAGTTCTTCATGAGAAAAATTACTCTTTATTTTCCCCCTTCCATATCATACTCTTTGGAAGAAGCCACTGTAAGAAGAAGAAATGTAGTTTCCATATTTGGGAAGTGGAAATTATTCTCCACCTCCTTGAGGGCAGAGTAACTACATAAATTATTTGAAATTCATCTTGGCATTTGTCTTTTCTCCCCAATTTACTTATTCAATCATTTATTTACATCAATACAGAGTCATGGATATTTATCTTATGTTTAATGTTATATTCCAATACCGTTTTATTTATTTGGTTGCTCAAATTGTTACAGTTTTGGCCATTGAAAACTCTTTCAATTAGCTTCTGTGTCCTTTTGATATGTCCCATCACAGTGAGATGTGTTTGTCTAGTTTTTTTTTGTTTGTTTGAGTTCTTTCTTTTTGGTACTACAGAATGTTCCAGGCTCATCTTTTATATTTCTTTCCCCAGTCCTAGAATCAGCCAATTTTTTTCTTGAAATTTCGTTATGATTCAGGTAGTCCTAATGAGGAAAGTCTCACTGGGTATATAGTTCTCATGGGTAGTGGAACTTGTACCCAATAGCTAGTTAGAAGCAGCTAGCGAGAGATAATGCACATTATTATAATTCCAACTGCTTAATCTTGAAAATCTCATGCACTTGTGAAGCAAATATTTATAGAAAAGTAATGTGTTCTAAACAATAAGATAATTAGATGTTGAGGACCTACTAGTTTATAAGAACTATGCCCTATTCTCAGAGAGCTCACAGTCTAATGAAATAAACAAAAAAACAAGTAACCATAATACATCGAGTAGATGCCAGGGTGGAGGTAGGTAATTCTAGGATTAGAGGGGAACATGAAAGACAGTCATGTAACTCAAGCAGAGAAGATGTCCGGGAGATGAACTTGATGAATGCATTGAGGAATTTATATCCATGGTAACTCCTTTGAGCCTTCTGATCTAATAAAAGTTTGTGGTTTCTTCAAATATACGTTCTCAAGGATCCTCTCTTGTAATTTTAGTGGTTGCTTTCCTTCAGAAGCTGTAGTCAATTAGAGGAATCTATGTCTTTCCATCATCACATCATGAATAAAGAGACAGACCCCTGATTCTTTTTTCAGGAAGGAGTTACAGTAATGATGAGAATTGTGCTTTCCTCCTAAGGCACTCCGGGTCTAAGAGATACAGAAGCTCTTAAACCTTCATGTGGCTTAGCATGTGAGTGGCTTTTACATTTCAGAATTAAGAACTATAAATTTATTTTTCCCATTTATGGATATCTAAAAGAAATAGTGTTTTAATATATTTTTAAACAGACTATATTTTCCAAAGATGATTGCAACAATTTCTCCCATTCCATGAGTTTCTCTCACAATGAAACTTTGATATTTCTGTGATCAAGTAGTAGGTCTATGTTCTCTCCTCTTATATATAAGTGGATTGTCACTGTGATGGAAGCGACATTGCTAACTTCTGAAGCTAGGTCATAAGAGGCATATTCCCTAGCTTCTACCACAATTTCTCTTGAGACATTTACTCTTAGCATTCACATACCATGACATGAGGAAGCCTGAACGAGCCCATGTGGAGATACCACATGGAGAGCCCATATAGGGGTTAAGGCTGAGGAGCCCATTCAAGATCCTGGCTGACAACCAGCATCAAATGCAAGCCCGATAAGTGAAGGTGTCTCCAGACTTTTCCAGCCCCCAGCTGTCAAGTCACCCCTTGCTTAAAATTCTGCTCAGCTAATGCCCCAGACATCATAGAGCAGAGACACATTATCTTCTCTATGCCCTGTCCCACAGCATTCATCGCTATAATAGGACTTTTGTTTTATGCCATTGTTTTGTTGGGAAAACAGGATGGAGGAGGTTGTTATTATCCAATAGTAATAACTGAAATATAAGTAGCCACCTGCTCATCCTTCCAAGCCAGTGGCCCCTGATGGGAGAGTCAACCCTGACCAGTAGAAAGCCTAGCACTCTCTATTATAAGCTATCTGATTTCAGGTTATTAACTTGTAGTTATTATTCAATGATTGTTTCTTCTTCTTAGTCATATAGACATACAAGAACAGGAATGTACGTTTCCTATTCATTTCTGTATCCATAAGGTCTAACACAGTTTCTAAAACTTAGCAGGCAGACGTAACATATTTGTTGGAAGGATAGAGGTATGCAAGGAGGCATGGTTGAATGAATATGGTTGTTAAAGTAGAAAATGTATATGTTTTTAGCAGTGTCAAGTTAGAAATAAATAACATTCTTACATTGTTTTCTTACCTGAGAATTTCAGGCTATTTGGCAATCTACTACCGTGTAATAATTTACCCTGAAGCACAGTGGCTTAAAACAACAAACATTTTGTTGATCATGATTCAGTGGGTCAAAGTTTTGGGTTTGGCTTGGATGACATTTTATTTTGTTTCAATTGATATTGACTGGGCTTAGTCTAAAACTGTCTTACTTAAATGGGTAGCAGTTGGTGTTGGCTACTGGTTAGAGGCACATCTGGGGCTATCAGCCAAGGATCATGGTCGTCCTTCATGTAGGTTACTATATGTGTGGTTACTTGGGGCTTACAACATGGTGGCTTTTCTCTTAGAGGAAGCATTTCAAAATATGAAGGTGGAAGCTGCATATATTTTAAAACTTAGCTTTGAAAGTTATACGTCAGTTGTGAGACATTCTATTGGTCAAATCAAATTAAATGACCAGCTCAGCTTTAATTAAAGAGGAAAGAGCATTACCTATTGATGAGAGAATGACAAGTCCACATTGCAAGATAGCATTTGAGGTGGGAGATGTTGTTGTGGCCAGAAATAATTTGATTGATTTATTAATTATATGTTAATGTATTTGCTTGCAATCTGCCTATTTAGACCAGTACTTTAATTCCCAGAGGTTTTTACTTTCCAGCCATGCACAAACCACTGCGCATTACAGCTAGTCTTTTGAGCATAGCGTTAAACTTCAAGTCAGAGGATATAGGAGTTTGGATTTTGTATTTATCATGTAACTGCTGTCTCTCCTGATTTATAGCTTAATGTCCCAAAACAATTGACTTAACTTATAAAACCATTGCAATTATCAATGTTTTATTAGGCATCCTAATTGTCTTAAAAATAAATGAGTCAATTATTACAAAAGCGCTTTGAATGCTCTGATAAATTGTACAGTAATAACAGATCCAGGTTGTTCTATGCCTCCTATATGCTCGGTACTGGGTCATATACACTGCATGTAATCAGCTTTAATCTTCACAACCCAAGGCTTAAGAATTAGTAGTTTCACTTTACAGAGAAAAAGTTAAGTAATCAATTCAAAGTCAAACACCTAGTAAATGATGAAATTAGACATTCAAATTCAGAATGAATTCCAAAGCTCATATTCCAAAGTAATAAGCACAACCCCTTTCTTTTAGCAATTCACGATCTTAAGTAATATGCATAATATTCTACCATACAGACAACTCCAAATGTATGAACTTGGAGGTGGGCATACCGATTTTGAGTCCCAACTCTGAATTTACCTGTTGTCTATGTCTGGGCCAGTTATGTAGCATCCCTGAACCTCAGATATAAGAAAGCCTAAACAGGCGGGTCATATATAATACACCTCACAGTGTTATTTTGTGAAATAAATGAAATAAAGCAATTAACTATCATCATAGTGTCTGGAATAAATTTCCAAAATACACTACTTACTTGATTGACCATATGAAACATCTATTTTTAAAAGTCAAAAACAATAGAATACCAGAAAAGGTAAAAAATAACAGCAATTTCATATGTTCCAAGCTAATATTATATGTGTGTAATAGAATATTTTAAATATATGTTTTTTTATTAGCAGTACTTTAAAAATGATGAAACAGTGTGGTGGTTATATCTTTATAATAATTCAATAAATAATCCAAAATAAAATTGAAATAATTTAATTTATAATATCTTCATAAAAGAATAATACACTTATAAATGCATTTAACAAAAGAAATAGAAAGTTTATACTCCAGAAACTATAAAAGTGTTGAAAAAAATCAAAGATGACTTAAATAAATGTAAAGACATCATGCATTGATGAATAAAAAGACACTGTTGTTAAGACGGCAATACTCACCAAATTTGAGCTACAGATTAAACACACTGTTCTTATCAAAATCCCAGGTAGCCTTTCTTTTGTTTGTTTGCTTTGGTTTTTTGTTTGTTTTGTTTTGTTTGTTTGTTTTTGTTTGTTTCCGGATATATATACATCCGGAAAAGCCAAAAGAAACTTTAAAAAGAAAAGCAAAGTTGATTTCAGAACTTATTTCAAAGCTATAGTAATCAAGGATTCAAGACAATGTGCTACTGGCATAAGCACAGATATATAGCCCAAAGAAACAGAATTTAAAGTCCCAAAGAAAACCCTTGTATTTATGGTCATATGAATTTTGACAGAGGTGTAAGGCAATTTGGTGGAGAAAAGAATAACATTTTCAACAATGATGCTAGGAAAACTGGATATCTACATGGGTAAGAATGATGTTAGACTCCCTTCCTCACACCATACACAAAAATTAACTCAGAATGAATTGTAGACCTAAATGATAGCTCTAAAGCTATAAAACCCTTAGAATGAAATATAGGAGTACAACTTCATTGTCTTGGGTTAGGCAAAGTCTTCATAGCTGTGACACCAAAAGCACCCATGACAAGAGAAAAAATGTAGATAAATGGGGCTTCATCAAAATAAAGTAAATCTAGTATTTCAAAGGACACCATAAAGAAGTTGAAAATACATGCCAAAGAATGAAATAAAGTATTTGCAAATCCATATATCTAATAAGAGATTTGTGTCAATAATTTATAAAGAGCTCTTACAACTCAATAGTAAAAGAATAAATAATCTAATTTTTAAAAATGGGCCAAGGATCTCAATAGACATTCCTTCAAAGAAGATATACAATGACTACATAAAAGGATTGTCAACTTTAACATTACTAGCCATTGGTGAAATGCAAATCAGAACCATAATTAGTTACCATCACAGCCACCCATGGTGTCACCTGAGATGGCTAAAATAAAAGAGGCAGACAATAACGAGTCTTAAGATGGGTGTGTAGAAATTGGAGCCTACATTCATTGCTGGAAGGAATACAAAAATATTTCACTGACTTTGGAATATAGTCTAGAAGCTCCTGAAGAAGTTAAAGTTTCTGTATGACCCTACAATTTTCTTCCTGATTATATATGGAAGAAAAATGAAAATAAAACAAGGTTATTCAAAGCACTATTGTTCATAGTAGCCATAAAAGTAGAAACACCCATATGTCTATCAACTAATAAATGAATAAATAAAATGTGGTATATCCACACAATGGAATATTATGCAGTCATAAAAAAGAATAAAGTAGTGATATATACGATAACGTGTATGAACCTTGAAAACATTATGCTAAATGAAGAAGCCCATCCCAAAAGACCACATACTGTATTATTTAATTTATATGAAACATCCAGAATAGGCCAATCTGCAGAGACAGTAAATTAGTGATTGTCTAGGGCAAGGGCGTTAGGAAGAAATAAGCAGTGACTATTAATAGACACAGCATTTCTTTTCAGAGTGATGGAAATGTTCTAAAATTGATTGAGATGCTAACTGAACAACTCTATGAATACGTCAAACAGCACTTAATTTTACACCTCAATGGGTGAATTGTGTGGTATATAAATTACATGTATATACAATTGTTCAAAATAGTACTAGCAGGCATGTATATCATTGACAATGTGCCAGATAATCTTCTAAGTTCTCTATAGATAGGAATTCATTTAATCTTCATTACAATCCTGTTAGGTTGCAATATTTTTATTTTCTGTTTAAAGATAGAGAGAATAAGAGAACAGATAATTAGTTCAAGGTTATCTGAGTAAGGGTGGGGCTGAGATTCCAATCTCGATACAGGATCTGCATGCTTATTTACTATGGTATATCACCTCTTATCAATTACAAAATATGCATGTTACCTCTATCTTTATGCCCTCTTCCCTTCTTAAGTTCTGCTTTGGTAGTGCATTTCCTCCAACCAAATGATTTGTGGTGGGAGTTGTTATCTGTGTGAGTGCCAGTGCTATTCTGAACATTTGTCTTAACTGCCCACCTGCATTTCCCCATGCTCCCCAAGTCCAAGTAACTGTAAAACTAAAAGTCTCCTTTGAGGCAGGTTGGGCTGTTATTTTTCATTTCTACTCAGGGACCCACACGTCATTCTAAGACAGGAGGTGCAGGTGAGATAGTCATGTGGTTTAAAAGGAAAGGTGTTCATGTCAGATGATCCAGAGTTAGAATCATGGCTTCATCTCTGCTAGCAGCATGAGCTTAGGTTAGTTACTTTATTTCTTTAAGCTTCAGTTCCCTTATCTTAAATTGGGGATGAAGATAATACTTATGTGATGGCATTGCTGTGAAAATTAACAAGGGTAAAGCTATCAGAGAATGGCCCATGCTCAGAAAACAGGGGCCATCCACCTTATTCACTTACCCCACCAGGGTCTTAGTTTTCCAGCATGGTTAGCAGAGCATACTGAGAGATGAAAGTCCTCCTCAAGCTTGGAAGACTAATTTCTTCCATCCTGGAAAGTTTTCACCTCCCCAAATGACACAGTTAAACCAGATTGAAAACCTAGGACAAAACACTCTATAACTGAGAAGAGAGTGCATGATGGGACTTGGCTTGATCTCCTAGTTTCTCTAGAGAAATTAGAGCAGCTAAGATGTTTAAATCCCAGCCAGAACCCATGATTTAATTTGGTTTTATAGTTCTAAGGATTGCCTTGTTGTGGTTTCCCTTTATCACATACAGAGCTAGATCTCTCCCCCACCCACCATGAAGAAGGCAGCCAGGCACTGTAAACGTGAGCTGGCACAGCACTTAGTCACTGAGATTCTTATTATGTGGTCTTCTTAAGCAGTCACATCTGCATGGAGGCTCGGGCATAAGGACCAAATACAGGACATGGGCTGAATAGGGGAAACTTTGTGCTGCCTTGGAAGGAGACTGAGCTCCTGTTTGCATCCTGAGTCCATGACTTTACTATGAGATTTCGGTCAAGTCTCCTGCCTGAGCCTCCATTTAGCCACACGTAGCTTGGAAATACTAGTCCACACATCGCCATATTGATGTGAGGTTGTGAGAGCTGATGCCTGACACTGAGCAAGTGCGAGGTTGTGAGAGCTGATGCCTGACACTGAGCAAGTCCTCAATCAGTGTTATTAGATGTCCACTAGGAAACAGAAGGAGAAAAGTAGCATGCATAGAGTTCTAAGCCATCTCTCTTGACATCATCTTCATCATTCTGGGAAAATGGGATTGAATGATCAGAAGAAAGTTCATTTTCCTTTGTCTGAGAAGACATCTAGTAACATTTCTTGATATGTTCTGTTCATTCTACTTTTGACACTAGAATCCTAGATGGAAGTAAGAGCAGAGATAATACAGCCACACCTACTCATTTAACAGCCAGGGAAACTGAGACTGAGTAAGGGAAATTGACCTCTGAAGAACACACAACAAATGAGTTATAGGGTGTGAATTTGATTTTTGTGTTCTTTTCATTGCATGAAATTGTTTCTGGTAAATCACCTGAGACAAATTCAAAGAGAGGCAAGATTGCAGTGATTGAAAAATCTACTGTTTGATCTCATGATAGGGTGACTGTAGTCAATAACAACTTAATTGTATATTTTAAAATAACTTAAGGAATGTAATTGGATCGTTTGTAACTGAAAGGATAAATGCTTGAGGGAAAGGATACCCCATTCTCCATGATGTGCTAATTTCACATTACATACCTATATTAAAACATCTCATGTACCCTGTAAATATATACACCTACTATATACCCACAGAAATTTTAAAAACTAATTTAAAAAATAAAAAAAAGAAATGTCCAAGGAAGAAGAGCTGTTATTTGATCAGAGGAGGAGGAAGTATGAAAGTGGAGCAGAAGCAGCTTGCCAAAGGCCTCCGGGGCCTTGCTTAGAGTCTGGGCTTTAGCCTGAAGGCAGTGGGAAGTCATGTTTACTGGAATACAAATGACTTGAGGGCAGAATTCTAGTTCATGTCCCTTTCATGAACACTTCCTGGCATGTAATATCTGGCTCATAGTAGAATTTGAGGAGTGGTTGCTTGATAATGCTAGATTTCCAAATCTGAGAACCTGCATGGCTGGAGGAACTTGCAAAATCCCTTTGGAGTTGATGCAAGTTGGAAGAAATTCTGAAAACTTGCAGCCAACATTCACTTTTCTAAGAAATCTTTAACATGCGAAAATAAGCACAGGAAATAACTTCAGAGATGGCTCCTTCAAAAATGTTATGACCCTGTTCACGCACTGAGCTGGTAATTAGTAAACTTCCCCGATAGCTAGTAGATAGTGCGTGACCCTGTAAAAGGCTGGTTCCAGGAAGTGAAGTGAGTAGGTGTTGTTTTGTATGTTTCAAAGAAAATATAGTTTAAAAATTAAAAAAATGCAATCTACAATAAATAAACAATAAAATAAATTAATAAATAGAAATTAAGAGCCTAAGAGATTCTCCATATGGCATCTGCCTCAGCTTCACCTTCTACCTTGAACATACATGTATTCTTGATCATACACTGCTTGAACATACACTGCTCTTGATCATTGCTACACAGGACATTTAGTGACATGCTGACCTCTGGTTATTCTCATTATATTTATAACTTTGTAACAAATTCTTTAGAAAAAGAGTTAGAATAATCAGAACTGGGGTTTGAAATGAATTAGTAGCCCTTGGAACTCTGAGGGAGTAATCGGAGTACCAAAGTATGGATATATCATTTCACCAAATGGGTGATCTGTGATTGAAAAATTTAACTGAGCTGAACTAAGATAGCGTTAGCTAAAAATAGGAAAAGGCCTTGAGCTGGCCTTATAAATGATGGGTTCATAATGGAAGTGGAAACTGCTCAACATTTACTGGACATTTTCTAAGTATCAGGCACTGAGCTAGATGTCTTACTTATCATTTGTCTTGTCTGTTTGATCATCATACCATCTTTACAACATGAGAGCTATCATCACCACGATTTTGGGTCAGCAACTTGAGCTTCAGAGAGACAAGACTCTGTGGACACGGGAGTGTATCTGTTTTCCTCATCACTACGTCCACAGAACTAGTAGTATGCCTGGCACATAGTAGGTATGTTAAATGATTTCCCCACAGTCATAAAACTGAAGAATTATACAATGGGAAATTGAATGGTGATCGACATGGGTGTATGTGACTTTGTGTCTGTGTGTAGAAAGCCCTAGCTTAAATGACATCACTCCTTCATTCATAAACTTCCAATAAGTTTCCATTGCACCGGGCGTTATTCCAACTAGGCTTTGTTGATCTCTCCGACTGTATCCCTGCCCCGTCTCCTTTTTCTTTTCCATATTCCAGTGTCACTGATTTTCTGTCTATCCCTCCAATATGCTGAACTAGGTTTTGTCTTGCTCTTGCTCTTTTCCATGTCTAAAACAATCTTCTACTCCCTTAGCATAGCTAGCTTTTCTCATTTTTCCTGTTACTGTGCAAATGACATTTCTTCGGACAAGCTTAGTCTAACAACCCAATCTGAACTTGTTATCCAGCTACTAGCTGTCACATCACTCCTTTTATTTTTATGCTCTATTTATTCCTCTCTGGAATGAACTTTACTTGTATATTCTTTTGGTTCTTTGTCAGATCTCTATTAGGATGTTAGTTTCATAAGAGGGGGACTGTTGCTTCTTTTTTATTCATTTTTGTATTACCAGCACCCAGAATATTATTGGCATTTTAGCAGATGCTCAAAAATATCTATAGAATAAACAAATCAGAGAATAAATGAACAAATGGGTGACTGTTGCCCAATGAATGAAGTCCCCAAATACCAAGCCCCAATTCCTCTTGTTTTCTGCATAATGTCCTAATATAGGCTTTCATCACTCTTTCTCTAATCTTATCCTTTTCTGTAATGGACAGCAATTTGCTCACCACATTCTACCTCTACTTCCCTTCTCTCAATTACCAGGATCCTGCTATTAAAGTACTTCACTTATGTCCCAGCAATACTTAACCACTTAAAGTTTCCTAAATGCACCATTCCTTTCTCTCCTAGCCTTTATTCTTGTTGTTCCCTCCTCCTGGACCACCCTGTCCTCCGTTGTCACCCCATGCTTTTCACTGCATAAATCCCACAGAATCCACCGTACTCAGCACAAATATCACCTTCTATGGGAAACTGCCTCTGATCTTCCCAAATGGTGATCCCTCCCAGTGCTACTTTAGTGCCTATTCCATATTGTATTGTAGCATTATCCCACAGTTTAATTATGCTTTCCTGATACTTTCCTCTTGGAAACTGTTAACCCAGGGGAAAAAGAAAGTAAAGTTTTACCACTCTCTGAATCCCAGCTAGAGTGCAAAGTTAAGCATGAAATGGCTACTCAGTGAACATGTGTAAATGAAGGAGACAGTGAATAAACATAAAAAAATTAATTGATTCATACAGAAACATATCTGTGAATATTTGACCCAGGTTTTACTATTTAGTTCCACACCAAGACTAACCAGTTTTCCTGGTTTGTTTGGGACCAAGAAGTTCTGAAATAAGAGGCTTTCAGTGCTAAGACCAGAATATTCCTGGGCAAATGAGGATGAGGTCATTGCCCTATACACACCCAATTTTCTTGATATTGATAGTGATAACATGGAGAAATTGATGCAGTGAAGTTTTTAGGTTAGGTAAGATTTCAGGTGAAAGTTATTGGATGGGAGACCAGAATTGCATAGTAGACTAAGATTAGAAGCAGGGGAAGGATTACAGTGGCACTTCCTCCTGGATGTTAAACTTTTAGGGTGGTGTGGTGGCATACAGAAGGAGCAAACTAGGGACAGGTGGGTCTGGGACTCACTCTAATTCCCTTTCACTATCTTTACGGCATTGGATAAATCAAATGACCCCTCAGCTTCCTGTCTGTGAAGCACATTTTCCAGTGCCAAATGCACCACTATTACAGGTCTAATTAAGTGCCTGACACATAGTAATTGCTCAACCAAGCACTAGTCCCTTCAGCAGGGTGTGAACCTTATACAATGGGAAATTGAACAATGGATACAATGGATTATTGTCTCCAGACCCTGAAGTAGGGTTGTTTCAACATGTAGAGTTAAGTAGTTATTACATTTTTCCAAACTGAATTAGCAAGAAGTTTGGTCTCATGAACCATTGGTTTTGTATATAATAAATACTAGATTCTGTGTAATGTGTGTCTTAACTCTAGTTATGTGACTTTTTAATAGTTCCCTTGTCACAGCAGTATGCCTGATGTGGTAAGGTTACAGAGAGAGATCCACAATTTCTCAATAATCACAAAAAATACCAATATCCATATAAAACATGTTGTATCCTTTTGACCGAGCAATTCTGTTTCTAGGAATTTGTCCAAAAGAAATAACCAGAGAACGCATGCACAATGATGTTCATCTCAGTATTGTTTATTACAGTGAAAAATCACAAACATCCAAAATGCTTAATGATAGAGATTTGGCTAAGTTAATTACATTTTAGGCATTCACTGAATACCACACAGACATCAAAAAATTGTATTCCCTAAAAGTATTTAATGACCTGGAAACAAGTTGAAGGCATATTGTTAAATGAGGAAAGCAGATAACAAAACAATATGTTCAATATGATTCTAATTTTGTAAAATAAAAATCATTAAAGAAATAATATTAAACAATACCAGCAACAGTGTCATTAATGTTTGAGAACATAGGTTGTGGAGTCAGAAACCTTGGATTCAAATTCCAGCCCTACAACATTTTTGCTATGTGATTTTGGAAATTACTTTACTTTTCTTTGTCTCAGTTTCCTCATTGGCAAAGGGGAGACAACATTCATTTCCACACTATAAGATTTTTTGTAAAAATTAAATAAGCTATATCTATGAAGCGTTAGAAGATTACCTGGCACAAAGTAAATATAGAAGTGTTGGCTACTATTTTTAATTTTAAAAGTGAAGTAATTTGTAACAAACAGAAAATGAATCCTCTCTATGCAAATCCATCTAGCAATTAATTGCCTGAGCTGGAATTTGAACCTAAGCCTGTCTGACTCCATAATTTGAGCACCTAACCATTAAGTAATTCAGAAAAAGAAATGTTAGCTATGTTTTTCATAGATGTAAGATGATGCATAACTTTTACGCTCTTCTTTGTGATTTTCTAAAAGTTTAAAAATGAATACATATTGCTTTTATAACTAGAAAAAACATTATTTCAGATCTAAATTTTAGGTTGTCTAAATGAAGTAAAACTTCTTATGCTGAATTCTACCTTTATTAATTAATTGGCCAGTTACTTTATTTCTGCACCATGACAAGGTGAAGAGGCAAGCTTCATGAGAGATGCTTCAAATACTACAAGGTGTCAAATTCTTAGTCACAGAAAATGGGTCACAGGTACCCTATAGCGCTTGTTCCAGAGTGTACCTGTGACCCGTTTTTTGTGACTACGAATTTGACAATTAGCATGTGTTCCAGAATCAGACAGAATTGAGTTCAAATCCCAAAGCTATAAGCCCTTGGACAAATTACTTAGCTACTCTGAGTCTTAGTTTCCTTCTTTATGAAATAGGATAATAACAGTTCCTCATGATGTCTCAAGGAGTTGAAGCTTTATGTGAAATGACCATCATTATTCCAGGTAAACAGTAGGTGCTCAACTGTTGGTAATCATTAAGGGGATTATGAAATTTTGAAATGACACTTAGAGCTACTGAGGTCTAAAATGCTACCAGCATTTTGAGGTCCAGAAGGGATTAGCACTAAGAGAACCCAATATGACACAGAAGATGTGTCCAACACAGTGTGCCAATAATTGAGCACAGTGTCTGGCACATAAAAGGCACCTAATTTAATAAATATTGGTTATTATTTTCTCTTTTATTATGCAGTTAAGAACTTTGATTTAAAATTATTATCTTTATGTCAAAGAGCATAGATTGAATAGAGGAGAATAAGACTTTCAGCAAACTTTGAAACAAAAGATATTTTTGGATCATAAGTTGTGTTGTTATGAGGACTTCGTGAGTTAATCTATGTAGGTTGCTGAATATAGTGTATAGTACACAGTATGGACTGAATAAACATTGAATTTTATTGAAATATTTGAATAAGTGAGTAAGTGAACAATGAATGTCAATCTTGGTTAGCGTGAATTGTAGAGCATTAGAGCCGGAAGAGTTCTTACATATTGGCTATTCAAAATTCCTCTTTTTATAGACGACAACATTGAGGCTCATGGAGCCAAAACTACTTTTCTAAGATCCAATAGTTAGCTAATGGCAAAACACTCAAGGATAATTGATAATATTTTAATGTCTTGCTCAAGTTATCTATTGATAATACTCTGATACTACAAATAAATCTGATAATTATAATAATAATAGCTATCATTTCTCTACTACTCAGAATGTGTCAACCACATTACAATTGTGTGGGGCATTTACTATCCCCATTTCACATATAGGGAAAATGTGATTTCAATAATGAAGTACCTTGCCCAGCTTTCAAAAGAAAGGTCAGAAATCAAACACAAGCTTTGCTGTGTCTAATTCTCTTATGCTTTATCTCTGTGCTACACAGATGCGGTGTTTGATGATAAATATTTCATCTTGTCATCCTGGCAAGATTCATGTAAAAGGAGGAGATGGAAGTCCAATAACATATGACAAGAAACAGGGGCATAGAAAGAAAGCAAGAGAAGTGAACCATGGACCAGCAGAAAATTTCAAACCAAGATTCCTCTTCCCTCCATCTGCTGAATTTGCCATTTGTTACAACAACAACAAAAAAATCCCTTCTGGGAAAGACTCACTCAACTCCAGATACTTTTCCAAGACATTCTTGGAGCTGAGACTAGCATATCCAATTTGGCAGTGTGAAGTGTGATTTTAATTAGGCCATTTCCCTCTGGGGGCTGGGGGCTTTGCTGGCTGAACTTCATAAAGGAGTCTGTGGGTGGGCAGTACACAAGGAGCTCAGAGGTGAGGAGCATTCAGGACAAGCCTCCCAGAGAGGCCTGGCTGTCGTTTTGTGAAATTTCCTCTATTTCTTCCTCCTCTTAAAGTAATTGGAAATTGCTGTACCTGGGGAGAAATGTGGCTTCCCTTGGATAGGAAAAGGCTTTAGAACTTTTGGATAAGAGCCAGCTAATATCCAGGGCATTTGTTTTCCAGCCACGGGACCCCTGTGTGGATCAATCACTCAATTCAGACAGGTGTCCACCTTTCTTGCTCCATGCAATTCCTTCTAGGCCAAGAGAGGCTGGTTATGCCACTACCCAAGTAAAAAGTTCATGTTTCTTCTGTCCATGAAATAATGTAGTCCCAACATTCTCTTCTTCAGCATGTCTAGTGATTTAAGGGTTTTGATTTCTACAAGGGAGAAACATGCAGAGATATATCGTTGGTGTCTGACTGTATCTCTTCCATGCTACAAACCCAGCTGCACAAGCCAAGGTTGTGCAGCTGGGTTTGTGGGTGGGCCTGGTCACTCAAAAGGGACTGACTAAAAACTGCCCAGAGGATGAAAACCAAGTTGCTCTCAGAAAACCTGAGACTTGGGAGAGAACCTCTTACAAATCTTCCTTGGTTCATTAGCATTCTTTTGAAAACTGGACATTCATCTTTCATTTTGAGCGGTTTGAGGGAATTTCTAAAATGCAAACCCACTCACATTGGTTTTCTGCTTTAAAATACTCTAATAAGTCCTTAGAATACTCGTATTAAGGACCTTGCTATTGCACCAAGCTTTCTTTTTCTTTTTCTTTTTTTTATTGATTCAAGACATTTGTACATTTATATTGGGTACACGTGTATTTTGTTACATGCATAGAATGTACAATGATGAAGTCAGAGTCTTTTGGGTATCTATCATCCTATTTGTTGGGAACATTTCAAGTTTTCTCTTCTATTTCACTATAGCACCAAGCTTTCTTTTTGCTGTGACCTTCACATTGCTCTTCAGCTTCATTTGCTCTTCTTCGGCCCCACCCCCATGCTTCCCAAACCAAATTATACCCTTGATATTTTCATACATTATTGTCCCGTTTACTGCAATACCCTTTGAGCCCCCTCTCTCTCTGTCAATGGGCTCCCCTTCCCCTTCATCCTCATCTCTAGTCCTGTACTTTCTTGGCCAAACTTGCTAGGCTAACTTCTCATTCTTCATATCTCAGATTAGAAGTTACCTACTCTGAAAAACCTTGCCTAAATACTCTTCTTTCACTCATTGAAAAATCTGGAGCACCCAACCACACTCTCTTGCAAAGACCTGTCTTAACATCTATTTCAGCACTTAACATGCTATATTGTAATTGCCTGTTTAATTTGCTCTCCTCCATTAAATTGTAAGCTCTCATGAAACTAAAGACCAGGCTTGTGTTTTTGTTTTTGTTTTTAATCATTATATCCCTAGTTCAGTGTCAGGTATATTGTAGACATGCAATAAATATGTGCTAAATTAATGAATGAGATCCCAGAGGGTATCATGTAAAACCTTTAATAATCTTTGTCACTTCCTGGGGATTAAATGCTTCTCTTAAAGATATGCAGAATTGGCCAGTCACAGTGGCTCATGCCTGTAATCCCACCGCTTTGAGAGGCTGAGGCGGGCAGATCATCTGAGGTCAGGAGTTTGAGATCAGCTTGGCCAACATGGTAAAACCCCACCTCTACTAAAAAAATAAAATAAAATAAAAGTTAGCAGTTAGCTGGGTGTGGTGACAGGCACCTGCAGTCCCAGCTGCTCTGGAGGCTGAGGCATGAGGATTGCTTGAACCCAGGAGGCGAAGGTTGCAGTGAGCCGAGATCATGCCACTGCACTCCAGCCTGGGTGACAGAGTGAGACTCTGTCTCCAAATTAAAAAAAAATGCAGAATTTGGAGGGTTGGTGCAACTTTTTTTCAACTTTTATTTTAAGTTCAGGGATACATGTGCAGGTTCTTTGTATAGGTAAACTCATGACTTGGGTGTTTGGTGTACAGATTATTTCATCACTCGGTATTAAGCCTAGTACCTGTTATTTTTTATGATCCTCTCCCTTGTCCCAACATCCAATAGGCCCCAGTGTCTGATGTTCCCCTCTATGTGTCTATGTGTTCTCATCATCTAGCTCCCACTTGTAAGTGAGAACATGCAGTATCCAATTTTCTGTTCCTGCATTAGGTTGCTAAGGAAAATAGCCTCCAGCCTTATCCATGTTCCTGCAAAAGACATGATCTTGTTCTTTTTTATGGCTGCATAATATTCCATGGTGTACATACATTACATTTCCTTTATCCCATCTACCATTGATGACCATTTAGGTTGATAATTTATAAGTAGACAGTAAGGACTGTTGGCAGTAAACACTGAGATTTTGGAAAATTTTTGGTAAACACTGAGTTTTGGTAATATTTTAAAATACTGACCTAAAGTATGGCAAGTTCAAGTGTGAGTGTGTTGTATTTGGCCTGGAATCCTATTTATGTGGTTGCTCAAAGAATATGCATAAGCACATTAATCTGATTTGATACCTTCGTATTCACCAATACAGAACTAAGGGCCTAGGACACAGGAATTTTGGTAGAGATGAACCTAGGTATATCCAAGAGGTCATGAAACTTAGCTAAGGTGAGAGAAGCCGCCTTTCCGTGTTTCCCCAAAGGGGAGGGTACTGAGCTGAACCTAGAAAATTATTCAGCAAATTTAAGAATGAAGGAATTGCCAAAAAGAGAATCTGGCTAGAGGAGAGCTTATATATAGTTGAACTAAGACAATAAGAATAACTGGAATACAAGAATTGTTCAGAATGAAATTTTATAAATGTTGTCTTTCCAATCTGTGTAGCATCCTATACTTTATGGAGCATAGAAGGATTCCTAAAAGTCCTGGGTAAGTTCAAAGCTGGTTCATAACTATCTCTTCATCAGTGTTAACAATGTGAATGATAGAATGCACCATAATCTTATGGAGATGGTTATAGAAATAAAGACCTCATGTAACAAGCAATTTCTAAGCATAAGGCAAAGCACTGACATTTGACTCCTGTCTTAATAAGAGTTCTTCAGAGAGAAACAACTGATAGAATAGATAGATAGATAGATAGATAGATAGATAGATAGATAGATAGACAGATACATGTACATACAGACAGGAAGAGAGAGAAAGGAAAAGTAATTTATGAATGAAATTAGCTCACTCCACTATGAAGACTGATAAGTCCTACAATAGGCTGTCTGCAAGCCAGAGAACCTAGGAAGCCTCGATTATGGCTCAGTCCAAATCTAAATGCCTCAAAACAGGAAAGCTGGTAGTGTCACTCAGTCCAAACCTGAAAGCCATAGAACCAAGGATGCTGGTGGGTTGTCTCTCAGTCTAAGGCTGAAGGCCTGAGCACTCAGGGGGCCACTCATGTGAGTTCTGGGGTCCAAAGGCCAAATAACCTGGAGTTCTGATGTCCAGCAGCAGGAAAAGAAAGCAAAATGTCACCTTTACTTCACCATTTTTTCCATTCAAGCCTCTAGCTGATTGGCTTACCTGACTGCTCACATTGAAGGCAGCTCATTCCCACTCAGTCTGCCAACTCAAACATCAATCATCTCCAGAAACACCTTCACAGAAACACCTAAGGCGACACAATTATGCTAGTCAAATGCCAAAATACCTGGGTTTCCCTTTTAGCAGAAAAGGGACCGGCACAGTGCCTAGTG
Source organism: Homo sapiens (assembly GCF_000001405.40). NCBI lineage: Eukaryota > Metazoa > Chordata > Mammalia > Primates > Hominidae > Homo > Homo sapiens. The sequence goes on along the minus strand of NC_000009.12, from coordinate 116,032,840 downwards.
AAGCATTGAGAATAATTAATTATTTACCAACTATCTGGGCAATCTTTAATCCAGGCCAGTATGCACCCAAAATCAATCATTACAACTTCCAAGTTCAAATAACCACCATGACCCAAGTTATTACTCTCACTGGCTTCTGTTCTGATACGTTCATTTTTTTCATCAGAGAAAGGAAAGAAACTCTTTCTTTTCTTAGGTATCCTCTATGGCTTCCTAACTTAGCAGAAGTTAACAATAGCTGCTCATAAAAATAATAGGCACAATTATTTCTATTTTCTAGTGTAGTAATTCCCAATATGACTTCCTCAGAACACCTATTGTAAGAGACGTTAACGAACACAAAGCAAAAACCAAAATGTTTCCAGGCCAAAAAGTTTGGGAAATTATATATTATAGCCCCCTCTTAGGAAATCACATTGCATTTCAGGATGTTTAGAATGTTGATAAGTCCTTTTAAAGAAAACTATCAGTCTAAAAGAAACTATTTGACCATAGAATTTATCTTTTTTGAGAAATACTAAATTAATATTTCACAGAAAAACATCTATGGAAGTTCTAGAACCTCACCTAAGGACTATGATTGTATGTTCCCAAATATTTTTACCTAATATTATGTTTATATATTTTAAAATCAATTATTTGTCTATTGACTTGTCAAAAATTATTTTATGAACACACAGAGTGGAATGATAGACACTGGAGGCTACAAAAGATGGGAGGGTCTGAGGAGGGCTGGGGGTGAAAACTTGTCTACTGGGTACAGTGTTTACCACTCGGGTGATGGGTACACTAAAAGCCCCCCTTTTACCACTACACAATGTATGCATGTAAGAAATCTTCACTTGACTCTGAAAATATATAAAACTTAAAAAACTAAAGTGTAAAAAAATTATATTAGCTAAGTAATCATTTATTATTATAAATGTTTGTGGTCTATTTTGTACTGTCTTTACTGATTGGGATAAAAAATATATTCTGCTTTATTAGGAATTAGAAAATTAAATTCCACAAAAATGTTCTGTAAGTGCAGGATGCGAGTTATACATTGATAAAAGGTCAGAAATAACAATAATATTATTTTAAATATTAATGGCTACCTTTTACTGAGCTCTTAAACATGGGTCAAAAATTATCTTGAGTATTTTTACAACAGTTTTCTCATTTAGTACTCCCAGCAGCCCTATGAAAATGGCGTTATTATTATTCCTCTTTTACAGATGGAGAAACTGAGGCTCAGAGAGGTTAAATAACTTGCCCAAAGTCATAAAGCTAAGTGGTATAGTCTGTGATTAGTTAATTGATGCTCTTAACCTCAAGGAATTGGTCATCTATATCACAGAAGTGATGGGGTTTAAACATACCAAGTCTATTTTAAATTGCTTCCAGGAAAATAGTGCTTACTGTTTCAGCTAAGATCAGTGTGGATTCTCTGCCAAGGATAAGCAAAAATTTATGGAGCCTCCTGGCCTTCATTTAAGCAGCAACATACAAGGATGAGATGCAACAGATGCAGCCGAAGTTGAGCACTGGCTCCATGGATCAACATTTTCTGGTAGCACACAAGAGATTTTCTTTTTTTCAAGCGTGAGGGCAAGCAAAGTGTAACCAAGTGGTTTACAAGATTTACCAAACTCAAAATTATGAGTTTGACTTTGAGCTGTAGCAATCTATCAATGGTATAGTCATACATAATTTTAATTAACTTCCTGAAATGCATATGAGAAAATATTTGTCATTTGAAATCAAAGCAAAATGGGCAATGACTCTCGGTTGACTTAGAATTGTGAAACAGATGAAAGAGATTGTCCTTGTTGCAGAAGCTCCACATGGGATATGAGGAAACTTCCCACCTTTTGACTAATAGAAGTCCTTCAAAAAGGCAGTAGAGCTGCTTTGATTTGAAGGCAGAGGAGCTGTAAAACAAATATGATCATGACATTTTCTTCTTAGAATACTTAGTGACTTTCTATCACACTCAGTGTCATGAATCCATATATTTGAATTATGAGGACTTACATTATTGGGCCCTTAATTCTCCAGCAATATCTACCACACTCATTCCTTAGACATCTTAACTCCCCAGCCAGATTGAATTCCCTGCAGTACCTGGAAGATTCCCAGGACTCTCTTGACTTTTCACATGCCTTTCTTTTAAAGCCAAAATTCTTTCCCACTATTTCCCCATTCTGCCTGGTTACTTACTATCATTTCATTTACTTTCTTTAATTATGATTTTTTTCACTTAGTCAACAACTTGTTTTGGGTATCTAAAATAATGTCAGAGCAAGGCAGACTTGAGAAAATTGACCAAAAGAAATGAAAAGCAGTTTAAAAAAATAGAGAAGAAAATGTTTATGAGAGACAAAAGAAATAAAACATAAATATAATTGGTGTCACTGAAAATGTGATCTAGACAAATAAAATATAAAAATAAAATAAATCAAACATTTGATTATATCACTCTTTTGTTTAATACATCAAAATGTGTGCTTTACTAAGGCTGAAATATATCTCCAAATACACATGGAATCCTCAAATTTTCTTCAGTGCCCTTCCTCTCTAGTGGGGGAAAATAACAATTATTATTAAATTAATAACTTGGAGTGCTCTGAAAATAAATTAGATTTCCTCAAAAGATAGAAAGTTCTCCACCACAAACAATGTTCCTCACCAAAGATAATGTTCATGGAAGTGCTAAGAGTACGGGAACATTTCTGGTAAATACAACACCATCATATGCAAAGGCAGGAAGGAGGGTAAGTGGAGATGGAAGGTAAGAAGCAAAAAGAAGAAAGGCTCCATTGGAAAGTACACAGGAGCATCCCATGAAGAAATTAGTCAATACAGAAAGGTTTGGGGCACTTTTGTCGAAAATTGGCATTTTTTTTTTTTTTTTTGAGACAGAATCTTACTCTGTCACTCAGGCTGGAGTGCAGTGGCATGATCTCAGCTCACTGCAACCTCTGCCTCCCAGGTTCAAGCAGTTCTCCCACCTCAGCCTCCCAAGAAGCTGGGACTACAGGCACGTGCCACCACACCTCACTAATTTTTGTATTTTTTAGTAGAGACGGGGTTTCACCATGTTGGCCAGGCTGGTCTTGAACTCCTGACATCAAGTGATCTGCTCACCACAGCCTCCCAACGGGCTGGAATTACAGGTGTGAGCCATCCCTACCCCCTCGCCAAGAATTGGAAATATTTTGACATTTTATACAAAAGAGGAGACATACTCAAATATTTGATTTGTTTTAATTTTCTTTCATTTTTCCTGATTGTATTCACAGTGACACCAATTATATGTATATTTTATCTCCTTTGTCTGTCTTTCATACACATTTTCTTTTCTAATGGTTTTAAACTGCTTTGTATTTCTTTAGGTCAATTTCCTTAAGTCTGCCTAGCTCTGACCTTATTTCCACCAATAAAGATGGTGCTTTTAATGCAGGTTTAAATGACTGTTATATTTTTCACTTTTATTTCATTACTGATCTTGCTTGCTGCCTTGCTATTTGCTTGTTTGTTTACATTTTTGTTTTTCCTTGTGTCCTCAAATATTTTTTGATCCCTTAAATAATTTAAAAAATTGTTCACATTTTATAAATTCAGCCAAATATTTGGTAACAAATGTAATTTCATCTGACAAGATTTTCAAAGGTATTCTTCAATTGCCATCCCTTTGTAAGTTTTGTTTTACCTTTTCTTTTTGTAGGTATTCGTCTAAATTCTATGCTGTCTCCCCTTGTATTATAATCCTCATTGAATAACATTAGTTTTTTTCTTTAGCAGTTTTGTAAAAAAATTAGTGGTGGTGGGAGAAAAGTCCTAGGAGTAGTAGGAGAACTCACCAACTCATAGTCTAATCCCTTCTAATATGGAATAGTATGTGTATGTGTGTGCATGAAGGGAATGTCAAAATGAGAGACAGGAGCATAAGGTTCATGTTTCTCCTCTTTGTTTTCACTGAATTCCATTGAAATTGGAGAGAAGAAGAAACTAGAGATACATTTACTTTTCCATCTTAAAACTCACGTATGCAACCAAAGAATTTCAAAAGATCATTCTAGCTACACTAAACAGGTTGAAAGTAAGATGGGAAAGGAAGCTGTAACAAAAGTGTAGATAAAAAACGATGGTTGCTGATTGGAAATAGAATGAAGGGAATGGAGGTAAAATTGACAAAACGCGATGATTTTTCCAGGCTCTACCCCCAGTAGCCTGTGATGTTTTCAAGGATAGAAGCTATGTGCATCCATATATATATATTTCCAAGCATTTAAACCAGTCACTAAGTTAATAACAATAAATCTTCATTAAAACCAGACAAGAATTTATATTTTAATTCCTATTAATTAAAATATTGTCCTGAACTAAATATTTTCTATTTCTTTTCAGAAACAACTCAGGTCATAGCAAGAGGATTTGTTTTCACAGCAAAAAGGATTTGTGTGAGACCATTTTCTTGGGGATTGTTGTGAGACATTTTATGTCTGTTTTCCTAAAAGCACTTTAATGCTTTGGAAGTAACCATTATGGGTAAGTCATTTCATTCTAAATGCCTGTTTGCACCTTTTAAAAATGGGAATAAAAGTAATAGTATTTATTTGATAGGTTTTACTTGGAAACAGTAAGTAAATGTTCAGTGTGCCTCCCACAGGCCTTATTTGGTTTAGATATTTCTCAAGGGAGCTCCCACTTGCTCTTTCTTCCTCATTTCTCAGAGAAGCTATCAGGCCTGTTTAGACTCTCATCTTGGACGTTTCATTATAATTTTTGCCTCCCTTTATCACAGTCCTTCTCACAGAGGTATGCAATTATATGTTTATGTGCTTGTACCTCCATTAGGTCAGAGACTATGCCATTTTATTCTCATCTCTACAAATACCTAGACATAGTAAGTCTTTAATACATTTTAAATGATTAAAAGTTGATTCTCAATTGCAGGTTTCATTTATCATAGGTGGGGATGCAAACACCCCTCCTGGCTCCTTTTCCTAGAAACCTGAGTTAAAGAAAGGCCACCCACAGCCTTTGGTCTTTGGGATGAACAGTGAGGCTCATCAGTAACAGAAGAAAAAAAGTTGTACCCATATTTGGAAAAACATGTCTCTCAGACATATGGGTTTCTATGAGCAAGAGTCACAAGCTATCATGTTTTGATGAGTCATAAATATCTTCGGTATCAACCAGTTCCAGAGGAAAATTGCTTTAATTCATGGAAGAATACATTCCATCACAGAAAAGACATATTTCTGAAACAGAATATAGAACCTTAGGAAAACAGATTCTTTAAAGGTATAAAATAAAGCAAAATTGCAATATCATCTAATAGCAAAATATTTTTGTTGTTGTCATTTGTTTGCTTTGTTTTGTTTTGCTCTTTTGAAAGGGTAATTTGTTACTTAGTAAGCCCTTTATTTTTATTTGGGAAATTAAATAGTTGTAACTAACCCAATGGAATTGTGTTTTGTAAATGTTGGCCTCTTATAAATCAATTTTACTTCCTTCTCTCTAGTGGTGTGGTAGCTCATCCTAGCAAGACAGTCAGTTGGCAATTGTTTTCTGAACTCCTGCAGGGTTCTCAGCAGCCCATTAAGTGATGGATGGCTAGAAAGCTGATGACTGAGAATTTGAGGAGGTGTGTCTACAGTTAGTCTAGTCACCATTTTATTGAAGCTGGCAGAATAATTATTGCGTTTCTTGAACTCTAGAAATTATTTTATGAAAGCAGAATATTTATAAGCTAATTAATTCTTATAATCAAACTAAATCATATTAACCAAATTTTACTCCTTGTTTATTATAATGAGTAGATTAGCCGTATTTTTGTGAAGACTTACTATGCACTGGATACATTTAATTAATGTAGATATCATTTAACTCTTTTTTAAGGTTGTCGGGGGTGAGTTGGCCAAATTCAGCCTGGTCCAGGGAAAGTCGGAATTTTCTCATTTGATTGATAGATCGAGTCCATTTTTTTAAAACAATTTTTTAATTATGAAAGCACTACATTATGTATTTTTAAAAGACCAAAACATTTTAAAAAGAAGTGGCAATCCCCTTTTGTTACTTGGATTATCATTTTTGGAATGGCACTTTTTAACTCTCTTACCTTTTCTTTAAAAATATATCATTTATTTCTTTGTTGTTAAATTTTCTTTTGAGTTCTTACAGAGCACAAGGACTTATATTTTTTGCAAACACACCCATCATCTTTCAATCATGATCTTACAAGTTTAATTATATCACAATTTCTGGTTTAAATAATTAAATCACTTGAATACCCAGATTAAATATCTGGGCATAACGTTTATGCAACTGCACAAACTTTCTTTATTCTATCGGATAAAATTTCATTCATTACTTGTATAGTTCTGACTATGTAAATATTGTGCTTGGCTGAATGCTATGATTTAAATGTTTCCCCACCAAATTTCAGGTGTTGCTGATGTGATAGTATTAGGAGATGCAGCTCTTAGGCTGTGATTAGGCCTTGAGTGCTCGGTCCTCACGAGCAGGATTAAGGTGCTTAAAAAAGGGGGGACTTCATGCGTTGTTAGGTCCCTTGCCCTTCCACCTTCCTGCCATATGAGGACATGATATTTCTTCTCTTCAGAGGATGTATCCCTCCCCAGAAAATCAAACCTGCTGGTGCCATATTTTGGGTTTTCCAGCATCCAGAATTGTGGGAAATATTAAAAACAAAAATCATATGATCATCTCAACAGATGCAGAAAAATCTTCCAATAAAATTCAACATCCCTTTATGATAAAAACTGTCAACAAAGCGGGCATTGAAGGAATGTACTTCAAAATAATAAGAGCCAACTATGAAAAACCCACAGCCAGCAACATACTGAATGCGCCAAAGCTGGAAGTATTCCCTCTGAAAACCAGAACAAGACAAAGATGCCCTCTCTCACCATTTCTATTCAATATAGTACTGGAAGTCCAAGCCAGAGCAATCAGGCAAAAGAAATAAATAAAAGGCATACAAATATGAAGAGAGGAAGTCAAACTATCCCTGTGTGCAGAAAATATGATTGTATACCTAGAAAACCCTGCAGTGTCTGCCCAAAAGCTACTTGATCTGATACACAACTTCAGCAAAGCTTCAGGATACAGAATCAACTTACAAAAATTAGTAGCATTCCTATACACCAACAACATCCAAGCTGAGAGACAAATCAATATGCAATCCCATTCACAATAGCCACAGAAAAATAAAATACCTAGGAATATAGCTAGCCAAAGAGGCAAAAGACCTCTATAATGAGAATTACAAAACACTGGACAAAGAAATCATAGATGACAAAAACAAATGGAAAAACATTTTGTGCTCATAGATACAAATAATCAATATTGTCAAAATGGCCATACTGCCCAAAGCAATTTACAGATTCAATGCTATTCCTATCAAACTACCAATGGGATTCTTACAGAATTAGAAAAAACTATTTTAAAGTTCATATGGAACCAAAAAGGAGCCCAAATAGCCAAGGTAATCCTAAGCAAAAAGAACAAAGCTGGAGGCATCACATTACTGGACTTCAAATGAAACTACAAGGCTACAGCAACCCGAACAGCATGATACTGGTATAAAAAGAGACACATAGACCAATGAAACAGAATAGAGAGCCCAGAAGTAATGCTGCATACTTATAACCATCTGATCTTCAACAGAACTGACAAAAAAAGCAATGGAGAAAGAACTCCCTATTCAATAAATGGTGCTGAGATAACTGGCTAGCCATATGCAGAAGATTAAAAGGGAACCTCTTCTTATACAATATACAAAAATTAACAGAAGAAGGATTAAAAATTTAAATCTAAAGCTAAAAACTGTAAAAACTCTGGAAGATAATCTAAGAAGTACCATTCTGAACATAAGACCTGGCAAAGACTTCATGACAAAGATGCTAAAAGCAATTGCAACCAAAACAAAAATTGACAATAGTGTTTAATTAAACTAAAGAGCTTCTGAACAGCAAAAAAAAAAAAAAAGAAGAAAGAAAAAAGAAAAGAAAAACTATCATCAGAGTAAACAGACAACCTAGAGAATGGGAGAAAATTTTTGCAAAACATGCATCTGACAATTGTCTAATATCCATAATTTATAAGGAACTTAAACAAATTTACAAGAAACAAACAAGCAACCCCATTACAAAGTGGGCAAAGGATATGAACAAACACTTTTCAAAAGAAGGCATACATTTAGTCAACAAGCATATGAAAAAATGCTCAATGTCACTAATCATTAGAGGAATTTAAATCAAATCTACAGTGAGATATCATCTCACACCAGTAAAAATGACTATTACTAAAAAGTCAAAAAACAACAGATGCTGGCAAGGTTGTGGAGAAAAGAGAAGGCTTATGCACTGCTGGCGGGAATATAAATTAGTTCAGCCATTGTGGAAAGCAGTTTGGTAATTTCTCAAAGAACTTAAAACAGAACTACCATTTGACCCAGGAATCCCATTATTGGGTATATAGCCAAAGGAATATAAATCATTCTACCATAAAGACACATTCACGCGTATGTGCATCACAGCACTATTCACAACAGCAAAGACATGGAATCAACCTAAATGCCCACCAACGGTAGACTGGATAAGGAAAATGTGATACACACCATGAAATACCATGCAGCCATAAGAAAGAACAAGATAATGTTGGAACTGGAGGCCATTATCCTAAGCAAACTAATACAAGAACAGAAAACAAAACACCACTTATTCTCACTTGTAAGTGGGAGCTAAACCTTGAGTAGCTGTGGACACAAAGAAGGGAACAAGACATGGGGGTCTATTTGAGGGTGGAGGATGGGAGGAGGGTGGTGATTGGAAAACTACCTGTCAGATACTATGCTTATTACCTAGGTGACAAAATAATGTGTACAGCAAACTCCCACAGCATGCAATTTACCTATATAACAAACCTGCACATGTACCCTTGAACCTAAAATAAAAGTTTAAATAAAAACAGAACGGTGAGAAGTAAAGTTCTGTTTATTATAAATTACCCAGTCTCGGATGTTTTGTTATAGCAGCATAAATGGACTAAGACACTAAACCACCAGTTTTCGCTCTATGATCACATTCTATTTTGGTATACTTTTTGTGTGTGTTAGTTGTTATTGGTGTTAATGATTGCCTCGAGAACAGCAAGGGGGATGTTTGTCTCCATGATTCAATCACCTCCCACCAGTCCCCTCTTCCAACACTGGGAATTGCAGTTCGACATGCGATTTGGGTGAGGACACAGAGACAAATCATATCACTTCCTCACAAACACACCTGTTCATGTTTTAACAGCTACCTGAGCATCACTCAGCCCAGTCATGTTGACACATAAAATTAAACATCACACCTTTATTTTCAGTAGAACCCTTTTCAATAATGCTTTTTCCATTAAAAAATGTGTGGTCAAAACTAGTAGTTATTCAATCAGTTATAAGGTTTTAAAACTTGAATATATCTCTTCCAGCATCTTCTGTCTTCTGGATTCTATGTGGATTAGTTTTTCCCTAAGCCTTTTAATCATTTGTTATCCTGAGATTTTCCTTCTACACAATCCTAGAGATTTATATTTCCTCTTTTCTCCTACATTGGAACCTAAGATTTCTTGGGTTCTTGTTTTCCTTTCTCTTGGTTTACTGTCTGTTTTTTTGGAGCATATCCTCCAAATTATTTTTGGAAAAAGTATTAATAAAAGATAAATTCTTCAAGATCACGAATGTCTAAACCTGTTTTCATTTGAAAATTAACATGTAGAGATAATTCCCATATAGAAATTAAAGTTGCAAATCATTTTCCATTAGAAGTTTTAGTGTATCACATGCATTACATGCATAGGAAAATTCTAATAATATTCCTTTTTTTCTATACTTTGTTTATGCCCTATTATACCTTTTCTTATTTTTCCTATAACTTTTGGTTTCTCCTTTATGTTTCTGGGGTCCTGAAAGTTTGTGATGATGTTCCTTATTGTGTATATCTTTTGATCTATTGCAGAAGTTAGCAAAGCTTTTTTGGAAGGATCCAGATAGTAAGTATTGTAAGCTTTGCAGGCCATAAATTCTCTATCTCAATTACTCAGCTCTGCCACTGTAGTGTGAAAGTAATTGCAGGCAATATTAAACAAGTGGGCATGGCTGTTTTTCAATAAAACTTTATTTAGAAGTATAAACGGCAGGCTGAATTTTATCTGTGCTCCATAATTTCCTGCCTCTGATCTATTTGTAGTAGACCTAGGGGGCACTTTCAACATGAAAATTGTTTAGATTAGGGATTTGTCACTTTTCCCTGACATTTTTCTTTCTTCCTTTTCACCTGTCTTCTATTTCTGGAACTACAATTAAACAGATTATGGTGTAAAAAGTTTGATTTTATGTATTTTCTCCTATTTTTCATATTTTTATATTTTTGTACTTTTGTATCTTCAAATTTATTTAATTAGGAATTTTCAGAGAAAGAGAATCAATAGGATGAGAGGGTATCTGTCTATCTATCTATCTATCTATCTATCTATCTATCTATCTATCCATCTGTTTCTCTATATTCCAAATCTAAAATGTGGATCAGCATGCTTGAGACTTAAAAGGGTTTATGATCCAGTTTCATTCCAAAGGTGGCAGCCAGAGTTCCAGGGAGAGCTGATGATGCAGATGAAGTTTAAAGGCAGTCTCTTGAAGAATTTTTTTTTTTTACTCAGGGGAGGCTCAGCATTTTCTATTCTAATCAGGCCTTCAATAGATTAGTTGAGACCAACTCCCATTATGGAGGGCATCCTGCTTTAGTCTCATTCAAAAACACCCTGTCAGAAACATCCAGTATAATGTCTGACCAAATATCTGGGTATCCTGTGGTCCAGTTAAATTAGCATATAAAATTAACTAACACATCTTTCTTCTATCCTATCTATTTAAATTTTGATTCTGCTATTATATATTTAATTTTCAAAAGCTTGTTCTTATTTTCTGAATGCTCTTCTTTCATAAGATCCTACCTTTTGTTTGTTTTTATTTGAATGCTGGATATTATCTTATTTCTATAAGAACACTATATTTGTTTAGCTTTCTCTTTTTTCTTTTTAGTTTTTCTTCTGGTCTTTACAGAAATTCTGTTTTTTGAGCTTCCATTTTTAGTTTGCTCTGGTTTCTGCCTTTCATGTTAGAGGATTTACTCAAATATCTGCCAGTCCTTGAGTATTCATTCATCAACAAGATTTAAGGTAGCGAAAAATTAATTTGAATTTCAGGTTGTGTGAGTGGGACTTTCTGATTGGTGGGCCTCATTGAATGATGTTAAAACAGGGACTTGACCATATTATTGGAGATTCCCTCAAATGTGAATATCTGTAGTTTTAGTCTGGTCAAATTTCTTAGAGAGAAACCTTTCACTCTCCTTGACTTTGGGCATATAAACCAGCTTCCATCTTGAAGGAAGTCAAGTTGTAGAAAAGGGAGCTTAGCAATCTTGCCATTCAGGTTGTAGATTTTTGCTTAAGTTTCCTATTTTTAATACATGTCTTATCTCAACCTCAGCTTTGTCCTGGGTATCCACATCAAGAGCATCTTTAGTTTCACTTCTCCAAAGAATAAAATTCCCACGTTCTTTCGGCCTGGTTTGGGGAAGAGCAGCACCTGGCATTCTGGCCAGGAGAAGATAATCTGGAATTATAAAACTTTTTAAAAATTAACTTTCAATGAATCCTCCTCTCTTCAACTGTCTCCTCATTCCTACCTTGTAAGATACCAGGTGACTTTCCTGAGCCTTTGCAAAGTTTTGTGGCATGAATCATCTTGTTTCTTTTGATCTTCTTCATGCTCCTTCAGTCATTTGGGTTTCTGCTTCCTCACCACTGATGATGTGGTTTTCATTAATCCATCTGCTTCCCATCTTCCTGAATTTTGTTGACATACCTCATCTGTTTACTTACACCTTCTATTTTTTTCCACTGGGTACTTCTGGGTTTATACCATGTTTATTCCTTTACAGGCATGATCATGGCATTTCAGAAGATTCTAAGAAAAATGTATGTTCTAAATACATCATGCTTAAATGAAAAACAATAACAAATTTTTATTGTTTTCCTGATACATTCCACATACTTTTATATGCATCATAAATAGAGCAAGAAACAAATGACACATGGTCTCTGCCCTCTCAAATTTTTATTGTAGTAGAGGGAAATAACAAATAAAGAAATAAATGTACAAAATAATTTTTGGTACTCATTAAGTATCGTTTTTAAAAGATAAAGCAAGGTAAAAAGGAACTGGGTAATGATGGGAGGAATCTATTAAGATAGGGAATCAAAACATCTTTCTCTGAAGAGATGATATTTAAACAAAAACCCAAATTAGTTAAGGATATGAGGCAAGTTAGAAATTGGGGGAAAATATTTCCAAATAGAGGGGTCAGCAAAGGCCTCATGGCAAGTATAAACTGAACACTCAAAACAGCAAAAAGACAAGTGTGGCTGGGAGGGAATGAGCATGAAGAACAGACCACAAAACCACAAACGTGAGGAAAGACCAGATCATTTGGGACCTTCTGGGTCTTGGGAAGAAGCTTGAAATTTGTTCAAAATGAGAAGGAAATGTTAAAATCTAATTTTCTTTTTTAAAAGAAATGTTCAAGAAATTTATTTTTGCCATTCTACAAAGACTAGGCTCTTGGGAGCTTAGAGGGAAAGCAGAAAGACCTGCTCAATACTACTGAACTAATCCAGATGAATGAATTTCATGTCTTGAACCTGGCTGGCAATGAAGGATAAAGGTAATGAGGTGGTATCAATAAGGCGCAAATGGTGATGTGTCTTGCATTGCCAGTAAGAAAGACTGGGAGAGAAACAGGTTGAGGAATAGATCAACAAAAGTCCAAAGTTTCCTTTTAGTACATACTACTTTTGAGCGATGCCAAGTAGCAGCTTAACTATCTCAGTCTGGAATTTACGGTAGTCAGTAATAACATTTAAAGTTGTGGAACCAGATGAGATTACATAGAACAGAGATCTACAAACTATAACCATCAGTCCAAATATGGCCATTGGTTGTTTTTATTGGAACATGAAAATGTTTGTTTTTGTATATTCTATATGGAAACTTTTGCACTACAATGGCAGAGTTAAGTAGGTGCAGCAGAAACCACATTGCCCTAAAGTTTAAAATATTTACTATCTGGTCTTTTATGGGAAAAGTTTGCTGATTTTTGACCTAGGGAGTAATTGAAGATGAATAAGAAAGTCAAGGATGAAGTTCTGGAGTTCACAGACATTTAAAGATTGGAAAGATGAAGGTGACCCAGCAAAAGATACTGAGAAGAAACAGCAAGTGAGGAAAGGAAAACCAAGTGAGTGTGATATCCCAGGAACCAAGTACATTCTTGGGAAGAAGATTATTTAACTATGGCAGATGTTGCTGAGAGGTAATCCAACATGAGGATGATGGGACTTGACAGGATGAATTTGTGGTGACCTTGACAAGAACAGTTTCTATGGAGCAGCAGCAACTAAGTCTAATTGTTGTGTGTTCAAGAGAAAATGGAAGGTAAGGATGTGAAAATGATGAATATAAAAAAATCTTTTCAGTTTTGCTGTAAACACAAGAAAAATCAGATTGTAGCTGAAAGGAGAAAAGATATGAAAGAAGAAAGCACAGGTTGGTTTGCTAAGAAGGAGACTTTAAGACAGAGATCAGAGTACAGAAAGGTTGGTTGTGCTTTCAGAATCAATATCTATGGAAGGGAAGGCAAGATTGGATAAAGAAACAACCAATGGGTCAAACAATAAATCACAAGGGAAATCTAAAAGTATATGGAGACAAATGTAATGGAAACACAGCAAAACACAACCTATGGGAGGCAACAAAAGTAGTTTTAAGAGGGAAGTGCATAGCAATAAATGTCTATATTAAAAAACAAGAAAGAGGGCCAGGCATGGTGGCTCACACCAGTAATCCCAGCCCTTTGGGAGGTGTAGGCAGGTGGATAACTTGAGCCCATTAGTTCAAGACCAGCCTGGGCACCATGGTGAAACCTCATCTCTACAAAAAAAATACAAAAATCAGCTTGCCATGGTGATGCGTGCCTGTAGTCCCAGCTATTCAAGAGACTGAGATGGGAGGATTGCTTGAGCCCCAGAAGTGGAGGTTTCAGTGAGCCAGGATTGTGCCACTGCACTCCAGCATGGGCAACAGAATGAGACCCTGTCTCAAAACAAAATAAGAAGAAGGGAGATTCAAAGTAAATAATCTAACATTACACCTCAAGGGACTGGAAAAAGAGGAGCATACTAAACTCAAAGTTCGCAAAAGAAAAGAAATAGTAAAGATCAAAACAGAAATAAATCAAATAGAAAATGCAAACACCATAGAAAAACAAATAGAACTAAGAGTTTTTTAACAAAAATAAAATCAACAAACCCTTAGCTAGACTAAGTAAGGATAAATGAAAAACAATAAATAAAATCAACAATGAAAGTAGAGACATTACAACATTTGCCTCAGAAATAAAAAGGATCATAAAGGGCTATTATGAACAATTACATGCAAACAAATTAAATAGGCTAGAGGAAATGGATAAATTCCTAGAAAAATACAACCTACCAAGATTTGAAACAGGAAGAGGTAGAGAGCTTGAACAGAACAATAACAAATAAAGATATTAAAGAAGTAATAAAACACCTCTCAACAAAGAAAACCCGAGAAGCAGATGGCTTCATAGATAACTTCTACCAAACATTCAAAGAAGAATTCATTCATACTAATACTCCTGAAACTCTTCCACAAAATAAAACTAGAGGTAGTACTTCCAAACACATTTGATGAGAAAAGTATCACCTTAATATCTAAGCCAGGCAGCTATATCACAATAAAAGAAAATTACAGGTCAATTTCTCTGAGAATCATTGATGCAGAAATCCTTAATAAAATATTAACAAATTCAACGTAACAAAAAGATTATACATCCTGATTAAGCGGAATTTATCCTCGGCATGCAAGTCTGGTTTAACATATGCAAATCAATAAATGTGATACATCATATTAACAGAATGAAAGCTTAAAACCACGTAATTATCCCACTTTACACAGAAAAAGCATTCAACAAAGGTCAACTTTCTCTCTTGATAAAAGCCATCAACAGTTTAGGTATAAAAGGAAAGTTTCTCAACATAATAAAGATCATTTATTTAAAAAAACTCACAACTAACGTCATGATCAATGAAGAAAAGCTGAAAGGATATTTACTACAATCCTACACAAGGCAAGGGTGTTTACTTTTGCCTTTTTTATTCAACATGGTACTGGAAGTATTAGCAAGACTAATCAAACAGGAAGAAAATAAAACAAAGACACCCAAATTGGAAAAAAAAAGAAGTAAAATTATTTCTATTTGCAGATGACATGATTTTATACGTAGAAAACCCCAGAGTGTATACACACACACACACACAAACTTTTAGAACTAATAAATGAATTAAGTAAAGTTGCAGGATACAAAATCAACACCCAAAAAATTAGTAGCATTTTTATACATAAATAATAACTTAGCTGAAAAATATGTCAATAAAACAATCACATTTATGATAGCATATAAATACCTGGGAATAAATGTAACCAAGCCCACTGATGCAACAAGTTAAATAAGATACAAATAAACGAAAAGACATCCTATGCTCATAGATTCAAAGAATCAATATTGTTAAAATGTTCTTACTATTCAAAGCTACATAAAGATTCAATCCCTGTAAAAATAGCAGTGGCATTTGTCACAGAAATAGGAAAAATAATTCCACAATTTCTTAGGAACTAAAAAAATTGCCACAGCAATTCTAAGCAAGCAAAAGAAAATTGGGGCATTATAATTACTGATTTAAAATTATTTTATAAAACTACAGTAATTAAAACTGTATGGGTACTGCCATTAAAACAGACATATCGACCAGTGGAATAGAATACAGAGCCCAGAAATCAATTAGAACACATAGGGTCAACTAAGTTTTGACAAGGGCACCAAGAGAACACAATTGGGAAAGAATAGTTTCTTTAGTAAATGGCACTAGGAAAACTTTATTTCCATATGTAAAAGAGTAAAATTGGATTTTTATACCATATGCAAAAATCAACTCAAAATAGATAAAAGAGTTAAATGTAAGACCTGAGACCATAACATTCCTTGAGGAGAACATGGGTGGAAAGTTCCTTGACACTGGCCTTGGCAATGATATTTGGATACTATACCAAAATCTTAGGCTGTATAACAATAAATAAATAAATATTACTACATCAAACCAAGAAGCTTCTACATAAAGGAAACAATCAAAAAAATGAAACAGCAGCCTATGGATTGGGAAAAATATGTTTACAAACCATATCTCTGATAAGGGGTTAGTATCCAAAATGTATAAAGCACTCACACACCTCAACAGTAGAAAAACAAGCAACCCAATTAAAAATTGGGCAAAGGACCTGAATAGAGAAGAAGGCATAAAAAATGGCCCACAGATATATGAAAATGTGCTCAACATTTTAGTCACTAAGAAAATGCAAATCAAACCCACTATGAGTTATCACCTCACATTCCTTAGGATGGCTATTATCAAAAAGTCAAGAAATAGCAAATGTTGGCAAAAATGTTGATGTGGAGAAAAGGGAACCCTTGTACACTGTTGGTAGAGATGTAGATTGGTGTAGCCATAATGGAAACAGTGTGGAGCTTCCAAAAGAAATTAAAAATAGAACTATCATATGACCCAGCAGTTCCTTTTCTGGTCATATACCAAAAGGAAGTGAAATAATCACTCCATAAAGATATCTGGACTCTCATGATCATTGCAACATTATTCACAAATAGCCAAGATATGGAAACAACCTAAGTATGCCTTGACAAATGAATGGATAAAAAAGTGTGTGTATGTGTCCTTAATATTCATTCAATTTTGTCATTCAATTGCTTATTGATTATCTGCCTAATATACACACACATACACAATGAAATATTATTCAACCTTAAAAATGAAGACCCCAGCATTTGTCCCAAAATAGATGGATGTGGATGATATTCTGCTAAGTGAAATAAGACAGACACAAAAAAATGTTGCATAATCTCACTTACATGTGGAATCTTTAAAGAAGAGTAAAAATATACAGAGATGGAGTATAAAAGAGTTGTCACCAGGAGCTGGGGGTGGGAAGAAAATGGGGATAAGTAGGTTAGAGGTTACAAAGTGGCAGATATGTAGGATGAACAAGACCAGTGATCTATTGTATAACATGAGAATAATAACTAATAAAATTGTGCCGTATTTGCAGAGAAAAGGAAAGTGTGCAGTTTTCTATACCGATGTAGATCCATGTCGAAAATTAAAAGTGAACATTCAGAATGATAATGGCTACTGGACATATTTCTAAATTGGATAAATGTGCAATTATTTTAAGCATGTTTTAATTGGTACATCTAGAAAATATTTTTTTTAACGTTCTCATAAAAAGAAGTTGTTTTTTTTGCTCCAATTTTCCATTTTTATCTACATGGTATATAAAACACATCTTTTAAAATTGCAATGGAAGAAAACTTTTGGAGGTGATTGATTTCCCTATTACCTTGATTGTAGTGATGATTTCACAGGTATATGCATATATCCAAAGTCATTCTATTTATACATAAATAAGTGCAGTTTATTTTATATCCATTATACCTCACTAAAGCTGTTTAATAATAATAATAACACAAAATCGCAAAGAAACAATCTTCTTTGGCAATTTTTTCAAATAAATACAGTGATCTTAAAAAATGATTGAAGAAGTTGACTGACACAAAATCCAATAAAAACTTCAGTCAACTTCATGGGGAGCTCTGAAGCTGAGATGGCCTTCAGAGACGTCCCTGGATGATGGAAGTATGTCAGACCTTTTGATGCATTAATTGATCAATCACTAAATGAGGGTTGCTCAAGGAAGGGAATACCTGTGGGCAAGGTGGCCCTGTTCCACTCGGGCAATTCCTGAAGAAGCCTGGCAATGTAGAGCTCTCAGCCAGCAGAATTCCAGGCAGCTAGAAGAATAAATCTTTCATTCCCAAGGATGGAGCTGGGAATGAAGGCAAGATGAAGCTAGAATTCACTTCAGAAGTGGTTTTAAAATAGGGAACCCCCTACTGTTTTCTTCCCCCATCGCTTCAATGCCTCTCTTGCATTGTCCTTTATAGTCCTGAAAATTTTAAACTTCCCCTTCAGACTCGAAAGAAACTGGACTTTGTCTTCTGCCTTATCCAAAAATGATGGGAAATGCTTTCTGTTTTACTATCCTGGCTTGGCTTTCTTTCTTCTAAAGAACATTAATATGATTACTAGCTTTTACTTAAGGAATTACGGATCATTGTTTTGATCCAGAGGTGCTTCTCAAAAACTGTTGGTCCTCCTCCATATAAAATCTAACATAAGGGAGAATAAGTGTAATGGGAATTCAAGGGCTGGTAGCTTTGGCCTTTGAAAATAGAGCTGAGTTAGAAACTAAATTAGATAGGAAGGAATTTTATACTGCTTAATGTCTCTTCTTAAATTGTGTCTATCATATTCCTTTCATCTAATAAATGTTTCTTATTTATAGTCTCTTTAACATCAATTTGGAATCACAGGTGGAAATAAATTTATCAGACCTCTAATCCAACCATCTCCCCAGTACAAAGACACCTTGTATAAATGATTTGGCTAGGTGTTATCCATCTCTGTTTGCAAACATTGAGGATTGGGGACCTCAGCAAATGTTCAGTATTGAGTAAAAATGATTCTCCCTATAATTTCTATCCCCTAGTTCTAGTTCCACATTTACAGAGTAGGTATAATATCTCTTCTGCATCAGAGCCTTCCAGATTTCTAGGTAACTTTCAATCCTCTTTCCCTACCTATGTACCCTTAATACTCCTCTTCTGGTGGCTAAATATGTCCCTGATGTTCATTCAGTCTAGCCATCCAACTGCATATTGATTATCTGTCTTAGGTCAGGCACAGGGCTAAATTCTTGAACTATATATAAATCCAAAACACCAGAAAATAATTTATAGTATTTTCATTATTCTGGTTGCTCTCTTGGGTCATTTCTAACTAAAATGGGGTGTTTCCTCTTGGTTAAAAATTTATTCCTCACTCTTCCTTCTTTCTCAGGTTAGATTCTTTCCATACAAAATCTTAACTAACAGACACCATTTACTGAAGACTCACCCTATAAGATGTGCTATGCTCACCACTTTACAATCATTTCCTCAGTTCATATTTACAAGAAACCTGGAGGTTTTATTATCCCTTTTTTAACAGGCTAAGAAACTAAGTCTTCGAAATGTTAGGCAACTTTACCAAGATCTGAGCCAGTCAGTAATGGAACTGAGTGTCAATCCCAGGTCTGTATGGATTGATAGGACCTGAGCTCTTAGCTACAAGGCTGCTCTTCTCTATAGCCTTGGCTCAAAATAGCATTCAAATGCCAGTAACCCCCAAATGTATATCACTTCTGTTGTGGGTGAAATTATGTCCTCTCAAAAGATACACTGAAACACTGATTGCCTTAATACCTCAGAATGTGAACTTTCTTGAAAGTAGGACTGTGGCAGATGTAAGTAGTTAAGATGAAGTCACACTGGAGTAGTTGGACCCTTTATGCAACATGACTGCTATCCTCGTAGGAAAAGGGAGATTTGGACTCAGATAGAGTGAAGGCCATGTGAAGACAGGGGCAGACACTGGGGTGATGCTACTGCAAGCCAATGATCACTTGGGACCACCAGAAGCTGGAATGGCAAGAAAGAATCCTTCCCTAGGGCCCTTCAGGGGGCAAAATCCTGCCAATACCTGATTTCAGACTTCTGGCCACCAGAACTGTGATACAATAAATGTTTATTGTTTTAAACCACCTAGTTTGTGGTACCTTATTATGGCGGCTCTGGGAAATTAATCAATCCCCTCAGGCCTCTGTTTTGAGCTTCAATGTCACATTTCCAACGGCTCCACAACATTTTTCCTTGACAGCATCATAGGCAGATATTATTTAAATAGCCAATGCTGATTTTGCAAGCTTGCCTTCTCTCCCTTCCATGATCATCTTCCAGTGCTTCCTCTTCTCTGTGCATCACACCAATATCCACACAGTAACTTACACTTGACAGATTTCCACTTACTTTTCAAATATGTATTGCGTGGCTGCAGGCACTAGGAGAGGTACTAGGGACAAAGAAGAAGAGAACAATTAAAGCAGCTATCACTGTGCTAGTGCTTACTATAAACATGACATCCTTCTAAAGGCTTTGGATACATTACCTAATGGATTCCTCGCAACAACTCCATGAAGTAGGACTACTCATATATCCATTTGACAGATGAGCAGATGAAGACACAGAGAAGTCGAGTAGCTTTTCTTGGATCACACAGCTGGCCAGTAGCAGAACCAAGATTTGAAACCAAGCAATCTGGACCCGTGTTTGTGTACTTAATGACTGAGATTTTCATTTTCTTGGGTGGGAACAGCTCCTGCTTCAAGGATTATACATCCTTGTAGAGGAGCTAAAATATTTAAGAAAGTACTTTATAAGTGAGTGAATATAACGTTATAAACTGTGATAAGTGATGGGAAGGGAAATTAAACAGGGGAAAGGCAAGAGGATCAATTTCCCTGGAGAAGAGATGCTCAAGCTGAGACCTGATGAAGGAGCAACATTTCGCCAGGTTAAAAGAGGAGCTAAGGGAATTTTTAGGCAAAGGGAACAGCATATACAAGGCCTTGTGATGGAATCAGACCAGACATTTCTCCCTTCCTCATACCCCAAGTCCAACTGATTGCTGAGTGTTATTGAATTTGTTTTCTAAATATTTGCCATTTCCCTACAAGTCCACAGTCACTTCTAGACTACTATAATAACCTTCTAACTGCTCTCTGTGCATCTATACCTGACTCTCCAATCAGAATGCTATACAGAAGCAATGGTTATAATTTACACGCAAGTTTTATTGGGTCTCTCTTCTGCTGAAAACTCTTCAGTAGGTTCCCCCTTCTATTCAGCATGGAATCCTAACTATGTGTCATGATGCTGT
The DNA here is from genome assembly GCF_000001405.40 of Homo sapiens. Lineage (NCBI taxonomy): Eukaryota > Metazoa > Chordata > Mammalia > Primates > Hominidae > Homo > Homo sapiens. The sequence continues at coordinate 116,011,759 of NC_000009.12, read as the reverse complement.
GGACATCTGAGATTTCAAACTTCTAGTGTCTTTTCCTCAGCTCTGATAATAGCAATACATATCTCCTGACTTCACGTTTGGAGAATGGTTCTTCACCAAATACTTCAGGAAATCATGGTGGCTCTCTCAGTTGCAGGATTTTCTTTCCAGACTGCAAGGGCAAGCCCGTGACCAAGAACTGTTTATTCATTGCACTGCATCTCATGCTGCTCTGCTTGATGTTGATGCTGAAGATCAAGTTGAGGCCAGAAGCAAGATGCAGAAGTTTATATGCACTCAGTAGAGGAAAGAAAGTTCTCTTCTTCCATTGGAATCTATAGCTAGGAAGATGTATGGGGCCATATGTAGCCAAAATCCCTCAACCTCTAACACCTAGAAGGGTCCTTCTGCAGGATGAGAGAATGTGGCTGAAATAAAGATTAAAAACAGGCATGAGAGTTAAGGAGTGTCTAGGCAGCATGATTTGAGTTCCTGGATCTGGTTATTTCCAAGGCTAGTGTTACTCCTATTTTTTTTTTAATATGAGCAAATATATTTCTTGGTACCACTCCCCCCACCCACCCCCACCCCCACACACACATCTCACCCCTTTCCCATGCATACTTTCTTATTCTCATGAAAGTTAGATTATTTTTTTCAGTAACTTGCGACAAGCTGGCCATGATTATAAAGGCATGGCCTTCAGCACCCTGTCTGATCTGTTTTGGGTCTGTTTCACTCCGTTGCATCCAAATTTGGCAGCCTTTCCTGGTCCCTTCACCTTCTTCAGGGGCTTCACAGATTCATATGTTTATCCTGGAAGCCTGTCTCCAACACTACTCTCATCCCTTTCTAACTAACTCCTGTATAGAAGACCTTCAGGTCCTCAGTTGGTCTTCACTCACCAAATAGGTAAGGTAAACTTGGTCAGTGCATTCATAGCTTTAATTACCACACAAATAAATATTTGTGTAGTTAATTGTTAAATTTATGTCCCTTCCACCAGAACGTATAAATTCCACACAGGCACAGACCTGACATCTTATTTAAAATTCAATCAGAAAAAAACTAGATAAGTTGAAGTTAAACAAAACTAAAAGCTTTCATGCATCAAAAGACAGTATCAACAGTTAAAAGCAATCATAGAAAGAGAGAAAATATTTGCAAATCACACACCTGATAAGGGATTAGTGTCTAGAATATATAAAGAACCCCTACAATTCAACAACAACAAAAAAAGAAGCTGGTAAGCTGGTTTAAAAAAAACGGGCAAAACGTCAATGATAGACTGGACAAAAAAGTGTGTTACATATACACCATGCAACACTATGCAGCCATAAAAAGTAACAAGATCATGTACTTTGCAGGGACATGAATGGAGCTGGAAGCCATTATCCTCAGCAAACTAATGTAGGAATGGGAAACTAAATACCACATGTTCTCACTCAAAAGTGGGAACTGAACAAAGAGAACACATGGACACAAGGAGGGGAACAACACTGGGGCCTGTCGCTGGGGTGGAGAGGTGAGGGAAGGGAGAGCATCAGAATAAATAGCTAATGCATGTGGGGCTTAATACCTAAGTGATGAGTTGATAGGTGCAGCAAACCATCATGCCACACGTTTACCTATGTAAGAAACCTACACATCCTGCATATGTGTCCTAGAATGTAAAACAAAGTATAATTTAAAAAAAACTTTCCAAAAAAATGGGCAAAACACTTGAATAGACATTTCTCCAAAGAAGGTATACAAATGGCCAATAAGCACATGGAAAAGCCCTCAACATCTCTAATTCCTAGGGAAATGCAAGAAAAAAAATCACGATAAAACACCACTTCATGTCTATTCTGAAGGTTACTATTTTTTAAAAAAAGCAGAAAACAAGTGTTGGTGAGGAAGATGATATATTGGAACTCTCACACATTGTTGGTGAGAATGTGAAATAATAAAGCTGCTGTGAAAAGCAATATGGCAGTTTCTCAAAAATTTGAAAATAGAATCACCTCTTGATCCATCAATTCTACTCCTGGGTATATATCCAAAATAGCTAAAGCAGACACTGAAGCAGATGTCTGTACACCCATGTCCACAGCAGCATTATTCAAAAGAGCCAGAATGTGAAAGCAAACCAAATGTCCATCAGTGGATCAATGAATAAGCAAAATGTGGTATGTAAATGCAATGGAATATTACTCATCCATAAAAAGGAAAGAACTTTTGACGCATACTGCCACATGGATGAACCTTGAAGACATTATGCTAAGTGAAATAAGCCATACTCGAAAGAACAAATATTGCAGTATTTCATTTACATGAGGTACCTAGGAGTAGTGAAATTCATAGAGACAGAAAGAACAATGCTATTTGCTAGGGACTGGGAGTAGGGAGAATGGGGAGTTATACTTAATGGGTACAGAGTTTCAACTGGGGAAGATGAATCAAGTTCTGAAGATGGATGGTGGTGGTGGTTGTACAAATGTACTTACTGTTTGTAAATTGCACACTTAAAAATTGTTACAATAAAAATTTTATGTTACGTATATTTTACTACCTTAAAAACTCCACTCTGACATAGAAGAAAAAAATGTACAAACTACTTTAAAGCCAAAAATAGGACAAAGACATTATATATATATGAGTATAAGCCTATTTTCCTGAAGAAAAAAATGCTAATATACACCCAGAAAAAAAAGTCTAAGATCAATCCATTAATTGTGGTTATTTCTGGGTTGAAATTATGGGTGATAGACTTTCAGTTTATACCTTACACACTTTGTTACAACTTAAATGCCTTAAAATAAGTATAAATTGCTTCTTGTGTTAAGAAGCAATCAATAAACATATTTTCATTTTGACAAATAAATGCAAAGCCTGAAATGAAGTACAAAACTTTCTGTGTGGGCTGGCCAGAGCAGGTTGAAGATGGCTATCACTTGCCAAGTTTGGGATGCTGTGCTTCTAATTTAAGATGAATATATCATATGCCAGGCCCCCAACAAGGTGTTTTCTGGCTTCATGTTAATTCTGGAAAGGTAATTACTCCCACAACCTGGCAACCTACTCTCTGGGGATTTTTCTGGACAGAGCATGTTTTTCAATACAAAAGCAAAAATGATGGGGAGGTTGGAACTTCAGGAGACTAAGCTTAGAAGTAACCTTTTGTGGCTGGGCTATTTTAACCCTTCTCCATTCATCCCACACATTGCATACCACAAGTTTGTCTAACCAGGAAACCCGACCCAAGAAAATCAGGCCACAGGTGGAAAGTGAGAGGTGGCATTCGGCTGGGAGAAAGTATGTTATTGTTGGTGAATCACATCCGGTGAGAGCTTAAGGGGCAGCTAGGGCACTTCCTTGGTCTTGATTTTGTCACTGATGGGACATAAAGTTCACACTGAATCAAGGATGAGACTCTGCAGACCGTGTTGAGGACAACGTCTAGGTATGCAGAGAACAAAGTAGATTCTTTAATGATGCCATGGCTTTCAGTGAATGGGAAAAGGACTATGAAGAAGAGGTTCAGGTGTGAGTTTGTTTTAGAGAGAATATGGGGAGGAAGATAAAAAAGGTCCTTATTCATAAGTCAGACACACCTAGTACTAGTTTTAGGTCTGCCTTGATTAGATCTGGGGTTATGAGCAAATCATTTAATATCCTTGAATTCCATTTGCCTCTGTGAAATGAGGAAGTTGTACCTGGTGACTTTCAAAGTGTATCTTAGTGTAGAGGCTACAGCTTAATTGGGCTTCAACTCTCAGCTGTGCACTTACTAGCTGCGTGTCCTGCTTAGTCCTCCTGCATAGCAAGGTAGGCCAAGCCTGGGGCCTGGTTCACTGCAGGTGAGGTGCTTACACCAATGCTGTTCACACCACCATGAATGTAAGTGTGTCCTACCCACCATATTGCTTTCGTGGTGTCAGTAATAATTATGTGTGTTTAGGTATATAGACTACCCAAATTACGGCTAGTCATGTTCATGTGGACCTACCTGAGTGTGCACAAGGCTTTAGAGGTCATTCTTACTCCTCAGCTAATTGAGGCACAGAAAGGTTAATAAACTTGCCCAAAGTCACACAGCCACTAAATATAAGAGCTGGGATTTGAACTCAGATTGTGTTTTGTCAGATTCTTTGCTCCTGACTATTGTGCTACACTGCTGCTTTTGAATTAAAACGTCTCAAGAGCACCTCATTCATTTTCTTCTGTGTAACACAAATCAAAGGTAATTTAACACAAGAAAACATTTTTTAGCTGCCTTGACATTTGTGCTACTCCAGACCTTTCTGCAAAGTGTTCAAACCCCCACCACGTTCGAATTATCCTAGCTGGAAGTTTGCATTTAAGAAGCTCCTACTTGAGCTGCAGCATGCATTTGATGTGCATTTTTGAAAAATGTGGGAGTTTTCAAAATATTCTAAATTACCTACCTAAGGAAATAAGACAGAGAAAATGGAGCAGTCATGCTGATTAATATTTGAACATAAACAATTATAAGGAAAACCTACAGAGAATGTGAACTGATAGAATTCCTTGCCCCATACAATGTGTTTCTAAGCCATGGGGGTTTGCCTTCCTCCATATTTCCTGTGTACCCTTCTCATGGCTTTCCCGCTGCTTCAACCAAAAATCTAGATGAGCCCTCATTACAGCAACTCCATGATTGGTTTCTCCCTCACATACTAAACTAAAGCTGGTGGCTTAATTCCTTGTTTTTTCCACTTCTTTGCTCCAGAACCATCCATGATTCCTCTTTCCCTGCTGATATTTAAGTTTGGCACTCAAAGTTTCTGTGATCTATTTCTAAGCCACAGTCTCTATATGATGCCCCATCTATGTTTCTCCTTTACCTATTCTTTGTTTCAGCAAACCTTGCCCATCCCTTGTTCATTGAACATGTTCTCTATCCTTTATGCTTTTGCATATACTATTCTTTTTCCCTGGGATGTCCCTCTCTTCATTCTACATTCTTAATTTCCACTTTTTTTTCCAAATCCTACACCCAGTGTTATCTCTTAGATGGCCCTTACACACAGACTCTGTCATTGATTCTGTCTCATAATCTCTGAACCCCAGTCCACATGGCTGGTTTCTCTGTTACAGCTCTTTCCATTTTGTTCAGTCCCCAAAGTGGAAAGTTTAGGCATGTGATTGCCTTACTACTACATCTAGCTACAGTCCTCTCCCCCACCCAAGACAGAAACAGAACATGCTGAGTGTCTGGGTGAACTGAATATAGGACCCAGAAATTTTGATATTCCTATTTCTGCATCAGGAATATGTATTCAACATTCATTCCACACATATTTATTGAGTACCAAGAAGTGTACCAGAACTTGGAGACTCATTCAGAGTAAAAGCCAAAGCCTTACAATGGCTTACAAAGCCCTGTGCAATGTTTTAGTCTGCTCTGACCTGTCCAGCCACACTGGTGGCCTTACTGTTCCTGGAACATGCATGGTGTAGTCCAATCTCTGTGTTTCATACCTTCCTGTCCTTCCTGCCCAAGATAATCTTTCTCTAGTACCAACCTGCCTCATCTTTCACCTACTTCAAGGTTTTGCTTACCTGCCCCTTCTGCAATGAGGCCTTCACTTACCATACAAGGTAATATTGCAATCACCCCCGATCCTGACACTTCCTATCTTCCCCTTGATTTACTTTCCTCCCCAGTGCCTGTCTTCTGATTTACTCTATGTTTTTACTATTTATTTACTGATTCTGCCACTAGAACATTAGCTGAACCCCTTAGGCTTAGAAAAATACCTTACACATAATAAGAGTCCTATAATTACTTGTTGAATAAATTGATGATTACAAAGTTAGAAAAGACATGATCAGTCTTCACCCTCTTGTTCCTCATGGACCACTGAGAGGATGTGGTCGACTCAACACCCAATAGGAGAAGTGTTCTTGTAGGGAAATAGGGGCAGCCGATACAGACTAGGACAGTCACAGAAAATAAGCAAGTCATTGTCCCTGCCTTAAAAGAGTCATAGTTTTCTAGATGAGCAAATGATAATTAATAAATAGCAAGCGATGTGAAAATGACCACGTCCAAAGATAAAATAAACTCTTTTTGTGCACATCTTATCCTTCCCACTTGTCTATAAACTCCTTGAGGGCTTGGTTCACAGCAAATGCACTATTTTATCCACATGTGCTCCCTTCTCGTCTCCCAGTTACAATGTCTGGAGGGAAGTAGCATGAAAGAAGATGCTTGAATGAATGGATTCTGAAACAATATGCAAGCATGCGATCCCTCTCCCCCTTAAGCATCATAAATACCAGTGGTGATTTGGCTGTGAGATGACTATATTTTTCTGTTTATCCATTTGGCTGGCACAGTAAGAAGGGATTTCACAGTCATTCACTCACTGATATATGTTGTGATAAAAGCAGGCATCTGCCTGTGAGCAGCAGTTCTCCATAAAGCTATTCTGAGAAAAACAGGTCCAGTAAGCTGAGCTCACACCCATTACTGGAGATGTATCCAAATTTATTACTGGAAGTAGTATTAGTGGGAGAGTTGACACAGCCTTATCCTGGTCAATTTCATCAATGATTTGGACGACATGAGGTCATCTAAGCCATGGAAACCGTGTTGCCTTCATTCACCCACTGGAAGGCTTGATGTGGGCTCCTGGATGGTGAGGGGATACTGCCTCTTTTAGAATGACATTCTTGTTTTAGAGAAATAGATGATAAAACTGGGGCCCAGAGAGAGGAAGTGATTTGTCTAAAGTCACAGAGCTGCAGCAAGGTTAAGCCTGAATTAGATCTCACATGTACATTCTGAAGACTCCAGGATTTTGCTTTACTAGTCTGCTTCTAGTTGCCAGCTTTTCAAAATAGTTTTGTGCCCAAAGCAAACTCAAGACACACACTTGGTAATATTTTATGTGGTTGTCTTATTTAAAATGAAACATGGCTTCTTCATAAAAAGTTTCCAATTACAAGATTCTTGGGGTAAATGGCCCCATAAAGATAAAAATGGTGATGATCTTAGTAGAGGTATCAGAAAGGCCACTGTGCTCTCATTAACACACACAAACACACACACACACAACACACATACAGTCTAATAATGCTATATTAAATCACACTGGAGACAGAAGTCAGGCCATTACAAAGGGAGTTAATAATCACAAATATCATCCTCACAAAAGACAAAAGTCAAGGACATTTAGTCTCACTCACCATCTGATACATACTTGTCATTGCTAGCATATCACCAATGACAGAACTTAATACCCACTGGAAGCTTTCAGTTTTAATACTGATAGTACTAGTACAGCTATTTTTTTAATATTTAGTTCTTCTATAACAAGAAGCCAGAACAAAAATAATAAAAGTCCAGAAAAAAGACAATTAAGTCAAGAGAAGACTTAGTGTCAGTGCGATACACAAATCAACTTATCTTCTATCCAGCACATATAACATATCTGCCAGTAGTGACCTGTCCCAAGTGCTAGGGACACCAAGATAAGTAAGACCTGGCCTCTGCCCCTATCTGCCAAGGTGGTTTAGAATTGTGGTTCTGAGAGTACTAGTAGCCAAAGTAAATAAGGAAGTTTGACTAATACACTTACAGCGTCTATAGGGACCAGAGAATTGGGAGGAGGAAGGGGACCATTATTCAGGGCAAGAGAGATGCCCAAGAGTCATGGCTCAGTCCTCAGATGTCTGGTCTGGACACCTAATTTTAAACTTCCATAAAACATGTTTGAGATTACTTGGCTAGCCAAGATCAGGATCTAGACTTTAAGTTCCCCCCAATCAAGGATTATTCCTGATTCATTCCTGTCTCTCCAGTAATTAGCTAGACTTGACACTTAGATGATACTGAGCATGTGTATCCTGAATTATTGGAAGTGGCATTGGAATAATTACACAAAGAAACAGAGAATTAGGAGACAATAAAATGTGGTTTAGACTCCAAGTGCCAATAAACTGCAGACTCAAGAAATTGGTGATGGATGGAATATCAAGAGAGATGTCTTGGGAGGAGCACAGTTTGTGCTGGATTTTGATTAATGATAATCCTTCTCATCTGTTTGGTAATTTATAAGGCATTTCTGTATTCACAAGTTCAATCTAGCTCACAATAAACTGTGAAGTTGACAGGGCTTATTTATTACCCCCACTGTAATGGGGGCAACTGATCCTTGAAAGAATTCACCCACAGATGTGCCTCACTACAGTATTATTTGTGCTTCACATAGGCATTTAGCCATGATTGCATTCTTAAAGTGATGTAAATGTGAGCAAAAATTAGACAATATGGTAAATTGCTTGCCAAGACGATCACAATAATTCCACTGTCCTTGTATGTCCACTGTTTTTTGTTTTTTTGTTTTTTTGTTTTGAGACAGAGTCTTGCTCTGTCGCCCAGGCTGGAGTGCAGGCAATCTTGGCTCACTGCAAGCTCCGCCTCCCGGGTTCATGCCATTCTCCCGCCTCAGCCTCCCAAGTAGCTGGGACTACAGGCCTCTGCCACCGCGCCCAGCTAATTTTTTGTATTTTTAGTAGAGATGCGGTTTCACCGTGTTAGCCAGGATGGTCTCGATCTCCTGACCTTTTGATCTGCCCGCCTCGGCCTCCCAAAGTGCTGGGATTACAGGCGTGAGCCACCGCGCCCGGCCCCTGTATGTCCACACTTTTCAATATGTCTTGGCCACCCTTCCTATTAAAAAGTAGAGGTTTCTTCCCTCCACTTTGATTTTGGTCTTGGCCAAATTGTGAGTTGCTTTGGTCCAAAAAATATTAGCAAGTGTGACAATGGCAGAGACTTTAAATGTATTTATGCATCACACTTTGCACTCTTGCCTCTGATGAAATCCTGACACCACAACTTGTAGGAGCTCAGGTTCACCTGAATGAGAGGCATCCCAGAGAGTAGTCTGCCAACTGCCAGTCCTGCGGGTGAGGCCAACTGAGATCATCCAGTTCTACTCGAATTGCCAGCTAACCTCAGTCGTTGTAAGTGACCCAAAATGAACCCAGCACAAGAAACACCCAACAAAAATTGCTGACTCATAGAACTGTGAACACATAAAATAGTGTTCAAAGCCTCTAAATTTTATAGTGGTTTTTAGAAAATGATAGATAACTGAAGGCCAGGATATCAGTAAAACATGAAACAATTAAAAATAGGCCCTTCTTGGACTCCCTGTGCCATTAAAAACAGGAGAAAGCTTTTCTAATGAAACTAAGCAGTTTGCAACTATTACTCCTCTCTATGGACAGATTAAAAAGGTGAATTAATCTGGAAAAGCACCCATTTCTGATGTTAGGAAGCCCTCAAAGCAAATTTTTTATGTAGGACCATCGTGCCTGGCATCCACTGAGATATTCATTCCAGAGATCCTGTTCAACCACAAGTCTCCAAATACCAGTGACTGCGGGAATGGGGTGAGAGGATAGCCTCTAGAATTGATTTGAGGAAAAACGCCTTTCATTACATTCAAGATTGTGATAGCAGAGGGACCGTAACAAAGTCTTGCCTTAAGATACAATGTACGCTTGGTCAAAGAGATCAAGGAAAAGTAAAAGGGGCTTTATAAGAAATAATCATATAATTCACAGTGCTCACAGGGGCACTTCTGAGCACAGACAAAGCACTTAAACTATTAAAATAATTATATAATTTTTCAAATATTTATTTGTTGTCTGACAGACTGGTTTTATTATACTGTTAGACCTATAAAATCGTTCTTTAAAAAAGCTGTTTCCAAAAATTAAATTATTTTTTAAAATAGCTTAAGTTCACATATACTTACAGAATTTACTTTTTAAATTAGTGTAGTGATTATTTGAGCAGAGGAAATGATAACTTTTATCAGTGGATATTTAGCTAATATAATGACTTTCTTAGTCATATTTATATCTAATTTAGTATCACTGATTTTTTTAATGCTTTTTGCTCTCAGTATGGTCCTTTTAGTTTTGATATTTCCACTAAATTGCCTGCAGTTTTTCTCAGAGATCTGCATTATGGTCAAGAAATTTAAAATTTTTGATACCCTCAATTGACTTTACTTAGTAAACCTTAATATTGAGAAAATACACTCTACAGATGCCAAGACACCTGCAAATCTCAGAGCAATTTATGCTAAGTAGGAAAATTTATCAACTCTGTTTTTTCACATTTAAATGTGTAAATATTTCAGCCCAAATATGTTTTACAAGTACTCTTTTCTCTCAATTTAACCAGATGGCTCTTTCAACAAATATTTTTACAAGACGAAAACTTGTAAAATAAGTATCTCTATTTATGATGCTAAATTTAGGTGCTACCAAATTGTACATCTTCTCAATTTCATTCTAATTCAGCACTAAATATAAATTTATCTAATTAACAATAGGATCTCCTTTAAAAGATTGTAGCTACACGACTAGATGCCCCCAAATGGCATTCGACTGTACTTTCTGCCACTGCTCATATTCAAGCACCGTCATCTAGTCGTTTTCTCAAAATAACCTTTACAAATCTCTTGAAATGGTTTCAAGAATCACAGTCTTTAATTTCTGTTTTATTAAAGATGCACTTTCATTATTTGATTTTATTAATACTGGAAGGCTTTATCACAAAATTAAAAACCATTGCCAAACAAAGCAATATATAATTATAGATTTACATCAAACAATAAATGATTTTTAAAAAGACTGCAGCAAGGGCACTTCAGACCACTTTCTGTGGAAGGACTACTCAGCCTTTATTTCCCATCCATATTTCATGCACACATCACCTCTTTATTTCTCACTGACCTGCCTGGCCATTTCCTCCATTTCCTGGGCTGTGGCAGGGGCCATGGAATTATTGCATGGTACACTGGTGGCCAGCAGGGGCAGCATTGTTGAATTATTTTTTTCAACACCTCCAGACACAGGAAGGGGAGGTTTTCCTAGACAGTCCGGCTTACGTGCTGACTCTGAAAGGAAAATGTTGGTTATTTTGTGTGGAAAGGGTCTGAAAACAACAACAATAACAAAATGGACTAAGGATGATTGTCATTCAGGTGTAACTCTAAAAGGAAGTCTGTGTTAAAGGAAGTCGTCTGCATTCAATGTGTCTCACACACTACAAGCTGAGGCCATTGTAAAGTCTGAATATAATGTGGAGGCCTTACACACCTCCCTAATTAAAATGCAACTTTTAATAATGATACTTCACTAAAAAGAAAAAAACCCTGAACAAATTGTAAATTGGATGGGACAATAGGATAATTTATCCCGGGTGAATTAAGGTATTTGGTCACCTGAATTTAAGATGTTTCTCTTCTGTAAGGTGTATCCAAATATACGGTATCTGACTTAAGAATCTCAGCTGAAAATATTCTTATTTGATCAGCCTTGAGTAGATAAGGGAAAATAATTAATACAAATATTGAGAACCATAAAATGTTTGCCTTCATAACCAAAATCAGACAATTTTTTATGCACATTCTACCTATGTTAAAAATGTGTTCGGAAAAGAAGAATGACTTCTCTCTTCTTTGTACAAGCACTATACAGAGGTAGGCTGAAATACAGATCATGCCCTTCTTCTAGTGTTTTTGCTTTTGTTGTTGTTTTCGTTCACTGTTTCATTGGATTTTGTTGTTATTGTTTTAAGATGTTTAAAACCCTTCAACAGATGCTCCATAGTTGCAAGGTCAATGTTCGAAATCCTCAACTTTTTCCTCAAGGTCCACCATGATCCGGTCCCCATCTATCACTCTAGGCTTCTCTTTTATGGGCCTCTCCTTTATGTTCTTTCTTCTAGCTATGCATGATAATTTTCATTTCTTATAACGTGCTACATGCCTATATGACTTTGCATATGCTGTTTCTGTCTAAAATATACTTTAGCTCATGCCTTTTATTCATTTAGCAAGTATTATTTTTGAGTGTTTATGATGCATTAGACTATGTGCTAGACATCCTAATTCACTTCTGTATCCCTAGTGTCCAGTACAGGGCCTAAAGCATAGTGTGTTAGTATGTACATAATGGGTAGATAAATAGGCACGAAGTGAATTAGGCATTTTTTTTTATTTGAAGAATGTACAGGAAGTGCAATGGGATGAATCACATTTTTCCAGGTTAAAGGGATCACATGAGCAAATAGCATAGAAATAGCCTCACGGATTTCCTTCTTTTCCTCCTGTTACTCTTTGGCATTCTGTCATTTTGATCTATCACAGCCAAGAAGGGCAAAAACAATGGTAGGAATGTGATCTTGACCTCACACCATATAATCATTCTTAAATTCCAGCTAATTACATAAGATGTCTTAATAGAAAATTAAAAAGCAGATGATCAGGTGGTTACAAATGACAGTATCACTGGTGGAAATATGACCCATCTTCAAGGACAAGTTTAAATTTCACCTCCTCCAAGAAGCTTTGCTTCAATATGCAAAACCACTATGAAAGGTTGTGGTCGCTTCTTCCTTTTTGTTCTCCATAACCCGTTATATGTACCTTTATTTATTTTTTTCTTGTATTTATAGTGATTGGCTTATTCTTGTGTCTTTCCATCCTTTAGCACACTATGAGTTATCTGAGGACAAAGTACCACAACTCATTCATTTTTGCAGCAGCTGGCAACATGTCCTCAGTATTTGGTAATTTGATTGGAAAATTTAATCTATTATTTGGATGCATTTTAATATCAGCATTCTCACTCAACAGCTTGCAAAATGTAGTACTATTATATCTTATATGTGGGTAATTCTTTTCACCCATTTGTCATCAGCCTTCAGCCACATCACTCTGTATGTGGTTCCTGAAATACACCAAACTTTCTTTTATACTTAATATACTCCACAGAAATTGGTTCTTCTGCTCATAACATCTGTCTTTTCCCCTGATGTGTGCACTTGTACACACACATACCACACATACCTCCTTCATGGCTGCCTCTTTCTCAACTTTTAAGCCTTAATTTCAAGGTTAGCTGCTCAGATAGGCATTCCTGGACCACTCTACACAGACTCCCATTTCCCAATATCATTATAGCCCAACCCCTTCAGAGCATTTTTCAGTTTGTAACTATATACTTATTGTTTGCCTACTTGTATATCATCTGCCTATCCAACTATATTATAAGTTGCATGTTGGCATATAGGCCTGTTTTATTCACCACTGTATACCTGGTGCTAAGCACAGTATTTGACATATATTCGGTGCTCAATACATACTTGTAGAATGTATGAGCTTCAAAGTGCTTTTAGAAAACTTGGTACCTCTTCCAATGCTTCCTGCACTCCTGAAAATTAGAGATGAGGGATGAAGCCATTCTCATTTTACACAGAAGGATGCTGAGCCATAAAGGAATTACTAACACCCCACAATAAATCTGTGGAGAAGCTGTTCCAATCTCCTGGCCTATAGCCCATTACATACAATTCCAGGTCAGGTCTCCTACTCCTTCTCCAGTTTGTTTCCAGTTTGAAAACAAAGTTAACAAGTGCCTTTAGCATGACTTTGACCAAAGACTTCTCATGAGACACTTTGAGGGATCTCAAATGCCCACTTGGGCAAGCAGCCTTCAATCAGAAGCAGGCACGTGTTGCAGGCTATGAAAGGGGAAACCTTCTCTGTGTCACAGCTGAAAGCACTCCTCTAGATATTTAAAGCAAGCCCTCTTTTAAAAAATTAATGACCTGAAAGGGGAGAGAAGAAGCTGCCTATGTAATGTGGAAAAAGGAGCTGAATGACCACAGTCCTGGACCCTCTCCAGATGATATCATCAGCCTAGATAATAAATTTGTAACAATGTGGCTGAAAGAAAGGAGACATAATTTCAAAATTAGTCAAAGAAGCTGGTAGCAGTAGAACCAAAAATAAGGATTTTTTTTTTTAATCTGGTAGGCACAAATCTTCTATCCCCTGGGTAGTTAGATTATCCAGAGAGTAGAGCAGAAACCACAGTCATTTCTGAGTCTTGGAGCCTACTTGTTCCCAGCCCATCAGAACAGGCAGAGTGGCAAGTGGGCCTGTCTCCTTTGTGTGTCTGCTAAACATGCCCTTCTAGTTTAAAAAAGGATAAATGAGAGAATGCTGAAGTTATGAAAAGTCAGTCACTCACTTAACATGAACCATTACCTAGGGATTCTCATAGATCCTCATAATTATAAATGTGTGATAAGTTAAAAAAAAAGAATGAATGCATAAGGTTGAACGTTGTAATTAATTATGATGTAATTAATTGTGAAGCACAGATCACTACCTCTTTCATGTCAACTCCAATATTCTGTGGTGATTCCCCTGCCCCGCAGATAGACTGGCAGCAAGAGGGCACACATATTTATGACTTGGTCATCGTAGCTAAGCACAGTCAAAGGATATACTGGCAAAGGGCATTTTTTTCTGTTACCTTCTTTCTCCAAGCCACTTGTCACTTCTCTCCTAACCTACTATAGAAATCTTGTGATGGTTTTCCTATCAACTTACTTCCTCACCTCCAGTACAATTTTAATAGTCAGTTGGCATTTAAAAATATTAGTTGGGGAGTTGGGGCATGGTGGACCACGCCTGTAGTCCCAGCTACTCGGGAGGCTGAGATGGAAAGATTTCTTGAGCCCAAGAGTTCCAGACCAGACTGGGGACTATAGTGAGTCCCCGTCCCCTCCCTCTGAAAAAAATGTATCTATGAGTTCATTTTTGTTATTGCCTTGCCTAAACACTTAAATGTTTGCCCATTACTTCTTGAATAAAGACCAAGCTCCTTCTGTGCGTGGCCTATTATACCTTGTGTCTTCTGATATTCATCTACCTCTCCCATCTCTCCTTAATTTTCTTGAAAGTTAAAAGATAATGTGGCTAAAGTGAACAAGGAAGCCATGTGTCTTTAAGAAAGACACATTTCTATGGTCTTTTTATATCTCTGAGCTTTCACATTTACTGTTCCTTTCATGTGGAATGTTCACTTCCTTACTCAAACCTGGTTAATTCTAATACATGCTTCACCTAAACACACACACACACACACACACACACACACACACACATCTTTTCTCACAATAACCTGGCATCTCCCTCTCACTTGGTCGACCACTTTCCATTTATAACTGTATGCTAGTTTCTATGACTAATTGTTTAATTGCATGCAAGGTGGGGGTGGAGGGGCAATGCCCATGTTATGTACACTGCTTCTTCCCAGAGATTGCGCAACAGTGTGGTCAGTAAATATTTGCTGAATGGCTAAAAGAAAATTTACCACATTTTTTATGACTTTGGGCAGTCAAAGACGTGAGTTCAGTTCCAAGGAGCCTCAGTACATTACACTATCCCATAACAAAGATGATAATGATGATGAAAATTATGATCACCTACCCTTTATTTTGCCCCTTATATCTAATACTAGGTATTAGGCACTGAGATAAGGATTTTCTCTATATTTCTCACTTAACTCATTCAAAAGTGCTATGAAAACAGAGGCTCAGAGAGATTAAGTGCTTGTTCAAGATCATATAGCTAGAAAATGCCAGAACTTTGATTTAAAACCAGGTCTATTCAACTTCATAATCTGTTTCTTTTATAGCTCACCACAGTGTGAACTATAATTCTACTTTAGAAGTAGTTTCCCTACAGTCTGGGAATAAATAACTCAAGGAACATAGCCATGGATGTATGGCAGAGATGTGATCCTTGTGGATGAAGGAGAGAAAGTCACGAAGGAGAATGGGGATTTTGTAGAAGAAAGAGTGCACTATGTGATGGTGTGCACATGAGGGGTAAACACGATCTCACTGATATTTTCTTGACAGTAAAAACTGAGTTATGATGGTGTGTTAATATTTAGAAATATTAGAACATAGGGTGTAAGTTGTAAGAAAGAGATTGATATCTGTCTTTTGAAAATCCTGCCAGATGACTGGTGGTGAAAAGTTTAACAGAAATCAAACATCTGGTAGAGATTTTCCCAAACTTGCAACCCTCTTCTTACCTACCCCCACTCTAGCCTCAGTAAAGTTCTTCCTGTAGAAATTTCTAAAATTGATGAGAAACCAAGTATTTTTAAAATGAATCAATAGCTTTCTTAAATCTGTTTTTATTCTTCTAAAGTAGCTTAATAAAAATAACTTTATGAATTTTCTTAATATTTTAAATCTTAGAAAAGTGAACATAAAATATTCAGTAAGGACACATAAATGAATGAAGTTTACCACTACATTATTTTGAGAAAAAAGGATTTGCTTATCAAATAAATAAACAACTTTGATATCATTTGAAAGAATGTTTAAACACTGTAAGAGAATGAGCTATTCTCAAACACTTTACATATCAGCTGATAAACTTATAAAAAATCACTCTTTTTTATTGACTAAGATTTGTCCCTAGAGACACCTACTTGGCAATTTGTTTGAATTAACATATGTTTTTTAAAAGACAATCTACATTTATTTTTAAACTTTGTGTAAAAATATAAACTTTGTGTAATTCAGAGCAATACAGATTTATACCAATAGCTCTGTATTAGTCAAAATTAGGAAGGCTTCAGAACGTTTACATAATGTCTTCCTTGGAATTCTAACAAGGGCCACAGAATCTAAAGGCTCTCTCTTCATTCCTTCCTTCCTTCCTTTTTTTCTTTTTTCTTTCTTTCTTTTCTCTTCCCCTCTCTCCTTCCTCCCTTCTTCCTCCCTCCTTCTTCCTTCCTTCCTTCCTTCCTTTCTTTCTTTCTCTTTCTTTCTTTCTTTTTTCTTTCTTTCTCTCTCTCTCCTTCTTTCCCTTCCTTCCTTCCTTCTTTCCTTCTTTCCTTCTCTTTCTTTCCCCAGACATGAGGCTGTTATGAAATATTGATTACATTTAACTGCCTTTAAAAAGAAATTCTGCTTCTATTAGATGACTTCTGTAAGAATCTAACCCTAGAATTGGCTGAGAACATTTCCAGATAATATACCTTTCCCAAACAAAATTTGTTATTCAAAATACAGTAATTGAGAGAGCATCACAGATTCTCAAATCAAAGGAACAATTTTGTGAGGAAAACTCTGACCTGGTATTGAGGAATGCGCAGTGCATTTTATCATTGAATCTTAACAGCAACCCTTTAGGTTGGCCTGGTTATCCACATGGTGACAGAAGCTCAGTATTCTGATGGAGCAAGGCCAAGATTACATATTGGAAGGAGCTCAAGCACAACTCACACCCAGGTCTCCCAGGCTGTGAAGACCAAACTAATTTGCCTTTAACCAACTATAAAGACATTGCAGGGGTAAGGTGAAAGCATAAGCAAAGGAGTGATTAAAATGCCCATGATATTTCCTCGTTAAAGTTCAACTTCCTTTGCACCAATGTCAAAAGCAGTTGCTGAAATAAATAATATCTTGCTTATTTTTTACATTAGATTAATTCATTTAACATTTCAAAGTTAAGAACATCTAAAAAAAGATTAGAATAAGATTTATATACTGAATATCACCAATTGCCTAAATCAATACTAGACAAAAATATTGAAGATTTTCGTTTTAAAACTAAACAACAAAAAGAAAGATTTAAAACAAAATCAAGAAAATAAAATGTTACTTTCATCAAAAGCCTTTGAATTATCTTTTTCCCCATGATAAACCTATCCAATATAGCCTTCCTAAGTATAATTTGAGTTATCGCTTTCCTCATCAATAAAATTCCTACATAACAGTGCTGCTGCGAGGGTTAGAGGAGATAAAGTGTTTGAGCACAGTGCACTTGGCCTGCTTCACGAAAAGCATTCAGTCAATGTTTGTTCCTGTGCCTTTATTCTATTATTTTCTGTTCATTTCCACGTTCAGACCAATAGTGACATTTCAGGGATAGTATAATAGCAACAGATAATGGTGACGATATTGCAATGTGTCCAAATGAAAAAGCATTCAACAAGATTATGCTTTATGACCTGTAAATTTTCCATGATTATTCATGTTCATCGAAAGGGAATGTTAGAGGCTTCCTGATCCAAAAGCCACACATTACAGGTTTAGAGACTGGAGATGGCTTTCCTAAGGTCATCAGTGTTTAAGTTGTAAGTGTTTAAGAAAAGTTTATTTTGAAGAGGTCTGGAGTGTCATAACATTCTTGATAATTCATTTTCAGAAGACCTAAAGTGACAAAAAATTTAATTCCAGATTAGGATCTTGAACTTCATTACATAACTTAGCCATCTCAAAAACTCCACTTTGCCCATTGGATTCTGGTTCTGAATTCCATGCTTCTTAAACCTGGCCGTAGTCAACCAGCAGAAGGCAACCCAATTTCTTTTCAAAATTCCACTACATATTGGCAAGAGTATTGAATTTTTATGAATGCAGACCTGTTTGAGGCACTGGTAATAAAAGACTAAATGGACCATTGAGTTGCTAGCCATGCATTCAGAAAGATTTATCAGTTCCTTAAACACAATAAAATAAATATTGCTATTCTCCATGATAATTAAGAGAACAAAGTTGCTAGAAGGAGCCTGATAGATTACCTTCCTAACACAGTTGTGGTGTAGATGGGAGAACAGAGCTTCACCCAAAGAAGAGGTGTAAGTTGCTCAAGGTCATACGGTGAATCATGACAAAGCAAGGACTAGAATTCGCAACCATTGGGTCTCTAGTAATTAAATAGGCAAAAATACATGCGTGCATACGTACATAAGCATTCCCTAGAAAAGCATTTTTAGGCCACTTATAATTCACTTTGACATCTTCTTTGCACAAATCCCATTGTATAGCTATGACTGGAACAGGAAGAGAGTGACATCACTTCTAGAACATCTGCCCCTAGTGGATAGCATCAAAGACCCTAGCCAAGGACACCTCGGATCTCCTTGGACATGCTGGTTCAGCTACTTGCTTGGCTGCCATCAGCCTGACTCACAGCTTCAGAAATGGCAAGATGTGCACAGTAAGGGATGGAACAAAGTCATGCCCAAAGCTGAGTTGAGTTTGCCAAAATCATCCCTAAACCCCTTTAGCTAATTGGATATTGCTGGAGGGGACCTCCATTCTGCAGCTGAGCAACAAAAATGCCTCCAATGAAGACTTAACCTCCCAGAAGTGAGCTGAAATCATTTCTGGCAATGTAGTACTCCTTGTTTATTTTTAGATCAATAAAACAGAACTCATTGACTAACTGCTGGGCTCACACAAATTATTTGGAAGCTACAGCTCTAAAAAGATGTCTTCCAAATAAGTGTTTATTAATTTGCCCCTGTCTACATTATTAAGAAAAGAGGTTAATTAAGGTATTCACCGAGCACTGCTTTATTGTTTTGTTCACCAAATATTTATTGAATTAACTTCAATATGCCAGGGGATATGTTAGATCCTAGAAAAATATAAGTTAAGAACACCTTATTCAATCTCTTCTAGGTGTCTATGGAGATGCACCTTTGAAAATGTAACTAACAATTTTTCTATGGTTCTAGAAAGAGGGGATTATGTCAGTACCAGGAGAGTACACAGTAAGGTTACCTAACCATTCCAGGAGGTGGTGGAGAGGTTTTAATCAGGGAAGCAACATTTACGATGAAACCTCAAGGGGAAGTTCAATAAAAAGTGAGAAGGATGTTTCAGTCAGAGAAAAAGATATAAAAAAGATCCAAAGATGAGAGAAGACTTGGAAAATGTGAGGAACTGAAGGGAATTATCATGTCTGAAGCAATGCGATGAGACTGGGAAAACAAGCAGAACCAAAATTATAAGGAGCCTTGAAGGCCGCACTAGGAAACTTTGACTTAATCTCAATAACTAATAAAAGCAAAGAATGGTTGGGAGCAAGAGTGGTATAATCTTATGTTCATCATATACAAGTCAGTTAGACTGCAGGGGAGGAGTTATTTAGAATTGTAATGACACGGGGACTAGTTAGAGGCTGCCTTAGTAATCCAGGAGAGAAATGATGAGCCGAGGCCCAAGACCAGCACACATAGGGACAAGTGGAACTTTCTGAGTTCCTTCAGAACCACTCAAGCAGGAAGAAGCAAAGGGCTTCCAAGGAAAGGATAATCACCAAAGTGAATAGTGACTGTAGAAGACTTCTGGAAGAGTGACACATTTGGGTGTCATGAACAAAGAAGAGAACCAAGAGAACTGGAAAAACATTTTAAGTGGAGGGAATGGGGGCAAGAAGTCCTACATTGTTTTTAAGGAGCAGTGAGTAGTTACGTTTTGGGAAAGTTGTTAAGTGCCAGGCCTAGGAACTGAAAGAATCGCTTAGGGGCCTGGCACGGTGGCTCATGCCTGTAATCCCAGTACTATGGGAGACCGAGGCAGGCGGATCATGAGGTCAAGAGATGGAGACCATCCTGACCAACATGGTGAAATCCCATCTGTACTAAAAATACAAAAATTATCTGGGCGTGGTGGTGCATGCCTGTAGTCCCAGCTACTCGGGAGACTGAGGCAAGAGAATTGTTTGAACCCGGGAGGTGGAGGTTGCAGTGAGCTGAGATTGCCCCACTGCACTCCAGCCTGGCGACAGAGACTTCGCCAAAAGTCTCAAAAGAAAAGAATAGCTTATAGTAATAAGTGAGTTATTTAATAATAAAGAAATTGTTTATTTTTCTTGTTTCTTGTTCATTTGCTGAGTGTGTGCGTGTGTGTGTGTGTGTGTGTATGTGTGTGTGTGTCATTAGCAAATGCTTTTGTTCAAAATTTATTTTTAGTCTTTTTGAGTCTCTTATTCAGGAATAACTCTTGGGAACTATATATTAATAAACTTTCTTCTTTTTAAAACTCAACTTAGTAGTACTTTAACTTTTAAAAAGGACTTAGCTATATCCCTGCCATATTTTTTGTTTCTATATTTGTCTTAACTTTTTGTTTGCTCATGCTTGTCTGTTCTCTAATACAGAAATAAACCTTAGACTAGGAAATATGAACATTTATTTCACATTATTGAAGTAACCTAACTTACAGTAACAACCACTATCACTTTCAGTACTGCAACTTTAATAGAATCATTTCTCTTAAAATTTCACAGGACATACAGATGTCCATTATCAACATTGTCATTAACACTGTTACAGCCATGGCCATACAAAAAGAAGATATAGAACATATAACTATTAATCAAGAGAACAAAAAAATTTTTTGCACATTATATAATTGTTCTCTTAGAAAATTCAAATTATTAAAACTTTTAAAACTACCACAAACTATTAGTAAATTCCCCCAATTATATAAAACTGAATTTGATAAACTATTAGAAAAAATGAAACAAAGGTAGATCCTTGCCTAATTTCAGAGTATAATAAAATTTCACTTGGATTTAAGATTTGACTGAAAAAGTAAGAAAAAAGGAGGAAGGAAGGGATGGAGGCAGAAAAAAAGGGAAAAAAAAACATTGGAATGAATGAAACCACAAGAAAATAGAGATTAATATTTTTACATCTTGAAATTCCAAAACATTTTTATATATGACATCGATGGTAGAAATCATAAGGAAAAGGCGTGATATTTATGATTATATCAATTTTAACTTTATTGCTAATGAAAAGACCTAACATCAACATGCTTAAAACACAAATAACAAAGAGCTATTACCAATTCAAATTTAACAATAAATCTCAACAATGATATAATTACATTCTTACAAGAAAAAAATGCATGTATTTCAAAAATTCTGGAATGACTTTCAACAAAACATGAAAGAATATTATCTTTGAGTTGTAATATAGTGAGTAATTGAAAATCAATTTAAGATTTCTGCCTTAGTCCATTTGGGTTGCTATAACAAAATACCATAGACTGGGAAACGTAAAAACATCATAAGTTTATT
This sequence comes from Homo sapiens, assembly GCF_000001405.40. NCBI lineage: Eukaryota > Metazoa > Chordata > Mammalia > Primates > Hominidae > Homo > Homo sapiens. The sequence continues at coordinate 115,990,043 of NC_000009.12, read as the reverse complement.
GCTCACAGTTCAGGAATCTGGGAAGTCAGGGCACAAAGTCAGGGTACCAGCAGATATGATGTCCGGTGAGGGCCCATTCCTCGAAAATGGTGCCTTCTGTGTGTCTTCACGTGGCAGAAGATGTGGACAAGCTCTCTTGGCTTTCTTTTATGAGGGCATAATTCCATGCATGAGGGCAGAGCCCTAATGAACTAGTCACCCTCCAGAGGTCCCACCTTATAATACTGTCACGTTAGCATTTAAGTTTCAACATATGAATCTGGGGGGATGGGGGCACAAACATTAACACCACATCATATCCTTACCTCCATTTTCCTTTTTTTTTTTCTAAAATAAACATTCATCATGTGAACATGTGTGTGTGTGACTCTGTGCCTGCTTCTATGTGTTGAGGTGATGTGTAAAATAGAGATCAGCACATAGAAGATACTCAGTAATTGTTACATCTCTTTCATTTATTCATACATTCAGGGATATATAATAAATGATTATATTGCGGTATTTCATTATATGATGTTATGACGTGTTGGCTAAAATAAGATAAAATAAACAATAGAATAATTTCTATCATTAATCAAGAAGTTTCTACTAAATCCCTACTCTATGGCAGATATTGTACTAAATGCTCTGGACATACTGGTGAATAATATAAAGTCCCAGCAATGGAAGAGGGCATAATTTGGTGACAGAAGTAGCTGTACAAAGGAAAAAAAAAAAAAAAACATAATACAATGTGGTAAGTGATAGGACAGAGGCTGCACAAAGTGCTAGTGAGCACAGACAAATGAGCAATTAACTATGCTCAGGAAAATCAGGGAAGGTTTCCTAGAGCAGATAACAACTAGTCTGGGGTCTTTCCATGGATGGGAGGAACAAAAAGATAACAAAAGAGCTTTTCAGGTATAGGGAAAAACCTACCCTTCTTTGTCTGGAGGATTGAAACTTCCTGGCGACAGAAAGGCTGAGAAAGCCCCTGAAGATACCCTCCCTGACCCATGGCCAAGAAGAGAGCCTTGGTGTCTACAGCACTCTCCATCTGGGCATCTCACAGCAGTCCAAAAATTACTTCTATCAGGGGAAAAAAAAGAAGAAGAAGAAGAAGGAACCCATGTGGGTTTGGAAGGTGCTTTTCCTGTGAATCACTGCTCTACAACACCCAAACAGAACCTCAGGCAGAGGCAGAATGGGATTTCCCTAGTGCCATCCAAAATAAAGGTTTGTTCAAACCTAAGGTTTAGAGGAGAAAAATGAGGACTTTGTCAGTCTGATGCTGGTATAATCAACCTCATCTTTGTCAATTCAGTCGTATTGTTAGTATATAGATTCTGAAGGACTTGGAGCTGTAACATAGTTGGGGTGGGCTACGGAGCAGGATTTCAGAATTAAAGAGACTGTGGGTTGAGCCCTTGACTGTTTTAGAGATCTTTGTTCTATTATCAGTTCTACTATTGTCTGGTTTGGGGAAAATCCTCTCTTAGAACACTTTTTTTCCTATAAAAATATGGCAGTTGGATTACACTTCTTTGTGTGATTCTTAAAGCTAGGATTCTAAGAGTCTGTTGAGATGCACTGCAGCCTAATAGATCTCTATAGATTTGCATCATTTACTGGGAGACCCAACCATGTTGGCCAGACCATGATGAGACCTGTCTTTGCAGGAGACAGGTGAGCTCACATCTTCACAGGTACAGATGCCCTTTGGTGATAGATTGTATTATTTGTCCACAATTCTTCCTTCCCACCCTGACCTTGACATTCTTCTTGTAGGTCAGGGTGCTTTTCTTGGTTCCAATAACGAGCTGAATCTTATCACTGACTTGGGCCAATAGAATGTGGGCAGAAGTAACTGTGTGTGTCAGCCTTAGTCAATTAGCCTTAAGAGACATGGCGAGCGTGTGTTAGCCTTTTGGAGCTTCTTTCCTCCACCAGGAGAATAGTATGCCCCATAGAGTTATTGCTGCTTCAGCCTGGGTCATGGAATAAAGACATGTGGAGCTGACCTGAACCCATTCCTAAGCCAAGACCCCAGTATAGCACAGCCAAGCCTAGCAGAGCTCAGTCATATGATAATATACGGATTCACATATATACCACAACTGAATTTAAGCAACCTGTGAGCCTGAAATATATTTTTATTATTGTAAACCACAGATTTAAGGGTTGTTTGTCATGCAGCAACATTATTTTAGCCAAAAGTTGACTAATGCAGTAATCCTTTTTGGATTAGAGTCCATAGATTGCCCTACAGTACTGTGAAATGGGGCACTGCATTAATTTTCTATTGCTGTTATAACAAATTAGCACAGATTTAGTGGCTTAAACAACACAAATTTATTACAGTTCTGGAGGTCAGAAGTTTGAAATAGGTCTCACTGGACTAAATTAAGGTACGGTCAGGGATGCATTCCTTCAGAAAGCTCTAAGAGAGAATCCATATTCTTGTCTTTTCCAGGTTCTAAAGATGACCAGCAGGCCAAATACAGTGGCTCATGCCTGTAATCCCAGCACTTTGGGAGGCTGAGGCAGGTGGATCACGAGGTCAAGAGTTCAAGACCAGCCTGGTCAAGATGGTGAAACCCCGTCTCTACTAAAAGTACAAAAAATTAGCCGGGCGTAGTGGTGGGTTCCTGTAATCCCAGCTACTCGGGAGGCTGAGGCAGAGAATTGCTTGAACCCAAGAGGTGGAGGTTGCAGTGAGCCCAGATCATACCACTGCACTCCAGCTCCGGCAACAGAGTGAGACTCTGTCTTAAAAAACAAACAAATGAACAAAATAAAAAAAAAATAACAAAACAAAACAAAAAAAAAACAGCATTCCTGGCTCTTGGGCCTTCCTCCAATCACCAATGCCAGCAATGTTCTTTTTATGCTTCCCTCTCTCTGATTCTTTTCTTCTGCTTCTATCTTCTAGTTATAAAGACACCTGTGATGATACTGCACCTACACAGATAATTCATAATAACCTTCCCATCTCAAGGCCAACTATCAGCAATCTTAATTTCATCTTCAACATTAATTTCTCTTTGATCTGTAACCTAAATATGCACAGGTTCCATAAATTATTAAGGGGCCACATTGGGGGTCGGAGGGGGTATTATTCTGCTTAACACAGGAACCACAGCTAACCCTGTACTCATAGAAGAGCAGAGTGGAAGAAGTATTTATTTATCGGGCTCTTGCTGATTGCTCAAGACTCCAGCCTAGAAAGCAAATCAAAACAAAGACTAGGTAGAGCAAATGCTTTTGGTGCCCCACATTTTATATGCTTAGCCTATCTCTTACCTTAGTGCAGCTGTGATGGACAATTCAAAATGTGCTCAAAATGCAACATGTAATAAAATGCACCTTCAGTGGTAAACCACAATATCCCTCCACATTTCTTCCTCATGGCCTTCTCTGGAACTGTAGAAGTGCAGTAAACTCTTACGCAAGCCTAGCCTTGACCGGTTGGGTGGAAGCTGATGAATGAAGCCCCCAGCCTTCTGGGAACAAGGGACTAAGGCTCAATTTTTAAGATTCCTCCAAGGGTGTCAGCAGGACCACAATAATTATAAATTCAACAGCCCACAGTTGATTGGCTTTTCCTCATTTCCTGCTTCTCTCTCTCCATTTTCACTCTACTTCCTAGGATCATCTCCCAATTAAACTGCCTGATACCCAGTCCTCAGACTCTGCCTTGGGAGGAGACCAAGCTTAAACACAGAACAATTGATATTGATGGAATTGACTGAGCAGCCATGTCTTAAGGTTGAAAGAACCCTAAAGGACATCTAGTCCATCTTGTGTGAGATTATCTGGTCCAGCTTGTGTGAATCAGCAAAGTTTAGTCTATAACATCCCTTACTGTGAATTGTCTATTCTCTGTTGATGTACCTCCAGGGATGGGAATACCACTTTTGTGAGGCAAATCTTTCTAATGTAAGACAGCTGTCAATGAAAATTTGCTTCCTTGAGAAAGGCTCTCATTTTCCCTAGTTTATGTTTTTAAATGCATCCATAATGTCGTATATTCTTCCTTATGAAAATACTCTGAGATTTAGAGACAAAAAGTGATGCAACCTAAAACTTTTCTTTGTTTATGTTATTGCCCCATGGCTTTTGACCATACCACACATAATCAGATATTCTTACTATTGATGGAATCTTCTTTTAAGTATAAACAGCTCATAACTCAACTGTTTCATGAGCAAACATTGAATTTTTGCTTATGTAAAACAATGTGAATTTTTTTCTTAAAAATGTGGATTTCAAAAACCATCTATGTCACTTGTTAGCTCTGTCTCCTTGGGGAAGTGTTTCACTCACCAATCATCAGTTTCTTCATCTGTAAAATTAGGATAATGATACTCACATCAGAAGGTTGTCATGAGGAGAATATCTGTTTCCTAATGAACTACCTGGAAAAGCCTCTGAAATGTTATGCTCAAATAAATGATTCAACTTTGGTTCAAACCTCTAACCAAGGAATGGAACTTTTTCACATGGGACTCGAACAAGATTTACAATACATTATGTCTTCACTTTGAAATGACTAAGACATTTCATGTTGAAATGACAAAGGCCGTGGTTAATTGTAGTGCTAAATGTTTAATGTGTCCTTTAGTTTGATCTGGTTATTGATAATATGAATCAATCCTATTGCATGGGACCAAAATACTGTTCCATGTGCTGACATTTTTGCAGTCTGCAAATCCTGGGTTTTGCCACACTTGTCCATTTAGCACCTCCCTCATATAATAAAAGTATAGCAGATTTCCTTTTTGATCATTATGTAGAAGGAGAAAACTGAGGGTAAGAGGGAAAAGTACTTATTGATTCCGTGAACTGTTAGCAAAAAGCCAGTTGAGGATGTGAGGCAGAGCAGTACTGACCAATCATACAGCAAGTGTAAAGGTCCTGAGGCCAACCTTGGCCTACTCTAGTAGCACAAACACTGATGTGTCATTACACAAGTGAGTAAGGGGAATAGTGGTAACAGATGAGGTCAGAGAGATCAGCAGGGGTCCGATTATGTGGAACTTCTTAGGATATGGGGAAAAGTTTGCAGTTTACTTTTAGTATGATGGGAAATCTCAGGAGGTGTTGAAGAGGAGAGTGGCAATATCAGATTTCTGTGTTTTAGATCACACAGTGTCGTTAATTGACTGTGGAGAGTGAGTGTGTCCCAGGGAGACTGGTAAGAAGGTGATCACAGTAGTCTATGTGAAAGATGATGATGGCTTGGAATAAGCACATTAAGGGTAAAACCCAGTCAGGTTCAAGACATATTTTAAAGGCAATGCGGTTAAACCATGGGGTTGAATTGGATGTAGAGTGTTAGGGAATGCAAGGAATCAAGGAGGACTCCTGCATTTTTGGCCTGAGGAATACAGAAAACAGTGATTTCACTCATTGAAAGTGGGAAACTATGTAGAAACCATGAGGAAGTCCCATTTTGGAGATATTACATGTAAAATGTTTATTCAATATGTATGTAATATATTTATATATTTACATATATGTCACTTGTGTGTACGAACCTGAAGTTCATACACATAATCGAAAGAATGAACCTGAAGATAATTGGTGAGGTCACACTAAGCGGAAAAGATATGTTGATGTCATCAGCATATACATGGTGTTTAAAGCCCATAATCCAGCCGGGTACGGTGGCTCACGCCTGTAATCCCAGCACTTTGGGAGGCCTGAGGTCAGGAGTTCAAGACCAGCCTGGCCAAGATAGCAAAACCCCGTCTCTACTAAAAAATACAAAAAAAAAAAAAAAAAAAAAAAAAATTAGCTGTGCATGGTGGCGGGCACCTGTAGTCCCAGCTTTCTGGGAGGCTGAGGCAGGAGAATCACTGGAACCTGGAAGGCAGAGGTTACAGTGAGCTGAGATCATGCCACTGCTGCACTCTAGCCTGGGTGATAGAGCGAGACTCAGTCTCAAAATAAATAAAAAATAAATAGTCCATAAACCAAGATAACTACTCAATGAATATGTGTGCTAAAGTAGGAGAGGACCTGAGACTGAGGCTAAGTCTCCTCAGGTTGTGGAAGAGGAATTCAAAGTCAGTGGAGGATACAGAGAAACGGAGGCCTGTGAAGTAGGAGGAAACCAAGAGAGGGCAGCAACTTGGGAGTTAATTGGAGAAAGTATTTCAAGGAGGGCGTAGGTAACAGTGTCCATTGATGCTGATGTAACAAATAACAGGAGGCTTGAGAATAAGCATAATGCCCATCTAGCCTATCAGTGTGCTCTGCAGGAAAAATACCTCTTTCATTTTGTTAAACCTACTTCTCAAACTTATTTGTCCTAACAGCACTTTTCTTGTTAATATCAATGACCATGCCTCAGAGTAGTCAGTTTGTAAAATGTCGGTCTAGACATAAGGAAAGGACTGAACTCCCGTGACTCCTATTCTACCTGTTTCTCCCATTTTTGTTAAGAAAGCCCCATGAAAATAATCAAGAAAGACAAGATGGCATGCATTCTTGCAAATGCGTGTGGCCGTTCTGTCTGATTTCGATTGGGCAAGGCCTGGTTTCTTGGGCGTGAGAAGACCTCACATATGAAAATTAAGCCACAAGCAAAATCCAAACCACAGCATTCAGAGGTTCCCTTGTCACAAGCCAGGTCTGAAGTTTGGCAGGGGTCCCTGAGAGAACCTTATGAAGGGTGGGCAATACCTTGCCTGGCCTCAGCACTACTCTCCCTTCCCAGAATCCAAAGTTCTACTGTTACTTAGGGAAGTGTCAGGAAAAAAGAAATTCTTTTCCAGATCATTGGCAAATGTTTGCTCAGATCTGTTTTTGGGTCATTAGCTCAACACTGCTGTCTGTTCTTCTCAAAGAATTAGAAGAGTGTTTCAAAAACACATTTATTTGCATCCCTTTCTTTTTATTCCTCTGTTGCCCCCTATTTGCTTTTATTACTTTTCTCTGTCCTTCTTTATTTCTTTATCTGTTTGGATTCAAGATGGATTGTGTCTGTCACTGCATGGAAAAGGCCTGTTGTAGCCAGAGCAAAGAGGGGTTGCTTTGCTATAGCACTGACCCTTGGCTTTCTTCACAACCATTGCAAACGGCTAGGTAATTGCATACAACCTGCATAAAAACAGCTATGCAGCTGCAACCAATGTAGAAACTTCCACCAATCAAGTCAGAGCCACTTATCCCTGATCAAAGTTATGCTCATGCTCACTAATGACACACTTTTTGTGAGACAGGATCTTTGCTGAAAAAGCAAAGGGCTGGGGATGTACAAGTAATGAAAATATAGCTGCAAGTTTCCATGCAGGTTGCTGTCACAACATTCTCATGGAATCCTTACAATCACTCCTTAAGGTACAATGTAAACATCATTATCCCTATTTTACAGTTAAGGGAAACTGAGGCATATTGAAGTGATAGGACTTGCCCACACCAATCCCAACTGGACTATCAGCTCAGGCCTTCCTTTCTCTCTGGCCCAGGGTTTTCACTTATGTTGATTTGAGGAGGGGTAGAGAGAGAAAAAAGAAAATGATTTCTGTCTTCTAAGAGCTTATACTGTAGAATGGGAATTTACTTATGAACATGAATTGATATAAGATAAAATACCTATACCATTTTGAATCAAGCACATTTGTTTTTATGTGGTTCATATCTACTACACACCATGCTGGGCACTTTTCATGATCCTTGAAAGCCAAACAACCTTGCCATGTGTCCTTTTATGTAAATATGAAATGCATATTTTTTCTTTACCTTCTTCTTTTTGTTAAAATTCCCCTTGAATGTCCTGATCAGTGACACAGAATATTTCTATTGTCATTCTGGCCATAGACAAACATGCCACATAAGAATAATCAATATTTACTCCCAAATTATTTTTCCCAGATTGGAAAAGCACTGTTTCAATTTGAAAACTTAAAAAATTATATAAAAGTAATATTAAAAACTATATCACTGAGAGTTGCATAAATAGAAGCTCTCTCATCATCTTAAAACATCTTCCCAAATGTTTTTTTTTTTTATTATTTCTGAGTCAAAAGGTCTCCCTAATTTGGCATCACAACTTGGACAGGGATGGAAGAAGCAGCTTTGATTTACCATAGCAAAATACAATATACTCTTATTTTGAATCACCTTCAGAAAAACAGACATTTGGTCCTACAAAATCATGTTTCAACTGCAAAATGTGGGGACGTCCATGTCTTGGTGAACTGCAGTAAATATTAGATTCTTTTGGCTGGCTTGCTTCTGAGCTCCCACCAGCAACCTCAGTACTAAGTCAGGCTATATTTTAAATAAGGCTGGTAGCCACTGTTTCTTGGATCTTCACTCAGTCTATGCAGAGAGGGGTAAAGGTAGCTTTTTTCTATCCACTCTGTCTCACAAAGGATGATGACCTTGGTGAATGTATGGTACTCTGGTCTTTTGTGCATTCCCTCCTGACTTCAGAAATAAGGCAAAGGGATCGGGTATGACCATGGCATGAATATGAAGTGGCCAAAGAAAGAAAGAGAAAAATGGAAGGAAGGAAGGAAGGAAAAGAGAAGAGAAGAGAAAAGAAAAAAGAAAAGAGAAGAAAAGAAAAGAGTCCAAATTTCTGGTAAACTGTTTATAGCCATTTATCAAGACATCCATTGTGCATACAGCTAGAGAGGAATGAAAGTCATAGGCTTACTCCTTGAGGAGGCCAACTAATCCTTCTTTAATGGCTGGTACAAGGATTTGTTTCTCTCCCATCAGTTTTAGGCTCTGAAAGGCACTCATGTGTTCCACTGAATTATACCGGATATATTAAATTAATTCTATTAACCAGCTTATCCTCTAAATCTTTAACCAGGCTCTAATGCATATGCATTCACTGGTATAAATGACTTCAAGCAATTTTAGAAATTGCTCATTGGGACCGTAGTTACATTGAAAGGTGAGCCAGTCTCTGACCTTACTGCATTCCACAATGTTAACTAATCGGCTAAATGATTGCAGCCCTTTTTCAAAAGGGGGTACTGCATTCTCCTCTTACCCCCCTCACTCCTTTTCGAGTTTGGAATTTGCCTTCAAACCAACTGTAGGACTCATGAACTCCAACCAGCAAAAGCAAGGGATGTGAGAGGCAAGGCCTCCACTGAAGTCTGAATATAAAGAAATGCAAGATGTACTGTTTCTAAATCTCCCATTTCTCTGACTGTTTCCCTGCTTATCTCCCCCACACCTGGTATATGCTTTCATCCTGTCCTCTAGAGAGCTTTTCCTGCTCACACCTCACAACCTCTGTAGGTGACTGTTTATTTTCTTACAGCATCTTGTGCTTACTTCTATCAAAAATAATCACAGCAATAATAGTCATAGCTACCATTGAGTCCTTACTATGTGCCAGATACTTATCCAAGTGCTTTGTCAATATTAACTTACTTAATCTTTGTAATGACCCTCTGAGGGAGGTACTATTTTTATCCCAATTTACATGTGAGAAAACAGAGTGATTCAGTAACTTGCTCAAGAATACAAAGTCAGTAGGTGGCGGAACTAGTACTAGACCTAGGCAGGTGGTCTAATTTAATCATAGTAATTAATATTGTTGAGTGACTCTAGATGCAAATACTAAGCTGTTTATGCACTTTATTCCATATCATTACGCTAGCACTCCTGTTCTGTAGGGATTACATAATAGACCCATTTTATAGATGTAAAAGTAAAGTGATCTGCTTGAGTTCAGATGCTGAATAATGAAGCCAGGATTCCCAAGCCCGGGCTCAATCACTTTGCTTTAATATACAGTTTTACAGTTGCTTATTTATTTTTCCATGAGATTTTCTTGTGTATGAGTCATCTTTCTGTGCTGATTCCCCTCCACAATACCTATGATGTGCTATGTTTATAAATACTGGCTATACTCACCTGAACTGAATATATTTTGAAGGTTAGCCCTGTAAATTTGCCTCATCAGGGGAAAGAGAACTTCAAAGAACAGAAGTCCATTTGTCTTAGCTTTTTCTATGTGTTTGCTCTGCTTGTTTCACCTTTCTGAAAACTAGTGGACATATAGAAGCCTCCCTCTCTTCCATTCCAATTACAACATATAAGCTGCGTGTACTGATGCTCCACAGTATAAGACAGGACTATGCTGATCTGATGTGACACAACTCCTTGTGTGTCATGCCAAAACTGCACCAAGCAATCTTAGGAAATGTAAAGATTTTTTGTGTTTTTTTTTTTTTACACAGGATTCTTCTCTGTCACCAGGCTGGAGTGCAGTGGTGCCATAACAGCTCACTGCAGCCTCGACCTCCGGAGCTCAAGCCATTCTCCCACCTCAGCCTCCAGAATAGCTTGGACCACAGGTGTATGCCACCATACCTGGCTAATTTTTTTAAAAAATATATTTTTGGCAGAGATGAGGGTATCACTATGTTGCCCAGGCTGGTCTTGAACTTCTGGTTTCAAGCGATCCTCCTTCCTCGGCCTCCCAAAGTGCTAGGATTGCAGGCGTAAGCCAGTGTGCCTGGCCTTGTTGTTGGCTTCAGAAGAGCAAATATAGAATCAGAATGCCTCACATTTGAGCCTATTTTCTGGATGTCTTACTCTGGGTAAATTACTTAACTTCACTGTGTTTTGATTGCCTTGTACAAAAAGTGAGAATAGTATTTACCTTTTAATATTTCATGGTGATTAAATAAGATAATATTCATAAAGTGCCTGATACAGCACCAATAAGAGATAGCAACTATCATGATTATGTATAGCTAAGCAATCTTTGCTTTTCTCCAACTCACCTCCTGAAAACTTTCTTTGTGGCCATGTGCCCAGATTCATTAGGTGTGTTGTTACACATACAGAATATTTTATTGGTGAGAAGCAAGAAACTATTTCAATAATAGTTTTATATGTATTGAGTCCTTGCTATGTGCCAGGCACTGTGCTGAGCTCTTTAGATAAACACACTTAATCCTCACCACATCCTATGAAATTGGCACAGCCATTATTATTCTTCATTTTACAAGTGAGGAAACAAAGGATTAGACAGGCTAGGCAACTTGCCCAAGGTCATGCAGTTAGTAAGTAACATGAATGGGATTCCAACTGAGGCAGTCAAACTCCACAGCCCGATCTCTTAACCAACCTGTCATGTTACACTTCCTTCCATGTAATCTTGGGCTGAGTCTCTTGTTTTTAAAATGGGTGACAAAGAAGAACAAACACTTGGAAGGTCAAATTTACCCAGCTGTAAGTAACATTTGGGACTTGGCTTGCCAACGTGGAAATCTGTTTGTTTGCAAGCTTTTATGAGTTCGTTGTTGAGCTCTCTTCACTGGCTGCCTCCTGTGTATTCTTTACAGATGATCTTCAGTGGACTTTTGGGTTCTGGGAAGCAGCTGGATGTTTCACATAACTGCTTGTGCACTTCTCTGGCACAGGTGTTAAATGTTCTTAAATTTGACACAGATAAAACCTAATGACTGTCCATTGGATTCTTGACACAGGACTCTCAGTTTTTCCTTCCATCATATTTTACTACACTTCACAAGTGATGATGATGACTTTCTAAGCCTTCTTTGAAATCTTATTGATCATGTAATTAAAAGATCTCCTAATGTATGTCAGAAGTCCAATTTCAATAAAACTCCTGCTGCCTAGTTTAACATAATTTCAATCCACAATTCTGCATAGATGCCCTTCTCAGGCTATGCAGCCATTATGTTCAAAATATGTAGAGAGTTTGAAAGGCTAATTTTAGCATGGGTCACAGCCTACATTACAGAAAACATTGCCAGCATGCATCTTCTCATATGTTTCTCTCACTTCCAGGAAAGCAGTATTCTGATTTTTAAATAGTTCCACATTCAGGAGGCAATCCAACTGGAAACAGGAACATGTGTTCCAAAGTGGGCTTGCAACTTCTAAGAGGCATTATGCTCTCTGTACATGGCAAAATGGCTTAGCAAAGGACCAAAGGGACTCATGGAGAAGCCACAATTTGAAAGATGGTGAATGTACATTGTCCACCCACTGAATAATCAAATTAATTGTTACAGGTTGCTGAGATCCAGGCCACATTTAGGTGATGGTATGGTTAATCTATCAACTACCCACTATTTAGGGTGATAGCATATGAGATATGGCAAAGGAGGAAAAAATAACTGTAGCCTGAGATTCAGGAAATATGGATTATAGTCTTTCCTAACTCATAGTGTCAGTTTCTTAGCTCAGGCTGCTATAACAAAATATAATACATTGAATGGCTTAAACAACAGACATTTATTTCTTACAGTTCTGGAGGCTGCAGAGTCCAAGATCAAGGTGATGACAGATTCGTTGTGTGGTGAGGACTCGCTTCCTGGTTTTCAGATGGCCACCTTCTTGTTGTATTCTCACACAGTGACAAAAAAGAGGCCTGTAGTGTCCTTCTCTTTTTATAAGGATACTAATTCCATCACAAGAATCCCACCTTCATTACCACATTTAAACCTAATTATCTCCCAAAAGTCCCACCTCTAAATACTATCACATTAGGGTCTGGGCTTCAACAAATACATTCGGACTGGTGGGATGGACACAATTCAGTCTATAGCACTCAGTAGATCCTGCCCCCTCTCTGTGGCTCAACCTGACAATCTGAATTGATGGCATGGGTCTGAACACCCCCTCTGTATGAACAGATTTCTCCTTCTGTGTAAAGCCTGCATGAAGCATTGTGTACTCCCACTCTCAGAGCAGTTCTCAGCAGGATGCAAAGTCTGAAATCACTGAAGAGCGAGGAAGAAAGGAATGACTTTCAGCTCTGTTTTCAAGGAGAATAACCTCACCACTCATTGGCCCAAAGGGGCAGCCAATGTTTCCAGAAGTCTGGTGTTAACTGATCTCAAATCTGAACCCTAGTGAATTATAAGGCCAATTTTCCAATCAATTCTGGCTGAAATTCAGAACGCATGTTGATATTTAGGAGCTGGTGAGCAGACTAAGCAGCAGAAATGCCAGAGTTAATTCCTATTACCATGTTCTGGACCCAGAGCAAGTCCTACTAAAAAAAAAGTTTTAAAAGTCTGGCAGTATTGCAGAGTAAAAGTAATAGTAATTCAATCTGGATGTAAGGAATGCATTCAAGCCCATTTCCAAATCAGCAACAGGCAGGCAGAGTTCAATCTTTGATGTATTTTTAACATCTTATAAAAAAACGGGTTCATTTAGTGTTTTAGTTATTCTTTAAAAGAGAGGATACACAGTGAGAAGCAATGGCAAAGTTTTCCTTCACTATGGAAATGAGTTACAGATGGCTTTCTAATGTTGGTCCACCCAACCAGTAGTTGGAGGTTTTATATTTTATTGCTGCCATTTAAGGTTAGAGTGTAGGAATTAGAACTCCCCAATGTCATGCCAGTGTAGGGTGGCTCAATTATTGGCACACTGTGTTGGACACGTCTTCTGTGTCATATTGGGTTCTCTTAGTGCTAATCCCTTCTGGACCTCAAAATGCTGGTAGCACCTCAGCAATTACAGCAAATCCCATCATTTTTAAAGGGTTGTTCACAAGCTTCCCTCTATGGCCATAATAGTTAATTTTATGTGTCAACTTGACTGGGCTAAGGGTTGCCCAGATAGCTGGTAAAACATTATTTCTGGGTGTGTCATTGAGGATGTTGTATTTGAATTTGTAGACTGAGTAAGGAAGATCAGCCTCACTAATGTGGGTGGGCAGCACTAATAGGTTGAGAGCGTGATAGAACATAAAGTTGGAGAAAGGGCGATTTTCTTCTTTTCTCTTCTACTGGAGCATCCATTTTCTCATGCAGTTGGACATCATTCATCTGGTTCTTGGGCCCTCAGACTCCAGGACTTATACTAGTGGGGCCCCCCACCTCAACTCACAGATTCTCTAGCCCTTATACTTAGATTGGGAGCTACACCACTAGGAGAACCCTATCCATTGTTCTCAGGCCATTGGACTCAGACTGAATTATACTACTAGCTTTCCTGGTTCCCCAGCTTACAGATGGCAGGTGGTAGGATTTATTGGCTTCTATAATCACATGAGCCAATTTCCATAATAAATATGATAACTATATCCATATTTATGTCTATGTCTATATCTATATCTATAGCTATATCATCTATATCTATATCTGTATCCTATTGGTTATGTTGTTATGTTCTCTTCTCTATGAACCCTAACTAATACAATGGCCAAGAAGATCTGCTTGGGTCTGTCTGGCTCCTCTTGGAGCTGATCAGCAGCTTCCCCAGGAGGATCAGCCCCCTACCCCTTGAATTTCCATGCAAAGCCAAACTCACCAACTACGTGCCCTGAATTTCAGGGGTTTTTTTTTCCACTTTCAGATACAAATGAAATGCATAGCATGGAGTGTGGGTTGGGGTGGGAAATTAAGTTTTCTTAGCGACTGTCCAAAGGGATAGATACAGCAGTCCAGAAATATGGAGTATTAACTACGGACAACAAAAACCAAAAGAATAAATCCTGTCACATGGAATGCTCTGGGATGTAGATTCTTTATACTACAGCTTTGAGATGGCTCATATGACCATGTGGGTCCACCTCTCATGGTACAGCTGTGTCTCTTTACAGTTCATCATGAAACAGTGAACAGCACAGTAATGTGTCACTTTGAATTTCTGTCTACCTTTCCATGCCTCACTTTCCTTCTCCTAAATCTTTGCTACCCTGGGATTGTATCTGCCTAAATTAAGCATTAGCACCTATTTCTTGCAACAAGTTTGTTTTCTGGAGAACCTGGGCTAAGACCGTACAATATTATATCTACTTCTCACAATAACCCTATGGCACAGGAACTATTGTTATTCTCAATTTACACAGGAGAAGAAAGGTTTAAAAATATAAAATGAATTGGTCAGTATCACAAAGTAAAAGCAAAAGGAAGAATTAGTACTTCAACTAAGGGCTGTCTTATTTCCACCAACATTCTTAAGCAGTACCCTATAGCTATGGTAAATTAATTTGTAGTAAGAACATGCAATCTGTTAATATTTATTGAATACCTCCTATGAGTCAAATACTCTCTAGGGAGTAGAAAATAAAGGGTAACTAATACAAATACTGTCTAGACCTCGAAGATGCTTAATATTTTTGAACACAAGTATTAGTTGGGGTAAGCCACATTAGTTGCTATTAGGAATACCATAATCTCAGTGGTTTAGTATAATAAAATTTACTTTTCATTCTAATCACAGGGCAATGAGAGTAGTCATCAACCTTATAATTTTAATAATGAAATCAAGGATAACTTCAGGATGGTTAAAATAATGTAGATAAGGTCCAGACCATTAGAAGGACAGAGAGATATGCTCTAAATTTGAGCTGCATTTCTGAAGAATGAGTAGGAATTGGCCAAGTGAAGTGGATAGGTTAAAGCATCTTTTAGATTTTTAAAAATGAATTAATTAATTATTTTGAGACAGAGTCTTGCTCTGTCAGCCAGGCTGCAGTGCGCTGGCACAATCATGGCTCTGTGCACCCAGGCTCAAGTGATCCTCCCACCTTAGCCTCCCAAGCAGCTGGGACTACAGGTGTGTACCACCATGGCTGGATAATTTCTTATTTAAATTTTTTATAGAGACAGGGTCTCACTATGTTGAGCAGGCTAGTCTCAAACTCATGGGATTACAAGTGTGAACCACCAGGCCTGGCCTTGGGTTTCTTTAAAATTTTTTTTAAATATATTTTTAAAGAGCAGTTTTAGATTATAGGAAAATTGACCAGAATATAAGAAAATTCTCATACACTACCTTCATCTTCTCTGTATCTCTAGTATCTCCTATTATGAACATCTTGCAATTGTGGGGTACATTTGTCGCAACTGATGAACACATACTGATATATTGTTACTAACTAAAAGTTCATAGTTCACATTAGGGTTCACTCTTTGTGTCACTTGTACTACTTTAACAAACCCATGGTATGTAACCTGAATGGTATGCAGATGTCTGCAGAATTATAAAGTAATTTACGTTATCCTTTTGCAGCTTTTCCTGCTTCAACGTATGCAGTATGCATTGCTGACTTACTCTCCCACTGGACAGCTGTGGTGACGAATTTTTACTACTCAGAATCCATTCGTGGCTACCCATTGTTTTGAGAATCAAGTCTCCAATCCTCATCTACCTAGTTTTGAAGGAGTTCTACATACTGCTGATAGCCCTCACCCTCAAACTTCTTGGGGACCCCTCAGGCAATAACCAACAAATACAAGGGCATAAAACTGAGTCATCTTGCCTTATGACGGGTCAACTCTATGGCACCAGTGAAGATTCACCTGCCTATTGGACCAGGGTGAAGCTTTGCCTACTGTCTTCTTTTGCTCTATTAACAGAGATCTTTATGTCTTTTCTGCAAAGGAGGGCTTCTACTACTGGGAGATTTTGGAAAGCAAAGGAAATATCCAGGAAAACACACACACACACACACACACACACACACACACACACACACACACGTATATAAAGACAGCATTTCAATGCACCATAAACACAAAAATGTCTATCACCCAAGCTTTGTGTAGTATCAACCTGTCATCCCAGCAATGTTCTCCCATTGATACATACGCCTTTCTGCTCTCCACATTAGAACAAGTACAATCTTTAATTTGCTCCAGCCATTATTTCTCATTACTCATAGAGTCAGAAGCTTAGTCATTGTCCACATTTTGTAATCCAAGGCCAAAACACTGTATTTTGCATATATATATGTATATATTTTGCATATATATATATAATTTTTTTCCTGAGCTTGCAGCTGAATCTTCTAGTGGCTCCCAGGGACCACGGAGCAATAATTCAAAGTGGCATGGTAGAGAGATCCATGGCAGAGGGCCAGTTCTCCCTTCCAATAGTTCAACCCAAAAAGAATGGGAGGAGAAAAATAGAGCACCCTGGAGGAAAGAATGCTTGAAAATCCCCTTCTCACTTAGTGAGAATGAAAAAGTTCTATTCATGACTTTTACCACCAGGTTTAGGCCTCTGCTGAAAAACAACAAGGAATTTGGAATATCTGCTTAAAATGAGTGTAAATATTTACCCACATATGCTGAAATATTCTTGTGACATTTAGTCTGATGCATACTGCCAGGAGAGAAGGAAGCTCCTGAGCCAAACACAGGAATTTTTTATTTTTAATCTTCCCTGGGAGTAGAGCAAACATTTGCAATGATATAAAATGTATTAAATTCACTAACCCTGGAATTCATAACTGGTTATACATTGAGTGCTGTCATCTTGTTCAGAACTCCAATGTTTGCAAGCTCTACATTTCTTACTCTTCTCGTTATTCTTCAAGAACTTGAACAGGGTTATTCATATTATTAGCATTATTATAATTAAACAGGCAAAAAACATATGTACCCATTTTTCTTAATATTGTAACAATCACACTGTGATTATTAAATGTATGATTCTATTTATGAGTGCTTATCACTGGCAAAATATTTTTACATTCATGATCCAGGGCATAGTAGGCACTCAAATGTTTGCTGACTCAATGACTCACTTATCCTTACCATGTGACAGAATCTTTGCTAAGCATTTTACATACATTTTTTTCATTTAGTATGAGGCCAGATGAACTATGTGGGGAAAATATGATTTTTCATTTCAACAGGTGAGAAAACTGAGGTTTGGACTGGACAAATGACTAGAATAGGCACTTGATTAACAACCTTGTGTTAAATGCCTATATCATGTATAAGACCCCATGTTAGGTGCCAAGATTAACTCTCTCTATATATATATCTGCACATACACATACACACATACACACACACACACAATCTGCCCATGCCATGGTAATTGTATTGATTACTGAGAGAGGAAGACACATAAGTGGTTAGAAAATAGCACTAGTGTGGTAAGTTCAGGGATAGGGCCACATAGAATGGGAACCTAATTTACTTGGTTCAGTGCGTATGAGGCAAATCAAACTTGGAAAATGATTAATGAAAGAGGCTGATATCCATCTTAAGACTGAGTAGGAGTTGAGTAGAAGTGTGTGTGGCAGTGGTGAGGACAGAAGCCTGTGCTTATGGAGAGCATCTCAGGTAGTGGATGTCCACACCATGTATAAAAAAAATGCATAAAGAAAATACCAAGGACCCCTAGAGGCTTGCTCGGTCTGTAACCAAGGGCACACAGAGGGGAGAATGGCCGAAGGAGCTCAGCTGTCAAATTTTGGTAGGGTTCAAATCATGAATGGCTTTGAATGCCATGCTAAGAAATTTGGACCCTACAACCAGTAAGTGGCAGAGCCTGGGCCTGAATTCCTTAGGTCTACTTAGTTCTCTCTACCACCCCCAGTGACACTTTCCTACTCTGTGTATGCATGCATGATACGGTTTGGTTGTTTCACCACGCAAAATCTCATCTTGAAATTGTAATTTCCTGTAATCCTCATAATCTCCACACATCAAGGGAGAGACTAGATGGAGGCAATCAAATCATGGGGGTAGTTTTCCCCATGCTGTTCTCACGGTAGTGAGATCTGATGGTTTTATAAGTGTTTGGTAGTTCCCCCTGCTTTCATTCTCTTTCCTGCCACCTTGTGAAGAAGGTGCTTTGTTCCCCTTCCACCATGATTATGTTTTCTGAGGCCTCCACAGCCATGCTGAATTGTGAGTCAATTAAGCCTCTTTCCTTTATAAATTACCCAGTCTCAGGCAGTTCTGTATAGCAGTGTGAAAACAGACTAATACAATGCATGTGTGTGGTTGTGTGTGTGCTTAGGAATCTACATGCACACACTATTTCTGCGTTTTGAGAGCTGTGATAGAACTGGTGACGATTGGATATTCGTCCAAGGGTAGTATAAATCACAGAAATGTTTCTGTTTCAAACACACTCAGAGATTTGAACCAGGCTGAGAAAAGTTATGTACAGAAAAACTGGTCGACAATTCCAAAGAATAGAAGAATGTTTGTAAGTGGATGAAAATATTTGTAAGTTCCTTGGGGCTACTAAAGTGTTTGGATGTTATGTGTTCTTTGTAAGTTGTGAGTTTTCCTTGTAGACATTTACCAGAATTTTAAAATGTATTCATATTTTTAAAGCTGATGATGCTTTGGAATATTCCATCAGGTCTGCTGTCCAAACTGAATGATGGACAGAGTTAGTAAGAAGTGAAGACTCACATTCATTCCTTCTGCCTAAAACCTGTACCTCACTTCACTTGGCTAATTTCCATTTATTCTTTGGGTCTCAGAGAAGACTGTATTGAATTCCACATCCTAAATAAGTCCCCTAGATAGAAACATTTTTTTAAAAAAATTCTGTATTTCCATTTCATGTAGCATCAAAATTATAATTTAAATAACCACTTATGTAATTCTCTGCATGTTCATACTCATTTTCTTTCCATTCTACATAATGCCTGGTCATAGGGAATGTCTGGTTCACTCAGTAAATGTGTTTTGAATAGATTAATAAAAATTAAACAAAAATCAGATAGATCATCATGATAGCCAATCTGGTGTTTAAATTAGTATCCAGCCTGGCGTGGTGGCTCATGCCTATAATCTCAACACTTTGAGAGGCCAAGGTGGGCAGATCACCTGAGGTTAGGAGTTCGAGACCAGCCTGACCAACATGGTGAAACCTTGTGTCTACTAAAAATACAAAAATTAGTCGGGCATGGTGGTGCACGCCTGTAATCCCAGCTACTTGGGAGGCTGAGGTGGAAAATTGCTTGAACCCAGGAGGCAGAGGTTGCAGTGAGCAGACATCGTGCCACTGTACTCCAGCCTGGGTGACAGAGTAAGACTCCATTTCAAAATAATAATAATAATAAAAATAATAAAAAATAAATACATTAGTATCCAAAGGATTCCACCAGTGTTTTCAAAGAATGAAATTAAACTTGCAGTTTTAAGATGATGGCTTCCATTAACAATTATTGATTATCTTCTATGTACCAGGCTCTGTACTAAGCATTCGATGTTTGTTTTCTCATTTAGTCTTCACAACAACCTTATAAGATAGTAATGTTGGCTGAGACAGAGACTTGTGCTCTCCTTCCATAATGGAAAGTTGTTGTTGGTAAGCAGCTTCCTTGCCAGGGACTTTTTCCAGCCCCCACTTGCACCTAGGTGGGCAACGTGAATGGTTCTGTTCAACAAAACATGAGCAGAAAGGATGTGTCACTTCTGGGTCAAGGAACTTGAGTCTCTGGCATTCCATACCCATGTTCTCTCTTCTCTTTCTACAGTAAACTTTGAGATAATGTGTTGAAGGTAGAGGCAATAAAGTGGAAGGAGCCCAGGCCATTGAAAAGTGGCATGGACAAAGAACTCCTAAAAACAGCCAGTTATTATTTGACTAACAAAGAAATTGAGGAACAGAGAAGTTAAGTGACTTTTTCCTGGCTAGTAATCAGAAATCATCAGAAAAAAATAATATTTTACTGTGATAAGAATGCTATTTGAATTTCAAGGTTTATCTATTACAACACTGAACATTACTTATCCTAGCTAATATAGGTACATAATAAAGGTACAATTACTGTAACCATTTTACAGAGAAGGAAAGAGAAGCTTAGAGAGGTTAACTACTTCTTCAAGTGTACATAGTGATATGGTTTGATACTTGTTCCCTCCAAATCTCATGTCAAAATATGATTCCCAGTGTTGGGTAGGTGGGCTAGTGGGAGGTGATTGGATTGTGGGGGTGGATCCCTCATGAATGGCTTTGAATCATCCCCTTGGTGATGAGTAAGTTCTCAGTTCATGCAACATCTTGCTATTTAAAAGAGACTGGCACCTCCTCCACCTCTCTCTCTTGCTACCGCTCTTGCCATGTGACTGCCTGCTCTCCTTTCACTTTCTGCCGTGATTGTGAGCTTTAGGAGGCCCTCACTTGAAGCAGATCCTGATGCCATGCTTCTTGTACAGCCTGCAGAATCATGAGAAAATTCAATATTTTCTTTATAAATTACACAGCCTCAGGTATTTCTTTACAGTGATGCAGTATTGGACTAATATACATAGGTATTAAGTAATACATAGGTACAATTTGTAGTGATTCCATAGTTTCATTACTGAGGTGTGTGTAGCAAGGGATTTATGTAGCCATCTGTTTGGAAAAAGGTAGCTTGGGAGCCTAAAACTCAGCTTCCATGAAATATTATATGTAATTGAGAAAACTTCAGTTGTTCAACAGCAAAGAATTGGATTGTGGCTAAAGAAGGTGAAGAGAAGCTACAGTAGTCCCACCTCAAGCCAGCTTGTGGCATAATCACTGGTTTTGTCTGTTAGAATTCATACATACTGATATGGTTTGAATCTGTGTCCCCACAAATCTCATGTTGAATTGTAATCCCAAGTGGTATAAGTAGGGCCTGGTAGGAGGTGATTGGAGCAGGGGGCTAGAATTCTCATGAATCGGTTAGCACCACCCTCTTGGTGCTGTTCTTGTGACAGTGAGTGAGTTATCCTAAGATCTGGTTGTTTAAAAGTGTGTAGCCCCTCCCTCTCCCTCTTGGTCCTACTCCTGCATATAGGATGCCTGCTCCTGCTTTGCCTTCCACCATGAGTAAAAGCTCCCTGAGGCCTCCTGAAAAGTAGTTGCCACCATGCTTTCTGTACAGCCTGGAGAATCATGAGCCAATTAAACCTCTTTTAAAAATTAATTTACCCAGTCTCAGGTATTTCTTTATAGCAGTGTAGGAAGGAACTAATACAGAATGGGGCATTGCTATGAAGATAACTGAAAATGTGGAAGCAACTTTGGAACTAAGTAGTGGGCAGAGGTTGGAAGAGTATGGAAGGCTCAGAAGAAGACAGGAAGATGATGGAAAATTTGGGACTTTCTAGAGACTTGTTAAATGGTTGTGATGAAAATGCTGATAGTGATATGGACAGTGAATCCAGGCTGAGAAGGTTTCAGATGGAAATGAGGAACTGATTGGGAACTGGACTAATGGTTGCTTTTGTTACACATTAGCAAAAGACTTGGAGGCATTGTGCCTCTGCCCTAAGTATCTGTGGAATCTTGAACTTGAGAATGATTATTTAGGGTATCTGGAGGAAAAACTATCTAAGCAGTAAGGAGTTCAAGAAGTAAGCTGGCTGATTCTAACAACTTATCTCATATAGATGAGCAAAGAAATGACCTAAAACTGGAATTTATATTTAAAAGTGAAGCAGAGCATAAAACTTGGGAAAATTTGCACTCTGGCTATCCGGTAAGAAAAAAAGGAGCCCTTTTTCAGGGGAGGAATTCGAGCCAGCTGTAGAAATTTGCATAAGTAAAAAGGAGCCAAGTGGTAATAGCCAAGACAATGGGAAAAAGGTCTCAAAGGCATTTTGGAGACCTTCACAGTAGCCTCTCCCATCACAGACCCAGAGGCTCAGGAGGGAAGAATGGTTTCCTGGGCTAGGCCCAGGGCCCCACAGCCCTGCACAGCCTCTGGACACTGCTCCCTGCATCCCAATCACTCCAGCTCCAGCTGTGGCTAAAAAGGTCCCAGGTATAGCTCAGGCCATTACTTCAGAGGGTGCAAGCCATAAGCTTTGGCAGCTTCCACGTGGTGTTAAGCCCATGGGTGCACAGAGTGCAAGAGTCAAGGCTTGGGAACACCTGCCTAGATTTCAGAGAATGCATGGAAAAGCCTGGAGGTCTAGGCAGAAGCCTGTTGCAGGGGTGGAACCTTTATGGAGAACCTCTACTAGGGCAGTATAAAGTGGAAATGTGGGGTTGGAGCCCCCACATAGAAGCCCCACTGGGACACTGCCTAGTGGAGCTGTGAGAAGAGGGCCATGATCCTCCAGACCCCAGCATGACAGATCCATTGACAGCTTGCAAGGCGTGCCTGGAAAAGCCACAGGCACTCAATGTCAACCTATGAGAGAAACCATGGAGGCTGAACCCTGCAAAGCCACAGGGGTGGAGCTGCCCAAGTCCTTGAGAGCCCACCCTTTGCACCAGTGTGCCTGGATGTGAGACACGGAGTCAAAAGAGATTATTTTGGAGCTTTAAGGTTTAATGGCTGCCTTGCTGGGTTTCAGACTTGCATGGGGACTGTAGCCCCTTTCCTTTGGCCTATCTCTCCCTTTTGGAAAGGGTGTATTTACCCAATGCCTATACCTCCAATGTAGCTTGGAAGTAACTAACTTATTTTTGATTTTCCAGGCTCACAAGCAGAAAGAACTAGCCTTGTCTCTGATGAGACTTTGGACTTTGGACTTTTGAGCTAATGCTGGAATGAGTTAAGACTTTGGAGGACTATTGGAAAGGCATGACTATATTTTGCAATGTGAGAAGAACGTGGAGTTTGGAAGAGCCAAGGGTGGAATGATATGATTTGGATCTATGTCCCCACCAAATCTCATGTCAAATTGTAATCCCCAGTGTTGTAGGTGGGTCCTGGTGGGAGGTGATTTGATCATGAAGGCAGAGCTCTCACGAATGGATTAGCACCAACCCTTTGGTGCTGTTCTCATGATAGTGTGTGAGTTATGATATCCGGTTGTTTAAAAGTATGTTATATTTCCCTCCTCTCTCTTGGTCCTGTTCCTTTCAAGTAAGATGCCTTCTCCTTTACCTTCCCAAATGAGTAAAAACTCTCTGAAGCCTCCCCCAAAACAGATACCATCATGTTTCCTGTACAGCCTGTGAAACTGTGAGCCAATTTTACCTCTTTTCTTTATAAATTACCCAGTATCATGTATTTTTAATAGCAGTATGAGAACAAGCTAATACACATGCCAACTACATTTCATAAATATCCTTAATTCTCACGGTATGAGAAACAGGTGGTATATGCCCATTTTACAGATGACAAATTGGAGTCTGAAAGAAACTAAGTGACTTGCCTAAGTCTCTGTAGCTAATAAACAATGAAACTGGAAATCAAGTCAAGTTCTTTCCAACTCTTCGTATCTCAATTGTATTGTGTCTATATTCAAAACAGATTTGACTTCGTTAGTTTCAAATTCAGAGGTGCATAGCCAAATCTGTCTTTAATGCCCTTTGAAGTTATACATGGTTTTCAAGCTCGTGACTACTATTATTGGATCTCTACCATGTCCCAGCATTTTCATATACTATTGAATCATTTTGGATCCTGATGAGAATCTAGCCTGGTGAACATTAATTTCTTCATTTGCAAAATGAAGAAAATATGATTAAAGAAAGAAAGCAGAGCTTTCCTAAAGCCTGCATATTAAGTAGGTGGCTCACACAAAATTTAAGCATTGGTTGGCTAAATTCAAGATCAGAGATGTTTTCATTGTAATATATAATATTGATAGTGTTAAGTACCGTTTTGGTCATTCAAAAAAGGGAATTATTTTACATGACTGGGGAGTTAGAATAGACTCTATGAAGCAGGGAGGTTTTTGACAGCACTGGAAGAAAGCATGGAGTTTGGATAAACACAGATATGAGTAAGAAGGAAGAACATTTTCAAGATCAGAGATGTTTTCATTATAATATAGAGGTAGGGGACTTAGGAAGATCTCATGGAGTATATAGGGATTGATGTTTGCCAATATGGTCCTCAAACATAATTGTGCATAAGAATCAGCTGGAAACTTGTTAAAATTCCCATGAATTACTGGGCTCAAATTTACAGATTCTGATTCAATATGTCAAACATGATAACTAGGAATCTGTGTTTCTACCAGGTCCCCAGATTAATGTGCTGCAGGTAGATTTCTTAGACCCTACTGACCACCACCCAGGGCTTCTAGCCTGGACATTTAGCGAGGCTCAACTTTTGAAATCCTTTATTGCTGTTCCCAGCACTGAGGGAGAAAATGACACATCTCCTTCTGGAAGGAGGCAGAGGCTTGGAGCTTCCAGTCCTGAGTATTCTGCACTTGGCTTCCGTTCTCTGTGTCGATTAGGCCTTTCAAACCAATTACCATTATATATTGCTGAGATTTATAGTCCTTGGTATTTGAGGTTACAAGACTTCCGTTCTCAGGAAGAAGCTCCATGCCATCACTTCTAATCAGCTCAGCACAATGTCTGATTTCCCCTCTGTAAGAGGGCACAATGTTCCATTAGAGTATTAATAGCCAGGCAGAATGGCCTCAATTGCAGTGCTTGGGGAAACATAAAAATTGGCTTTGGGGGTCCAAATTTTTAAAGAACTGTGCTCCTTCTTATCAAAATAAAGACAATGACTCAACAAAAATGGCTAAGAAAAAAAATCCCTGACTTCCAATAGGTAGAGTACAGTACATAGAAAATGAATCTCTCCAAAATGTGGGCAAGATAGTCTTTCCTGGGCTTACTATGATAAAGAGAGAATTTGCTCCAAGTTCAAAGCACAAATAATATATAGCACAGTCTGTGAACAATTAATTTATTTAATATTTACTAAATGTTATGATTTAATTGGCAAGCAGATGAGTACAAGACAGCTGGGTGTATATCTTCCATAACCATTATTTCATTCATTTATTCATCTATCCATCCATCCATGTCTTCATTTATCCATCCACTATCCACCATTTACTCAAACAATTACTGAGTGCTATTTGCCAATCATTATATTATGATGTTGAAATATTCAAATATTCCATCTTCAGATAATTTACAATCCACTCAAGAAAGACGTCTAATGCTTCTCCATTGCCTATAGAATTCAGAAAGTCCTAAAACCTTTTACCCTGTACTTCTAGCCTACATTTTCAGCCTCATTTCTCAGCCCTTTTATAATATATAAGCTAATCTATGTATCTTTGCACTTTCTGTTTCCTCAAACAAAAAATGTCCTTCCTTCTTACTCATACCTGTGTTTATCCAAACTCCATGCTTTCTTCCAGTGCTGTCAAAAACCTCCCTGCTTCATAGAGTCTATTCTAACTCCCCAGTCAGGTAAAATAATTCCCTTTTTTGAATGACCAAAATGGTACTTAACACTATCAAGTGCAATTACTCTTTGCTCTGTCTCACAGAATTTTTGTTAATATGTCTTTTCATCTCATGAATCTTGAGCTCCGATGATTGAAAAACAGGCAAGCCTCAATAATCTTTATAACCTTTGTAATGCCTCATCAATATTAAGAGCTCAGAAATTTCAGTGAATTGAAAGGAGGGAATCCTTTAGTAAGGTAGGATTGTCTCCTGGGCAAAGATTAGCTCTTTCGGTCAAACTTCTACCCTAATTCTGAGCTCTGTTCGCAAAAACCACAGACAATAGTATTTGTTATTAGCCATTTATCGAGAACTTATTCCTGCTAATTACTGATCTAGTTATTTTATATTATTTATTTTACATATTCTTAATGCCACATTGCTGAAGTAGTTATGGTCACCTCCATTTTAAAGATTAGTGGCCGGGCACAGTGGCTCATGCCTGTAATCTCAGCACTTTGGGAGACAGTGGCAGGTGGATCACTGGAGTTCAGGAGTTCGAGATCAGCCTGGCCAACATGGTGAAACCCCATCTCTACTAAAACACACACACACAAAATTAGCCAGGCATGGTGGCGGGCCCCTGTAATCCCAGCTACTCAGGAGGCTGAGGCAGGAGAATTGCTTGAACCCAGGAGGCAGAGGTTGCAGTGAGCTGAGATTGTGCCATGGCACTCTAGCCTGGGCAACAAGAGTGAAACTCCATCTCCAAAAAAATAAAAATAAAAAAATAAAAAAGGAATGTCTGCTGCCTAAAGCGATCGCTAAATTTCCTAAGGTCATACTGATGTGAGTCCAGAGACCTCAGGTACAGTGTTCCAGTGCCTATGCTCTTGACCATTAGGAAATATCTCTTGCCCGCCCTCTCCCTTGTGGTTAAATTTCACAGACTGTAACCTCCATCTAGAGATGCATCCTCTCCTATGAGATCTAGTTCCCAAGGTCATCCTGGTTCTGGAAAAGTACATGGGGAAGAGGGAACTTCCTCTTACTTCCCTGCAAGGGTCTCTAGGATCACAACAGTCTGGCTTCAGGAAATCTATGGATTGCTTTAGGCAGCAGACACTAATCTCTAAAATGAAGGTGGTCACAACTGCCTCAACTAGGTGACATTAACAATATGTGAAGTGAAATATATATATATAAATATATAATTTATTTATTTATATACATATATATAATAATTAGACCAGCTCTCTGCAAAGCCACAGGGAAACATAAAAATCAAGACAACTGATGGCCGAATAGGAACAGCTCCAGTCTACAGCTCCCAGTGTGAGTGACACAGAAGACAGGAGATTTCTGCATTTCCAACTGAGGTACTGGGTTCATCTCACTGGGGAGTGCCGAACAGTGGGTGCAGGAGAGTGGGTGCAGCGCACCATGCGTGAGCCGAAGCAGGGCAAGGCATCACCTCACCTGGGAAGCGCAAGGGGTCAGGGAATTCCCTTTCCTAGTCAAAGAAAGGGGTGACAGACGGCACCTAGAAAATCGGGTCACTCCCACCCTAATATTGTGCTTTTCCAACGGGCTTAACAAATGGCACACCAGGAGATTATATCCCGCACCTGGCTTGGAGGGTCCTATGCCCACGGAGCCTCGCTCATTGCTAGCACAGCAGTCTGAGATCAAACTGCGAGGTGGCAGCAAGGCTGGGGGAGGGGCGCCCACTATTGCTCAGGCTTGAGTAGGTAAACAAAGTGGCCCGAAAGCTCAAACTGGGTGGAGTCCAACACAGCTCAAGGAGGCCTGCCTGCCTCTGTAGGCTCCACCTCTGGGGGCGGGGCACAGACAAACAAAAGACAGCAATAACCTCTGCATACTTAAATGTCCCTGTCTGACAGCTTTGAAGAGCGTAGTGTTTCTCCCAGCACGCAGCTTGAGATCTGAGAATGGGCAGACTGCCTCCTCAAGTGGGTCCCTGACCCCCGAGTAGCCTAACTGGGAGGCACCCCCGAGTAGGGGGCTGACTGACACCTCACACAGCCGGGTACTCCTCTGAGACAAAACTTCCAGAGGAACGATCAGGCAGCAGCATTTGCGGTTCACCGATGTACACTATTCTGCAGCCACCACTGCTGATACCCAGGCAAACAGGGTCTGGAGTGGACCTCTAGCAAACTCCAACAGAGCTGCAGCTGAGGGTCCTGTCTGTTAGAAGGAAAACTAACAAACAGAAAGGACATCCACACCAAAAACCTGTCTGTACGTCACCATCATCAAAGACCAAAGGTAGATAAAACTACAAAGATGGGAAAAAAACAGAGCAGAAAAAGTGGAAACTCTAAAAATCAGAATGCCTCTCCTCCTCCAAAGGAATGCAGCTCCTCACCAGCAATGGAACAAAGCTGGATGGAGAATGACTTTGACAAAATGAGAGAAGAAGGCTTCAGACAATCAAACTACTCCGAGCTACAGGAAGAAATTCGAACCAATGTCAAAGAAGTTAAAAGCTTTGAAATAAAATTAGATGAATGGATAACTAGAATAACCAAAGCAGAGAAGTCCTTAAAGGACCTGATAGAGCTGAAAACCAAGGCGCGAGAGCCACGTGATGAGTGCAGAAGCCTCAGTAGCCGATGCAATCAACTGGAAGAAAGGGTATCAGTGATGGAAGACGAAATGAATAAAATGAAGCAAGAAGAGAAGTTTAGAGAAAAAGAATAAAAAGAAACGAACAAAACCTCCAAGAAATATGGGACATGTGAAAAGACCAAATCTACGTTTGACTGGTGTACCTGAAAGTGACGGGGAGAATGGAACCAAGTTGGAAAACATTCTACAGGATATTATCCAGGAGAACTTCCCCAATCTAGCAAGGCAGGCCAACATTCAAATTCAGGAAATACAGAGAATGCCACAAAGATACTCCTCGAGAAGAGCAACTCCAAGACACATAATTGTCAGATTCACCGAAGTTGAAATGAAGGAAAAAATGTTAAGGGCAGCCAGAGAGAAAGGTCGGGTTACCCACAAAGGGAAGCCCATCAGACTAACAGCTGATCTCTCGGCAGAAACTCTACAAGCCAGAAGAGAGTGGGGGCCAATATTCAACATTCTTAAAGAAAAGAATTTTCAACCCAGAATTTCATATCCAGCCAAACTAAGCTTCATAAGCGAAGGAGAAATAAAATACTTTACAGACAAGCAAATGCTGAGAGATTTTGTCACCACCAGGCCTGCCCTACAAGAGCTCCTGAAGGAAGCACTAAACATGAAAAGGAACAACCGGTACCACCCACTGCAAAAACATGCCAAATTGTAAAGACCATCAAGGCTAAGAAGAAACTGCATCAAAGCAAAATAACCAGCTAACATCATAATGACAGGATCAAATTCACACATAACAATACCAACCTTAAATGTAAATGGGCTAAATGCTCCAATTAAAAGGCACACACTGGCAAATTGGATAAAGGGTCAACACCCATCAGTGTGCTGTATTCAGGAAACCCATCCGACGTGCAGAGACACACATAGGCTCAAAATAAGGGATGGAGGAAGATCTACCAAGCAAATGGAAAATAAAAAAAGGCAGGGGTTGCAATCCTAGTCTCAGATAAAACAGACTTTAAACCAACAAAGATCAAAAGAGACAAAGAAGGCCATTACATAACGGTAAAGGGATCAATTCAACAAGAAGAACTAACTATCCTAAATACATATGCACCCAATATAGGAGCACCCAGATTCATAAAGCAAGTCCTTAGTGACCTACAAAGTGACTTAGACTCCCACACAATAATAATGGGAGACTTTAACATCCCACTGTCAACATTAGACAGATCAACGAGACAGAAAGTTAACAAGGTTATCCAGGAATTGAACTCAGCTCTGCACCAAGCGGACCTAACAGAAATCTACAGAACTCTGCACCCCAAATCAACAGAATATACATTCTTTTCAGTACCACACCATACCTATTCCAAAACTGACCACATAGTTGGAAGTAAAGCACTCCTCAGCAAATGTAAAAGAACGGAAATTACAACAAACTGTCTCTCAGACCACAGTGCAATCAAACTAGAACTCAGGATTAAGAAAATCACTCAAAACTGCTCAATTACATGGAAACTGAACAACCTGCTCCTGAATGACTACTGGGTACATAATGAAATGAAGGCAGAAATAAAGATGTTCTTTGAAACCAATGAGAACAAAGACACAACATACCAGAATCTCTGGGACACATTCAAAGCAGTGTGTAGAGGGAAATGTATAGCACCAAATGCCCACAAGAGAAAGCAGGAAAGATCTAAAATTGACACCCTAACATCACAATTAAAAGAACTAGAGAAGCAAGAGCAAACACATTCAAAAACTAGCAGAAGGCAAGAAATAACTAAGATCAGAGCAGAACTGAAGGAAATAGAGACACAAAACACCCTTCAAAAAATCAATGAATCCAGGAGCTGTTTTTTTGAAAAGACCAACAAAATTGACAGACCACTAGCAAGACTAATAAAGAAGAAAAGAGAGAAGAATCAAATAGATGCAATAAAAATGATAAAGGGGATATCACCACCAATCCCACAGAAATACAAACTACCATTAGAGAACACTATAAACATCTCTACGCAAATAAACTAGAAAATCTAGAAGAAATGGATAAATTCCTCGACACATACACTCTCCCAAGACTAAACCAGGAAGAAGTTGAATCTCTGAATAGACCAATAACAGGCTCTGAAATTGAGGCAATAATTAATAGCTTACCAACCAAAAAAAGTCCAGGGCCAGATGGATTCACAGCCGAATTCTACCAGAGGTACAAGGAGGAGCTGGTACCATTCCTTCTGAAACTATTCCAATCAATAGAAAAAGAGGGAATCCTCCCTAACTCATTTTATGAGGCCAGCATCATCCTGATACCAAACCCTGGCAGAGACACAACAAAAAAAGAGAATTTTAGACCAATATCCTTGATGAACATTGATGCAAAAATCCTCAATAAAATACTAGCAAACCGAATCCAGCAGCACATCAAAAAGCTTATCCACCATGATCGAGTGGGCTTCATCCCTGGGATGCAAGGCTGGTTCAATATACGCAAATCAATAAATGTAATCCAGCATATAAACAGAACCAAAGACAAAAACCACATGATTATCTCAATAGATGCAGAAAAGGCCTTTGACAAAATTCAACAACCCTTCGTGCTAAAAACTCTCAATAAATTAGGTATTGATGGGACGTATTTCAAAATAATAAGAGCTATCTATGACAAACCCACAGCCAATATCATACTGAATGGCCAAAAACTGGAAGCATTCCCTTTGAAAACTGGCATTTCCTCTTTTCTTCCATGTCTGCCTCTTTCTTCCTCTTCTTTCCTTCTTTTCCCTTCCATTCCATTCTCTCTAACAGGATTTGTGGAATACCCACCATATGTTTGGCTTATGCTAGACATTAAGGAAATATGAGGGAAGCTAAGATTTACGAATCTTAGAATTATGCATAGTTAGGCATTTTTATATGTGCTCTGATTTTTAACCTTTAGAAGAACCTTGGTGAGGAGACATTATACCATGGTGTTTTCTCCCCTTTATATAAATTAGGCATGTCTTAATTGGCTTGCTCAAGATTATACACTTGGGGGCTGGTGTCAGCAATCCAATCCAAATCTGCTTCTAAGGCCCAGATTCTCTCCACCTTAACATGCAGACCAAGCACATAATCATATTCCAGTGCAGCAGGAACAATGGGACAATGGAAGCAAATATAGGGTTCTGTAGGAGACTGGGAGCAACAAAGCTGGAGGGCAGAGATAATTTATAGAGTAAGAAATTAGCCCCAGAAAAGACAACAACTCACCCAAGAACATACAGCTATTTTGTGTGTGTTAGAGACAGGATTAGTGTTCTTATCTTCTAGGTCAAGTGCAATCTAGGTGGTAGATCACTAGGCTGCTCACTATCCACCCATTTTAATGTTAATTTAATTTTATTTATTATTATTTTTTTAGAGGTGGGGTTTCACCATGTTGCCCAGACTGGTCTTGAACTCCTGAGCTCAGGTGATCCACCCCCCTTGGCCTCCCACAGTGCTGGGATTACAGGCGTGAGCACCATCCCCAGCCTCTACCATTTTAATTTTATAAGCTGTACTTTTAGGGCTTGTTTTTTATGTAGCCCCAGGTTATACCATTATCCCCTCCTGGAAGACACAGTAGATCCTAGAAATTGGGGTCAAATCCCAAATTTTTTATTTTAGTATGTTTATTTTTCCACATGAGCATATGTAGGGAGATGCATTTCCCTAGATGACTTGAATATGCTCTGAATCAGTGCAAGGAAAGTGTAGAGCCATTTGGCTCAGATCCTGTCAAATGAAAAAAAAAAAAAGAGAGAGAGAGAGAGTGAGACTGTGGGAGGCAGAGAGAATGGGTAGCTTTCTGTCCAGTTGTGGCTCTGAAGTTCTAAGACGAGTTTGTTTGGGTGAGATCAGCAGGAGGGATCACAAAAGGAGAATTCTGCTCCCCCACTCTCCCTCCTCTGCTCATCTGTCCGGAACAACTCATGCCTTCTGTGCCTCTTCCCATATGTTACAAGCATGTTTGGTCTAACTGGTTTCTCTCTAAATTAATGCAGGGCTCCTCTTTTAAAAAGTCTTCCTTATATAATGTAGAACCTGGCAGGCTCAAAGAAAAATTAGCTACCCACAGCCCCACAGATGAATAAAAATCTGGGCCTTGTTTACTCTTTCTGCAAACAAGCATCAATTAGAAAAAGTCAAAAAGGGTTGTGCTTTGCCTTCTAACTTGAGAACATCTATGAGGAATCTACAAGTTCTTCTTGTGAGTGTGGCTAAGAGTTGAGATGTTGTGACAAGGCCGCATTGATGTCTATGAGCCTGTCTGGACCATTTTTTCAGGAATAGGAGGAAACTTTATTTTACTGATTGTTTTGATTTTGTTTCAAAGAACAAAACATTTGAAGAAACTGCTTGGTATGTGGTGAGACTTCTCTTTGTCAAACTGGAAGATACCAGGTTTTAAGTTGTGCTAGAATGATGAAAGTCAAGAAAGTGAAGTCAGGAAACCTAGGCTCTGTACCTAAGTACAGAGTCTGTTTAGCCACTGTCCCTGTCTGTCATTAGAAAAGTATTTCGTTAGGTCAGATCAGAGGCGGTTTATGCCTGATCTGTGTGTGCCACTGATACCTCCTATGTTCATGACAGACATCCTCAATCTATGGAGACCCTCTCTCATGCATTGCAGGAGTATAGCTTCAGGATTCTTCATAACATTTTCCACTAGAGAGTAGCTGTCTGCTAAAATCTGTTATTCATCTCCATGATAGATCATCACTTACATCTTTTCTAAATTCTTTTTTAAAAATCTGTTGCCAGGGAAGAAGTATTTACCCTCATTCTACAAACATATTTTCCTTTGTCCCAGTCCCACCTGACAAGTAGAAACGTATTTTGGTTGTGTCTTTTTCAAATATGTATGAACTTATCCACAAGCAACTTTCAACAACTTTATAAAATTTGGAATTAGTGTAGATAAAAAAATCAAATGTTTGGATACTGAGCTAAAAACAATTTGATGTGTTGCGTGTGATCCATCTGAATCCAAATACTCAGTTGGCAAACTCACAAGAGACAAGCACTCTTTCTTCTGTTGTTTCTGATCCAGCCATCCAAATGAGCGGGGAACAAGTCCCAAACATGATGCAGCCTTCTTCAGCTTTGTGGATTACTATACATTTTGGCACTAAGACGAATTAAGATTCAGGAGGTGGCAGATAAAAAGATTTTTCTAAACAAGCTTCCATTTCACATACTCAGATGGGATAGAATTAAATGCAGTGACCTGGAGATGGAGAAGAAGTGGTGCGCAGACAAGCCAAGAGCATTGCATT
Source organism: Homo sapiens (assembly GCF_000001405.40). Classification (NCBI taxonomy): domain Eukaryota; kingdom Metazoa; phylum Chordata; class Mammalia; order Primates; family Hominidae; genus Homo; species Homo sapiens. Next base: position 115,956,330 of record NC_000009.12, on the reverse strand, counting down.
TGGAGTCAGAGAAGGTGGTGGGTTCTGATCTGCACTCTCCTCCTATCTTGTGAGATTTTTGGATCTTTCTCTTCCCTTCTTCAGATGTGCAGCTCTAATTGGTGTTAAGCACCCAGTCCATTCCCTGTTCTGATTCCATAAATCTGCTGCTCAGCTTCAGAAGGGTGGATAGATAATCCTGGTGTTTCTCAGAGCTACTCCTGGTTGCATTTTTACATCTTCAATCACTTGAAATCTGGGAAGGGATAAAATGTATCAAATATCATCCTTCTTTTCCCATTTAATATTTTAGGAAATTAACTTTTCATTGGGTGCTCAGTGACTCTCAATTGTGTGAGCAGGAGTCTTCAGAATTTTTAACTTTTATTATTATAATACATGTCAGGGTACTTTTGTTGATAAACTTGCAGTGGGGTTTGCCTGCTTTGGGTTTCCTCACTTTACTCTTTCCTGCTAAGTCTCACTATCCACAACATCCTGTTTCTATTCTTTACAGAATTTTTTTTTTTTTTTTCTTGACAGAGTCTCATGCTGTTGCCCAGGCCGGAGTGCAGTGGCACAATCTCAGCTCACTGAAACCTCCAACCTCCTGGGTTCAAGCGATTCTCCTGCCTCAGCCTCCCAAGTAGCTGGGATTACAGGCACCTGCCATCATGCCCTGCTAATTTTTTTATTTTTAGTAGAAATGGGTTTTTGCCATGTAGGCCAGGCTGGTCTCAAACTCCTGACCTCAAATGATCTGCCTGCCTCGGCCTCCTAAAGTGCTGGGATTACAGGCATGAACCACTGTGCCTGGCTATTCTTTAGAGAATTTCAATCTCTATCCTATGCATTCTTTAAAGCCCAGCATTTTATTTTCTCTATGAAGCCATTCTAAGCCATCACAGTCAATTTTTTTGTAATTTGTTACACATTTGATCATGAACAATCTTCTTGTCTTCATAGTTATCTCACCCTTTTATCATTTGCCCATTTGTGTATTTGTTGCCTACTTTCCAAATGATTTGAGGAGGCACATGTAATAATAATAATAAATTATTTCATGTTAAATTTTAAGCAGTGTGGTAGATATGCTTATGTGCATATTTTTTCCACACATAATCTTTAAAACCACACCTAGAGAATGTTATTAGCATGATTTTGAGTGAAATAACTTAAAGTAGAAGTGATTAAGGTTATACAACTAGCAACTGACAGAGATGACCTTGAAACTTAGTATTGTGTGACTCCAAAATGCATGCTTCTGGCCGGGCGCATGGCTCATGGCTGCAATTCCAGCACTTTGGGAATTCGAGGTGGGTGGATCAGTTGAGGACAGGAGTTTGAGACCAGCCTGGACAACATGTGAAACCCTGTGTCTACTAAAAATACAAAAATTATCTGGGCATGGTGGCGAGGCCTGTAATCCCAGCTACTCAGCAGGCTGAGGTGGGAGAATTGCTTGAACCTGGGGGGGGCGGAGGTTGCAGTGAGCCAAGATTTTGTCATTGCATTACAGCAAGGGAGATAGAGGGAGACTCTGTCTCAAAAACAAACAAACAAACAAAAAAACATGTTTCTTCATTTTGGAGTAATAAGCAGAATCTGAGAATGAACTGTGTATTACATAATAAACCAATACTACATGGCTGAACTTGACAATATAACTAAGTAATGTAAGAGAATATCCTTTTTCTTAGTATATACACCCTGATTATTCACAGGTAAAGGGCCATGATGTAAGCAGTTAACTATCAATCAGGAGAAAAAAGTGTGTGTGTGTGTGTGTGTGTGAATGTGTGTGTGTATTGTTATGTGTGTGTATGAATGGGAATTCATATTATTCTTGCAACTTTTTCTGTAGGTTTGAAATCATTTTGAAATAAAATGAAAAACAACAAAAGGGAAAAAACAAAAACAAAATGAATGCTGCTTCTACTACCACATTCTTTATTGTCTTTTTGCCACAAATCCTTTAATCAGTAGGTGAGAAAAGCCACATATTAAGAGCTAGAAAAGAAGCAAGGAAGTTAGTAAAGGAAAGATAAAAGCATATTTTTAAAAATCTTGGTTGAGTAAGGTTGTAACAATTGAGTGCCAAAATTAGCATTGAGCTTCCTGTAACCCTAGGCAAGGAGAGAAACCTAATGGGTATCTATCTTTTGGCATCTAGCAGAAGAAAGTATAGATAGATACACATGTTACCCTGGATTCCACTTCTGAGATGAACTTGTCACAAAGGATACTGAGGAATACATTGGAAGATGTCCAGAGTGCAAAAGATATTTTGCAAATATTTCTTTGTTGTATATAGCATTAGTCTGGATGAACACTGAAAGATTAGTGCTAAATCATAATTCCATAAAGACAATTCTTTAGGGACCTCAAAGAATATGGCCAGTGGATACCACTCTCTGCTGATCTGGCTTAACCTAGGGATAAAATGTGGAGAATTTTACGGTTTGAATAGTCAGCACGTTTTTAATCCAATATTTACTTGAGATGGTAGCGCTTTTGTTTTGTTTTTACATAAATAATGAGATGCATACTGTTTCTTAATTTTTAGTATGAGAAAATTTGCTAATTGCTTTATAGTTATATAAATATATGGTTATTTTGCAAAAGATTATTTATAAGATTCATTGAGCTATACTTGTAAATAGCAGAGAGTCATATGAAAAACAATATAGTGTGGAAATTGATGGCTTTGGGGTCCTTGGGGGTAGGGTGTGGTCAGTGAAATCTTCCCAGAGGAGGTACATTTGAGCTGATAACTATTAAATAATTAAAAAAAATACACACCAAGAGTAGTAAGTTTTACTCTGGAGGTAGGTTCAAAGAAAAAAGATAGCTCAAAAGATAAAGTGTCCAACTCTGAGTTACAATCAAGGTGACATTTGAAATGAATATTAAAGGATGAATTTTCCCAGGAGGCAAGGGAGAGAGGTATTCTGAGGAGAGGAAACCGCATCTCCAATGACACGGAAGCATGAAACATGAAAAGCAAATGCACACTAGGTAATTTTAAGTTGCTTTGTGTGGCCTGAGCCTGCCCATGAAGGAAAGTGGTCAAAAATCAAGCTAGAGGTCAACAGAGGGAGATAAGGAAGGACTGCATATGAAATTCCAAAGAGTTTGAGTTTTGTTCTGGGAAGCATGAGGCCTGTATTTTAGTAAAGCACTACTTTGTGACTGATTGGGAAGAGTGACTGGAGAAGTGTTGGGCTGGAATCAAGGAAACACAATGAAAAGGCTGCTGTGATCATCCAGCAAAGAGATGATGAACTAGCACTGAGGAGCTAGTGAGAGTGAGATGGAGTAAGAGGAGAAGGTGGGATTGAAAGATATTTAGGCAATAAAATCAATTGATTTTGGTAACTGTGTGGCAACTCTGCAAGTGCTAAGAACTACGGGAGGAAGAAATACATCTGTCCTGGGGTCAAAATATTGCAACAATTTACAAAGTGCCTGACTCATGATAGCAGCCCAAATGACCCATTGTTAAATAAATAAACATTTTTAGCTTGAATGACCGGGAAATAGCGATGTCTCAGCCAGACATTCAACTAATGACACAGAATTGAGGACACTAGCTGATATGCATAGGGCTTCTCTAGGATTAGAATATATTTCTCTAATTATCATAATTAGAGAAGTGCAGTGTACTAGCACTTGGTTAAGCACTGTACATATGGTATTGCAATTAGCAGTTATGAGTTATGACCATAATAGTTTAGAGGAATTCCTCTATGGGGAATGAATCATTGCTATAATCGCCATTTTAGAAACAAAGAAACTCAGGCTCTGAAAGATTAGGAAAATCAACCAATGTCACAAAGTTAGTGAGTAGCAGAGCCAGGTTTTGGACACAGATCAGTGAGATTCAAAGCCTATATTCTTTTTTAAAAAATTTTATTTTACTTTACCTTCTGGGATACACGTGCAGAACATGCAGGTTTGTTACATAAGTATACATGTACCATGGTGGTTTGCTGCAGCTATCAACCTGTCATCTAGGTTTTAAGCCCCACATGCATTAGATATTTGTCCTAATTCAAAGCCTATATTCTTAACCAGGATGAACAGAGATTGAGAGAGAGCAAATTGCTCAAGGTCGCATAGTGAGCAAGAGTTTCACAGGGGCTGGAGCCATCTCTTTCTCTTATGCCACGTGTTTTGGCTGAGCAGGCTAGTTAAATTCTGATGATGTCTTACTATAGGACTCAGACTATAGATATCTACCGGCTGTTATAGAGAACATGCAAAAACTGCACTATTTACTGGGTAGACATCAGTAAGTCCTCTATTTCCTTTTAGTCTCCAGCCAACGAACAGCTTACTGCAGTGACTTTACTACTGAAGATGGAAAGCTGTTAAAAGAAGAAACTGGGCTTAAATAGGGAGTACCAGAACACAAGAAGTGATGTTATTCTTACTATAATCTGCTGACAATCAAAGGACTTAGGAGCTCTAAATTATATTAGTAAACAAGAATGTTCACAGAATATTGGCATTTTTTATGCTCTTGGCAAACTGCTGAGATATTAAAGATGCATGTTGGAGTTCATAAACTTTCATAATTGCACATGGACACCAAGTTTCTATCTCAATGGAGAAGAAGATTGAGAGCTATGGCTTGCGAGACTCTGGGAAAATCTTCCTTCAAATGTCTGCCATTGTCAAGCAACACAGAGGTGCACTGATAAAGGAAATTTAAGGATTAATAACACCTCAGGAGTGACATTATCTAGGATCTAGCTTTACCTATGACTGTCCTTCCTGCCTCTTCTTGAGGGCTTCAGTTTTAAACTCCTTTTTGGGGAGTCCCATTATTTGCTGGGTAGTGCTACCTGGCAGAACCAAGTTTTTCGTGGTTAAGGTCTGTTAAATAGTAACTTTAGTTCTGTCCTAAGAGCATCCCGTTGTTCCATAAAAATGATACCTCCTATATTGGAGGACAGCTCTTTATTCCATTATGTCCTTTCTCTACAAGGTTTTAGAATGAAGAGCTGTAGTCACCAATATGATAAGAATGCAGATAAAACCAGTCTTCATTTATTGACCACATCAGACAAAGTTCTAGATGGATTTTATGGATGGTATTTTATTTAATCCTAACTAGGACACAGAAACAGAAGTGATAATTATTTCTATATTATATATGAGGATACTATATCTCAGTCAGGTGTTAAAAATTTACCTTGTTACTCAATGAGTAAATGATGGTTCTATAATTTGAATTCAAATGGTTCTCATTCCAGAGATTAAGCTTTTTCTGATATACCAAGCAGTCTCTCAAGTTTTACCTTCTTGGGCTTTTTAAAAAGATGTTCATTTCTTCCTTCACACACATTACTTCTAAACAGTTATATATGTAGAAAAGGAAGTTCGGTTATGGAGAAACATGTGCTTGCTGTTAAAGTTTTATATCATCCTTATTTTGAGTCATTTTCTAGGAAAACTCATAATTAGATGAAAATCTAGTCATTGAACTTTTAAGAACATTATTTTGTGATGATGTTAATAAACATAAAAATAATATGGCCAGGTCAAGTTGAAACTATCCCCTTTAGTTCTTTGTGAATGGGAGTAGAGATTAGACAGTTTTTTGAAGGTCTGTGAGCCCATGATGGGGATTTGATTCCAAGTGTTCTAGGAGATTGACATGAGCTGACTTGCCTTTTTTATATATTTCTCATTCCATTAAGTGGAAAACAAATGAAAGGGCCCACGTAGAGGCAGGGAAACAAGTAACGAGGCTAGTGAGGCTATGTTGGTGATGGGGGAGTGAAACAGGGCGAGGGACTGGAGTGATGGACTAGGGGGAAGTGAAACTGGGTGATGGACTAGAGTGATGGACAAAGGAGAAATGGACAAAAGAAAGGCTCACTAGGGGAGGTGGACTAGGATGATAGTCTGGGGGAGGGAGACTAGGGGAAAATGAAACAGGGTGAGGGACTAGGGTGATGATGAAGTGGAAATGGACTAAAGAAAGGTGGGCTAGGAGAGATGGGCTGGGATGATAGACTTGGGTGATAGACGATGGTGAAATGGACTATAGAAAGTGGACCAGAAAGAGGTGAACTAGGAGATGGTGGACTAGGGAGAGGAGTGGACTGGGAGGAGTGGGCTAGGGTAGTGAATGTGGGTGATGGAGTAAGGGGAGATGCAGTGGGGTGGTGAAGGGGGAAATAATGAGTGGTACTGGGATTTGGGATACACTATTTTTTATTTTTTAATTTTTTAAAATTATTTTATTTATTTATTTTTTTGAGATGGAGTTTTGCTCTGTCGCCCACGCTGGAGTGCAGTGGCGAGATCTTGGCTCACTGCAAGCTCCACCTCCCAGGTTCACACCATTCTCCTGTCTCAGCCTCCTGAGTACCTGGGACTACAGGTGCCCACCACCATGCCCAGCTAATTTTTTGTATTTTTAGTTGAGACGGGGTTTCACCATGTTAGCCATGATGGTCTCGATCTCCTGACCTCGTGATCCACCTGCCTCGGCCTCCCAAAGTGCTGGGATTACAGGAATGAACCACCACGCCCGACCTGGGATACACTTTTTAAATGAAAGTGGCAAAAATTGCCAAATGATTGGCTGTGGGGTTGTATGGCACTGATTCCACTTCTAAAAACTTATTGTAAGTTGATAATCATGAATCTCCTTCAAGATATAAGAATGTTTATGGTTTAAAATAGCACAATGTTAGAAATGTTTTATTAAAAAAATTAGAGGCTAATTAAGTATGTTGTGGAAAATTCTGGAATGATACAATCCAAAATTGAGCGGACGTCTTGTCTGGATTGTGAGTTTCTCCGCAGTTTGCTTCCTTCCTTCCTTCTTTCCTTCCTTCCTTCCTTCCTTCCATCCTTCCTTTTCTTTCTCTCTCTCTTTCTTTTGATCTTTCCTTTTTTGTTGATCTGAAATTTTAAACATGTTTAAAATGAGACTATTTTATTCTGTTAAAAAAAAGTCAGTTATGTTTGAAAAGTAAACCTATCCTTATTTGACTGCACTTCTGCACAGCAGGATCAACCGATTTTCCATTTAAAATGTATCCCCAAAACACAGTTCAGTTGGCCATCCTGTGAAGGACTTCACAAATACTCCTGATAGATTTACTATGTAGTAATATGAGCCCAAACTGTGGCTAACGCTGGGATTCATACATGTTTGAAAACTGTCTGGGTACATGTTTATTTATATGCGTAGTTTTGCACTGGTTGGAGGTGATGGAATGGGGAAGGTTTTACAGAAGGAGGAAAGTGGAATGGTGAGAACAACCACATGCCTATGATATGTCTGGCATGACCCAGAGACTGAGGTTATAGGTAATTACACAGGGTCTCTGTGAGGCACAGAAGTACAAAGATGGCATCTTTGGTATTCAGGAAGAGAAATATGGCACTGAATGGATGCAAATAAACTTCTGCTCACTGTTGGGGAGCACGCAGTCAAACTTTGGCATTTTGAGGGTGCCTGGAAATGCAGAACATCTAGAAATACCAGTTCTGGGAGCATCCTGACAAGTTCGTGTCCTTGGAAGTCCTGAGGCTTCCTCTCCAAATGGATTCATCATCTAACATGAAAGAGGGGGAAATGGGGAAGTAAATGTAAATGTAAAACATAGTGACTATCATAAAGTACCTGGAGTGAATGGGCTTCATTTGAACCTATGTATGGCATCTATAGTCTTCAAAGAGTTAACAAATTGAGGTTTAGAGTTAAAATCCTTTGTTATGCAAAAGAAAATATAGATTATCATCTTTAATGTAACCCTATTTATATACAAAGGGTAGTATAATGTGGTGGGGTTAAGGCTACAATAGAATATAGAGTCTTAGTTCTCAAATCCTAGAGATGAGAAGACACTAGAAGTTCTCTAATGCCTTCGGTCAATTCCAGTCACCCAAATAGACGGTTCTTAGTTTCTGAATGCCTCCTTTGATGGTACCTATTAATTCCCTTTTTGGTGTATCAGATAGTCTAATTTCTCTCTTCTCCCAATAATGTTGCTTGAAACCACGGACAGGGAGGGGCTGTCGTGGCTGAGAGGATGAGTGGGGGCTCAAACCCAATCTGTGCTGTATTCACCAACCTATGTGCCCAGGCTTGGTGAAATGATGGCTTTATTTTTATTATTATTATTATTTTTATCTGAGGAAGAAATTTAAACAACTAACATTCCCCAAAAGGTGCCTTTTTCTTTTTTTAAAAAAGTTATTCACTCAAAGTCACCACACATGCTCAAAGGCAATGTAGAACATGGGCCAGATCCATTAACTCTGGCCACAACAAAGGCTCATGATGTTCAGTGGGAATTCCCACAATTCTATGCTCCCTAGGCTGAAAGGATCCAAGTGCAGAAAACAAACTGAAATTATCAGCAAACTGTCTCAACCAGGACCTATGCTACACATGTTTTGTTTAGCATCTCATTCAACCCATACAACACCCCTTAAGAGCAAATTCTATTCTACTTTTATAACTTAGAACGCTGGAGCTCATCAAACTGGAGTTCGTGTACCTAGAAGGCAACAGAATCAGGACACCAACTTGTATTCATTCCATATGACTTCTTGAATTTGCTACCGATAGTTCTTTCAGTCTTTACAATCATTGGCTTCTTCTTGTTGGATTTTCCTTTGGTCACTTCCCTGGGGTCCAATCTCTGTTTACTAATTCTTCATCAATTAAGTAGAATGTTACCACTCATCTCTGTCTGATTTGGGCACACAATATGCTGCCAAACACTTTCAGCTCTAACAGTACTAGAAAAGATATTATCTCTGAATCACAACCATCTTTCTCATTGTATCGAATTCATCCTTGTGGCATCTGGCTCTGGCTCCAGCTTTAAGTTTTTGACTCCTTCGCTCAATCTCTTCACATATTCTTTTTTTTTGTTTTGTGACGGAGTCTCACTTTTTCTCCCAGACTGGAGTTCAGTGGCATGATCTCAGCTCACTGCAACCTCCACCTCCTGGGTTTAAGTGATTCTCTTGCCTCAGCCTCCCGAGTAGCTGGGATCACAGGCACTCGCCGCCACACTTGGGTAATTTTTGTATTTTTAGTAGAGACGGCAGGGCTTCACCATGTTGGCCAGGCTGGTCTCAAACTCCTGACCTCAGGTGATCTGCCCACCTTGGCCTCCCAAATTGCTGGGATTACAGGTGTAAGGCACCGCGGCTGGCCTCTTCACATATTCTAAGACATTTTATCAATTGCCCAACATAATTATTTTTTTAAAAAAACATTTTATTTAATAATTCTATTTTTTTAAAAAAACTCTTTTTTATTCCGTCTATTAGGACATGGCCTTAGGTCGAACCAATATTAATTTACAGTCTCATTTCTCTCTGGAAGTGGAATCCTACAAGCATTTTTATTCTACATCTCTTTGGCAGATATGCAAACAAACCATTCTACATGACTACACGAAATTTTGCTTGTTTCTCTCTCTACAGCTGGTCTCCAATTGTTTCATGTGCATTTGTTTTCTTCCCCTGACTTGACTCCTTGATGGCAATGTTGTGTACACAGAAGTTACGTCATACATGTGAGTTAGTTGATCTAATTCTTTATTTACTCAATGCTCCTAGCTCACTCTTTGCCCTCCCCCTTCCTGGTCACCTGGTTAAATAGGCTCTTGATAAATACTTACTGAATGAAATAATGAACCAGCACCAACTAAATATAAGGTGCTATTGTAATAATTGGCTGGGTCAGTCAGATACTTGGATACCATGTGGAATTCTGTGGCAGCATTGGAATCCCACTGGATATATGGAGGTCTGGCAGAGAGCAAACTGTGGTTGAATTTGGGCACAAGAGGGTGAGGGTGGAAATGGGAAAAATTGAGCAGGAGTCATTATGTCTGGGGATGAAATGGAAGGTCTGAACAGGAAAAATAGCAGCTGAATAGCAGACTGGCTGTTAGGATTGAAAAATCAGGTGTGAAAATCAACTACAATAGTAATAATAATGATAATATTAATGAATTTACAATATTAAAAGTAGACTGTCCCATGGTTTGTTGTTAATTTATCAATTTCTGAGTATTTTCTTACTAAGAAATATTAATTTCTTAGTATTTTCTGAGATTTACAAATCTTCATTGCAGATATGAAACCTAAAATTCATTTTGGAAAAGAACAAAATGGATCATAAAGTAGATTAAATTCTAATTAATGACATTCATACTGGAGAATTGGGTGAAATGTAGTGATGCCTTCCAACTTAGTTTTAAACATGTCACAAATAAGATAGATTGATGGAGAGAGAGGGGGGAGATCTAGAGAGAGGTATGTGATAAGACAATTATATTAATAGTGAAAGGTTAGTTACAGAATCTGAGTGGTAGGTATATGTATGTTTACTATAAAAATACTTAAACTATACTGTTTATTTGAAAATTTTTATAATAAAATCCTGAGAAAAAATAAATTATAGAGAAATTGATTCAGATCTCTTAAAAATAACCATATTGGAGCCTACAATGATTAGATCAAAATACTAGTTTTTTAGGTAGAATTTTCCAGCATAGTAATAAATCTTCATATTTATGCAAGGTTTTATTGTCCACCAAGTACAAAGTGTGATGATTGAGGGAAAAGACTCTGGAGCCAGACTAGCTGATTTCTGATTACTATCTATGAATAAACCATTTAACTTCTTGGTCTCTTAATTCCTTTGTTAGTCGAATCTGTGTAATAATTCTCCTAGGGTAGTTGTGAAGAGTAAATAAATCAGTAAATGTAAAATGCTTAGAAAGTGCTAAGAAGCAAATAAGCTCTATATTAATGCCATCTATTATAATTGTAATAATAATTGTTATGCCTTCCTCATTAGTTCTTAGGACAGAAATGGTTACTCTGCTTTTCAGCTGAAGTAACTGAGGTCTAGAGAAATATCTCTTGCCCAAAGCCATATGGTTTCATTTTAGGTGATACTGGGTCTAAAGTTAAGTCTTCATTGCCTCTTTCAAATATGCTTCTCCTTGTGTTCCAACTCCCATTGCAATGTCCAATCAAATTGAGGTGCAAAGAAATGCTAAGTGCCTGGCTGGGTGCCTGGCACATGGTAGGCACTTAAAAAGTAGGTGAATGATAAAAGTTCATTTATAGCACTTACTGTGTGTGTTACCCTGCTAATCACTATACATTATCTCAAAGAATCCTTGTAAAAGCTCTAAGAGTTTTGTTTTACTGCCCTGACTTTCCAGATGAGAGCAGAGGCTTTAGAAAGGGTATGTTGCCCAAGATCCCACAGCTAGCAAGTCTGAACCACAGATCCATCTGGTTCCAAAGCCCATGCATTTTTAACAACCCTGCAACACTTTCATGAATGAAGGGAGGCTGCTTCAAAGCTTAGCCGAATGGTAGAAATTAGGGGACATGAGCCATTTTACCCTTAATCCACAGTGCCTTCCCCTAAGTCCTTCTCATCATAGATGCATTGTATTACTAGCAAATGTGAATGTTTTGATGAATTAGGCAAAACACTCCAACTGCCTGTACATTGCAACATCTTCCCTTCAAAGGCCAGGGAATGTAGACTGTACGTTCTTTGTCCAGCTTGTCTGAATGCGTCAACGCTGTCTGGGAGGCACAGAGGTGGATGCTTTCCTAGCAGGGGTGAGGCCCCTCCTGAATGTCCAGCTCCCGTATTTGTAACATTGCCATGTGCTGCCACTGGGCCAAGGAATGAAGGGGCCTATGGTCCCAGCCTCCTCAGATTACGCAAGCCAAGAAAAATGTGCAAATCGCATGAGAAAAGCAGGCAGTCCCCAAACATCTTTATTTGTTCATTTCTGTGCCCTGATGCTTTGATTGCAGCCCTGCACTTAGAAATTTCAAGATAAGTATCAGCAGCTGGACACTGGGTAAATCAGAGGCACAGATTCCGTGTAAATACTGAAGTTTCGAAAGCACAAACTTATGTCCAATAGCTTGGAGCACAGGACCCAGTGGAAAGTGGGGGAGTGGTGTTCTGGCTTTGGCAGAGTCAACCTTCTGAGAAACTCATGGACATGTCTGTGCATGCCTGAACTTGTCTGACAAAGCCAAGCAGAGATTTCAGGATTGGCCAGATTCAGACACAAGCGGCCTGCTTGCTCGGAACCAAAATGGAACAGTCAGAGGAAGTGCAGGATTAGAAAGAAGAAACAAAAGATTACAGTCTGAAATCTGTTAACAGCAGAGGTTGCATGGTGAATGACCATGCTGATGACAATAAACTAAGCTGTCATCTATTGAATGGCTCACTGACAAGATCCCATATTAGGCTTTTTGTGTCCATTCACATAGTTAATTCTCCTAACAATCCTCAAGTTTTGATGGACTTTACCAGATTTTATAAATTTTAAAAAAAGAATAAAAAGGAAAGAAAGGGAGATGGAATGGTAAAACCACTATCTCAAAGTCAGGAACTAGCCAGTAAGAGGAAACAGGTTAGCAACACATGCTTGTCAGAGCCAAGGACCAATTTGTATCTTAAACTGCCCCCATGATCAATGAACATGAATTTAAACAAATGATAATCCCAGAACCTAAATCTGCCTCCCTGCAGTTAGAATAAATAATAACCATTGTGTGCCATTTTACAGTTCTCAAAGGGGTTATGTAATCTACATATACTGGAGACAGAAAAGAGAAAACTGTCCAGTTGGGTTTTGCTCCTAGGACAATAACAGTTCATATACTAGTTGTAAATAGTAAACACACCATTTTTTTTTTCTTCCTGACAGAAGGGGGATTTTGTCTGAGAAGAGAAAAAAAAAATGAGAGAGAGACAGCAGCTTTCTATTCAGAGACTAAATTAATGGGTAGGGCTGATCTCTTGGCATAATATGAGCTGTGAGGAGAGAGTTTGCTGATGAGATCTGTCAAGAACATAACAAGAAGATAGACTGGAAGAGTCTGGACCACACTGGGTGTGACAGCAGCCTCATCAGCTCAGCTAAGAGTAGATATATTGGTAAGAAAAATTAGAACAATGGGTAAAGCAAGATAACTAATGCTGTAGTTATGCTGTGAAGCTTATTTTGTTATTTAGGATTCTTTGGTTGCAAGTAACAGAATCCAACTCAAGGCAGCATACACAAAAATTTGTGAGATCTAATATAAGCACATGGAGATTTCTCTCAGGACAGCAAATACTAAAGATAAGGTAAATATGAAAATGAAAATTCAAGGTGGCTGGCAGAGTATAAAAACATGATCCTGGAGAGCATGACAGAATCCAAATCTTGAAGTTCTTTGTAGATTTCATTAAAGCACTTTAATTTCCTTGTAAATGTAGCAAGTGGCCAAGAAATGGGAAGTAATGTTATCAAAATGCAGGAAAATGGGATTATCAGATACAATACCACTTGAGCTGCTGTATGGGATAGAGAAAGGAAGTATGAAGGGTTGCTGTTGGTTGATTTTTTTGACTATGTATATAGTAGTGCCATAAATTGTGATAAGGAACATCAAAATGCAGATATGGGGTTGGAGGAAAAAGTTTGTGATGCATTTACTTTTGAACAGATTGGATTTAAGATGTCTGTGAGTCTTTCAAGAGATATCTACAGATACTTAGATAAAACAGTGTGGAGTTCAGAAGAAGCACATGTGCTGGAGTTACAAATGAGAAGTCACCTTCACAAAGATGCTACCAGAAGCCATAGCAGTGAATCAGGATATCCAAGGACTTGATTAAAGGTGAGAGAGCAGGGGAGAGCCTCGAACATAGAACTCTAACAACAACAACAAAAACCAGTTATGGGCCATAAGCATTAAGAAGAAAAGCCTTTAAACCTTCCAAGAGTAGCCAGAGAGATAGAGATAATTAGGAGAAGGAACACTTTCTGAAAGCTGGAGTGAAGACTTCTGAAAATCTACTTCATAACAGCAAAAAGAACACTAAAAAAATTGACAAAATAAACTTTTACAGAGCTGTAAAACTTAATCAAAAGCTTGTAACAATCTGAAGAATGTTTGTTGAAGAAAAATAGCTGAATTTCTGTAAGAATAGCAAAGAGCTTTGTAGCATTTTAACACACACTATTTCTATTTCTGTTTTCCTGCACAGTAGCAGTGAAAACCAACAGCCTCACGAGCATGGTAATTGTGAAAACCAGCAGTCTTACAGCTACTGGATGGGATAGAAAGTGTTTAGAGATCTCCCAAAAGTCCATTCCTAGAGAACTATCACTATCTGACCTGCCTGACAACTCCCTGGAAAGCCCCATTCATGGAGACTGGCTTTATTTTAACTGACTCAGAGCTCATTCACTGGGGAAATGCTGTATCCCCAGGGTGTTTGTGAAAAATGAACAGTGTCCATCATTTAAATTGAAGCTGCCTGAAGCAGTGATACAAGTTGTATCAATTAGGGCAAATAAGAGGCTAGCTAAGACCCTTAAAGGAAAAAGCTGAAAAATGAAACATTTACAGGGGGCTTTAAAAGACTCCAACATATTCAAGGGCATCTAGAAAATGATGTACATGTGCAGGGCTGTGAGAATGCTCGGGAAAGACTTGAGAAGATCCCAATATCTTATGCTGGCTGACACTGAGGATCTGCATAAACAGGAACTGAAAGCTAAGGCAGAGTTGAAAACTGGCAGTGTTGAAATGGTGCCCCAACACATCCACTCAGGGCTCCATGGTAAAGTGTGAGAGACCTATGGGTTCAAGTCATTCATGCAAATTTTTATCCAATCATTCCCTGACCACTAAGCTAACTCAGCAGAGACTTCAGTGGCCACACACAACACAGTGCAGACTTTAAATAATAAGTTGAGTAAAGTCACCAAACAAACTTCAAACAGCAGGAACAACAAACAGTAACAGTGGAAAACCCTGGGAAGTGAGGAATCTTATTTCCAGAGTTGCCACATTAGATTATGAAAAATTCCAGTTTTCAACACGAAGCTGTGAAACACACTAAGAAACAGGAAGGTATGGCCCAAACACATAATTATAAACTAAATAATATCGTACATGGATTAAAAGGGTTTCCTATGTTAAAGAAATATAATAAAAACACAAAGATTCTTCATTGGGAGTATATTCAGGTAACTTATTATAATTATTAGATAGTTTAAATTCTGCTGTACCAAAGTTTATTAATTAATTTTTTAAAAATACATAGTCCACGAGGTTTAGAAATGCAAGACGTGTACACTGAAACTACAAGACATTGCTGAAGGAAATTAAAGAAGACCTAAATAAATTGAAATTTAACCACATTTATAGATTGAAAAATTTAATATTGTTAAGATAGCAGTACTTCCCAAATTGAACTATAAATTCAATGCAGTCCCTATCAAAATCCTAGTGCCACTTTCTGCAGAAATTGACAAACTGATTTTAAAACTTATAGGAAAATGTAAGGGACCAAGAAGGACCAAAATGATTTTTAAAAAGGAAAATAAAGTTAAAAATTCACACTTTTTAATTTCATAACTTAAACAAAAGTATGGTATTTAAGAAAATGTTGTACTTGCAGAGAGATAGGCTATAAACTAATGCAGTGGAAATGAAAATTCAGAAGTAAATCCTTACAATATAGTTGATTGATTTTTGACAAGGTTGCCTGGACAAATCGATATGAAAAGAAATAGTCTTTTCAACAAGTGGTGCTGAAACAACTGGCTATCTACCTGGAAAAAAATGAAGGTGGACCCTTCCTTACACTGTACAGAAAAGCTAACATAAAATGGATCATAGACCTAAATATCAGAGATAAAAGTACGAAAGTCTTGTAAGTAAATATAGTAGTATATATTCATGACTTTGGGTTAGGCAAAAGTTTCTTAGATATGATACTGGAAGCATAAGTGAAGACAGAATAAGTAGGCAAACTGGATAAGATCAAGTTTAAAAAGTTTTCGCTTCAAAGGTCGCCACCAAGAAAGTGAAAAGGCAACCCAGATAATGAGAGAAAATGTTTGCAAGCCATATATTTCATAAGAGTCTCTATAAGAGTTTTGTACTTTTATCTCTGTGATCATTCCTTATATATTCTAAAGGCTAAATATATAAGGAATGATCACAACTCAACAATAAAGAGAAATAATGCAATTAAAAAATGAGCACATATCTGAGTAGACATTCCTCTTCAAACAAAGATATAGAAATGGCCAATAAACCCATGAAAAGATGTTCAAGATAATATGACATGAGGAAAATTAAAAACAGAACTACAGTGAGACACTACTTCACATTGACTAGGATGGCTAAAATTTTAAAAGATAGTAAAAAGTTTGACAAGGATGAAAATGGTGGAGAAAATGATACCCTCATATATTGCTGGCAGAAATGTTAAATGGTACACCTCCTTTGGAAATAAACTTGACATTTCTTCAAAATGTTAAACATAGAGTTACCATATGACCTAGCAATTCCAGTCTTAGGTATATAACTAAGAAAAATAAAAATGCACTTTCATACAAAAACTTGTACACACATTTCCGTAACAGCATTATTCATAGTAACAAATTAGAAGCAACCCAATTGTTCATCAACAGGTGAATGGATAAACAAAATGTGATATATATATGCAATGGAATATTACTCAGCCATTTAAAAATGACATACTGATACATGCTACAACATGAATAAATCTTGAAAATATTATGCTAAGTGAAATAAGCCAGTCACAAAAGACCACATTTTAAATGACTTCACTTACATAAAATGTCCTGAGTAGTTAAATCCAAAGAGACGGAAAGTAGATTAGTGGTTTCCAGGGAATGGGTGGAAGAAGAGAATTGGGAGTGACTGCTATAGGGTATGGGGTTTCTTTGAAGTGATGTAAATGTTCTGGAATTAAGTAGTTGTTAAGATTGCACAACTCTGTGAATATATTACAAATCACTCAGTTGTACATTTCAAAAAAGGTGAATTTTAAGGCATGTGAATTATAGCTTGATAGAGCTGTTATAGGGAAAAAAAAAAGGAATCCAGGAGACATGATGACAGCAGTGTCATACGCTGTGAATAAGCCCATTTGATAAAATGAGCAACATTTATTGGATATAGCAACAGTGAGGTCTTTGATAAACTTGGCTAAAGATAGTGGAGAGGTGGGGTAAAACAAGTTTGATTCATTCACCAAATATTTATGAATTACATATTGCACAATGGCATGTGCCATTGGGATGAGATATGAATGAAGGGAAGAAAGCCAGATGATAATGGGTTGATTTGAAAATAGGGGATGAGAAATGAGAGACTAGGAGTATGCACAATTCTTATAGAAGTTAGGTTGCAAAGGGCTGAAAACAAAAATGTTAGTAACTGGAAGAGGACACACACTCAGCTTGTTTTGTGGTTTGTTATCTGGGAGAAACTTCAGCATCTTAACATGGGTGAACATATCCTCTGTGTAGCGCTGATGGAAAGGATTCATGGGAGAAGGAAGGATGGGGTTGATGACACACGATGGCATGGGGATAGCTCAAAGGGACAAGTTCTGGAGAAGTTCACCAGAGCACAGATGGAGGGATAAACTTTAGATAGCAAGGGACACAGCCATATATTGTGATGGAAGAAAGAGAGGAAAATGGATGGAAATGAAGCTTATCTTAAAGACTTGTGGGAGAACACTGAAGAAATTTCCTGTCCTGGATTCTATTACTAATAAAGGAAGGTTTTATCTGTGGAGAGCCAAGAATTGGTAGAGCTTCCAGACTCACTTGGGATCAGTGAAATAGTGGCCAGGGAGGAAGCTTGAGAGGAGCGTGTAGGAGAAACATGAATGATTGCTCTGTGTTGAATAGACAAATCCATAGAGTGTTGAGAGCTCAAGGTCTGAGACTATCAATTTCTTGTAGCCCCAATTCACAGGGTTGGACATTTTTTTTAATTCTCCCAGTTTTCAGCAGCAGTGTTCAGATTGTAACATTAATAAAGCAAATCAGTGAATATTGCATAGTAGAGGAAGTAAAAATATTCTATTGATAAAGGAATTCTTTAAAGTGGGCACCCAGGATCTAAGCTGTGGAAAGAAAGGGAAGTCTGGGCATGACTGGTAGGGAGAAATTAGAGGGGTCAAATGATTGAAGGTATTTTTTCTCTTCTCTCTAATCTGTTTTGGATATCCCTTCCTCCTTTCCATCATCTTTCTTCTTCTATTTCTTCTCCTTTTTTAAGAAGCTGCTCATTTAAGATTACTTTTCTGCCTGGTTGGCATGTTCTTGATCATGAGCTCATCAGTTCTTGAAGAACTGTTGACTGGCAGTTGCCTGTGTGAAGGTTAGGCAGGTTTAGGATGCTAGTTACCTCATGGTTCAGCTTTCACAGAGGGGTTTTCATTTGAATTTCACAGCAATCCTGCCCTCTAAGTGAAGCGAAGAAACAGAATCCACTTCAATGGGCTAGGGGCTAGTTGAATAATGTTCCAAGAGGTTTAGGGACAACTCTATGAAGTCCAGTACAGGGTTGAAATTCAGTTTGATTTGTTTCACTTTTCTCCATTCCATGCTGACAGATCATTTAATTTATATATGGAAATGCATGCATTTCATTCAGTGAAGGGAGTCCTATTTATTTGGAGGGATGTTATTTATAGTAGAGAACTCTTTAAAAATAATAATCCACCACATATTTTAAATATAATTATTACTCCATCAATGTAATCCTTCCTTGGTTTTCTAGATGATCTTTTCAATATATTTATGCTTTGCCCTCCTCCCCTCCCCAAACATTTTCTTTAAATTAGGAACCAAATATGAGCCAAGCACCATCTTAATGATGGTATGAGAAAGAGTCACTATTTACAAGGGACTTAAAATCCATTTGGGAATATAACACATATTTGTATATATGTATGTTGGAGTACATAACATGTTATGTTGGAAAGAGTTCGTTATTTATATTAACTTTTTAAATTTCATGTGATTACCCCGTTTTCCTAGAACATTTATTTGAACACCTGTTCACCCTAATTTAGAAATCAACTTTTCCTTAACATCATTATATTCATGCAATATTCAGATTAGAAATTTATCCTAGTCTCTGAAAATTTGGTGGCAGGAATTGTGTCATTTAGGTATGACAAACTTAGTGTTAATACCTAACTAATTCTTGCTGATTTTAACTGAAATGTTGAATCAAAACAAATACTAAATCTCAGCATGTATGCCCACCTGCATCAGCTTCTATATAGCTATTAAATTCTGATGTCCAGACACATACAAAATATCCTTCACTACTTAATAGCTTTGTGACTTCAGTCAAGTCATGCGGCCTCTGGACATTGATTTTCTTACTTGTTAAATGGGGGTAATACTTTCTGCTCTATTTACCTCACAGGAGTGCTCTGTTTTATAGGCAAAAGCAGAAAGCACTCAAAGAACATGTTGAACACACATACACACGTGTGTTTTCACACAGAAACACATTCTTTTGAAAGGCCATTAGATCAAAGAATCATAATATCTTCTCCCATGATATGGGTGAATCTGAAAAAACCAGGATTATCCATTCTGTCATAAATGGCAAGATTTCTTTTTAAAAGGCTGAATGATATTCTATTGTGTATACATACCACATTTTCTTTATCTATTCATTCATACATGGATATTTCGGTTGATTCAATATCTTGTCAATTGCAAATAATGCTGTAATGAACATAGGACTGTTGATACCTCAACATATTTATTTTATTTCTTCTAGATATATACCCAGGAGTAAGATTGCTGGATTGTATGGGAGTTTTAGTTTTAATGTTTTGAGGAACCTACATACTGTTTTCCATAATGGTTATACCAATTTACCTTCCCACCAACAATGTGCAGAGGACCTCTCTTCTAGATATTGTCACCAACCCTTAGGTTTTTTTTTTTTTTAAATAATAGCATTCTAACAGGTATGAAGTAATATCTCATTGTAGTTTCAATTTGCATTTCTCTGATGATTAGTGATGTATACAATTTTTTATATTCCTGTTGACGATTTGTATGTCCTCTTTGGTAAGTGTCTAGTCAGGACCTTTGCCCATTTTTAAATTGGGTTGTTTCCTTCCTATTGAGTTATTTGGGTTCCTTATGCATTTTGGATATTAACACCTTACATGATGTACAGTTTGGAAATACTTTCTCTCATTCCATAGGCTGTATTTTCACTCTATTGATTATTTCCTTTGCTGTGCAGAAGCTTTTTAGTTTCTTGCAATACCATTTGTCTATTTTTGCTTTTGTTGCCTGTTTTTTGGGGTGTTATCATTGCCCAGGATAATATGAAAACAATTTTTCCTATGTTTTTCTGCAGTGATTTTTACAGTTTCAAATCTTATGTTTAAGTCTAATCCCTTTTGAGTTAACTTTTGTATATGATGTGAGATAAAAGTCTAATTTCTTTCAACATGTGGAGATCCAGTTTTCCCATTACGATTTAATAGAGAGACTATAATTTCATTGTTGTGTGTTTTTTAACCTAAAAATATCAAATTCAGAGAAGCAAAGAGTAGAATGGTGGTTGCCAGGAGCTGTGTGGGGGTGGGGAAAATGGGAAGATGTTGATCAGAGTACAAACTTCCAGTTACTCAGGATGAAATATGTTCTAGAGATCTAATGTACCATACGGTGACTATAGTTAAAATACTGTATTGAATAATCAAAATTTGCTAGGAGTAGATCTTAAATGTTCTCAACACACACACAAGGTAACTATGTGAGTTGATGGATATTTTAATTAGTTTGATGATTGTATTAGTCCATTCTCACACTGCTAATACAGACATATCTAAGACTGGGGTAATTTATAAAGAAAAGAGGTTTAATTGACTCATAGTTCAGCATGGCTGGGAGGCCTCAGGAAATGTACAATCATGACAGAAGGGGAAGCAGACATGTCCTTCTTCACATGGCAGCAGAAAAGAGAAGTGCAGAGTGAAGAGTGAAGAGCAGCAGCAAGAAGTGCCAAGCAAAAAGGGGAAAAGTCTCTTATAAAATGATTAGATCTCATGAGAACTCACTATTATGAGAATAGCATGAGGGTAACTTCCTCCATGATTAAATTACCTCTTCCCCACCGGGTCCTACCCATGACATGTGGGGGATTATGGGAACTACAATTCAAGATGAGATTTGGGTGGGAGCACAGCCAAATCGTATGAATGATGTTAATCATTTCACAATATATGAGTATATCAAAACAATGTTGAACACCTAAAATACATATTACTTGTATTTGTCTATGATACTCCAATAAAGCTGGAGAAGAAAAAATACACCATGAGATGCTGATCATGCTGGCTATCATTAATTGGTCATTTAAGAAATAAACAAATGTTCTTGAATGTTCTTATTAAGAGACCACCTTTAAATTTTCATTATATCAACATTTAAATTAGGGTTTCTCAACTCCATACTACTGAAATTTGGGGCCAGATTATTCTTTGCTGAGGAGTGAAAAGAGACTGCCCTGTGCATTGCAGGATGTTGAGCAGCATCCCTGGCCTCTACCTCCTAGGTGCCAGTAGCACTCCCCTTTCCTACAGTGTAAAAACATGCCTCTAGACATTGCCAAATATCCCTAGGGGTGTTTGTGTAAAACTGCCCCTAGTTGAGAACCCCTGCTTTAAATAATATGAACCAAGGCTTTCATGCAGTATTTTGCAAAACCCACTGAAATACATTATATATTAAATTCCCATAATACTAAGGCTTTGAGAAAGTGGATGATTTGCCTGAGGTCACACAGAAGGGAATTCAGGGAAACCAGGATTGAAGTTCAGTCTTCTGGTGTCTCAAATCCATGCTAATTCCCCTCCTCATCCTGCCTCCTGCCTCCATGTACTATGTAATATCAGGCAGGGAATATATATATATATATGGAGAGAGAGAGAGAGAGAGAGAGAGAGAGAAAATGAGTGAGAGAATGAGTGAGAGTGAGAGAGAGAGTAGTGAGTTTACCACACCACTCAAAAGGCAATTCCGGAGACTAATAAGTCCAAATACATTGACATGGCAATATATTGCATGATTTGTATGGATTGATAAGTAATTTCTTTAATGTATATTCTAATTTAGAGTTAAAACACACATATGTTTTACTCTCACAATAAACTTGTAATCTCCAAAAAATAAGTATCAATATTTCCAGTTTAAAGACAAGCAAATCAAGGCTCATTTGAGTAAGCTGCCTGAGGATACACAGCTATGTAATGGTATGTGAAGTGACGTCTGTTTAATTGTAATCTATCTTTCTCCTCTCACCTCTTTCCTCTTCTCTCCATGGCTGATGCCTAGAAATTTCCATTATCTTAGCGCAATAAGCAGGTGTTACAGCTCCTTAAATTTTTCTGAGGAAAAAAATGAGTCATTCATAGGTGTTCTGCTTAATTCAATTCACATTCAATTCAATTAATATTTATTGAGAGTCTTCAGAGGACTTGAAACTGTACAGTATTTTTAATGAGGTAGAGTTTGCGAATTTCAATCTCTTTGTTTTAAGAAACTTTGAGGATTATTTTTCCCCTTGCTTTTGAGAGATTCTTAACCACCTCAGTGAACATCAAAGTGCATTCAAGGGCAAAAAGCCTTCTTTTCTGTTATCTAAACTACTTATGGTATTTTACAGTGGGTCTATTGATGAAGCATTAATTCATCCAGCTTCACTGTCTTTGGGAAGCAAATGTCCAATAAGGAGAAGCACTAATAATATTAGTGACTTCAACGCAAGTTGTAATCCCCTCTGTGTGTTTGCCGCTTTTATATTTTGAATTGTCAAGAACCTTCGGAGCACAAAGGAAACAATGGTACGGGGTTTTAATTTTCATGATTTCCAACTTAAATTTCTCTCATCTATTCCTTTGTTTATTACTTTACTTATTCATCAAATGCAATGAAGGCAGGGACAGGGGACACAGTGATAAAAAGGAGACAGTCCTTCCTGTAATGGAGCAGACAAGTGGGTGAAGCACACAAAGGGATGTAAATATGGATGCAGAAGAGATGCTATGACAAAGGTCTGTGTGGCATGAAGTGGAAGCACGTGGAAAGGGTATCTAATCTGGATATGGAGCACACAGGGATGCCCTCCATGAATACCAATTCACAGCTGAAGGATAAGAAAGAATTATCAGAGGTGGGTGGAATTGGGACCAGCATATGCTCAATTAAAGAGTCAAGAAAAAATTATGACAATGGAGGCAGCAGAAACTTATTGTGAGTGGAGAATAAAGTGTAAAACACACACACAGAGAAAGAGATAGAGAGACTAGCAATAAGTGAGGCAGAAGGGGTACACAAATTGGAATGTGAAAGCCTTGTTTTACATGTTAAAGGGGCCATGTCTAATAGAGCCACTGAACATTTAAAGTAAGGGTCAGACCTATGGCCGATGTTGGTTTTGGGAAAGATCCCATATGCTACATGATGGAAGATGAATTGGCAAGAGACAGGCCCAGAGTGTCCAGTTCAGATGAGAGGTGAATATGCCTTGAACCAGGGTGATGTCGAGGAAGTGGAGATAAGGGGCAGACGTAAGTGGGATGAAAGTGGTAATGCCCTGGACCAGAGAAATGTCAGTATGATGGCGATAAGAAGGCAGATAGAAAAGGAAAAGAGCCAATTTTCAGGCAAGGAAACAGGAGAAAAATCGTCCTGTCATACACGGATCTTGTGGAAGGGATGCCATAGTAGACGTTTTGGAGACAGACAAATATTCCATCCCAGCTTGGTGACCTTGGGCAAGTTACTACAATACTGTGTGCCTCAGTTTCCTCAGGTATAAAATTATGACAATAATAGAACTACTTCATAATATTACAAGAACTCAATGGGACAATATATAAAGCACTTAGCCCAGTACCTGGCACATAGAATCTATTCAATAAAGAATAGTTATCGTCATCATAGTATTTTTTCGTTCTCTTACATTAATGTGGTCTCTGATATGAGGGGTGGGAATGAGAGTGAGTGTCATTTATTTATATTTTGCATTTACTGAGGAGAGGGGTTGGCTGGATGGATTCCCTGATGTCTTAGCATTGAGGTCTTAGGATACTGAACTAAATAGTTCCTCTCTTTTGAATCCAGTTTTTGCTCCCCTCATCCCATCGTTTTCCCCCTCTCCCACTGAAACATATGGAATTGCAAACTTCACCCCAAGTGGGACTTCTTCTGTCTGTTTTGGAAAGCCTTTGCTTGTAGACAAATGGAGCTAAAATTTGGTGTTCCCCATTATGGTTTATGTAGGCAAGACCAGGGACAGATCTTGTTACCTTTGAAACTGGTTTCAGTTTTGGCTAAAGACAAAGTGCAGACAGTACTCAGTAGGATGGGAGTGGTGGCATGTCTTCAAGAAGGTGCATGAATCTCTTTGGGTGATGCCTTGGGGGAAAATGAAATTCTGCAGAGGTAGGGTGGGCCCTGGGAGTCAGGGATCTTCCTCACCCTGCCTCCTAGTCCCAACAAGGAACCTTAAACCTGCATTTCTGATTTCTGTCTTTACAATACCCTGAGATATAGAAGAGAATGGAGCACAGCATGTCAGCCCAGGGAAGATCTTAATAGACCATGCCATTCAATAGCCTTCCTCTATTTCCAGATGCAGAACCAGAGGCCCAAAAAAGGGTTGGAGCTTATTCATATCAATTTCATGATAAAAATAAAATAAAAAAAACCAAATTGCTGCCTCACTGAATAAAAACAGTTGTACTTGCTATGTGCTAACCTTCATAGCAGTTCACCTGACTCTTTCTTGTGTTGTATTTCTTTTCTACCTCTTTGTGTAAACATGTATACATTTTTCTTTTTCTCATCTCTAGCCTGATAAATCCCGGGAAATGAGGTTGACTCCATTTTTTTTTTAATTTTTATTTTTTTACCTCTACATTGTACACAGTCTGATATACAGAACCTTGTACCAGACAAAATCTTAATAATTAGTTATTAACTGTTAATAATGGGAAGCAGGTGCATCAATTAGAATGACACATAAAATTTACATTAGAAGGAAGAGAATCTGAAAGTATGCCTCCAAATAGCACCAGGAGCATTGTATTAATCACTTGATCTACAACTTGTTGGGATTTTAGGGAGCTTCTCAAGTTCTGAATTTGTATAACCAAGTTACACAAATGAGTTGAGTGGATAGAAAGCCAAATGTTGACTTTATTACTGAAAGAGCTGTATAAAATGTGCAGTGGGTTTCTTCTGGAATTAGTCAGATGTGCCCACTTGGTCACAGCAATCATGGATGTCCTCAGGTCTCTCTGGCACGGCCAGGACCTTTACTGCCTGGTTCATTGCATGGCAGGGGGCACACCCAGGCAAAGGTTCTGTGAAGACAGAAAGATTCCTAGGAGGAAAGGGATGGTGCTGAGCTATGAATATAGCTCCTTGTTCCAATAAGTTATCTGAGAGGTGGAGAGGACCTAGAAGTGTTTGTTTATAGGCATCTTCCACATGAAAACACAGCCCCCCACCCCTGCTGGCAACAGTACTCTCAATTACCATAGGAAACAGTGCAATTAATTTTCCCTTATTACAAAGAAGAAAACAAAAACAAAAACCCAAGACTCATCCAGTAAGGGACTTGCTCTAGGTCACAGGGCTGGTAAAGAGCAGGGCCCTGATTTGAAGCTGGGCTGTCCTCAGGTCTAAACAATCTGCTATATTTCATCACTTCCTCTTCCTCTAAGGTGGTCATTCCAATTCCCTGTGTCAGTTAAAAGAAAATTCTTTAAAAAGATGCTGATTTATTAACTCACCACCTTTATTCATAGGGTCATGTTGCTGGCATTTAAATGAAGATTGATGAGGGTGGAGTATCTGGCAGACCTCTGCTGTTTGAAGTGCAGGGGGGATTTTCTTTGTAGCCAAAGAGAGACAGAGAATATAAATTGTGAGAGCTAAGGGAAAATGATTCAAGACAGCAATGGCTGGTGTTGCACCCCTGGAGAGAAAGTGCCCTTATTGTGTGTTGCTGAACTGATGGGCTGGGTGAAGACTCCTCCACTTAGTCTTCTCTCATTGGCCATTGACTCATCTTCAAAGTAAAACTGGGCTGGGCACGTTGGCTCACACCTGTAATCCCAGCACTTTGGGAGGCCGAGGCTGGCGGATCATAAAGTCAAGATATCAAGACCATCCTGGCCAACATGCTGAAACCCATCTCTACTAAAAATACAAAAATTAGCTGGGTGCGGTGGCGCATGCCTGTAGTACCAACTTCTGGGGAAACTAAGGCAGGAGAATCGCTTGAACTCGGGAGGCAGAGGTTGCAGTGAGCAGAGATTGTGCCACTGCACTCCAGCCTGGCAACAAAGCGAGACTCTGTCTCAAAAAAAAAAAAAAAAAAAAAAAGTAAAACTAGTACTTTGTTCAGAAAGAAAACTAGAAAGTAGTATCTTTTTTTTTCTTTTTGATAGCATAGAGGTCAGGAGTTATGACTAAATCATCTGCTTGGCATTTTCCATACTTTTTTGAAAATGTCCTCTGTCCATAACAAAGCTGGAATATAAGAACCTATGTTCTGTGTTCATGTCAACCAACATTATATCCGACAGGGCAGAATGTAATAAAATGGCAGCTGGAAGGGGCTCAGCATATGGTACCCGCTGTCAAAAAAGTCACAGGATCCTAGAACTTCCGACCTCTCAGAGCCTCTTTTTCCTTATCAATAAAATCAGTAGATTTCCACCTCAACCACTCTAATTAAAAACAATGTTTACAAGGCCGGGCGTGGTGGCTCTAGCCTGTAATCCCAGCACTTTGGGAGGCCGAGGCGGGTGGATCTTAAGGTCAGGAGGTCCAGGAGAAGATCAGCTGACCAACATGGTGAAACCCCATCTCTACTAAAGAAAAAAAAAATTAGCCAGACGTGGTGGCACATGCCTGTAATCCCAGCTACTCGGGAGGCTGAGGCAGGAGAATTACTTGAACCCGGGAGGCAGAGGTTGCAGTGAGCCAAGATCACACCACTGCACTCCAGCCTGGGCGACAGCGTGAGACTCCTTCTCAGAAAACAAACAAACAAACAAACAAACAGACAAAAAAACCATGTTTACAAAACAGTAGGTTAAATGCTAGAGCAGAGCAGTATCAAAAGCACAGGCCCTGAAGGTGAGTAGACTTGGTTTTAAATCTTGGCCATACTACTTACTGGTGGTTTAAGCTTGAGCAGTCATTTAGTCTCATGGAACCTCAGATTTTCCATATGGAAAACATGGATAACACTTGCCCTCTCTCCTCTTCTGGTGATGCATCAGAACAATGTAAATAGGATACTTTGCACAGTGTTTGACACATAATAAATGCTCGCTAAATGGTAGCTTATTTCATCATTATGGTATTATTAAACAATATTATCATTTGGTCCCTAGTAAATATGCATTTATGGGGTAGTGTTAAACAGAGAGACTTTATGAGAAGCAGCCTCATAAAGCTCATTTTTAAAAGCTTTTTAGAGATATTGAAGAGGGTATGCGCCATTATATTGCACATTTTTCCTTCAATTAGGACCTAGGAACAAAACTGATTTCCAGCTTCAAAACAGGCAAATAACTGTTTCTTCATGGGAAGCAGTATTTTAATCATGTAACTAATTGCATTTCCCTCTTTGTTTTCTGTGCTAGGAAGCTCATATTTAAAGTTGGACTATAAATTAATACTTATCTAAATACCCCTTAATTCAAGGGTTCGTAAGACCAAAGGGAACACCAAGTCCCAGAATTATTTATTTTGTATATTTAACATGAAAGATCATTCCCTCAAGTCTCAAACTCTTATTCCTTGACAACTACTTTTCTGAAAATTGTTTCCCTTTCTTCTCATCTCGCTTCTTGCACTCTGGATGCCTCATATTTTTAATGTTTTTTACCTGCATCATCACATTTAATTACCACACAAATGCTGTAAAACAGGATACTATTATCTTCACTCTACAGCAAAGACACCTGAGGCTTAGAACAATTAGAACTAACTGATATACTAGTCTTTCACCTTCTCATCTCACTATACCCTTTCCCTGAATGATATATTTATGTGATTTAAACAATACCACTGAACTACACCAATTTTGTACCTCTAGTATTGAACTCCCTTTTGAACACCAATTATTATTTCCAAACAACTACTAGATATCCTATAGACACTGTAAAATCAACATGTTGAGAACCAAACTTAATATCACTCATCTGAAAAACACTTTTTTCTATAGACTTGTTCTTGCCTACCATAATTAATTTATACAATAAAAATTTTGAGCACTCATGTTTCTGGCACCATGCTATGTGTTTTATGTGCATTATCTCATTTAATCCTCACAGTAATTCTATACAGTGAGTTTACTATTATTTCTAGGCAAGAAGTATGTCATTTGCCCAAGGCTACCATCAAGCACCTGTTGTAGCCACTCTGATTCCAGAGACAAGACCTTAAACCAATAGCGTTTCCCCAGGTCATGTGAGCTAGAAAATCTATCTTTATGTCCTCCTTCCTTCCCAGTCATAGCCAACTAGTCATCCAGACCCGGTAATTCATAAACCAGTGATTCTCAAACTTAGCTACACATTAGAATTACCTGTGGGGCCTTACAAGCTATTGATACTCTGCTCCATGCCCAAAATTTCTGATATAATTGGTTTGGGCTGTGTGCGAGGTCCCAGAGTTGTTTAAAGCTCCCTGGGTCATTCAATGGACATCCAAATTTGAGAATAACTGATTAATTCTCTAAGCATGGATATCTGAGTCATCATTCTCACTTCTTCCGACTTAGCACTTCTATTAGTCCGTTTTCACACTGCTATAAAGAACTGCTGAGACTGGGTCATTTATAAAGGAAAGAGGTTTAATTGACTCACAGTTCTGCATGGCTGAGAAGGCCTCAGGAAACTTACAGTCAGCGGAAGGCAAAGGGAAAGCAAGGCACCTTCCTCAAAAGGTGGCAGGAAGGAGAATGAATGCAGGAAGAACTATCAAACACTTATAAAACCATCAGATCTCATGATAACTCACTCATTATCATGAAAACAGCATGGGGGAAACTGCCCCCGTAATTCAATTACCTCCACCTGGTCTCTCCCTTGACATGTGGGGATTATGGGGACTACAATTAAAGATGAGATTTGAGTGGGGACACAAAGCCTAATCATATCAACTGTTTTCACCATTTTCTCCCAGATGTCACAAGGCCCCTAACCCAGCATCCTGTCTCCCTTTTTATCCCTTGCCATCCATCTTCCCTGATGGCTGTCAGAGTGACCTCAATGAAGCACAGATCTGACCAACCCACAACCTAGATTAAACGTGGCAATGGCTTCCTACCACCCTTAAGGCATCTTCATCTCCTTGTTTTTACCTGCTAAGCTCTTTTCCTTGAGTAGATCTCATACTCTTGCTACAGCCTCTGCCTGAAGACCACTTTCTGCATTTAGCAATGGTTTAATCCATTCTGTAGGCTTATGTTTAGATGCCATCTGTCTTTGAGATATTCTTTGTATAACTACATCCCTAAGGAAATCAATTGCTCCCTCCTCTGTGCTCTTAAAGCACAAAGCTGTTAAAATACTGATAATTTTACGCTAACTAGGCTGCGCTAGATTGTAAGCTCACTGTGAGCAGGCAATGTTTCATTCATTTTTCCGTCCTATGGGTACAGCACACAGTATAATAAATTGCTATAAGGAACTAATAATAACAGTTATTGAATAAACAAAGAAATATATTAATAAACACTTAATTGTTCTTTTCAAATGTAACTGTCTGATTTTTTTTCTCTCTTTAATTCAAGTAGGATAGTTTCATATCTAAAAGAGATTTCTAAAATGGTACCCCATGGTTGGCAACCAGAGAGATAAAGGTCTGGCTCCTGGCCTCTTATATAAATTGTTGCACTGATTTTGAGAAAGTGAGTTAGCCTTTTGACACAACAGTTTTCTAATCTGTAAAATGGACACAATAATTTTATGAACTTATTTCACAGAGTCATTAAGAGGGTTTAATGAGATAATAGCTCTAAGACACTTAGCATAGTATCTGGCACGCAGTAAGTACTCAAAAATTATTTTTATTTTCTTCTCCACAAAGCCCTCCTTGCTTATGCCAAGCCTCAGTGATGCCTCTCTTTTTCTTTCTTGTGTGGATTTATTTACTTAATCAATATTAATTGAAGGTCCCATACTCATGACATATGCTTCTCTAAAGTGCTGTGAGATATATGTCTCACAATTATTCGCTGTCAATTAATATTTATTATTTATGTATTATTAGATTAGTTACATATATATCAGTGGAGAGGACCAGTGTTGCCCGTAGGAGCTTACTTTCTAGTATGGGAAATGAGATAAAATATACAAAATAAATAAGATATATAGAATACATGATGGAGGTAAGTGCTATGGAGAAAAAGAAAACACGAGAGGGAAACAGAAAATAAACGTTGGGATAGGATTTTAATTTTAAGAAAAGGGGTCAGGTACGTCTTTGCTGAGAAAGTCTCATCTGAGTGAAGACCTGAAGGAGATGTGGAAATCAGCCGTGTAGGTTTCTGGGGGACAGAATTTCAGACAGAGGGGACAGCAGGCAGGCTAGTGTGGCCAGAGCAGAGTGGCAGGGATGGGGGTGGGGTATAAGTGGTGAGTTCAGGGAGGGAACAGGGAGTATGGTCCTGTCAGTTGTTTTAAGGTCTTTGGATTTTACTCTGAATAAAACGAGAGGCCTTTGGAGAGCTGTCAGTTCCGGAACCACAAGTCTAACAGGTTTATTAGGATCACACTGGTGACTGAGTTAAGACCAGGCTGTATGGGGCAAATACAAAGGAAGAGCCTCCAAGAAGTAATCTGGGTGAGAGAAGACTGAGAGTTGCAGCAGGCTGGTCACAGGGCAGATGATGAGAAATTGCTGGATCCAGGATGTATTTGGGAGGTAACACAAACCAGTTTGCCATCAGATTGGGTGTGGGGTGTAATCAAAAGAGGCTTTTTGTTCCGAGCAACGGGAAAGATGAAGTTGCCATGAACTGAAATTGGGGAGTCCATCAGAGGAGTAGGTTTAATGGAGAAAAATGGGGACTTCAATTTTGAAAATGATAAGTTTGAGACACCCAAGGAGAGATAGCAAGTATGCTGTTGTATATATCAAGCTGAAGTTTAAAGAAGTGGTACAGAATAGAGGAAATTTGAGCTATTGGTATGCAGGTGGGATATGAAGCATGAGACGGAATGAGGTCACCAAGAGAGTGAATGTATATAAAGCAAAGAGGGTGTCCAAGGGCTGAGTTCTGAGATACTTCAATAGCAGAAGATGATGCTGAGAAGCAGAAGCCAGCTAAAGAGACTGAGAAAGTGCTGGTGGTGAAGCACCAGGAAAATCAACAGATCATGTAAGATGTCTCAGATGCCAAGTGAAGAAAGCATTTTAAGGACAAGGAGGCAGTCAACTGTATTATATGTTGCTAATCAGCAAACCAAGATGAGAATTGATGTTTGACTTTTGTGTTTAGCAATGTGGGTGTCAATCATTATAATAATTAGGTTTATATATAATAACCTTGATAACAACAATTTTGGTGGAGAGTGAAGGTGAAACTGTGATTTAAGAGTGATGAAGAGAAAATGAGTAGAAAGCTTATTCATCAGCTATGGGTTTTATACAAGTTACAGAACCTCAAATCCTCCCTCCCTCTGTTCCTCCCTCCCTCTGTTCCTCCCTCCTTCCATTTCTCCCTCTCCCACTCCCTTCCCTTCCCTTCCCTTCCTTTACCTTCCCTTCCCTTCCATCCCCTTCCCTTCCATCCCCTTCCTTCTTTCCTCCTTTCCCCAATCTGTAAAGCAGAATGATAGTATCTTTTTTATGTATGTAAATCATGACAATATATGATATGTCATCAATAAAAGTAGCCTCTTCCTGCTCTTTTAGGATCCTATGTCTTGTGTTCTCAGTGGCTGTGATAGTATTTGCACGAGTAGGTGTCCATTAAATGTCCATGGATGGAGACGAATTAGGTCCTTAATTCTGCTTCTGACCCAGGTGTCTGGTTATTTGTTTGGTGCAAACAACAAAGAGTTCCTGTTAAAGGTGATAGCTGAATGTTGGAGGCCACTACCAGCTTTTCAGGAAAGAAGCCTTTTGGCTCAGAATTTCATGGAGCTTCTGACTGTAAATAAAAATTGCATTGACTTCTGCTTGGAAGTGGGGATGGGAGGTCTGAGAGTAAGTGCACTCTGTCCAGGGCAGCCTCCTGCGGAAATGATTTCCAGAGCAGAATGCCAAAGTGCTTTCGTAAATGACTCTGGCTCACCCCTTTCTCTATCTTCTGCCCTGTGTATACAACATTTATAAAAATAAACAGTTGCTGGAGGCATTTGGGAGGAAGCCAAGGTGAAGCACCCAGCAAAAGAAACAGATACACCAGACAACTCAGAACTCCCAAGAACAGTATAAGTTTTCAGAGGAGGAAACAGAGGGACTAGCGGATGTTTGGGAGGATGGTGATAGGAGAGGAATGTATGAGTTTTAGAGTTTCCATTCTTTCCACTCTTGGCTTCTCTTTTCATGCACCATAATGTTATAAGTGAATGAGAGTGAATGAACTTCTCCACTGGACTGCATGATCCTTGAGGGAAGGGACCCTCAAATGAGTACTCATTTTTGGATTTGGGTTATTGATCCAAATATGATACATTTATCAAATACCTACTTCATGACAGGAACTCTGCTCCTACAACCACATTCATCATGCATTAGATGCTCCATAGTTAAATGAACATTCCTTCACCCTTAAGAGTTAGTACTGCATTTGCTCTACTGGGCGCAGTGAACATGTCATATCCTCATAAAAGCCAGATCTAAACTCCCACCATAGGCAGAATAAGGCTTTTCCTCCTGTAAACTTCATGGCTTTTCAGATTTCCCTCACTGAAAGATCTGTAATAGAAGCTCACTGAGTGTGAGGCTTGGCTTTGCTTACCTGTACACCCCACTGCCTAGAACAGTGCCAGGCATATAGTAGTTGCTATGGTCTGAATGTTTGTGACTCCCCCAAACTGCAAAATTCATGTTAGAATCCAACATGATACAATAGCATTAGGAGGTGAGGCCTTTTGGGAAGTTATTAAGTCCTTAGGGCTCTGCCCTCATGAATGGGATTAGTGCCCTTATAAAAAAGGTTCAAGAAAGGTATCTTGCCCCTTCCACCATGTGAGGATACAGAAAGTGCCATCTAAGAGGAACAGGCCCTCATCAGACACTGAATCTGCTAGTGCCTTGACCTTGGACTTCCCAGCCTCCATAAATATAAGCAGCAAAATCTGTTGATTATTAATTATCCAGTTTAAGCTATTAATATTTTGTCATAGCAGCCTGAAAAGATGAAGTCTGTAGGTATCCCATTAATATGAACAAATGATTAGTACCCAATTCCTCATTATTTTAAAGTCAAATATTTTGAGTCTGTCTCTATTAACTAGGCTGTGAACACTTTGATGGGAGAGGTGGTGCTATTTTCTTCCTAATTTTTCCATTTCATGGCATACAGAAGTGACTTAGTAAATGGTAATGGGATAAATGTATAACCAAACCTTCATTGTTTTTTATGAGTTTCTTTTAAATTATTCTTTGCTCTATAAAATCTAACATGTAATTTTATTACATAAAATGTGTATTACAAAAGAGATACAGTTAAAGGCTCTTGCTGAGATAAGGGTACTACAGGGAGTGGTGGAAGGATGTGGTATGTGTGGTATGACCCAGACTGATGCCACCAACGAGAACGTCAGAGGACGGGACATGAAAGCTAAAGAATGAATTTCAGTACATTGTGTAGTCAAGTGATAAGTAGTCCTGAATTTGGCAAGGGGTGAAGAAAGAGGTGAGAATAGGGAGATGTTTATTTGGACAAAGAAAACAGCATTTTTTATAGCATTTAAGTGATAAAGTGAAAGGAAAATAATAGAAGTTCAGGAAAATGATAGTAGTTCAAAATGGCCAAAAGGTAGATTGCAGGTGGGCAGGGGCATCCAGTGGAGAGAAGGCACAGAAGTGAGGAAGTCAGGGACCATGTCAAACAAAGCCCTGTTATTCATGAGCAGGTTAGCCTTTGCCCGCTTTCTTTCCTCAATGCTGAATCACCTATTTTCTGCCCTGATCTTCATAAACACACAGGGGCATTAGTTAGATAGGTAATCTACTAGAAAGACTAATGAGCTGATATCAAGAGAAACTAAGTCAGTTGAAAATATCTGGAAATATCCGGTTGGTAGAACTGGACCTAAATTCAAAATCTCCACACTTTGTTGTTGTTGTTGTTTTTTTTTTTTTTTTTTTTTTTTTAAGACGGAATTTTACTCTTGTTGCCCAGGCTGGAGTGCAATGGCGTGGTCTTGGCTCACTGGAACCTCCATCTCCCGGGTTCAAGCGATTCTCCTGCCTCAGCTTCCCAAGTAGCTGGGAATACAGGTGCTTGCCACCAGGCTTGGCTAATTTTTTGTGTTTAGTAGAGACGGGGTTTCACCATTGTGGTCAGGCTGGTCTTGAACTCCTGACCTCAGGTGGTCCACCCACCTCGGCCTCCTAAAGTGCTGGGATTACAGGCATGAGCCACCATGCCTGGCCAATCTCCACACTCTTAAATCCAAATGGCAGCAGTAGGAATGGAAACTAGATAACATCTTTTATGCCAATTCTAATTAACTGGTAGTGGATGTCTGTAGTCTGTTTTCAGTCTGTGATCCAACTGTGCTCTAAAGAAATGAGAACTCAGATTGATTCACCGTGATGCCTCGGGAGGGCGAGGGGGAAGAGCAGGTAGCCCCACCTGTCATGCATCCCGCATGCCCTGCAACAGCATTGTGCAATTCTTAGTTACACCACGCAGACCTCTATTTCTCGGTGAATTCTTTCTAAATGATTATGGTTCTTCATTTATCCCCTTTTTTTGTTGGAACACTTCTTCACTATGACGCATACCAGAGATTTTCCTAGAAATCCAGAAAACTGCTAGTGTGGGCCAGTCAGGCTAGTGATTACGAAATTCTCCAAATTCAAAAATGGTTCATTTGAATCAGCCAAACCAAAGAAAACTCTTACCACCAATTCCCTGCCACAGATTTTTCAAGCTAAAGTGAATTAGGGTTATCCAATTACACATATATTAACAGTGATTACTACCTTAAGATGACTGCATTTCATTGCCATAGGAAGCATTTTAGTTATTCAAGACTTAGATATTGAAAAATGTATGCAAGCTAAGGTGTCAACCCTCCCATAGTATGATGTTGGTGATATTGGTATTTTCTGTAGGTACTCACCATATATTTTCCTGCCATCATGATAGCACATTTCACTTAGCAGCTATTTTGTAAATATTTATTAAATGCATAAAGGAATGAATTAATTGATGCAACAAATAGGTCAAATAGGTAAATGAGTGAAGGCAGAAATTAATTATTCTTACCTAACGCTAATGAAACTTTTTGAGGAGAAGAACCATGTATTTTTACCTTTGTGCTGCCTTGGAGGCTAGCATGTTATCTAATATGTAATGGTTTTTTATAAAACAGATATAGATTTATTGGAATATTATCACTCCTAGTAGATTAAATGTCTTTAAATACTTTGGACTATAGTCTATGGTTATGGACTACATTCCACATGCTTTTTCAAATTCTTCACAGATTCATTTATTAAATAGGGAATCCTTTTCCCCATTGTTTGTTTTTCTCAGGTTTGTCAAAGATCAGATAGCTGTAGATATGCGGCATTATTTCTGAGGGCTCTGTTCTATTCCATTGATCTATATCTCTGTTTTGGTACCAGTACCATGCTGTTTTGGTTACTGTAGCCTTGTAGTATAGTTTGAAGTCAGGTAGCATGAGGCCTCCAGCTTTGTTCTTTTGGCTTAGGATTGACTTGGCGATGCAGGCTCTTTTTTGGTTCCATGTGAACTTTAAAGTAGTTTTTTCCAACTCTGTGAAGAAAGTCATTGGTAGCTTGATGGGGATGACATTGAATCTATAAATTACCTTGGGCAGTATGGCCATTTTCACGATATTGATTCTTCCTACCCATGAGCATGGAATGTTCTTCCATTTGTTTGTATCCTCTTTTATTTCATTGAGCAGTGGTTTGTAGTTCTCCTTGAAGAGGTCCTTCACGTCCCTTGTAAGTTGGATTCCTAAGTATTTTATCCCCTTTGAAGCAATTGTGAATGGGAGTTCACTCATGATTTGGCTCTCTGTTTGTCTGTTATTGGTGTATAAGAATGCTTGTGATTTTTGCACATTGACTTTGTATCCTGAGACTTTGCTGAAGTTGCTTATCAGCTTAAGGAGATTTTGGGCTGAGACAATGGGATTTTCTAGATATACAATCATGTCGTCTGCAAACAGGGACAATTTGACTTCCTCTTTTCCTAATTGAATACCCTTTATTTCCTTCTCCTGCCTAATTGCCCTGGCCAGAACTTCCAACACTATGTTGAATAGGAGTGGTGAGAGAGGGCATCCCTGTCTTGTGCCAATTTTCAAAGGGAATGTTTCCAGTTTTTGCCCATTCAGTATGATATTGGCTGCGGGTTTGTCATAGATAGCTCTTATTATTTTGAGATATGTCCCATCAATACCTAATTTATTGAGAGTTTTTAGCACGAAGGGTTGTTGAATTTTGTCAAAGGCCTTTTCTGCATCTATTGAGATAATCATGTGGTTTTTGTCTTTGGTTCTGTTTATATGCTGGATTACATTTATTGATTTGTGTATATTGAACCAGCCTTGCATCCCAGGGATGAAGCCCACTTGATCATGGTGGATAAGCTTTTTGATGTGCTGCTGGATTCGGTTTGCCAGTATTTTATTGAGGATTTTTGCATCAATGTTCATCAAGGATATTGGTCTAAAATTCTCTTTTTTGGTTGTGTCTCTGCCTGGCTTTGGTATCAGGATGATGCTGGCCTCATAAAATGAGTTAGGGAGGATTCCCTCTTTTTCTATTGATTGGAATAGTTTCAGAAGGAATGGTACCAGTTCCTCCTTGTACCTCTGGTAGAATTCGGCTGTGAATCCATCTGGTCCTGGACTCTTTTTGGTTGGTAAGCTATTGATTATTGCCACAATTTCAGATCCTGTGATTGGTCTATTCAGAGATTCAACTTCTTCCTGGTTTAGTCTTGGGAGAGCGTATGTGTCGAGGAATTTATCTATTTCTTCTAGATTTTCTAGTTTATTTGCATAGAGGTGTTTGTAGTATTCTCTGATGGTAGTTTGTATTTCTGTGGAATTGGTGGTGATATCCCCTTTATCATTTTTTATTGCGTCTATTTGATTCTTCTCTCCTTTTTTCTTTATTAGTCTTGCTAGCGGTCTATCAATGATGCTGGGAAAACTGGCTAGCCATATGTAGAAAGCTGAAACTGGATCCCTTCCTTACACCTTATACAAAAGTTAATTCAAGATGGATTAAAGACTTACATGTTAGACCTAAAACCACAAAAGCCCTAGAAGAAAACCTAGGCATTACCATTCAGGACATAGGCATGGGCAAGGACTTCATGTCTAAAACACCAAAAGCAATGGCAACAAAAGACAAAATTGACAAATGGGATCTAATTAAACTAAAGAGCTTTTGCACAGCAAAAGAAACTACCATCAGAGTGAACAGGCAACCTACAAAATGGGAGAAAATTTTCACAACCTACTCATCTGACAAAGGGCTAATATCCAGAATCTACAATGAACTCAAACAAATTTACAAGAAAAAAACAAACAACCCCATCAAAAAGTGGGCAAAGGTTATGAACAGACACTTCTCAAAAGAAGACATTTATGCAGCCAAAAAACACATGAAAAATGCTCATCATCACTAGCCATCAGAGAAATGCAAAGCAAAACCACAATGAGATACCATCTCACACCAGTTAGAATGGCAATCATTAAAAAGTCAGGAAACAACAGGTGCTGGAGAGGATGTGGAGAAATAGGAACACTTTTACACTGTTGGTGGGACTGTAAACTAGTTCAACCATTGTGGAAGTTAGTGTGGCGATTCCTCAGGGATCTAGAACTAGAAATACCATTTGACCCAGCCATCCCATTACTGGGTATATACCCAGAGGACTATAAATCATGCTGCTATAAAGACACATGCACACGTATGTTTATTGTGGCACTATTCACAATAGCAAAGACTTGGAACCAACCCAAATGTCCAACAATGATAGACTGGATTAAGAAAATGTGGCACATATGCACCATGGAATACTATGCAGCCATAAAAAAATGATGAGTTCATGTCCTTTGTAGGGACATGGATGAAATTGGAAATCATCATTCTCAGTAAACTATTGCAAGGACAAAAAACCAAACACCGCATATTCTCACTCATAGATGGGAATTGAACAATGAGAACACATGGACACAGGAAGGGGAACATCACACTCTGGGGACTGTTGTGGGGTGGGGGGAGTGGGGAGGGATAGCATTAGGAGATATACCTGAGGCTAAATGACGAGTTAATGGGTGCAGCACACCAGCATGGCACATGTATACATATGTAACTAACCTCCACATTGTGCACATGTACCCTAAAACTTAAAGTATAATAATAGTAAAAAAAATAAAATAAAAATAAAATTCTTCACAGATTCTAGCACAGTATCTGGTGCTTAGTAAGGTTAGACCTAGCAATGTATGTTTTATGTCATCTTTGGGATTTCAGTTTCTCCACAAGTGGTTCATGAATAACTTGTATCACAATATTAATATTAGAACCCAGCAGAAATCATTCTTAGTTCCAATTCCAAGACAAAGCATGAGAATTTTTAACAAGCTTGTTGGGTGGTTCTGGTGAACAAAAGTTAGAGAATCATCTTCTAAACTAAGAGCTACTTGAGGATAGAACTAAGTTTATGCATCTTTGACTTTCTTGTAATGCATCATTAATTCCCAGCTCACAGTTGGTCTTATTTATTGAATGTAGGAGCTTTCAGAGTAAGTTACCTGCTGGCTGTGATGACTGTTGATGTGGTTTGGATCTGTGTCCACATCCCCTCCTGCCCCCCACCAAGTCTCCTGTTGAACTGTAATCCCCAATGTTGGAGGTGGGACATGGTGGGAGGTGATTGGATCTTGGGGGTAGATTTCTTATGAATGGGTTAGCACCATTCCCTTGGTGCTGTTCTCATGGTAACGAGTGAGTTCCTGTGAGTTCTGGTTGTTTAAAAGTGTGCATCTCCCCCTTCTCTCTCATGCTCCTGCTCCTGCCGTGTAAGATGCCTGCTCCCTCTTTGCCTGCTGCCATGATTGGAAGTTTCCTGAGGCCTCCCTTGAAACAGAAGCTGCTATGCTTCCTGTACAGCCTGAAGAATCATGAGCCAATTAAACCTCTTTACTTTATAAATTACCCAGTCTCAGGTATTTCTTTATCACGATGTGAGAATGGACAAATAGAACTGTCAAATTGGTGATGTACTACCAAGGTAGTCAAGTTAACAGGTGATCTCAAAAGGGTGAAATTGTGTATCATAGTTGTTTTTGCCAAAGTGCTTCTGGCAGTTAGGAGAGAGTGCCTCAAATCTTGTGAAACTAGGCGTTCCCAACACTGCGCATGGTCTGGGACCTTATCTAAGGTATATGCTACCCGTATTGTTGAGTTCACTAATCTCTGAACTCCACAATACCACCTACTATATTGACATTGATCAGGCTCCCTGTAAACAGACTCCAAGGCTGAGATTTGTGTGTCAGAAGTTCATCAAGGGGTGCTTTTGTAAGATACACCTGTGGGAGTGTGAAGGCACTAGGGCTGGGCAAAGGGAAGAGTTGGGTCTCATGCAGTCACAACAGAGACTTCCATCAGTCCCACTGGAATCACTGGAGCTGGGATGGCCTTCAGAGTTGTTCCACATGAGGCAAGGGGGCCATGTTTTTGTACCCCACATTGAAGAGTACTGGATATGGGCTGGCCCTGGGAAGAGGTGTGACCTAGGGTGAGGAGGCTCCCTGAAGTAGAGGGCAGTTGGTAGCTGGAGAGCTGATAGTGAACAGCAATCCCAACATCAGGGAAAAGGAGCCCCTTAGTCCTGAAGAAAGGTAACTGCATGGCACACTACTGCATCCAACATGTAAATTATCTACAATAACCATTTCTGAAGAATTTACAGTTTGAAGATAGTACACTATGTTGCAGTAAATCATAGGATTTGGAGTCAGGAATAATGAATCTAAATCATACTGCTTCTTTTTATTAGCTGTGTAACCTCCATAAGTCACTTAAATTTTCAGAATCTCAGGCTTTTATTTGTAATAGTGGTGTTTGTCAATGCCTGGCTCCTGGAAGATGATACATACAAGCACCTCTGCCTCCTCAGCCTTTCCCCTTAAAGGTTATTTAGCATTGTCTTAACATTCATTCATCTGTCAGACATGCCTTTTTTGATTTGACTAATTATATATTTGTAAAACTAAAATGACTTGGGCGTAGGTACAGTTGTATCCCTTGAGCATGTTTACTAAATTGGTACCTTTTGAAAAAAATAACTTCATTTTATTTTATTTTGAGACAGGTTCTCACTCTGTAGTCCAGGCTGAAGTGCAGTGACATGATCTTGGCTCACTACAACCTCCGCCTTCTGGGTTCAAGCAATTCTCCGGTCTCAGCCACCCGAATAGCTGGAATTACAGGCGTGTGCCACCAGGCCTGGCTAATTTTTGTATTTTTCTGTAGAGACAGGGTTTTGCTATGTTGGCAGGCTGGTCTTGAACTCCTGATCTACAAGTGATAGGCCCACCTTGGCCTCCCAAATTGCTAGGATTACAGACATGAACCATCGTGCCCAGCAGAAAAAAATAACTTTAAAAGGAAGTACATTGACAGGCTTTATATTATGACATTTTTTATCATAATGTGATAAAAAAGTAATTAAAGGAAACAATATGAAAAAAATTAACCACTTATTTAAAAAATATTTGAGTGCCTATACCCTATGCTAGCCCTATTCTGTGTGCTTAGGATTTATCAGTGAACAAAGTAGATGGAAATCCTCTCTTTTTCAGAGCATACCTTCTAAAAGGGAACTAAAAACAAATTTAAATAAATATACACGTTTGTTAGAAAGGAGTAAGTATGGGAAAAACAAGGCTTTAGGGAGGATGCAAATTGCAGTTTGAAATAGGGTGATCAGAGTGAGCCTCACTGAAAAAAATGGCATTTGAATGAGCATTGTAGGTGTTATGGGAGTCAGCTTTGAAGAAGAGTATTCCGAGTAGAGATCACAGCTGGTGCAAGGATCCTGAGGCAGGAGGATGCCTGTCATATTTGAGGAATAGCAGGGAGACAGGTAGAGAAGGCAATCAAAGTGTGATGCTTTGACTATCCTAGCCTCTCCGCCAACACACAATTCAGGGCCTACCCTCCCAAAGCCATTTCTAAGCCTCTCCCTAAGCCCCTGCTCTGCTGCAGTAGGCCACACTATGTTACGTTCGTTCCTCTTCACTTTCTAACTCCACACATGGAGCAGGAAACCACGTACATCATGGAGTATTATTATTCCAGCTCTCCTCTTTTTCTATAGAAACCACAATAGTGGACTCAGTCTGGAAAACATCACCAGGATAGAATAAAAAACATACACACAAAAAAATCTAAGTTACACAGAAGCCTGGAACTGACGTCCCCAAATCCTGTTTCAAACACAAGCCTGGAATTGACACCCCAAATGAGCTTCCACAAGATGACTCAAGGCCAGTCTTCATCTTGCTTCAGTATGTGCATGATAGCCACTAAGAGAAACTGATCTTGAATGTTTCCACAACTTGAATGTTTCATCCTGGAGTGGAATTTATAAAATGGAAAGAAAAAAATAATGATTTGTGGTATAAGTAACAATGCTGCCTCTCAGACGTATTCCGCCCCTGTGATCTGGATTCCATTTGGATCGAACATTTTCATAGATGTACACACACAGGGTGGTTCCCATTGCTTAAATTCGTACTCATAACTCAGCTTTAGTATCCCAAAAGGATCTAGTGATGGATCTCACAATCTTGTAGAGAAAACTGTTCAAGATTTTAACTGAAGTCGTTGACCTCCAAATCTTCTGTGATTTTATTCCTGAGTATTTCTGAAGAAGGAAAATTCTGGATCCTTTTCCCCACGTTCAGTAAAAGCTACATAATTTCAGTCCTCGAAAGCCAGAAAACCTACATATTTGCTGGTCATGATTTGGTGCATTTAATAGTGTGCAGCTCCTTTTGAAAGACCTAAATGTTGTTATAATATTTCTGATGAATTATCCAAAACACATTTTTGCTCTCTGATTTTTCCCCAGTGTCTCTAAAAACCATTTTGACAATGCTACCAAATAACTGTACTTTTTGTCAAGATGCTTAAAATTCATCAAACTCTTTTTTATCTGTAAGAAAGAATCCTGTAACTGGAACAGAATGACAAAGATTTGACACCTAGCACTTCCATGTATTACTTTCTGATCTGAAGCCAAACACTTAGGCATTCTGCACTACAGTGTCCAAGTCTGACTAAGCTACTCACAAGAAACTATGCAACTGTACTGTGGATTAAGCTTTGCCGGATAACTATAAAGTGATATTCAAGTGAAAGAGGCATTAAGGTCTGCTGCTGGTGGTCATGGAGGTCTCCTTGTCCCTGACGTAAAATTCTATGACATACAGCGCAGTTGCTTAGATTTTTCTAATCCTTTAAAAAAATCAAAAGCACTCACATGTGCATTTTCTTATTCTACTCATATTATGTCTGTTTCCTTTGGGAGTTAACCCCTCTGAGTCCCAAATCTATATCTTACAGCTCTTGAAACACCATCCTGTTTCTCACTAGGAGGATCAGTTTATGTTAATAATTAAGAACTTAGACTCCAGGGCCAGAAAGATTGCAAATTCTTTCACTCACTAGCTGCCATGGATACATTTCTTCACTTCTCTAAGGCCAAGTTTTACAAAGTAAACATAATAATGGTAATTACTATATAGGATGTTGATTGTATTTAATGAAATAATGCATATAATTATTTTAGCATAGTGCCTGCTACATAGCAAATGCCTTAAAATTGATTATTATTGTTGTTGTTGCTGTTGTTATTAATATTATTATTTAACCATAAATGTTATATAACTCTGTTTTTTAAATTAGGCATTGAGATTTTGTCTGCCAAGAAAAATGACTCTGGGTCATTAAGGTTAAAATGTTTAACATGAATATAATGTTATTAATACACTTTTCTCATAGATCATCACTTCTTTAAAAAAGAAAGCCATTCTGATGCATTATTCTG
Source organism: Homo sapiens (assembly GCF_000001405.40). Taxonomy (NCBI): domain Eukaryota; kingdom Metazoa; phylum Chordata; class Mammalia; order Primates; family Hominidae; genus Homo; species Homo sapiens. The sequence goes on along the minus strand of NC_000009.12, from coordinate 115,913,106 downwards.
ATCTCTGTGTTAAAAGGAGTTTGGAGTGGAGGATGGTGGGGAACTGAACCATCAGGTTTAACTGAGAATCCATTGTAATTAAGGTGCTGGGCTAAGAATAGAATTGAGATATTTGGACTCTAATCAATATGTACTTAAAAGAGAGAGGCCTTTCAAGTGGAAGAGAAAAGGGTATTTGACCAGCAATTCCTCTGCTACCATGTACACTGCTCCCTCCAATTTCTCTAACAAAACACACACGTAGAAACTTCGATGTCCAGGTTACTTTTACTAGCTATTCCCAGTTTGTCCAGCTCTCATTACAACCTGATGCCTTTTTCCCTGAGAGATGAAAAAAAAAAAAAAAAAGCTTGAAGTTTATGCAGGTACTTTGTTGCAATACAGATCCCGATGAAATTTATGATCTTGCAGACTTCTGTTTGAATCTTAGCTCTGACATTTACATTAGCTGTGTGACCTTGAGAAGATTCTGAGCATCTCTTGACATATTTTCCTCTGATCCAATGTGATGATTAAATGAGATAATTGAATCTATCGTTTCTTGAGTGCCTATCATTCTTCTTGTCCTAGGCAAGGTGAGAGATACCAAAAAATCTTTACATAGAGTCCAACTTTAGGAGAGATGAGATATGTATGTAAATCACACTGCGCTATTATGCACATAATGATGACTTAATAAATGATAGCTGTTTTATTATTGTTATTATTATTAGCAGTAATCGTATGATCATGATTATCTGCTATTGAAGAGCACTGGGCAAGAGAAGACACATAGGTTTTCTAGGCAATGGGAGCAACCAGAGCAAATGTGTTTGGGCTGGAACCCAAATGTAACTGGGACACTGAATGCATGTGTAAAGCTGACAACACTTAATAATTGCAAAACTCAGGAAGTAAATGTTGAGTCTTAACCCTACCGCCACTCCCCAGTACACACTGGTAAGTGCAAAACCAAAAGTAGAAGGCGAAGATTTTGATACACCTCAAGGCAGCTCATTTTCCTGCATCCTTATAGCTAGGACTATGCCTTAATCTTTTCTCCTGAGCAAAGGGACTATGGGAGAGAAGTTCAAACTTCGAGCGTTTCTGAGGTGAGAGGGTTTAAAGAGAGCATCTCTGATTGCCCCTTGGAAGTTTTCACAGGTTTCTTTTTCTCTAGATGTGGCAGATGATGGGGTATAGGATACAGCCTTGCTGTCCGATATAAAACCAAGGAGTACAGTGAACTAGGATGCCAGAATATCAAAATGGAGCTTGGTGTGTTTGCTCAGTTCCTTCTTTGTTTTATATTTCGGGAAACTGAAGCTCAGGGAGGGGAAAACTTGGGTAAAATCATGTAGCCAGAAGGTAGTAAAAACTACAGCCGATAGGAACCCAGGATGTGTGGCTCAAAATTGAGCCCTGTTTTTTTTTTGGGCTTTTTTTTGTTTTTTTTGTTTTTGCCATATAACACAGTTGTTTGACTCCACAGAGCATATTACAAAAGAGTATAACTGCAAAGTGCCTTAGATACCTGAGGCCTCTCATTTTAGAGATGGGAATACTGAGTGAGGCCTGCAGAGAAAAATGGACTTGTCCAAGGTAATAGTGAATAAATTGTTGCATTTCAATTAGAATGTAAATCTATGTACTCAAACAATATACTTTCTAGTGCCCACTCTCACACTGTTGCAAAAAGGTCATGGGCTGGAGAATTTTGGGAGCAGTCTCCACTCCTTGAGGTTTTCTGCATATAGACCAGGAGTCAGCCTTTGAAAGCCTTAAGCTTGTGGTTGGCCATGCTCCAGGTTGGCTGCATGCACCTCCCAAGTGGCAATTCCCATGAAATATCTCACAAAAACATGGTGGAAAGGAATGAGATCTTTTATTAAATCTGTTTTAGGCTTGTTGGCTGCTGGACTATCTTGGCTAGTTCAACTTCTTCCTCAATTTCTTGGCTCTTAAACATAAAGTACAGGTGCTGAGCTTGGGAGTCCAGAGGACTCCAGAATGCTGACCTCAGGGTGAATGATCCCGCGGGTGCTCTTTGTACATAGAGCACCTACTGGCTGAGTGTTGCTGGCCAGAGCTACCTATAGAGATAAGCCATTCAGCTCCTTGGCCAGGTACTAGTGAAAGAACCACAACAAACAAGGGCATCTGGAAACATGTAATCAGAATTGGCACACTTGCAGGGGAAATGCAGTGCAGTATATTAAATTATTTCTGCAACCACAGCTCTGTATTTAAAAGGGAAAAAATAAGCACACATAATGTTTCATATTTCAATTTTAAAAGAGGGAGGCTTGGTTTTTAACGTCAAACACAGAGTTCAGGGCAAGGCACACAGTTGGATTTGTAATTTATTTTCATATGCTTATTTATTTATTTATGGCTAACCAAGTTCCACAAAGAATATGAAGCAAAGGATTTGTATTTTTTTTTCTTTTCCAAGTTTGTTTAGGCCAATAGTTGTCACTGAGTGGCTTATCATTGCACTAGAAATTTGGGGGACAGATAAAAGAAGACGCGTCATTCTTGGCCTCAAGGTCTCAATCACAGGAAACAAAGATAGAATCATGATGATGATGATGATGATGGACACAATGTTATGGTTTATCAAGTATTATCACCTGTGGTAACCTAATGATCTTCTTAGGTGATACTGCAAGCAAATATAATTTCCTCTAGCTTACACAAAGTACTAAATTGATATGATGTAAAGAAAGGAAGAATGGTCTACTCAGATTCACTTGGCTGATACTTGGTAGAATCAAACCTGGATTCCCAGAATTTTAAAATTGAAAATAAAATCCTTGATTGATCAGTTCGGGCACTGAGATAGAAAAGAGGAAGAAAGGCTGAAATTGTTTAGAAACGCTTTATGAAAGACACGATATATGACTAAGCAAGAAAGACAAGTAAGAGTTTGTTTTGGTGGAATTGAGAAAGAAAACAGCAATGCAGCGAATGACTTCTCCTCCCTTCACAGAGGAAACTGACCAAGTTTAAACACATTCCACATCTACTTGGTGTTAAATGCTTCCTGAAGCTCATCCACTTGCCTTGTTTGCTATCCAGAATAGCACCACAGGTGGTTCAAACTATCCTGACGGTTACAAAGCCCAGCTTTCACCTTTTCCTGGGTGAGGGACTAGTTTTGGTCATGGCCTCCATCAGGACCACTGCAGTTAGAGCCCGAGAATCTCCAGTCTTGATGGGATCCATGGAGCCTCTGGCCGCATACACAGGCTGGGTGGTAAAATCCTTTTCACATTCACCTGGATGATACTTGGTAGAGTCAAACCAGGAATCTACCCACCAGGAAGACTTTTGTCAATGGAAAACAGGAACACGAGAAGGACGTTGATAGACACATTTCTTTTTCCATTTTTCTATCCTACCTTTGTCACGCTGTTTTGAGATGCAGCAGCCTTAAAGGACCAAACAACCAACTATGTTTTCTTGAGAAGCTATAACCACCTTATAATGGCTTTCCCTTAAAATATTATGTTTGCTTATTTCTACAACATCAAACTCTCCTTGTTTTTCTTGTTCTTTCTGCTCACACCTTAGTTTTCTTTGGAATTCTTAATATTGAAATGCCCAGGTCTTCGTCTTTGGACACTTTCTTATCTAGGCTTAATATTTTTGGGTGAAAAAGCATTCTTATTGCAGATAAATATAAAATGTTTTATTTTTTAGCCCAGACTTGTTTCTTGGACTTTCAGATTTGTTTATTAAATGAACTGCCTGATCAGTATTTCTTTGTGTATGTCTAATCAGCATCCCAAACTTAACATGACTACAACCCAACCTTTTATCTTCCACATATACAGCAAATAAACAAACTTGCTCTCTAGTAGTTTTCCCCACCTCATGAAGTGCCCGTTCTAACCTGCAGTTGCTAGAGTAACCTTTGACCTCTTTTGTTCAACATCCCCCTACCATCTCCAATCCGTTAATGAATACAGAATCAATCCATTTATCCCCCTTCCACAGCAAGATGCCATCGTATTTTGCTAGATTAGTGCAGAAGCCTCCTAACTAATAATATCTTTGCTGCTACCCCATTCCCCTAGTTTCAAGGCAGAAGACTGAGCAGCTTTTTTAGAACATAAATCAGATAACAGCTCTCCTTAGCTTAAAACTCTCTTAAATTTTGCAACTTGCTCAGACTGGAAGTCTGTCCTTAAAATGGCCTACAAATCCCTCTCCAATCTGCCTCTCCATGATGTCAATAACCTTTTCCTTTCTGTTTCCACATCAACTATCTTAGACTCTTTGTCCCTCCTCCAACATGCTACGCTTGCTCTCTCCTTGGGCCTCTGCACTCGCCATTCCTCTGACTAGAGGTAAGGTACCATAAATAGGTGCCTGGATCACTTCATCACCTCTTCAGGTCATTGCTCCAAAGACATCTTCTCAAGAAAGCCCCTTCTGACCACCTTATATAATATTCCCACTGAACTCTTGTCTCCTTTTTCTGCTTTATTATTTATTTATATTGATACATATTTGATGTACATATTTTGGGAGTACATGTAATAATTTCATACCTTCATATAATCCTAATCAGGGTAATTAGGATAGCCAACACCTTAAATATTTAGCTTTTCATTATGCTAGAAACATTCAACTTATTCTCTTCTAGCTAGTTTGAATGGTACAATCAAATTAATGTTAACTATAGTCATCTTATTTAATTTTTTTTGTATATGATTTCTCCCATTAAACATGTGTCTCGTTTCACTTATTTATTTGATGGATTGTCTATATCTATCCTCTCGTTATAAGCACCATGAGTCTTGTGCCCTCCTCTAGCCTCCTATCCCCAGCCCCTGAGACAGTATCTGGCACATGGAAGATGCCCAACAGATATTTGTTGAATGAGTGAGCACTCTGTCTCTTTGCCCTGAGTGCTCTATGATTGTCTTTCCTTTGGGATCAGTGTTTCCGATTGCTGAGGTGATGAGAAGGGTGTGGTAAAATGCCTTTATGGTCATCGCTTGCTACTCAGAGCCTCAACAGAAGCTGCATCCCCCCGCCCCAGCACCCACGTGCAGGAAAACACAGCACATCCTCTGCAGCATATATGACTCTGGCCCTTAACAGAGAGCAAGAGCATTAACATGAACATAGTCTAGGCTTACAAAAGGCTGTCTCTGATCTATCAGTCCCTTCCCTCAAGCAACTTCCAGGCTCATAGGGCAGGTAAAGCATTCCCAAGCAGCTGGTATAGTGTGCTGATGGCAATGAGTTACAGAGTGACATTTGCACATGCAAAAGGGAAGGAACAGTATTGGAAAAAGGCTTTAAGTTTTTATTTGAGCCAAATCTTAACATGGTATTTCAATAAGCAAAAATAAAATGAAAAGGGGACATTAAAAAAAAAAAGATATTTACCATGGGACCATGGGACTTGAGAGAAATGGATTCTGGAAGCTGTGGCTGAGCATCTGAATTTATTCAGGTTCTGAAGGGCAGCATTATGAGTGGACCCCAAGATCAACAAAGGCCTCACAGAGCCAGGCATTTGGTGACAGTTTGTGAGAATGTAACAATGCAAAATTTAGCCTGTATTGGCTGTCATTATCCTAGAAGTCTCTTTCAGACAATTTAAAGGACTCATGACAACTCTTAAGAAAACAAAATACATATATCAAAATGTGTACCTGAGGGAAGTAAAATGTTCTGTTTGGCTTCTGTACCAGGGCTCGTTAGTGAAGAATGAATAAAGCAAGTGTTATTATTATTATTATTATTGTTATTACAATGATAATTCATGTGGTTGCTTGTGTGGAGCAAAGAAATTCTTGTGTAAATGGCCTTTAATAGTAGTTGATGAACATCTGGACTCTCATGTATCAGGTCAGCTTGCAGAGAATTTTACTTTTAATTTACTGGCTTTTGTGTTCATCCTTTCACTTTTTAAAAGTTGGGAAAGTAAATGCAATTTTAACAGGACAAGCAATTTACACTATAAAATGTATTTTGTGGTTCCGTTAGTGAATTGAAGCTCTAGCATAGGCAGCTTATATGCCAGTTCATTAAAATATATCTGCCCTCAAATAACAGACAAAAGGATCTAGGACTAGAAGATAATAATTTTGAACCCCTGCCTTGCTAATTGTTAGCTGTATGAACTTAGTTAGACACTCTTCCAAACCTTGATTTCCCTCTTTGTGAAACAGAGAAAATACTAAGGCTATTTCTAGGAAGATCCAATGAGATAAGATCTAATAATATGAAGTGCTTTGCAAATTATAAATCTCAATTTGTCTAGAAAATTTGTGTTCTTATTGCAGTTATTGCTTATATATCAGTTCTTCTGTCCCTTCCTCAGTGTCCTCATTAAGAGATGCTGACAAAAATCAGTTGCATTTATATATACCATTAAACTATTTGAAAAAAATTAAGAAAATATTGTCATTTACCAATAGCATCAAAAAATAAAATAAAAGACTTTGGAAAAATTTTAACCAAGGAAATGAAAGATGTGTTCAGTGAATACTATAAGATATTGATTAAAGAAGTTGAAAAAGATACAACTAAATGGAAAGATGTTTATGTGCATGGACTGGAATAAGTAATATTGTTAAAATATCTATACTACCCAAAGCGAGCTGCAGATTCAATGCAATCCATATAAAAATTTTAATGGCTTTTTTTTTTCATGAAAATAGATAAAACAGTCCTAAACTTCACCTGAAACCACAAAAGACCCTGAATAGACCAAACAATCTTGAGCAAGAACAAAGCTGGTGGAATCATACATTGTGATTTCAAACTATATTACAAACCTATAGTAATTGCAAAAATATGGCATTGGCATTAAAAAAACAGACATATGGACCAATGGTACAGCATACAGGACCCAGAAATAAACCCATGCCTATAAGGTCATATCTTTGACAAAAACTCCAATAATACACAATGATGAAAGTACAGTATTTAAATAAATGGTGTTGGGAAACTGGATATCCACAAGTAAAAGAATAGAACTGAACTCTTATCTTATATCACAGGCAAAACGTAGCTAGAAATGAATTAAAGAATGTAAGACCTGAAATTATAAAATGTCTACACAAAGACATAAGGGAAAAGCTCTTTGACTTAGGGAAAAATCTCTTTGGTCTTGGCAATGATTTTTTAAAATATGACACAAAAAATCACAGACACCAAAAACAAACAAATGGGACTATATTAAACTAAAAAGTTTCTGCACAGCAAATAAAACAATCAACAAAATGAAAAGACAATCCACAGAATGGGAGAAAATATTTGCAAACTACACATTTGATAAGGAATTAATATCAAAAATATATTCAAAATTCATACAACTTAGCAAAACTCTAAGAAGAAAACAAAACAAAATAACAACATACAAGCCAATTAAAAATAGGCAAAAGATTTGCATAGATATTTCTCACAAATAGACATATGAGTGACCAATGGGTATGTTAAAAAGTGCTCAACAGCACTAATCATCAGGGAATTGCAAATAAAAATCACATTGGGATATTACCTCATACCTGTTAGGATGGCTATTATTGAAAAGACAAGAGATAGCAAGTGTTAGTGGGGGTATGAAGAAAAGGGAACCCTTACACTATTAGTAAGAGTGTAATTGGCATGGCCATTAAGGTGAACAGTTTGGAGGTTCCTCAAAAAATGAATAGTAAAACCACTAAAAAAATGCTCCATAAATCCCACTTATGGCTATTAATTCCATTGCAAAGGAAATGCACTTAAGATGCCAAAGAAATATCTGCACACCCACATTAATTGCAGTATTATTCACAATAGCCAAGATATGGAAACGCCCAAAGTGTCTGTCAATGGATGAATGGATAAAAGAAGTGTGGCATATATACACGATGAAATATATTCAGCCAGAAAAAAAGAAGGAAACCCTGCCTTGCGACAGCAGGGATGAACGTGAAGAATATTAGGCTAAGTGAAATAAACCAGATACGGAGGGACAAATTCTGCATGGTCTCACTTACATGTGGAATGTAAAAATGTCAAACTCACAGAAGCAGAGTAGAAAGGTGATTGCCAAAGGGTAGGAGGTGGGAGAAATAGGGAGATGTTCAAAATGTACACACTTTCAGCTTTAAGATGAATAACTTCTGGGGATCTCAAACACAGCGTAATAATGTTGGTGACTGTAGTTAACAAGGCTGTACTGTATACTTGAATTGTGCTAAGGCAGTAGATCTTATGTATCCTCACCACACGCACACATGAAAGAAGGTGACAGATGTATAAATTAGCTTGATGTTGATGATCATTTCACAATGTACACATTTATCTAATTATCACATTGTGCACCTTAAATATATACTGAACAATATTTATTGATTGCACTTCAACAAAAAATAAGACAAAATTATATTTAAAAAAAAAAACAGACAAAAAACAAAGATATGCTGAATTTAATTAGTCTCTGGTTTTATTTCTCCTACTCCTCTTCCCAAAGGCTCTGTGTTAGTGGATTCACAAGCAACCTGTACTCCTCAAAGAAAGATGATAAGATGAAGGAGATCTCTAGAACCAGCAACTGGGGCTCTTCCTTCAGTGAAAAAAGTGGGTGTATGCAGACTCATCCATCCATGAATCTAGATTGCAGGGATGTGACCTATGTAATGAACTTGCTACTTATTGCTCATCATCATCTTCTTCAATGACAAAAAAGAAAATAGTAACAATGAATACGTCTCTTGGGCAAAATAAATAATGAGATTGTTACAGGTAAGTCTTTTAAAAATCTTTTATTGTAAAGTATTTCATAGATAGATAAAAGGTTGGTACCCATAATATATGAAGAACCTTAAAAATCAATAAAAATGTCAATTTAAATGAGCCAAGGTTATATATAGCCAATTGACAGAAGAGAAAACATAATGGCTTATAATGGCCTAAAAATATAAAAATATGATTTACCTCATCAGTAATAAGGGAAAAGTAAAAATGAACAATCCAAAACAGAAACAAACGTAACAACAGTGACAGACCACTTTACATCTAACAGCTTGATAAAATTAAATATCTAATGTGTTCTATTGATAATTCAATAAATTCTAATTGTCTTTAGTCCTGTATATTTTAGCCACTTTAATGAACTTCTGTGGGTTTTTTTGTGTGTGTTGAAAGAGGTCAAGGAACATTATAATTATAATGATATAAAGTATTCCATTTACTTATGAAGTCTTGTGCATTGCTTTGTAAATTTTTCACTCAATGACCAGCTTAATGCACAGTTAAATTAAAAAAAACCTTGCTGTTTCAGTCAATCTTTGTTTACCAAAGATTCCCTCTTTTTCCATCTTGGCTCTGAGGTGTACTTATTCCATGTATCAGAAAAAACTAAACATTTCCTTAATAAACATTGATTTTGTTCACATCATTTTAACCATCCAGGATTTAAGCCACTTCAAAGGGCTTTTTTTCTGCACTAAATGGGACATTGGGCTCAGCGACCTTTTAGCTTCTTTCCAACTTTGAGATCATATAACTACATAGATTCCAAATGCATTTTTAGTATTTTAAACATACTATTCAAAGAAAAGTCAAAGGATTGGTGGAGAGGATTGTGAGGGTGGGCTGGGCATATGTGGGATGCAGTAAGGGGTGGAGTTGGGGAGATCAAGTGGTACCAATTGTGGGTTGGAATTCTGTAAGCAGCCATGGGTCACAGATGAATCTTACAGAGGGCTTAAAGAGTAGCATGTGCACAAAGTTACAGTCACACAGCATTCACTCTGGAAGGGTTGATGACATCTCTGTCTCTACATCAGGTCCGCAGCCTCTGGAGGTGGGTCCTTGTAACCACCCTCAGATTCATCTGCAGTGTTTTTTTCCACAGTTCCCTGGGAATCTTCCCCCACAGGGCTCTCCCATCCTGTCCCAAGCTGAAACTTTCCCTCCAAGTTCTGTCTCCCTGATGTTAGAATGGGTACCACCTGCAAGCCATACCATGGAACTATTGCCTCCTGCTTAGAAGAGGCTTCTGGGAAGCATATTTGCCTTCCTGCACATCTGGGGGATTATGTCAGGGCCTTGGGAGGAAAGATCAAGCTCTTTGAAAATGAGATTATATTTGCAGTTGTTTATCTGGCTTCCCAGAGAGTGAAGAGAGATGGGATGGGTGCTGAGGAGAGGAAAGATTTGCTCAGAGCCAAGAACCCTGGCCTGAGAGTCAGAAGGATTATTTAATCTTAATGAAAAAATGGGTTTAACAAAAGTGGCCAATTAATAGAGGCCTTTTTAATGGAAATATTTATTGAGCTCTTACTACATGCCAGGAACAGTTCTAGGCTCTGAAAATACATCAGTGAAATGAGATAAGACAGGTTGCCCATTCTTACAAGTTTAGAATCTAGTGGTAAGTAGGGAATGTGAGATAATTTTCATATTAAAATTAGGATAATTCTATTAAAGAATTCTATTACGTATTAAGATAATTCTATTAAAATTAAGATAATTCACTTAAACAGCTCATTACTATTTCTGGGACATTGTAAAAGCTCAATACATGGTAGTTATTTTTAAATGCTCAATGGTAGCTAAATCTAGAAGGTAGAACACTGTGGGTCTTGCAGTATCCTTATCATCGTCAGCACTTAATAACTATTATATTTATTGAATGGCTGAATAAATGGCTCTGCCAATTGACTAGATGTGAGACTTGGAGAAAGTCACTTTCTCTCTCTGGGATGCAGATTTCTCTTATGTACAATACAGAAAGGAGAACACTGTTGATTCATGGCTCCCAATAGCGATCCCAATTCACAATGACCCCATCCTCAGTCCAGATAATTCATCCCGTGTCCCTCAGTCTCACTTAAAGGGCCTTACAGGAAAAACCTCCACTTATCATTTCACACTAGTCTTCCACAAGACCTCTAAGCTCAAGATGAACCAATCTAATCACCATCCTCTAAATTCTCCACGTGTTTCTCGCCCCTAGGCCTCTGCTCACAGTACTTCCTCTGAGAGCTTTCTGTTCTCTTCTCCATCCAGTTGACTTTTTCTTGTTATTGATGTTTCAACATCAACCGTCTTCCCTAGATAATCACCCTTGCCATCTCTTCATTCTCACCTTGCACATTTAGGCTCCCTTCTACTTTGCTGGCAAAGCTCCCGGGGCTTAACTTTAACTCAGCATGGGTACATTTAATTGTGATTCTGTTTTAGTGCATTTTTTTTGAGATCAGAGATAGTTTTATGTATTTATTTATTTTTGTATCCTGAAAGACTCATGGTGCCTTTCACATAACAGATGCTCCATAATCTTTTTTAAGACAGGGTCTCTCTCTGTAACCCAGGCTGGAGTGCAGTGACATTAACACAGCTCACAGGGTCTGGGAAAGTTACCCAGGCTGATCTTGAAATCCTGGGCTCAAGCAATCTTTCTGCCTTGGCTTCCCAAACTGCTTGAATTACAGGTGTGAACCACTGCACCCAACCAATAAATGTTTCTTGAATTGAACTGAATTGTCCTCCATATGCCACTGGGACAAAAATTGCCAGCCATCATTTTATAATGAGTTCATATTAATGTTGACAATATTTTTTTTCACAAAGTATATATTCTTGGAAGGTATTTATCTACTATAACATGCCTTCCTACATTGCCCAGCTGAAGAAACAAATAGAACAAATTTCAAAGTCTGGATGTCAAAAATAATATATGATTCCATGTTAAGCTGAAATAAGATTATAGAGAACTATCAATGCACTAAAGTAGAAAGTCATTTATACTTGATATAAGTTGGTCTTAAACCTAGTTCTGCCACTTTATTTATCTCCCTTCAATCTCTTGGGGGCAATGCAATTACTAGTAGAAAGAGTACTCGTTTTGGCATGAGACGAATCTGGATTCAGTTGATATACATATATCTTTTTCTAACTCTGTGAACTGTGAAATGTAGTATATTCTTGAAGTGCAATTCTTTCATCTGTATCATGGTCTAACTAGATATAATACGTAGGGTGTTCTTAATATTTTATAAAATGATTTAAATAAAGAATTTAACATAGAATCTACCCCATGTGAAATACACAATGCAAATTGGTTTTTCCACTTATAAAATTAGGATCTTGGGGACAGAATGCATCTGAGGATGTAGCTATGTCTATGAAAATGGTATGCCTAGTTATTGGCCATAGTTGATATTCAATATATGTCTGTTAACATAATGAAAATGGTGACATCATAATAACTCTTTTGTTGAAAACCAGCACTACTTCCTGAAACATATTTGAGTCAGTTAGAAGCTAGTTTTCTGATGAAGAAGAAAGTAATAAAAACAAGTAAGAAGACATAAAAAGAAGATGAAGAAAAGGGAGGAGGAGCAGGAAAAGGAGGAGAAGGATGAGGGAGATGAAGAGAAGGAAGAAGCAAAAGGTGAAAAAAGAGGAGGAGGAGAGGAAGGAGGGGAAAGAGGAGAAAAATTGTTACAGAAAGATGAGAAAAAATGTGATACGTGTATTATTAAGAAAAAGGAAATACCATCAGTTTGAAATAATTTTTAGAGTTTTCAGCCCAGAACAGTCCTGGTAGACTTTGTCTCTACCAAAGGGTACCATAAGAGATATTGGGATGAAGTTGCTTTCATCCTTATTTTACAAAGGTCTGCCAACATCTCTTAGGACCAAGTGCTCTATACTTGTGAATTTCTTGGAATTCCAGGATAGCTACAGCCTATGTTTTAGTGACCCAAGGCAGCAAAATTGCAAGGGTCTAAACTGGATTTCTTGATTTAGGATCAAAAGTCTGATCTTTTAAATAGCTTGTGGAGGTTAAAAATGGCCAAGCCTTGACATCAGGGAATTACCCTTTTAAAAAATTATTATTTCTTTAGAAAGCACCGCATGTCTGGATTTTTCCATCTCATTATTGGCATGACCATTTTTGCAGGCTTAGTAATGATACTCTTTTTAAACTTTAGTCATAGTAATGAGGCCCTTTTAGGAGAGAACCAAAGGCTCCATATTTAGTCTTTCAACTAATGAGCTTGGGTAAAATGTTGAATTTGTTATGTGCTAGAGAAACAGTTAATAATGCAGCAAAAACTAGCTTTAAGAGGCAGTCAAGCTTGCCTGTGTATTGGTCTTATAATCAGGAGGTATGCATGTAAACAAGTTAGGCCTTTGCCTTTTCTTGACTATTTGGTTTAATAATTTCATCAGCTTTTTTCTTTGCTTGATATCTTTTTAATTCACTTTACATTTTTATATGTTATGACATTAAAAAGGAAAATGTCATAATGAAATATAGATGCCTTTAGGCACTTTTTCTTTCCTTTTTTCCTTGTCTCTGATTGTAAGAAAAGAGCTTCAATGTGGTAATATACAAAATAAATAAAGTTCTAAAAACAGTATAAAACACCTATATAGCACCAACCGGAAATGTATGTGTAAGTGTGAATGTACACACTCACACACACACACACTCACACATACACACACACAAATATGATCTATATGTCTCTTTCTAGTTTTTAGTCTGAACTTTTTATTCTTCATCTTTATATACTACCTGCATAATTTTATATTCAACTGTTTTGTTGTTTGTGTTTTTGTTTTCAACCTTAGATGAAGCATATAATTGAGTCAATCTTACTCTGTTTCATGGTAATTATCCCGATTCTTTCAAGGCCTCATACTTGTTTTATTTTACTTAGTATTTTATCTTCTATTCATTTTCTCTCCCTCCCCTTTTCCCCTTTGTTCCTCCAAACATCCAGACTAGCATATTTGATGTTTCTTAGATATACAGTCAAGCTTAACACATATTTTGTTGTTTTATATAAATATACATTTTTAATTTTCACAAATAAAATTATACATTTGTTATTTATTTCTTAATTTATTCAATAAATACTGTGTTTTTAACATTTAACCTTATTCTTCCAAGTGCATCTAGTTTTTGTCTTCTGACTATAATTCTGCTTTGTATTGATCACCCTCTTCTTTTTAATTTACCCAACCTTTTGGTAATAGACATTTAGATTAATCTACTTCCTTACTACCACACGTATCTTATGAATAAATATGTCATGCATGTCTCTTGATAGACTTGTGCGTGGCTTTCTCTGGAGTAGATACCCAAGAGTAGGATTCCTACATCCATGGCCATATACACATGCAATTTCACTTAGTATTACCAAGATTTGCCCTTGAAATTGGCCACACCAGTTCAGGCTCCCACCTGTAGGGCAGGGAGTGGGTTCCCATTTCACTCCTGTATTAGTCCATTTTCATACTGCTATAAAGAACTGCCTGAGACTAGGTAATTTATAAAGGAAAGAGGTTTAACTGACTCACAGTTCAGCATGGCTTGGGAGGTCTCAGGAAACTTACAATTGTGGTGGAAAGTGAAGGGGAAGCAAGTCGCCTTCCTCACAGGTGGCAGGAAAGAGACCTGTGGAGGGAAGTGGAAAGAGCTCCTTATAAAACCATCAGATCTTGTGAGAACTCATTATCATGAGAACAGCATGAAGGAAACTGCCCCCCATTCAATTACCTTCACTTTGTCTCTCCCTTGACCTATGGGTATCATGAGGATTACAATTCAAGATGAGATATGGGTCAGGACACAAAGCCTAACCGTATCAGCTCACTCACCCCATATACAATAAGGCACAATTGTAAGTATGAGCTAAATATAAAATAGTATATGTTATCTCTGCCTGCAATATTCTTCCCCCAGACATTCACATGGGTCACTCCCTCTCCTTCAAGTCTTTATTCAAATGTCAATTTATAAATGAAGACTTCACTGTAGCCCTTTAAAAAATTGCAACCCCAAACTTTTTATTCTCTTTTTGAAATTTCAACTCCCACACTTTATATTCCCATTCCCTACTTTTTATTATTTAATAGCACTATGTAATCTCTTACATGTTAATATTTGTCACTGTTTTATATGTCCTTAAAAAATGTATATTCTTTGTTGGGTCTGTATGTATCTATTAGATAGTACCTACTAATCATATTTTTGTAATTTTTAAAAATACTTTTGCTTATTTTGAAACTCTACTTGATCTGTTAGAGGAACATGTAAAAATCTCACCCTGTAAGTTATTGCCACATTTATTTCTCTCTGATATTCTTATAGTGTTGTTTTATTAATTCTGTGTGTATTTCTTTATGTGCATATATGTTTATGAATATTGTTTCTTTTTTTGTTCTATTGTTCTATTATCTATGTTGTTATTTTACTATTTTTCTCACTTTACTTAAAATTATATTAATATGTTATAAAAATTGCTATCTCAGACACCTGTGGTACATATCTTCCTCATATATATGTTTCTATTATTTTTGTGTAAACCATACCTGTGTTTTTAATTTTTCTCTTAAAGATAACAAATTAGTGGATTTTGGCATTAAAAAGTACAATTTAAGAATCTCTGAGTCTTGAACAGTAAATTTAAACCATGAACATTTAATGTATCATGATTATATTTGTACTTATTTCTGTAACTTTATTTCATAGTTGTATTTGCCATGCTTATTTCCCTTTTCATCTTCCTTCCTGCCTCCAATTAATGCAGTAAATTTTATTGTGCAGTTTAGAAAAATTATATTGAATTGTTTCTGATGATAAGAGAAAATTTATTAAGAATTTTATATTGTTTTGTCATTCTCTCATCAATTTTTAAGACTTTCAATGTGTATGTCTTCCATGATCAACAAAAACACTTTAGCCCATTCTCTTCTTACTTGTCCTCTTCTCCTTCACCCTCTCATAGTATCATACTGAGTTTTAATTTGAATTCCTATACATTTCTCTTTTCTCACTTTTTTTTTTATCTTGTGAGAGATCATTGATTAAGACAGTAACTTTTCTTAAGGTAATTAATTAACTTTGTTAGCAAGATCTTCTATAATTCTCCTGAATTTAATAGTCTACTTGTAATATTTTTTATAAAAATGTCTGCAAAAATGGTATTTTTGTATTAAAACTTTTGGGACTTTTTAAGCCTAAGACTATGATTACTTGGCTTTTTCATTTAGAGTTGATTATACACATACTTCTTTTTTTAGCACTTTGGAAATATTTCTCCACTATCCTCTTGCATCTAGTGCTTCATACACAATGTTGGTTTCTACCTGATTTCCTCTTCCTCTATAGATCAGGTCTTTTTTTCTCTAGAACTGGATAAAATTTTCTCCTTTACTGAAGTTTTTAATTTTACTGTACAGTCTTTTTTTGTTTACTTCTTTGATTCTTGTTTGTTTTGATTTCTTTATTCACATGATTTAGCACTCTGAGACCTTTCTATCTGCAATTTTGCTTCTTTTTATTTTAGGACAGTCTCAATTGTTATTTCTTCAAGTATGCTTTTTATGCATCCCCCACTAACTTCTTTCCAATATTCCTATTATATAAAAATTGGCAACTCTGTTTTACTCCTTTGCATTCCTTAAGTTAAAAGAACATTAATCAATATGTTTCTTTCCAATATCTTCCATATACATTAGTCTGAATTTCCACTTGATTCTTTAACTCTTCATTGATTCCATGCTTTCATTTATTTGCCATAAGAACTTTATTTTAGCTGTTTTATTTTGTTAACCTGTTATCTCCATGATTTTTTTCATATTTCGTTTTCTTGCCTTATATTTCTAACAGACTATCTTATTACACTGAAGATGACTTTTTATGTTTACATCTATTTTCCTAAGCACATCTACGCTTCATAAAGGCAAGGACCATGTCTTACTTATCAACTTTTATATATCAGTTCTTGAAAAATATGACATTCTTAAAAACATTTGCCCAATTACTAAATGTGCTAAATTAGTGAAAGAAAAGATACATTTTATTCATTGTATATTTTTTGAAATGGTTTACTGAATGCTTAGCATTTTTTAAAGCACACTTATTGATTAGCAGAAGACTTTTTTTGAGGCTATTCTGTTAAAACTGTGGCTCTTCTGATATGTTAGCTTTGGACTTCCAGCCATTAGAACTATAAAAGAATACATTTCTGTTGTTTTAAAATACCAAGTTTGTGTTACTTTGTTACTACAGCCACAGGACTCTAATATACACAGTGAAAAGTTTTGGGATCCCTTTATACAATGATCTCCCTTCCACATTTTAGAGATTTATAATATACATTAATATATTAAAAGATCTATTAAGTCCGTGAATTTATTTAGGTCAATATTTTCAAAACTTATTTGAGACTGGGATTCATTCCTTCTCTACTCTCTTCATAACACTGATAGCCTGTGTGACTATGATTTACAAAGTACACTTCGAAGAATATTGAATTAAATATTCCTAATCCTAAAATTAAGTCAAAAATAGTTGCAAAATCATAGCATACTTTCTTTCATTCTTAAAACAATTGACGCACTGTTATTTACGCTTTAAGTAGCAATCCTGTGGAATTCATATTTTCTTTTTTCTCCCTTTCTCCCTTTCTTTCTCTCTTTCTCTTTCTCTCTCTCTCTCTCTTTCTTTTTTTTTTTTTTTTCACTCTTGTTGCCCAGGCTGGAGTGCAATTGCATGATCTAGGCTCTCTGCAACCTCTGTCTCCTGAATTCAAGCGATTCTCCTGTTTCAGCCTCCCAAGTAGCTGGGATTACAAGCGCCGGCCACTATGCCAGGCTAATTTTTGTATTTTTAGTAGAGACGGGGTTTCACCATGTTGGCCAGGCTAGGCTCAAACTCCTGACCTCAGGTGACCTCCCACCTTGGCCTCCCAAAGTGCTGGGATTATGCACATGAGCCACCATACCCAGCCCAGAATTCACACTTTCAACAGCAAAATGGACTTTGCAAGATATTATACATAGATAGGGGCCAAAGATAGTAATAATCTGAATTTTTTGCATTAATTCCATTATTGCCATTTTATATTTCACAGACATTAATAACATTTTGTATAGCAGAAAAACCAGCATGTTTTTATGTACTAGTCCAGCAAATAAATACTGTCATTTACATAATGATATCATACTATTACTTCAATAAACAGATGACTGAAAATTGTACTCTATTTCCATATCTAGAATACATTAGGAAAGGGCAAGTATTTAAGTAAGGATAAGAAATTCCAATTCCTTATCCTATTGGACTTAGTATATTGCACTTTGGAAAGAAGGCATATTTTAAAGATAGAAATGTAAAGGATGAAATGCAGCAGAGTACTGTCAAAGTCTCTCTTTTATTAATTTATTCAACATTTTTTACAAATATTTGTTGAGGTGCCCTTCCATATACAAAACATTGTGATGGGTGCTCTTTTCATAAATGATAGTAGAAATTAATTTAAGGAAACATTGTCTAGTTAAAACCAAACATTGATGCTTCAGAAAACTGAGGTTCAGGGATACGAAAAAAACTTGCCAAGTCACACAAAGAGTTAATAGAACAACAAACTTGAACAGTAATAATATTAATTTGGATACTTTAATGACAATGCAGCTATAATCAATTTATGTAAAAAAATGAAATCAGATCTCAATACTTTGCTTTTACTCTTCCCCAATAAATGTATTGACCCTTTTATTATTGCCCAGTAAACGGTTTATTTTGGTGAACAGTCCATGTATACATGAAAATAATGTGTTTCCCGCTGAGTGGAGTGTTCCATAAATTCCAATTAGAACAAGTTCATATGAGAGTTGTTTGTCTCATCTACATTCTCACTGATTTTCTATGCATTATATTAATTATTAAAAGCAGAATTTTAAAATTTTCAACAAATCTGTATATTTCTCCATTTATTTCTATTAGTTCTTATTCATTTTGAAACTCTTATTATGTTCAAGCACATTTAGGATTATTCAGTCTTCCCAGTGAATTGACTTTACCATCTTTATTATTAAAAAATGTCTCTATTTTTCTCCGGAAATATTCATTTTTATGATGTTTATTTTGACTGATATTAACCTAGCACTCCTAGCATTCCAGTTTTCTTATAATCAATGACTGCTTTATAAATATTTTTTATTCTTATACTTGTAGCCTGTATGTGTCTTTTAACTTAAAACACATTGCCTGCAATAATTGGTTTACATACTTTTTACTTCTTCATATGTTATAAATCCAACCATAGATTGTTATTGCTTTTTGCACTGAACAGCCAATTATCTTTACAGGAATTATGGAATGAGAAAACACATATTTTAAAGTTTCATTTCTAGTGTGGTTCATTTGTATAGATTGTTTCCCACCTAGCATCACTTTCCTTTAGCCTGAAAAACTTCCTTTAACTTCCTTCTTATATATTATTTTAACATGTTTGCTGGTGACAAATTGTTTTAGTGTTTGACTTTTTCATTCATAAGGAATATTTTTTATTTAAAATATTTTATTGTTGGATGCAGAATTCCATGTTACTTTAGAATTTTGAAGATGTTGTTCTTTTATCTTCCAGATAATGTTTGGCCTGTTTCTAATGAAAAGTTACTGATAATTGTTATCACTATTCCTGATGACTGCTTTTAAGATTTTCTCTTTGTCTTGAGTTTTCATCAGTGTGAACACGACGTGCTTAAATGTAGTTTTCTTTGTGTTAGTCTTTCTTAATTTTATTGAGATTCTTGAATACATGGGTTTATTCATTTTTTTATTAAACTAGGGAATTTTTAGCCAGTATTTAAAGAAATATATTCTCTTCTTGATCTCTTTCTTCCCTCTTTCTAAAACTCCAATTACACATATATTAGACTGCTTGCTATTATCCCTCAGATCATTGAAGGTATATCCATAACTTAAAGTCATTTTAATCTCTGCTTTTTAATTAGAATGATTATCGATATAACTTCTATGGCTATGCATTCAAGGCTGCTTATCATGTTTTCTGCAGCATCCAGTCTGCTGTTAAATACATTCAGTTAATAGCCTTTATTTCAGATATTGGACTTATTACTCTATAATTTATTTTGTTTTTTTAAATATGATTTTTACTTCTACATTGAGATCCCTATCTGTTTTCTAGTTATGTTCACATTTTCCTTTAAGTCCTTGTATATATTTATAGTAACTGATTTAAAGTCCTTGTGTGGTAATTCCATTAGTTGTATTATTTGTGGGCATTTTTTGTTGACTAATGTTTCTATTGATTGTCAGTCAAAATTTTCTGCTTCTTTCCCAGTCTAGTAATTTTGAATTATGTACATGAACATGTGGATACTTCATTACTGAGTGTCTGGATTTTATTGCCTTTACTTAAATAGTTGATGTTTGTTTTGCCAGGCAGTTAATTTCTTCTGAGACTTTTATGTAAGTCTCTTTCTTCATCTGAGGCTTTTTTGTAAGTGTTCTTAGGTTCATGTGGATTAGCCTATACTCTGTGAATTGATTAGCCCTATTCCTAAGGTGAAAGCTGTTTAGAATTTCATCTAAGATGGATAATACCTCTCCATTCTGGCTTGCTTTGTACAAACTTAAGAATCTCATAGCTCATAGATGTTTAGCTAATATCCCCCTAGTAGTTGTCTTCTTATTGCTTTATTTTATTTCTTGCCAAAACTTGCAGGCTATATAGTAGGTTCAACTAAGTATTCAGCCAAATACTCAAAGGGAGATCCAAATTTCTGTTATGGACATTTCCACATTTCCATACAACTCTTTCTCTAGAGCTTGGACCAGCAGTTTGGAACTATAGGTTCTATTCCTTCAGCTCCATATTGTAATACTTCCTGCCCTGTGGGCCAAAATGTATTCCCTGGTTGTAAGCCTGTTGATTTGAGGATTCACTACATTTGTTTCCCATTTCTTAGTGATCACCATTATGCTTTACCTGTTGCTCAATATCTGAAAACAGTTGTTTACTATACATGTGATGTTTCAGTTTTTTAATGGCAGGAGACCTAGTTAAGATAAGTGTCCTCGTTTTTTTTTTGTTTTTTTTTTCTTGTAATTAGATACTCCATCTGCTTAATAGTGCTGTCTTTGGATTAGTAGAGAACCCAGGAATGTTTCCTAAGTTCATTGTCAACCATTTAGCCATTCCTCTGCAAACATATATCAATGTGTCATTGTGGTCTGGCACACGTGTTTTAGATTAAAATGTGCTAGATCATACTAAGTGATTGTTACTAGTTGAATAAATAAATTATATGGTCTATGTTGCTAAACATACTATTACAACAGTATCCTCCATTATCTTATACATGTAGATTTTTACATAGCAAAAAAAATCCTACACACAGTTTGAGATCAGTGTGTATATTGATCTGATGGCTGTGAAGATGACTAAAGATGCAGTCACTGTACTTAAAGGATTTAGATTAAAATTAAAAATATAAGATCCAAATGCATGGAAATTTGAAGTACTAAGACATCACTTTCACTTTGAATTTGAATTTGTTAAGTCACCTAAGTACATGCCATTGTATATGGTATTATACTATTATTATTTTGAATGTGGTTGACTGATGAATTTGGAAGAAGCTGGACATGGCTGCCAAATCGTTCTGAAGGAAGAAGCACCTTGCACTTTGTATACTAACAAAATGTCATTAGTTATAGATTTTTGAGCATATCATTGTGTTTCACCTGTCTATCACTTTCAATATTCTGTTCTCACTGACTAGAATATGACCTTCTGTAGTCTTTTTTTAACAAACTCCTACTCACCCTTATAAACAATGTTTCTTTTATTATCTTCTCCAAAAAAATAACTTTGATGTTATAAAAATAAATGGATTCTTCTGTGTATGTATATCTGAACTTTGCACAAGGTTGAATAGAGCACTTATCAACATATATTTGAAATATTTTTGTAAATTAATACTTTTACTGAAGTATTGAGGTCAAGGATTATTTATTTTTTGCTACCACCACAACTTTTGCTAATACCTAGTGTTAGTCATTGCATGGAAAATGTAAATGAAAAAGAATAGAATAGATTGGAAATGGATAAACTAGAAGAGAATAGGATAGAATAGAATCAGGGAGTCTAGGATAGAATAGAATATAATGTAATACAATAGAATAACTTAAAAAATTGGTTAGACACTCTGGAGGAATTTTAACTTTTGAAAATTACCAAAATATCAAGTATTCAAATAATAATTGCTATCTGGTCATCACTTGTGAAGATCTCCACTGCGTGACTGATGCAGTAGCAATGATTCTACTCTTTGAAAGTGATTGAAGCCTATTAAAACCAAGAAAAGTGCTAATAAAGTAAAAAAATAAATAAATAAACTTTTAAAAGCTTCCTCTTGCCTGTGCCTGTCAGAGCCCAGTGTGTAAAGCTCAACCCAGTATTTCCAGGTGACTAAAGGCAGGTTCATCTCTTTCAAGGACTTCCTAAAAATTTTCGAGTGAGAGTTTTTTGCCATAGAATGGATCCTTAGAAACCCAGTGGCAGGTTAGCATAGGGAAGAAGGTAGAAATTTCAGAATCACTTCAAATACCAGCCAATAGTGAGATGTAATGGAGTCTGTGAGGACTCTAATACTTTAGTTTTATTGGCTGGTGTATCTGTACTCCATTCATTTCCTTATTTACTTATTCATTAGTTTGCTTCTTTATTTAAAGTAAATATAAACAAATATTTACTGGTTGCCTACTATTGGCCATATAAACCTCATTTCTTACCCTCTGTTTAGGCATAGGCAATAAGAATTAAGAAATAAAGAAGACAAAAGATAGCTATAATCATGGAGCTAAAAATAAGGACATGGACAATGCTGAGAACAGGCTTTATCATAGAGTACAATAGGTGCTATAATGGATAAATGCAGAGGGTACTTTGAAATCATATAGCAGGGACCCCAAAGTTAATATAGACAGTTAGGGCAGACTTGCTTCCTAGAGAAAGTGACATCTACATTGAGATCTGAATGTTGAGTGGGAAATAATGAGGGGAGGAGAAATAAAAGAGAGTATAGCTTCTTAGAAGGGGTAAAAAATGAAGCACAGTGTTCCTAGAGGGTAGACTGGGGGTAGGTTGGTGAAGAATGAGTCCAGATTGGTGAACAGGTACAGACACAAAAAGCTTTGTGAGTTGGATTAAAGTGTTTAGAAAGTATCCTTTTTCATTTTTGTTGTAAGAAGAGTGACTATGCATTACTGGAATAATTGTAATCGATCTATACCGTATGCCTGTACATCTATATGTATATAATCTATTTGTATGTCATATGTATTATGACATCATAATACACACAATATGTATATATATACATGAAATGAGTGTGAATGCATGCAGACACATTATGCCAGGTGTACACAGTTACGGTTTGACTCTTAATTCCTATCCATGGGGTGTACTCATCAGCACATCCTTGTTGATGTAAATTCTCCTGCAGTGGGTTACCTGACTCTTTCCTAAGCTCTTCAGACCGCCCTACCTCTACTTGTCAATTAAAAATATCAATCTAAGATGGAAATCTGGTCATGCTGTCTCGTTTGCTTAAAACACCCCATTGCCCTTAATAAATTGCATTAAAATAAAATTTAAGCTCTTTAGAAGTGTTTACCAAGACCCTTCATAATCTGAGATTCCCAAATTTGCCAACCAATCCTCAGCCGTCATTGTTCTCCCACACAAATCCAATATTCCAATAAAAATAAATTTCCTCCAGTTGCTTGATGTGACACAAGCGTTTCTAACTTTGTATATGCTCTTCCTCAGTCTCTACCATTCTTTTTCCTTCTTTACCTGTCTAATTTCTATTTTTCCTTGAAAACCCAGTGCAGGCATCACTTTCTCCTTCTTCCTAGGATGCTATGGGTGTTTCCCCTTCTCTGATTACCAAAAGCACCAGTTGTACACATAGTCCCAGCTCCATTACTTGATGACCATAACTTTGGTTTGAAACTTAACCTCCACAATCCTATTTCCCTTTACCTCTTTAAGATAATGACACATCTACCTCTTGGGGTCACTATAAGAATAATAGATTCCATTCAATATATGATGACTGGTGTTATTATTTTAAATTATTGTAGTCATTGTTACATGCATCATTATTCTATTAACTGATCGGTTTTTCTAATCAGCCTGAAGGGCAGGTTCATGTGTTTGTTTTGTTATTTCTTTAGTGTCTCAAGGACCAGAAATAGGATGGGAGTTCAGTGAATCTCTACTGTGTAATGGAAGAGAAAAGGTCTCTATAGGAGCCAAATGTCCAGCTTCACAATTGGCCTGTTGTGGGATATTAGGCAGATCATTTCCCTCCCTGGGCCTCTGTAATTTTATCTGAGACACAGAATGAAGGAATTAGAAGGTGACTAAGGTCTCTTCTAATTACATAATGTTATTGAACTTATCAAACTATAGGATGAGATGCTTTGATGATTTTTATGTTATTCCTCAAAGAGTCCACTCTAACTCCAGGGTCTGGTGCAACCCAGGTCCAGGCTCTCAGAAGTTCACTGCCAAATCTGAAAACTGGTTTGTACTGGGTGGGATGAATATTACTTACACTGATACCTCTAATAATTTTGGTCCTGACTGCTTACCAGTGCAGCAATTGGACACTCATTGTTCCTGCTGTTTCAGCAAAGACGTGAGAGGCACATTTATGATTTAGTGTGTCAGAATCACAGATAGAAAAGCTGTCATCTGTAATTTTCGCATGTCAAGTGACTACAAGTTGAGCTGACAGAATGAATCAGGCCTTCTTTCTCTTATTTTGTGTACCATCTCCAGCAACCTGATTTTTGAAAAGAAAAAAGGAACTTCCTCGAACTAAAGCAGTTAAGACCTCGACATTTGCTCATAGAAAAAGTCGCTGAGTCGTTTCTAGTTGTGAAGGTGCAAAAGATGCAGTTATCCCTTATGGAAAATTCCAAGAACTTGTGCCTAATTTGAGTCATGCAAACCTGAGTTCTGCATGACTGAGCTCTGTCACTCAATGGTTGGGAAATTTGTGATCATCTCTACGCCTTGCTTTCTGCATCTGTAAAGTGGAAATGATAATATCTACCTTGTGTGATTCCTGGAAGAATTAAATACATTATATTCAAAATCTTTTGGTCAATTGTAAATTAACAGCAAGCATAAGTTATTGTAAACTGAGAGAATCAAACTTTGATTAACATATTTAGCATCTTTAAAATCCACATAATTCCAGTTTTTACTCATGGGAGAGGATTATATTGAAAATAATGTAAGTTTTGTTTAAACATTTTGTATCTTATATGGTTTGGGGTACATTTTTTGTGAATGAAAATTTTCACTGTCCTGGACTGAAGAGAAGCAGAGGAAATTGAGTTGCTTCTAATTTTGCCCCCTATGTTTTCTAGAACACAGGAAGGAGATTTGTGCTGATTAAACACACATACATACATATATGCACACACACAAAAAATTCCATTCTTCAACTTTATATAATTGTCCTATTTCTCCCAAACACAAAGTGAAGAAATTCAAGGAAAGCTAATGCACCTTGGTTGTAAAATAGGCACATCAACCCATATGGCTGTTGTGAGGCATAACTGAACTAGAATTACGTGTCAGGGGCTTTGCAGATGGTTACACATTATACACAAAGGTGAATGTTTTGGAGGCAGCCATAAAGTGTAAAAATTTAACCAAGGGCTTTGAGGTCAAAAGCCCTGAGATCAAATTCAGCCTCTGCCCCTTTTCCTGGTTTTTCCTGCATGGTATATGACCTATCTCTTGCAATCTGAAAGTTGCGGTCTCCTTAGGTATAAATGGTGGTATTCTCACCTGCCTCACAGGACAATGATGAGGAGGAAGTAAAATGATGGATATGACTTTGCTCTGTAACCAGTAGCATGGTCTACAAATGTGTGGCCAAGAAGTGGGTTCTACACTAATTACAGGGAAAACAAAGGGATCTCTGAATTAGCTGGGGAATTATTCCTCCCTCCACCTATGCCTTGAACAGCCAAGAGCAGTGCTCAGTCAGCAAAGACACAAAGGTTGAGGCCATTAAGCTGCATTCACACCCAGAGCCTGATGATCTCACAAGTGCAATCAGCAACAAAAAAAAGAGACAAACATTTACTGCAAAGACGAGTTTCTTTGCAAAGGAAATCTAGCACTTTGGTCCATTCTGGGTTGGGTGCAAACACCATTCTCTCGCTGAGTCTCAGCTGTGTCAATATTCAAAAAAGAAAGGGATTAATGAAACAAAATGTCTACTCTGAGCACTTGGCTATCCCTGAAATAAAAGAAGAAAGCGGGGGAAACAAAAGAAAGAATATAACCAGCCTTGCTCTCCACTGGGAATTTATTTCCCTTTAATATTCATGTGGGTAACATTCATTGCCAATAAATGTAGACATGCATTTTAATGGCATACTGTATTAGGAATAAAATGAGAACACCCAGAAACTTGACAACACAAATGAGTACTAAGATCCTTTTGTCTGCTATCTGTGCTAATTTCTGTCCCATCTGTGGAAAAACACCTTAAAACTTTTGCCTTTTGTTTCTGTTTCTGTGTTTACCTGCCACTTGATAGCTTTGTTTTGTAGAAGAGCTCCTCAAAAACACAGGCCATGTCTTCTACATCTCCTTGTTGTTTTTGCTTAGCACAGAGATGGACACAAATAAATTGCATGGGGGAATTACATGGGGATTTTGCAGTTCTGGCCACCACTGTTCAAAAAGGACATTGGACAACTGGAGCAGATGGAAAGGGGCCTAGAAACAATGTTATATGAGCAACTAGTGAAAGAACAAAAAGAGCTCTAAGCTAGAATACTGGAACACTCAGAGCTGAAGTGAGGATGGCAGGACAGCATGAGAACTGTCAGTTAAATTTCCTTGTGCCTTGGGAGACTAAATCCAGAGCTCAGTTACACGAACGAAGGATTTTGCTAAAACTAAACCAAAAGAAGACACACAAATAGCCAACAAGTACATAAAAAATGTGCAACATCACTGATCATCAGAGAAATGCAATCAAAACCACAATGAGTTACCATCTCACCCCAGTTAGAATGGCTGTTATAAAAAAAGACAAAATAAAATGCTAGCATAGATGCAGAGAAAGGGGGACTCTTATACATTATAGATGGAAATCTAAATTAGTACAGCCATTATAAAAAACCATATGGAGGTTCCTCAAAAAATTAAAAATAGAACTACTATATGACCCAGCAATTTCACTACTGGTTATTTATACAAAGTAAAGAAAACCAGTATATCGAAGTGATATCTGTACTCCCATTTTCACTGCAGCACCGTTCACAGTAGCAAAGATAAGGAAACAACCTAAGTGTCCATCAGCAGATGAATGAATAAAGAAAATGTGTTAAATACACACAATGAAATATGACTCAGCCATAAAAAGAATGAAATCACATCATTTGCAGCGACATGGATGAAACGGGAGGACATTATGTTAAGTGAAATAAGCCAAGCAGAGAAAGACAAATATGGCATGTTCTTATTAACATGTGGGAGCCAAAGAAATTGATCTTATGGAGGTAGATAGTAGAATGATAGGTACCAGAGACTGGGAAGAGTAGAGTAAGATGCAGAGATGTTGGTCAGTGGGTACAGACATACAGGCAGATAGAAGAAATACATTCCAGGGTTTGACAGCACAGTTGGGTGACTATAGTTAACAACAATATATTATATATTTCAAATGGGTAGAAAAGAAGATTTAAAATGTTCCCAGAACAAATGAATAATAAATGGTAGAGGTGATGGATATCCTAAATACCCTGCTTCAGTGATTACACATTGTGTGAATATATCACAAGCACTCCATAAATAGGTACGATTAGTATGTATCACTTTAAAAAATACCCACACCTATAATGATTTAATTTTATTCCCCTCCCCAACATTGGTGATTTTACTTGCTGTGGAGATTTTTACCCGTGGGAATTTTCAAATTTGGGATCAGAAAATCTATCTACTCTTGAATATCACTCTAAGAAATTCAGTGTCCCAAGTGAGGTCACTTGGCTTATTTGAGCATTAAAATACAAAACAAAACTAAGTTTCATCTGGGCACATGATTTGTTTTTTTTTTTTTTTTAACTTTTCCTACTGAGAATCATTGACTCTTCCTCTGATGGGAGAGCATTTTTCTAAAACAGTATGATGGCATTTCTTTTTCCCTGAAGTCCCAACCTCAGAGCTTTCCAAAGAATAAACATTCCACATTCAGTCATTAGGGACTCCTCATTGCACAGCCAACGTTTTGCTATAAAGGAATCTGAACAGAAGCAGAAGCAGTAGGAGAGGCAATTCAATTGCTAACAAACTTCATGACAGGAGGATATTAGATGATCTAGAAAATTAGGATGTTTGGCTTTGAGAAACACCGGGAAACTGAGGCCCAAAGAAAAGTAACTTTTTTTAAGGCACCTCAGAGAGTGACAAACCTGGAATGAGAAGGAACCCTTGTGTATTAGTATTGCAGCAGAGCGATGTCAGGAAGCTCATCCAGAGGTCTGGATGCTACCAATGGACTTCAGAGACCACTTGACTTCTCCTAGAGTCAGAAACTAAGCTGGACCCTGATTTCTGTGGAGGAGCCGGAGAGTGAGAGTTAAGGTAAGGGTTAAGGCAGCCCAAACATCCCTGTTCCACCTCTATAATCTTGAAAGTCAATGTGTGAGTTCACAGTGGACATATAAGAGCAGGGCAGGGTCCTCAGTGTCCCTTTGTCATCCCCTGAGTACCAAAAATTGGGCCAGGGTCCTAGTAAGGGCACAACCCAGCCCCCAAATTTGTTGGCTTCTTGTTAATTGAGTGAGTGAGAGATAAGGGGGAAAGTAGTTTGTGCCCCCATTAACTTCTAATATAGAGCTGAAAAATCTAAATCTATGCAAGTTAGGAAAAATAAACCAATCCTCCAAAAACAAAACAAACAAACAGACAAAAAACCTCCAGGATCTTCTACATGGCAAGCAAAATAGGCACAATCCCTGCCCTCATGGTGGATATATTTGAATTTCTTATACTGATAATTCTTTAAAATACACATTGACATATTTCACACTTTGTTAAATTGAGGGGCAAGTTCCATTACCTGGGTGCTTAATAATGGGTAATGCATTTCCCTTTCTGATTAGTACTTGGGTGATTTATGTTCTATACCACAACTCGCTCAGGCAGGTTATGCCTTGTTCCTGGCCTCAATATCATCATCTGTAAAATGAACAGATTGTGATAAATATCCTCTTAACTCCCAGGTGTGGAATGAATATCACAGCCTCACCTGGGAACAGGGAAGCAAGTTTGTGGCATTTCACTTTAATCTGCGATGCCACCTTGTGGTTATCAACACGGACCGCACCAAGGACAGGGAAGAGTGTGCAACACAGCAGCCCACATCAGAAGATGTCCCTTTATTCTTCCCACCCCTGAGGCTGGATGCACTAAATGGGAAACAGGAGTTTCCTTTCAAGTCCACATCCCATAACCCTTGGAAGCCTCATCCTGCATAGAATCACCAAGAGTGAACTCTAGTAACACAGTTTGGGGCTTCCTGGAGTCTTGCAAAATGTGTCCATCCCCATCACTCCACACTCACATGTCTCTCCTTAAGTCTGCTAGATGATGACAGATGGGACCAGGCTGGGGCAAGACACTGGAGACAGAGATGGAACGAAGATAAGCCAACTTTCCAGACCAAACTCCTCTCACTCAGGCCATGGGAAAAGTAAGTCATTTCCAGGGTCCAGGAGGTCTGAAGATATTCAAGCTTCTGATTCCCTTTACTTTCTTCATATAACTATATGTTTTCTCATGAATACATTACAAAAAGGGGTTGTCATATCTTGGTGTGGCTGTGTACCAGGTCCCTGACCTCAGGTACATACCAGTCAGCCCTAAAACTGTGATGCCCTAGTTCCAAACACCATACTGCCAATTAGAACACACTGCATGTGGAGCTCTCAATATGGTGAACTCAAGTGTGTTTGCACTCTGGTGGCAGAGACACTAGGCTTGCTGGGGGAGAGAGAGCCAATTTGAAATTAGCTGGTCCTTAAAAAATCAGGAACTCTAAGAATGCATTACTTTGAAACAGGAAGCAACAAGGCACAACAAAACAACAATGACAAAGCATCAGCTCAGAAATCCTCATGCTGCACTTGGCACTGGGCTAAACAAATTTAACATGTGTTGTTTTATTTAACCCCCTACAACATTATGAAGTCACTACTTTTATTATTTTAAATTTCATAGTGGAAAAAGCCAAGGCTTGCTAAGGCAAATGTAACTTGGCCCCAGTCTCCCAGCTAGGAAGTGGTGTCACTATTATTTTGAATCTCTTTCCAACTTCAGGTTTCATGCTCTTCCAACACCCAAAAGAGCATGAAGCAGGGAATTCAAAGACTTCTCTTCTAGTTCTTACCCACTTGTCATGAGACATTGTACCTGTACTCCACATCTTCAGCCTCTGGTTTCCTTAGATCTAGAATGGAGATGATACAAAGTTAGACTAAAGGCAAAATGCCGGATCACATCATACTGTGAAGTTCCTCCTAAATCTAGGACTGAAATTTGTAGTATATCAATTGACATTGAAGTCAAAGGTTGCAAACCAGCAGCCTATAAGGGAATTCAGTTCAACAATTTGATTCGTTTACTCTGAAATCTGTTACAGATTGGAAGTTTAAAGATTTTGGGTGGACACGACTCTCCATTTCATCCTGGTTCTTATTTCTCTGTGCTATCCTATGCAGCTCAGTTGTCTGCTTGACCTCACTGGTGGACATGTGATTACATGGTTCTTGGTTTATGTCAAATCCAAGGTTTTGTGTGTTGGTAATCAGAGTGCAGGCCATTACAGAGGCTAACTTCACTGCTAGCCTCCATCTAGATTATTTTATTAAGACATTGTTGTCCCAAACTCTGTTGTTTTCTCTGGGCAGCTTATGAGCAACTCAGACTAATGTTATACTACCACAGGAAATATTATGACCTAAATTTCAGGAGACCTGAATTCTGCTTCAAGTTGTATGGTTCTGGGCAAGCTCATGAATCTCTCTGAGCTTCAACTTTCCCATCTATGGGAGGCTTAGAGTAAACGTTGAAAACTTCTGTGTCCCGGCCGGGCACGGTGGCTCACGCCTGTAATCCCAGCACTTTGGGAGGCCAAGGTGGTTGGATCACGAGGTAAGGAGATTGAAACCATCGTGGCCAACATGGTGATACCCAGTCTCTACTAAAAATACAAAAATTGGCTGGGTGTTCTGGTGTATGCTTGTGGTCCCAGCTATTTGGGAGGCTGAGGCAGAAAATCGCTAGAACCCAGAAGGCAGAGCTTGCAGTGAGCCAAGATCCAGCCACTGCACTCCAGCCTGGCGACAGAGCGAGACTCTGTTTCAAAAAAAAAAAAAAAAAAGAGAGAGAAAACTTCTGTGTCCCTGTAAAACTGAACCTTCCATTCTGATTGGCTAAGCAGCAGCCTATTAATTTAGATGCATGCGAGTGCTGTATCTTTAATAACTTTGGTCTCACACATAGGCTTTAATTGACTTGGGCATTTGTAGTTTTTAAAAGCTCCCCAGGAGATTCTAATGTGCAGCCCAAATTGAGAACCACTGTGCTAAAGTGTGAGCTCTGAAACAAAGTACCTTTTTCATTAAGGACAAGGAGACATTTTTAAAAATTAAAAACAGGCCGATTAAAAAAAAACTGATATAAGTGATATGTTAAAAATCCTAGGATTCTTAACTCCAAACCCAGGTTCTTTTCTGTTATACTGACCATGGGATACTATTTAAAGAACCCAATCCATCTTTTCTTAGAATACTTAAAATATCTCATAAACTCAACAAACTAAACAATGCATAGCTTGTAAAAAAAAAAAAAAAAAAAAAAAAAAAGCAATACTGTGGCTTCTCCTGAGTTCCCCAGGTCCTAGCAAAGGTATACAGGATATTCTCACATAAATCTAATCCTTTAGGCCTCATGACCTTATTTTCAGAGTGCTAAATGGTTCTCAAAGTGAGGAGAGAAGCTAGAACTAGCTAGGAAGGGTGAAGAAAAGAAAGCTTTCTGTATTCCAACAGTTAGCTGATGCTCATATACAAACTAAAAAAAATTAAGCAGCACTTTTAAGATTTTCTAATCATTTAAAAAGCCCAGATTATCACCGTCCAAGGAAAGAGGAATGGCTTGGAAGTCAGTTTCTGCCGACACCTGCAGCTTTCAGCAACTCTGGTCCCTGCTTCAGGCTCCAAATCCATCTGTCAAGTCACAGCAGCCCATTTGCAAATGCTATCTAGCTTCACAAGGACTCTTTTATTCATCGCATTTATTAAGTAATAGAAAGTGAGTTATAGTCATTAGAGAATATAAAAATTACTTTCATTCAGGTGTCCAAATGAGTCTCTTTGGCTACAATATGAAAAAAGAGCTCTGGCTGACTTCTCTCTGTGCCCAACAATTGTGCCAGGAAGTAGAAACTGGTCAGGCAGCCCTTTCTAGAAGATTAGCTCAGCACTTAAGCTAATTAAGCTTCATTCCTTCAGATTGGTTTCCTGAGTGTCCAGTATGTGCCTGGCCCTGTGCTAGGACAGTGTGACTTTGGACCAGGTGCTTAGTGAGTCAAGCCTCTTTTTCTTCATCTTTGTGATGGACATAATAATGTCTACATCACCATCTTGCAAGTGACATAAGACATATTCAGGCTCTGTCAAATGTAAAGCAACATGTTCAAAGTTTATTTTTTGTATTTTTTCCCTAAAATCAAATCCAAGATTGTGTCATTTCTGTGTAATGGACCGTTGGCTATCTGATGCAACTGGAAGTTCTTGACTCACTTGCCACATGGCTCAAATAATTACCCGCTCCCTTCCCGGTGCTATTTTGATTGACATTTTGTCGTATATATGGCCCTTACAGAGGC
Organism: Homo sapiens; assembly: GCF_000001405.40. Lineage (NCBI taxonomy): Eukaryota > Metazoa > Chordata > Mammalia > Primates > Hominidae > Homo > Homo sapiens. Next base: position 115,880,334 of record NC_000009.12, on the reverse strand, counting down.
AGTTAATCCTCGTTTTTTGACCCATATCCTCAGGATTTTGATCTTCTTTCAGTTAATCTCTTTATGTTAATTCTTTCTTTTTTCTCTTTATGTTAATTCTTAATGCAACATCAATGAAACTTATAGTTATAAATCTTTTGGGAAAAGTGGTTTGCACTTCCACTGAATTACAGATCTGAGATATGGGTGAATCTTTAAAGTACTGGTTCAATATCCTACCTGATCTTGAAAGAACTTGAGGTTTTTAGCTGAAGAACAGAGTGTCTGCTGTTCCAGAGAGCCTGCTGGAGCTATTTGCACATATTTCAAGTTATGACATGGAAGAGAAATCAGACCTATTGTCTGAGATTAAATAATAGAAAACGTAGTTGGCAGACTTCAGTAATTTGAACTATACCACATTGACATGGGCTGTCTGGGAATTCTTTGAGTCCTCTGACTCTGCAAATATGCAAGTAAAAGTTGTATTAAATAATGTTGAACATGCTATATGCTGAGCTAAATTGATTCAGTTGTAACTCACAGCATTCAAAATATAGGTGTGCTGGATATCTTGGACTGGTCTCTCCAGATACACTTTCTAACCTTCTGCACCCTTCCCTGTGACCCAGGTGTCTGATCTCCATGCCCCTCCTTGCCTTCTGGCTTCTGGTTAGACTCATCCCGAAGATTAGAGGGAGGAGCGGGGAAGGAGCATGAGGTCAGGGGACTTAACCCATCGGCTCCCTGCCTCCAGGATTGCCAAGGGCTGGCTGTGTTCTTTGGGTGATTCTCACAGCCCCTTCCAGGAAGCTTTTTACCTGCTGCATGTGTGTCTCTGGGGTCCCCACAGAACATCTTCCTCTCACCCCATCAGCACAGGCACCCTGCTCATACTAGACCTAGCAGGCTGCCCTCAAACCTTGAGTTTCCCTATGCCCAGCCCTCACCATTGTCAATACTTCCTTTATTATATTCTCCTCAAATTACACATCGTTCTTTCTGATGAGACTCTGACTGATAAAAGTGGGATAAACAAACAAAGTGAGAACATAAAATTTAAGAAATAAAGAAGAACTCAGGATGTTTCCTTTTTCCTTTTAATAATTCTCTAAACCCCGTAGAATACAGATGAGACGTGGAGGGGTGAAGTTCCACAGGAAGTTGGTAAGGCCAAAATAAGAACTTACATGTATTGACTTCAGATCACATACCTCAAACCTCTGTCCTGTTGCTTCTCTGAATGCTAAAAAAGAGTTGGTTGAAAATTAATCCATTTCCAAACTGGCAAACACTATTGGTAGGGTCATCAAGGTTAACATCCTCAGTTTTAAATCATGTTGCTAGCATGTACCCTTGATATACTGTGATGAGAATGACACTTCGTCTCTGAGATTTTCCCTCCATAAACTTATAACCCATAACCCCAGTTTCACTATGAGGAAAACATCAAAGAAACCCAGACTAAGGCACGTTCTATAAAATGCCTGACTTGTATTCCTCAATACTGTCAAGAGCAGAAAAAAGTCTGAGAAACTGTCACAGTACAAAGTAATCTAAAGAGATTTGTCAACTAAATGTAATGTGGTATGCTGGATGAAATTCTGGAACAGGAACAAGACATTAAGGAAAACTAATGAAATCCAAATAAAATTTGGGACCACAGCTGCCGCTGACATGAACCCATTGCTGAAGCAAAGAAGTGCTGGATGGAGTCTGAGGATCCTCAGCTCCCACTAGGAAGGAGAGAGGCTGAGCAGCGATGTGGGGGTGGTGGGGTAGGAAGCCTGGAAGAGGCTGGAGAGAAACATGGGGGAAAGCAGATTCTCACATGAGGTGGATGGGAAACAGAACTAGATTGCAGCTCCGACTTGGACCAACTGAGCAGCGTTGGAAGGCTCACATTGTTCACTTTAGCTCCAGATGGACTGCAAGAACAAATCAGCAGTCCTGAGAGGACCCACAGACCCTATGAAGGAAGGGGACTGCTCCTGCAGAACCTGGGACACACCCCAAATACTCAGCTGCAGCAAGACCCACCCAAAGAGAACTTGAGCTCAGACACACCTAGCACTGCCCCTACTGGATGGCTCCTTCCCTAGCCACCCTAGTAGCAGAAGACAAAGGACATATAATCTTGGGAGTTCTAGGGCCCCGCCCACCACTGGATCCTTTCATACTACTACAGCTGATGCTCTCTGGAAAGTGCCACCTCCCAGCAGGAGGCCAACCAGCACAAAAATAGATCATTAAACCACCAAAGCTAAGAACTTTCAAGGAGTCCATTGCACAACCACCCTCCCCAACCCCGCCACCTCCACCCCAGTAGGAGCTGGTATCCACAGCTGAGAGACCCACAGACTGCTCACATCACAGGACTCTGTGCAGACAACCCCCATTACCAGCCCAGAGCGGGGCAAACTTGCTGGGTGGCTACACCCAGAAGAAAAACAACAATCACTGTAGTTTGGCTCACAGGAAGCCCCATCCATAGGAAAAGGGGGAGTGTACTACAGCAGAGAACACCCCATGGGACAAAAGAATCTGAACAACAGCCTTCAGCCCAAGACCTTCCCTCTGACAGAGCTTACCAAAATGAGAAGGAACCAGAAAACCAACTCTGGTAATACAAAAACAAAAAAAACAAAAAAAACAAGGATCTTTAACACCCCCCAAAAATCACACTAGTTCACCAGCAGTGGATCCAAACCAAGAAGAAATCCCTGATTTACTTGAAAAAAAAATTCAGGAGGTTAGTCATTAAGCTAAAGAGGGAGGCACCAGAGAAAGGCAAAGCCCCATGCAAGGAAATCCAAAAAATGATACGAGAAGTGAAGGGAGAAATATTCAAGGAAATAGATAGCTCAAAGAAAAAACAATCAATCAAAAATTCAGGAAACATTGGACACACCTATAGAAATGCAAAATACTCTGGAAAGTCTCGGCAATAGAATTGAACAAATAGAAGAAAGAAATTCAGAGCTGGAAGACAAGGTCTTTGAATTAACCCAATCCAACAGAGACAAATAAAAAAGAATTTTAAAAAATGAACAAAGCCTCCAAAAAGTTGGGGATTATGTTAAACAACCAAACCTAAGAATAATCGGTGTTCCTGAGGAAGAAGAGAATTCTAAAAGCTTGGAAAACACATTTGGAGGAATAATCAAGGAAAGCTCCCCTGGCCTAGACATTCAAATATAGAAGAACAAAGAACATCTGCAAAATTCATTGGAAAAAGATCATCGCCTAGGCACATTGTCATCAGGTTATCCAAAGTTAAGACAAAGGGAAAAATCTTAAGAGCTGTGAGAGACAGAAGCACCAGGTTACCTATAAAGGAAAATCTATCAGATTAACAGCAGAATTCTCAGCAGAAACCCTACAAGCTAGAAGAGAGAGGAGCCCTATCTTCAGCCTCCTTAAACAAAACCATTATCAGCCAAGAATTTTGTATCCAGCGAAACTAAGCATCATATATGGAGGAAAGATACAGCATTTTTCAGACAAACACATGCTGAGAGAGAATTCACCAATATCAAGCCACCACTACAAGAACTGCTAAAAGGAGCTCTAAATCTTGAAACAAATCCTGGAAACACATCAGAATAGAACCTCTTTAAGGCATAAATCACACAGGGCCTACAAAACAAAAATACAAGAAGCAAAACCAAAAAACAAAGTACACGGGCAACAAATAGCATGATGAATGCAATGGTACCTGACATCTCAACATTAACATTGAATGTAAATGGCCTAAATGCTCCACTTAAAATATATGGAACTCCAGAATGGATAAGAGCTCACCAACCAACTATCTGCTGCCTTCAGGAGACTCACCTAACACATAAGGACCCACATAAACTTAAAGTAAATGGGTGGAAAAGGGCATTTCACACAAATGGACACCAAAAGCAAGCAGGGGTAGCTATTCTTTTATCAGACAAAACAAACTTTAAACCAACAGCAGTTAAAAGAGACAAAGAGGGACATTACATAATTGTAAAAGGCCTTGTTCAACAGGAAAATATGACAATCCTAAACATATGTGCACCTAACACTGGAGCTCCCAAATTTATAAAACAATTACTAATAGATTGAAGAAATGAGACAGATAGCAACACAATAATAGTGGGGGACTTCAATACTCTACTGACAGCACAAGACAGGTCATCAAGACAAAATGTCAACAAAAAAACAATGAATTTAAACTATATCTTGGAATAAATGGACTTAACAGATATATGCAGAATATTTCATCCAACAACTGCAGAATACACATTCTATTCAACAGCACATGGAACTTTCTCCAAGATAGACCATATGATAGGCAATGAAATGAGCCTCAATAATTTTAAGAAAATTAAAATTACATCAAGCATTCTTTTGGACCACAGTGGAATAAAATTGGAAATTAACTCCAAAAGGAACCTTCAAAACCATGCAAATATATGGAAATTAAATAGCCTGCTCCTGAATGAGCACTGGGTCAAAAAGGAAATCAAGATGGAAATTTAAAAAATCTTCGAACTGAATGACAATAATGACACAACCTATCAAAACCTCTGGGATACAGCAAAGGTGGTGCTAAAAGGAAAGTGCATAGCCCTAAACAGCTACATCAAAAAGACTGAAAGAGTACAAACTGACATTATAATGTCACATATCAAGCAACTAGAGAAACCAGAACAAACCAAACGCAACCCCAGCAGAAGGAAGGAAATAACTAAGATCAAGGCAGAACTAAATGAAATTGAAACAAATGAACGAACAACAAAAAAATAAAAAAGATAGATGAAGAAGCTGTTTCTTTGAAAAGATAAATAAAATTGATAGACCATTATCAAGATTAACCAAGAAAAGAAGAGAGAAAATCCAAATAGCCTCACTAAGAAACGAAACAGGAGATATTACAACTGACATCACTGAAATACAAAAGATTATTCAAGGCTAGTATGAACACCTTTATGCACATAAACTAGAAAACCTAGAGGAGATGGATAAAGTCCTGGAAAAATATAACCCTCCTAGGTTAAATCGGGAAGAATTAGATACCCTGAACAGACAAATAACAAGCAGTGAGATTGAAATGGTAACTAAAAAATTACCAACAAAAAAAGTCCAGAACCAGATGGATTCACAGCAAAATTCTACCAAACATTCAAAGAAGAATTGGTACCAATTCTTTTGACACTATTCCACAAGATAGAGAAAGAAAGAACCCTCCCTAATTCATCCTATGAAGTCAGCATAGCCCTAATGCCAAAACCAGGGCAGGACATAACCAAAAAAAGAAAACTACAGACTGATATTCTTGATGAACATAGATGCTAAAATCCTTAACAAAATACTAGCTAACTGAATCCAACAAAATATCAAAAAGATAATCCACCATGATCAAGTGGGTTTCATACGAGGGATGCAGGGATGGTTTAACATGTGCAAGTCAATAAAAGTGATACACCACATAAACAGAATTAAAAACAGAAATCACATGACCATCTCAATAGATGCAGAAAAAAAATTCAACAAAATCCAGCATCCCTTTATGATTAAAACTCTCAGCAAAATCGGCATACAAAGGACATACCTCAATGTAATAAAAGCTATATACAACAAACCCACAGATGACATAATACTGAATGGGGAAAAGTTGAAAGTATCCCCTCTGCAAACTGGAACAGGACAAGGATGCCCATTCTTATCACTCCTCTTCAACATAGCACTGGAAGTCCTAGCAAGAGCAATCAGACAGGAAAAAGAAATAAACGGCATCCAAATCAATAAAGAGGAAGTAAAAAAAGTCACTGTTTGCTGACAATATGATCATTTACCTTGAAAATCCTAAAGACTCCTCCAGTTTGCTGATAAAAGAATTCAGCAAAGTTTCTGGATACAAGATTAATGAACACAAATCAGTAGCTCTTCTATATACCAACAGCGACCAAGCAGAGAATCAGATCAAGAACTCAAACCTTTTTACAATAGCTGCAAAAATAAAATAAAATAAAATACTTAGGAATATACCTAACCAAGGAGTCAAAAGACCTCTACAAGGTAAACTACAAAACACTGTTAAAAGAAATCACAGATGACACAAACAAATGGAAATACATCCCATGCTCATGGATGGGTAGAATCAATATTGTGAAAATGACCATACTGACAAAAGCAATCTACAAATTCAATGCAATCTCCATCAAAACACCACTATCATTCTTCACAGAATTAGAAAAAATCAATTCTAAAATTCATATGGAACCAAAAAAGAGCCCATATAGCCAAAGCAAGACTAAGCAAAAAGAACAAATCTGAAGACATCACACTACCTGATTTCACACTGCACTATAAGGCCATAGTCACCAAAACAACGTGGTACTAGTATAAAAATAGGCACATAGACCAATGGAACAGAATAGAGAACGCAGAAATAAACCCAAATACTTACAGCCAACTGATCATCAACAAAGCAAACAAAGCAAACAAAAACATAAAGTGGGGAAAGGACACCCTTTTCAACAAATGGTGTTGGAATAATTGGCTAGCCACATACAGGAGAATGAAACTGGATACTCATCTTTCACCTTATACAAAAAATCAACTTAAATCTAAGACTTGAAACTATAAAAATTCTAGAAGATAACATTGAAGAAACCCTTCTAGACATTGGCTTAAGCAAGTATTTCATGATCAAGAACCCGAAAGCAAATGCAATAAAAACAAAGATAAATAGTTGGGACCCAATTAAACTAAACAGCTTTTGCAAGGCAAAAGGAACAGTCAGCAGAGTAAACAGACAACCCACTGAGTGGGAGAAAATCTTCACAATCTATACATCTGACAAAGGACTAATGTCCAGAATCTACAACGAACTCAGACAAATCAGTAAGAACAAAAGCAAACAATCCCATCAAAAAGTGGGTTAAGAACATGAATAGACAATTCTCAAAAGAAGATATACAAATGACCAACAAACAAATGGAAAAATGCTCAACATCACTGAAGATCAGGGAAGTGCAAATCAGAACCACAAGGCAATACCATCTTACTCCTACAAGAATGGCTATAATAAAAAAATTAAAAAACAGTAGATGTTGGTGTGGATGAGGTGATCAGGGAACACTTCTACACTGCTTGTGGAAATGTAAACTGGTATAGCCACTGTGGAAAACAGTGTGGAGATTCCTTAAAAACTAAAAGTAGAACTACCATTTGATCCAGCAATCCCACTACTGGGTATCTACCCAGAGGAAAAGAAGTCATTATACAAAAAACATACTTGTGCACACATGTTTATAGCAGCACAATTCACAATTGCAAAATCATGGAATCAATCCAAATGCCCATCAATCAATGAGTAGATAAAGAAACTGTATATATATATATATACACACACAATGGACTACTACTCAGCCATAAGAAGGAGTGAATTAACATTTGCAGCAACCTGGATGAGATTGGAGACTATTATTCTAAGTGAAATAGCTCAGAAATGAAAAACCAAACATCATATGTTCTCACTGATATGTTGGAGTTAAGCTAGGAGGATGCAAAGGCACAAGAATGATACAATGGACTTTGGGGACTTGGGGGAAAGAGTGGAGGGGGAAGTGAGGGATAAAAGACTACAGATACGGTGCAGTGTATACTGCCTGGGTATGGGTACATCAAAATCTCACAAATCATCACTAAACAACTTACTTGTGTAACCTAATACCACTTGTACTACAATAACTCATGGAATAAAGCAACAAATATAAATTGGCATTTAATTAATTGCAATGTGTCCATGTTAGCCCTTTATAATAAATGTATCATAGTAATGAAAAGTGTTAATAACAGAGGAAACTGAGGAAGGAATATACAGGAGCTGTCTGCACCATTTTTAAATTTTTTATGTAAATAGAAAGCTATTCTAAAAGTAAAACTGTAAGCTACCACTTATCCTCTAAAATAGGACCCGAATGTTTTGTACCTGAGGCCACTTCCTACCCCCACAAATAAAAGACGATGCAGGAAAAAAAGCCAGTTTCAAGGTGTAAACAAAATATTTCGGACTATAGCTGCCGAAAAAAAATTAATTTCAGAAACTTTTATAAAACACAAAAGAACATAAAAAGGTTTTCTAAAGTATAGGCCTTTACATACCACAGATAAAAAATAATGTTACAAGTAATCAATTTTCACAGTTTGGTGGTGGTACTGTTTTAGCTTTTTTTTTCTTTTTTTTTTAAATCTGAGGTTAGAGAGTTATGGGGAAAATTAGAGAGAAATAGAGAAAGTGGGAAAAGGTCACCCAGATAACAGAAAAGCTATATATCAACCTACAAAGCCCAAATATATTTTTCCACATTAAGAATTCTAAGAATTTTGGATTTGTACTTTTTAAAACCAAAATGTATCAACTCTAATCTTTTGATGTTTGAAAGGAAAGAAAAAAATTCAAAAGAAGATATCAAATATCTTACATAAAATCACATTTTGTGAATCAAATCCAGGGATTAAGTTTTCTTTAAATTGCACCTGGGAATTAAAACCTAAAGGGAGAGAGTGTTTGCCCAAATACATTTGAGTTTTTATTGAATCTTAAATGAAACAAATCCCAAATTCCTCAAGATGTAGAGACAGCTCTGAAACTAGTCTGATTTCCCTTATTGCCTCTGGGCATAAGGTCTAAAAAGCCTACAGTTCACCTGCATGCCTGAGCAAGGACGGAAATTTCTCTAAATTCAAAGATATGGAGGGAAAAAAGAAGCTGTAACAGTGGAGGCATTTATTTACTCTGTTTGACACGTAATTGTCCATTGTTTGGGTCTTTCTTTGTCAATGAGATGCATGCTCAGCACTTCTGGTCAGCTACGTTGCTGATGTTTCTTTAGCTATTCTAATTAAAAGGGCCCATGAACAAGTATTTCTAAAAATGTGAAATCAAAAGTAACATTGATGGCACCAATAATGGCTAAAAACACCATTTTCTTATATCTAGCACAGCAATAATCTCATGGTTATCAGAAAACTCTTTTTCTATGATGAAATGCTTTAAACAGCTCGTCCTTGTTCTTGGTGTAAACTTTGATGGTTTGTGCTATAGTGTATATGTCTTCACATACGGTTCAGCATCTGTCAACGATCTGGGACCAGCTACTTTGCCTCATTGAGTCTCAGTTTTCTCTTCTATAAAATGAGATATTAATCACTCTCTAAGGGGAAGCATTCTTTTTAAAGTCCTTAGCGTGCTGCTTGTGGGCATGTAATAATTGTGAGCTCCCCAGGTTTTTGACAAATTGTCACCAAAATTAGTCTATCCTTTTCCCTTAATGTATTCATTCATCCATTCATTCATTTAATGAGTATTGAACACATAGGGACTGTGCTAAGTACTGCTGAGAAAATGGCAAAGGGCATAGACAATCTCCCTGTTGGGTATCACGTTGAAGACTTTGATACAGTGAGAGGTTGGTTAATCACTTCACAGGGCTATGGAGAAAAATTACTGAGAGGTATAAGACCATGTCTTAGTGGCACCTGCTTTAGGTTGTGAGATGACTCTTCTCAAAGGAAGGGAAGACTAAAATTAGGTCTGGAAGATAAGCAAGACTCATCTAGGTAAAGAGAGTTCATGGACAGAGGGATTTTCCTGTCTACAGACCCACTTAGACAAAGATATGATATCCCTCTTTCCCACCTTCCAAAAACTTGGTGTCCTCCTTCATGAATTCGATCCTTTTCCTTTCTGAACCAGCTATATAGTTATCAGCTAATTTTACCCTAATGAAAAGAAGCTTCAGTTATAAATCTGTAGAACTCTAGAAATTAGAAATTCAAATTTCAGAAAGAATATTATAGTAAGTAGCCTTTAACATTTCTTTCAACCTCGGTAGACGAAAATGCAATGAACAAGAAAACTGCATGATGGCCATGACATTTTAGGGCTATTTGTCTACGTAAAGTCTGGGATGGAAATAAGGGAGAGACTGGAGGTGGGGAGAATGATTTGGAAGCATCTCTGATACTGAGGGCATGAAGGATCAAAAGATTCAACCAGTCTTACGATATTGAAAAGGAAGAGAAAACCACAGTTGAGAAATATCTAAAATATAGACTCAACAGGTCTATGTTATTAGTTGTTTTAGAGATGAGTTCAAATCTCTGGACTTTGAATTCTAAAAGTACCATGGGAAATAGAAGATAAAAGAGTTTAAAAGAGTGTATTTGGGAAGACAAGGATGAGTTTTAATTGAGCCCTGCAGGCTGGCAGGAGACTCATGTGGAAATGTCCTCCACATAGGTGGGTATGTATGGACCTTTCCAAGCCTAAATAAGGATTTTTTTTTTTCTTTTTGAAACAGAATTTCACTCATGTCACCCAGGCTGGAGTGCAATGGAGTGATCTTGGCTCACTGCAACCTCTGCCTCTCAGGTTCAAACAATTCTCCTGCCTCAGCCTCCCAATTATCTGGGATTACAGGCATGCGCCACCATGCCTGGCTAATTTTGTATTTTTAGTAGAGACTGGGTTTCACCATGTTGGCCAGGCTGGTCTCAAACTCCTGACCTGAAGTGATCCACCTGCCTCAGTCTCCCAAAGTGTTGAGATTACCGGTGTGAGCCACCACGCCCGGCCAGTAAGGATTTCTTAAGTGACCTATACATTAAAAAAAAAAAAAATTTCCACAATTTTAATGAAATTTTCACAATAATCATACATTTAAAAAATAAGGCCCAGTGCAGTGGCTCACGCCTGTAATCCCAGCACTTTAAGAGGCAGAGGTGCTGGATCACCTGGGGTCAGGAGTTCGAGACCAGCCTGGCCAACATGGTGAAACCCTGTCTCTACTAAAAATACAAAAATTAGCCAAGTGTGGTGGCAAATGCCTGTAATCCCAGCTACTCGGGAGGCTGAGGCAGGAGAATTGCTTGAACCTAGGAGGTAGAGGTTGCAGTGAGTCAAGATCGCCCCACCCGCCCTCCAATCTGGGTGACAGAGCAAGATTTCATCTAGAAAAAATAAACAATAAATAAATTAATTAATTAAAAAAAGAAAATAACACTCCTGTTTCATCTGGACCAATACCTTCTTTTACCTTCTTTTTCTTTTTCCTTTTAAGTTCCAGGGTACATGTGCAGGATGTGCAGGATGTGCAGGTTTGTTACACAGGTAAACGTGTGCCATGGTGGTTTGCTGCACCTATCACCAATACTTTCTTGATGGGTTTCCACATGAGAATCAGTCCTTAAGCATGGAAAATGTGTCTGATTTTCTTATTTGGTTGTAAAGAGACAAGACAAGGTAGTTTGGGGTTCTTTGTTTTTAATTTTTATTGACACATAATAACTATGTATTTTTGGGGAACATAGTGATATTTCAATACCACGTATTGTGATCAGATCAGAGTATGCTAATAGCATATCCATTATGTCAAACATTTATCATCTCTTTGTGCTGGGAACATTCAATATCCCCTCTTCCAGCTATTTGAAAATATATATTATTAACTATAGCAATCCTACATTGCTATAAAACACTACAATGTATCCTTCCTATCTAGCTGTAATTTTGTATCCTTTAACATATCTCCCTCTATCCCCTATTCTCCCTACACTTCCCAACCTCTGGAAACCTCAGTTCTACTATTTCTCTTATGAAATCAACATTTTTAGCTTCCACATATGAATAAGAACATGCCATAATTGCCTTTCTGTCCTTGGCTTATTTCACTTAAAATAATGGCCTCCAGTTCCATCCATGCTGCTTCAAAGTACAGGATTTCATTCTTTTTATGACTGAATAGTATTTCATTGTGTATATGTACCACATTTTCTTTATCCCTTCATCTGTTGTTGGACATGGGTTGATTTAATGTCTTGGCTATTGTGAAAACTGCTGCAATAAGCATGAGGCTGCAGACATCTCTTCAATATACTGTTTTCCTTTCCTTTGAATAAATATCCACTAGTGGGATTGCTAGATCATACAGCAGTTATATTTGTAGTTTTGAGGAATTTCTATACTGTTCTTCATAGAGGCTGCACTCTTGTAGTTAGGGTTCTCACTGCAGCAAATCTAAGCCGAATCCAATCCCTGCTATCCATTGTCTCATAAACTTGAAGAAGTTAGTTTTCAGCCTCATTGTACTAAGAGGTTGTTACTTATCTCATAAGTTTTATTTTTTTGTCATTTAGTGAGATAACAATGTAAAATGCCTAAAAAAAATCCCTGGCACATAGAATGTATCCCAATATGGTAGCAATTGCAATTTAGTATTTTGTACAGTACTCTACAGTTTTCAAAATATTTATGTTATATATTGCATCACTTACTCTTTACTGTTAGAAGGATGTGAGACCATTTTACAGGTGGGAAATATGAAACTCTGGTAATTGATAATTTATACAGCTCTTAAATGAAATTACTTAGACCTATACTTCCAAATCTTTTTTCCACTATGCAATTCTGCTTCCCTAGAACATGGGAAAGGAAGATGAGAATCCTTGAAAATGACACCATGTTTTTATATGTGCTTCTCTGTGTGCTATACACTAGTTTTACACTTTAATACATATCAAATTTAATGAATATCAAATAATTTACATTATTTAAAAATATTGTAAGACCAAATTTGATCATCTTTCTCATAATAATTGTCATTTTTATGAGTTTGCTTAACAGCTTTATTGAAGTACACATTACATGCCATAAAATTCACCTATTTTTCAGGGTAAAATTCAATAATTATTAGTAACTTCATGTAGTTGTGCAACCATTACCACTATTCAGATTTAGAACATTTCCATCACTCTAAAGAGAAACCTTGTGTCTGTTTGCATTCAGTTTACAGTTCCTCCTTATGCCCCAAGGCCACTGCTAGTCCATTTTCTGTCTGTGGAGGCTTACCTTTTCTGAAACTTTCATATAAATAGACCATATAATATGCAGTCTTTTGTGTCTGTCTTTTTCCACTTAGAATGTTTTTGAGGTTATCCACTTTGTCCCTCTTATCAATGGTTTGTTCCTTTTTATTGCTGAATAATATTTGATCATATGGCTATATCACATTTTGTTTATCCATTCACCAGTTGATAGACATTTTCATTGTTCTTATGTTTGAGCTCTTACTAATAATGTTATTACGAAAATTCACATGCAGGTCTATGTGACAAATGTTTTTATTTATTTTGAGTATATACTTAAGGGTAGAATTTCTGGGTCATATGGTAAGTATATGTTTAACTTTTTAAGAAACTGTCAAATTGTTTTTCAAAGTGGCTGTACTATCTTACATTTCCAGCATTGTATGAAGATTTCCATTCTCTGCATCCTCATCAACACTCATTATTGTCTGTCTTTTTGATCATAGACATTGTAGTGGATATGCAGCATTATCCTATTGTGGTTTTGATTTGTATTTCCCTATTGATTAATGATGCTGAGCATCTTTTCATGAGCTATTTGGCCATTGTTTATCTTATTTGATAAAATATATCTTCAAATATTTTGCCATTGTATTGGATTGTTTGTCTTATTATTGAATTATATGACCTCCTTATATATTGTAAATAAAAGTCCTTCAGCAAGTAGGATTTGCAAATATTTTCTCCAAGTCTGTGACTTGTATATTCCTCTTAATATTTTTTTGCAGTAAAAATTATTTTAATTTTGATAAAGTCCAATTTAATACTTTTTTCTTATATGGATTATGCTTTTGATATTATATCTAAGAACACTTTGTTCAACCTAACATCATTTCCCCAAAAGTTCTCTTTTAGAAGTTTAATAGTTTTACCTCTTGCATTTAGATCTATGATTAATTAGACCTATGATTAATTAATCTATGATTACTTAATTAGGGTTAATTTTTGTGAGTGGTATAGGATAAGGGTGAAAATTCATTATTTCATTTCTCAGAAACATGGCTGAAAAGATTATCTTTCTGCAGTTGAATTGCTTTGGTACCTTTCTCAAAATTCAATTAGCCATAAAAGTAAAAATTAATTTTTGTACTCTCAGTTTTTTTCCATTGGTTATCCTCAAACAACTGTCACGCTGTATTGTGTTCTGTAAGTTATATAAGTTGAAATCAAGATGTTTAAGTCCTCTATCTTGTTCTGTTACAAATTTATTTTGGCTTTTCTTATTTCTTTGTATTTTCATATAATCTTTAGGTTCAGTTTGTCAACTGTTATTTTTTCTAAAAAAATTTAAAAATCTGCTGAAATTTTGACAGAAAATGTGTTGAATCCATACACCAAAACTTAAGAACTGCTTTCTAAACAATATTGAGTCGTCAGATCTGTGAACATAAACTATTTCTCCATTTATTTAGATCTTTGATTTATTTCAGTAATTTTTGTATTTTTCATTGCATAAGTTTAGCATTTCATTTGTTATATACACCTTACCCTGAAGTCATAGAAATAATTTCTTATTTGTTAAATGTTCTAAAGTTATGCTATTCACATTTAGATTGTTAATTCTTCTGGAATTAGGTAGGGAATAATTTTATTTTGATTATTAATTCATCTGGAATTAGGTAGGAAATTATTTTATTTTATTTTTTGCCTAAGAATAGTCAATTGACTTAACACTGTTTACAGAAGAACAAATTATTTTCACACTAATTGTAAACACCACATTTCTCATATAGCAATTTCTCATATATAAATGTGTCTGTTTCTGAGCTCTAAAGTTGATGCTATTGTTAGTTTGTCTACCCCTCAGTTAATTAAACATTATTTTAATTACCATAGCCTTATATAAATTATTAATAGTCTGCCAAGCAATTGTCTCTTATATTATTATTCAAACTTTTCTTGGCTAGTCTTAGCCTTAAAATCTTTCATACAATCATTTGGAACAACTTGTCAGGTCACACACACATGCAAGCACAAGCGGCACACACACACATGCCACACACACACAGACATACATGTACACATGCATGCACACACGCAGACTCATACATATTGTTGAGATTGTTATTAAAATTGCACTTATTACTATAGATTAATTGGTGATTTCGTACAATAATTTGGGAGAAATTAACATTGCATTTTTATGTCTTTCGACGTGATAAATCTCCTGATACTCAAATGTTCTGTTGTGTACTTCAACAAGTTTAATAATTTTGTTCTTATTTAAAATTCATGTAAATCTTTTTCTGGACTTATTTCTTCATATTGTATAGCTGATGTTACTATCATAAATTGCATCTTTAAGACATTTATGTTTTCTAATAAATTGCTACTATTCCTTGTGAACACTGATAATTCATATGTTTTGATATTATACCCAACAGTCTAAATTCTTAATATTTCAAATATAGACATTCTCCTGGAATTCTTATGTATAAATTATTTTGTAGAAATACCAATCATCATTTCTCCCTTTCAAATTCTTTCCCTCCCTCCCTCCCTCCCTCCCCTACTTCCTTCCTTCCTTCCTTCCTTCCTTCCTTCCTTCCTTCCTTCCTTCCTTCCTTCCTTCCTTCCTCTCTGTCTCTCTGTTTCTCTCTCAGTCTCTCTCTCTGCCTTTCATCTTATTGTGCTAGCTTGGACATCCATGTCATATTTAAGAGATGCAGCAATAACAGGCATTGCTGCCTTGGTCCTGACCTTACAGGGAATGCTTTTAATGTCTCTATTGAGTAGTTTTGCTGCTGGTTTTTTTGCTGGATAAATTTATCTGTAAAATGCTTTTTAATTTTCTTATGTTGCTGAGAGTTATGTATACCATGGATGGAGATTATTACATTAAACACATTTTTACATTTATTGAGAAGACCATATGTTTTTACTCCTTTTGCCTTTTAATGGTAGGAGTTAAAAGTAACAGATTTTTTTTAACAGTTAAAATTTCATTTTTGAGATAACTTTTATCTGATTATTAAATATCCAGGAAATACTGAATAACAATTGATAGTCATTCATTAGGATTTTATATAAATCTTTCTAAGTGATATTGTTTTAAATTTTCTTGTAGTACTCTTATCCAGTTTTGAATTTTAATCTTAGTAAGAAATGACTGGGAGCATAATGTTTTTTGCTCAACATTCTCTGGAATAGGTAGTATATAAGACAGGCATTGCATATGCCTTATAGTTCTGATCTTTTCTGCAAATGTTTAGGTTCAGTTGGAGTGTGTGCATGTTTAGATATAGATGTATTTTTTATTTAATCTCTGTAATGATTTGAGTTTTATCCATTCTTTCCCTTTTTTCTTGAGTCAGTTTGGTTCTATTATGTGCTGCTTTATTTTCATTTCTCTCATTTTTTGCTCATATTTTCTTCCCTCTACGGTTTTTTCTAATATTTAATTTAATCATTTTTCATCTATGTTTAGCCTTCTTTTCTTTTTAAATAATGTAATCCAATTTTTTCCTTTTTAACATTTTCATAGATTCATAGGGTAAGTGTACAGGTTTGTTACAAGGATATATTGTAATGGTGAGGTACGGGTTTCTAGAGTATTATCTTCTTTTCTTAAGTAAGGCAATAAATTGGCCCTAGTAACTTCCTTAGCCATATCACATAAGATTTAGCAATGTTGTTATGGTAATTCAGATTTAAATAACTTAGTTTTCCTTATCCATTCTTAATCAGCAATTTAATTGACTTTTAGTCTCTCAAATGAAAGACTTTAGTTATCTTTTTGTTATTGATTTTTTTTTTTTCCAGTGTGGTTAAACAACATGGTCTATGATATTAACTCTTTGAAATTTGCTTAGACTTCTTGTGTGGCCTAGTTGATGAAACATTTTAAAAATATATTTGAGATGCTTATTTATCTTTCAATTAGTGTGTGTGTGTCGCATTTCTTTTTTCTTTCTTTCTCTTTTTTTTTTTTTTTTTTTGGTGTTTAAATGTTAGGATGCATACATGACAACAAAGTCAGTTTTGTCAATCTCTCCAAACTTGCCAAACAATTCAAAGAGCCTAGAATATTTTCTCTTGTTCACACTGCCACCCTGTCATTCATGTTATTTATTGTTTGGAATACTTTCTTTGAACATTGTTTCTAATTACCTCAATTTAGTTATTATTGTTACTGTTTCTGTTTATTTAGATTTACTTACATGTCTACTTATTTCTTTCCTCACCACTATAACTTGCACATCTCTAATTCCTTTTTAGTATAACTTGCTTCTTTCTGAAATACATTCTTTAGCAACACTTTCTGTGATGGTCTATAAGTCTTTAGTCTTTTCTGAATATTTGTTCACCTTACTATCAATCTTGAATGATATTCTGGTATAATAGAATCACCAGCTTAAAAGTACTTTCCTTTGTATAGATATTGTTTCATTCTGGCCCCTATTATTACTGATAAGAAGTCTACCAAACATCTAATATTTTTGTTTTTATTTTTGCTATTGTGCATTTTCCTTTGCTTTTTACAATTCTTACTATGTCTACAGTTTCACTATGTTTTGTCTGTGTGTTTATTTTGATTTTTTTACTTTTCAGGACTGGTTACATCTCTTTCAACTGATACCTCATATCTTTATTCTGTTCTGAAAAATTAACAGCTCTTTTATCTTTAATTTTCACTCCATTACCATGCATCATGTATCTTCTCTTTCTGAAACTTCATTCATTCATTCATCTTTTCAACAAATATTTTTTTGAGTACTACTACTTGCTGTACATTGGTTTATATGGTTAATATTAACAAAATAAAGTATTGAAACTTCTAATATCTTACTTCATAATTCTTAACCTATTTTAAATGTGTTTACATTTATTTATATCTCTGTACTTCAATCTAGGTAATTTATCTTTTTAATCTTCTTGTTCTTTACTTCTCTCTTCAACTATGACTAATCTACTGTTTAGCCCAGTCAGTAATGTTTTAAAAAAATTAAGACCATATATTTTGTCTTTATAGTATCTATTTTTTAAATTATATTTTTATAATTTCTTATTTCACTTTAATTTGTTTCTGTCTGTGTTCTCTTTAATCATTTAAAATGTATTTATTTGATAGCTTCATTCTTCTGTTCTCTGATTTCAACTTCTTGGGGTATTAATTTTCTGCTTTGTTGTTTCTGTTGATCTCCCACATGGTGGATTATTTCCTCAAGTAATTTGTAATTTTGGACTATGTGTTTACTTTCAGTGGTGGTCCTTCCGCCACACTCCATCCCCTGCTGTCAATGGGAGGCACATATCCTCTGGATTTTGGAAGTGTCTCCACAGTGTGGTTTCTTTCATTAGTGTATTCTGAAACCATGGGGCTTACAATGGTCTTGGAGTAAATTTCGCATTTTTTTTTCATTTGTGATCCCAACTGTGTACGAATATCAAATTCTGACCCAATATGTATGTATGGTGCATGTTAATTTTTTCAATTTCGAACTCTAGATACATGTTTTCTTCCCATTAGTCATAGGCAGAAGACAAACTTTCTTGCAACTTTTCTGTACTTGTGGGGAAAAAAATTTCCCCTTATAACATAGATTCTACAATCTTTCATGGCCCTGGAGTTATGTAGAACATCTATATACAGCTTCCAGTTCCCTACAATCCTAATTCCACACTTTTTGTTCCTACAGGAGCATTCAATTTCCATTTTGTCTGCTATGTCTTTAACCTCTATGGCATTAACTTGAATGAGTATGCATTTGGCTTAGATCCATCTCTTAATTCTTACCCTTCAGGATTTGTGCTTCTTTCTTTCAGTCTTAGCTATGTATCGCTATACCACTGTTGCAATATCATTACTATATCATTGTTGTTATAACACATTTCCATGTGTTCATAATAACAGCGGGTCTCTGAAGGCTCCATCCATGATATTGCTAGAAGTGTGGAGAAGTCAGGTCAAGAAAGGAGAAGGACTAACTCATGGTCTTTAGCATGCCTACCATTGAGCCAGATCTCCCGGCTCTCAGCATAGCTTTGTATTTCCACAATAGAGTGGATCAATAGCCACGTGCTTTATTTATTTTGTATGTACTTTCCTCACAGTTTTCTTTCACTCCTGCTTTCCAACTATTCTGCCTTTGTCACTCCATTCCTTCCAAATACGTTTCAAATAAATATTTCTTAAGTCTTAATAAAGTTGCAGTATATAATATTACACCTTTAAGGCAGTGGTCACATCTCCCCAGGGTGCTGTAATTATAGGATAATGTAATACTCAGTAATGTATACAATATGACAATACATTCCTCAGCTCAATTCTGGGATGAAACTTGAATTATATGGGAGAATGAACCTCCAGAAGGCATAGACTATTTGGTATGTAATTTTATAACGAGAGAACCTCACTGCCCAATACAGTAACCACTAGATATGTAAGCTTTGAACATTTGAAATCTATCTAGTAGGACTGAGGAACTATATTTTAAAATGTTAATTAATTTAAAGTTAAAGATGGATGCTCTATTCAGTTATTAACAATCTTTTAAGTACTTTTGAAAGGATTTTGATATGTGAATGTTTTTCTCTGTAAATTTGATGGAATCAAAATATAGATTAGGTATTTCTGATGACAATTTGGTGTTCAAATTGAGATGAGCTGCAAAGATGCAGTAACTATGATTTTTGCACATTGATTTTGTATCCTGAGACTTTGCTGAAGTTGCTAATCAGCTTAGGAGTTTTGGGGCTGAGACGATGGGGTTTTCTAAATGTACAATCATGTCATCTGCAAAGAGAGATAATTTGGCTTCCTTTCTTCTTATTTGAATACCCATTATTTCTTTCTCTTGACTGATTGTCCTGGCCAGAACTTCCAATACTCTGTTGAATAGGAGTGGTGAGAGAGGGCATCCTTGTCTTGTGCCGGTTTTCAAAGGGAATGCTTCTAGCTTTTGCCCATTCAGTATGATATTGGCTGTGGGTTTGTCATAAACTGCTCTTATTATTTTAAGATACGTTCCCAGTTTATTGAGTGTTTTTAGCATGAAGGGGTGTTGAATTTTATCAAAGGCCTTTTCTGCATCTATTGAGATAATCTTGTGTTTTTTGTCATTGGTTGTGTTTGTGTAATGGATTGCATTCATTGATTTGCGTATGTTGAACCAGCCTTGCATCCCAGGGATAAAGCTGACTTGATCGTGGTGGATAAACTGTTTAATGTGCTGCTGGATTTGGTTTGCCAGTATTTTATTGAGGATTTTCGCATCGATGTTCATTAGGGATATTGGCTTGAAATTTTGTTGTTGTTGTTGTGTCTCTGCCAGGTTTTGGTGTCAGGATGATGCTGGCCTCATAGAATGAGTTAGGGAGGAGTCCCTCTTTTTCTATTGATTGGAATAGTTTCAGAAGGAATGCTACCAGCTCCTATTTGTACCTCTGGTAGAATTCGGCTGTGAATCCATCTTGTCCTGAGCTCTTTTTGGTTGGTAGGCTATTAATTACTGCCTCAATTTCAGAACTTGTTATTGGTCTATTCAGGGATTTGACTTCTTCCTGGATTAGTCTTGGGAGGGTGTATGTGTCCAGGAATTTATCCATTTTTTCTAGATCTTCTAGTTTATTTGCGTAGCAGTGCTTATAGCATTCTCTGATGGTAGTTTGTATTTCTGTGGAATCAGTGGTGATATCCCCTTTATCATATTTTATTCTGTCTATTTGATTCTTCTCTCTTTTCTTCTTTATTAGTCTGGCTAGCAGTCTATCTATTTTGTTAATCTTTTCAAAAAATCAGCTCCTGGATTCACTGATTTTTTGAAGGGTTTTTCATGTCTCTATTTCCTTTAGTTCTGCTCTGTGAGCAAACTCCCATTCACAATTACTACAAAGAAAGTAAAATACCTAGGAATACAAGGGATGAACTACAAACCACACTCAAGGAAACGAGAGAAGATGCAAACAAATGGAAAAACATTTCATGCTCATGAATAGGAAGAATCAATATTGTGAAAATGGCCATACTGCCCAAAGTAATTTATAGATTCATTGCTATTCCCATTAAGCTACCATTGACTTTCTTCACAGAATTAGAAAAAAACTACTTTAAATTTCATACAGAACCAAAAACGACCTCATATAGCCAAGACCATCTTAAGCAAGAAGAACAAAGTTGAAGGCATTATGCTACCTGACTTCAAACCATACTACGAGGCTGCGGTGACCAAAACAGCATGGTACTGGTACCAAAACAGATATATAGACCAATGGAACAGAACAGAGGTCTCAGAAATAACACCAGACATCTACAACCATCTGATCTTTGACAAACCCGACAAAAACAAGCAATGGGGAAAGGATTCCCTATTTAATAAATGGTGCTGGGAAAATTGGCTAGCCATATGCAGAAAACTGAAACTGGACCCCTTCCTTACACCTTACACAAAAATCAACTCAAGATAGGTTAAAGATTTAAGCATAAGACCTAAAACCATAAAAACCCTGGAAGAAAAACTAGGGAATACCATTCAGAACATAGGCATGGGCAAATACTTCATGACTAAAACACCAAAACCAATGGCAACAAAAGCCAAAACTGACAAATGGAATCTAATTAAACTAAGAGCTTCTACACAGCAAAAGAAACTACCATCAGAGTGAACAGGCAACCTACAGAATGGGAGAAAATTTTTGCAATCTATCTGACAAAGGGCTAATATCCAAAATCTACAAGGAACTTAAACAATTTTACAAGAGAAAAACAAACAACCCCATCAAAAAGTGGATAAAGGATATGAGCAGACACTTTTCAAAAGAAGACATTTAATGTGGCCAATAAACATATGAAAAAAACTTCATCATCACTGGTCATTACAGCAATGTGAATCAAAACCACAATGAAATAACATCTCATGCCAGTTAGAATAGCAATTATTAAAAAGTAAGGAAGCAACAGATGCTGAAGGGGATGTGGAGAAATAGGAATGCTTTTACACTGTTGGTGGGAGTATAAATTCGTTCAACCATTGTGGAAGGCAGTGTGGTGATTCCTCAAGGATCTAGAACTAGAAATACCATTTGACCCAGCAGTCCCATTACTGGGTATATACCCAAAGGATTATAAGTCAGTCTACTATAAAGAGACATGCACACATGTTTATTGCAGCACTATTCACAATAGCAAAGACTTGGAACCAACCCAAATGCCCATCAATGTTAGACTGGATAAAGAAAATGTGGCACATACACACCATGGAGTACTATGCAGCCATAAAAAAGAATAAGTTCGTGTCCTTTGCGGGGACACGGATGAAGCTGGAAACCATCATTCTCAGCAAACTAACACAGGAACAGAAAACCAAACACCACATGTTCTCACTCATAAGTTGGAGTTGAATAATGAGAACATATGGGTACAGAGAGGGGAACATCACACACCAGGGCGTGTGGTGGGGTGGGGGATAAGGGGCGGGATAGCATTAGGAGAAATACCTAATGCAGATGACGTGTTGATGGGTGCAGCAAACCACCATGGGACATGTATACCTATGTAACAACCTATACATTCTGCACATGTATCCCAGAACTTAAAGTATAGTTAAAAAAAAAAAAAAAAAAAAAAAAAAAAAGATGCAGTAACTAACCAGCCTAGTTTGTCTGAAACTGAGGGGTTTTCCTGCATGAGGGACTTCCAGGGCTAAAACCTAGACAGACCCAGGGAAACATGACAGATTTATTTAAGCATAAAAACACACAGGATTTTAAAGACAAAATATGAAAAAATATAAGATATTACCTTCGTATTTTTATGTTAATGATATTGAATAATATTTTAGACATTGAGCAAATAAAATATATCATTAAAACTATTTCATTGGTTTCCTTTTACTTTATTTTAAGGCAGCTGCTAAAAACGTTGAAACATTACATGTGGCTCACATTATATTTCTACAGAGGTAGTCTAGTATTTAGGCCACTTTGAGTGATTTTATCTATCTATCTATCAACTATCTATCTATGCATTTACTGTTAGCACTCAAAGTTTAATGCCTGGAATTACAAAATCCTTGAGGAGATTTCACAAATCTTAACGCATTTTATATCCCCAGAGCTATTATTTGAATGTTTCTCCCCAAAAGCATGTGCTGGAAACTTAATCCTCAGTGCAACAGTATTGGGAGGTGGAGCCTAATGCAAGATGCGAATGGATTAGTGCTGATTATAATAGCATTGGAGTCTGCAAATTCAATCTCTTGGTTTCAATCTCCTATTCTTTGTCCTCCAACCATGAGATGACATAGCAAGAAGCCCTATGTCAAATACAAGCTCCTTAAATCTTGGATTTTCAAGACTCGGAATCATGAGACACTAAATTTTTGTTCACTATAAATTGTTTGATCTCAGTATTTTGTTATAGTAGCACAAAATGGACCGACACCAGTGTCTAACAATTAATACTGTCCATAACTGTCATCTTTTGAGGACTTGCTATATTCTAGGCACAATAGTTTCCTAAATTCCTAAATTCTATGTACCCAAATAGATCTCAACCTCTAAAATAGCCCACTGACACAGATAACTTCATGATACTCCACTTTACATGTAAGAAAACTGAGGTACATAATGGAAAAATAACTCGCCAATGTCCATCTTCCTAGTCAGTGATAGAGCCCAGGTCCCCAACTCTGAAAGATAATTCTTACCAAGATGATTTCAACACAGGTGTGGTCACCTGGGATCTGCATTGACAACTATGGGACTGGAGTTTATATTAACACACAGGAGTAAGAACAAAGAGTGTTGGGTCATCTCGGCAGGTTTTTAAACAAATAAATTACAATAATCAAGGTAATTGACATCTTTTTCTTTTTACTGTGAGTTTACACTTAGTGCTTGCCACAACTTCGCTTTTATCTTGGGCAGATGTTGATCTTTCCAATACATTGCTGCCTCCTGGCTCAGGGTTTGCTGCCATCAAGAGCAATAACAGTTAATATGTTCCTGAAACATAATAGATGCCAAAACTGTGCTATGTGCTAAGCCTGTATTGTTTTATCATAACTTAAGCCTTATGAATAAAGATATTATTATAAGCTCCCTTTAATAGATGAGAACATTGAGGCAAAAACTTGAGCAATTTATCAAAAATGATATCTTTCTGGGTAGTTCCAGAATGTTAATCTGGTTTCATCTGTTTCCAGAAAAGAAACTTTCTGTCCTTTGATATACTGAAAATGTAACAGATGATCTCAAGATTCTGGCCCCAGTGAATCTGAATGTTGTTTAACACAGAACAGCACAACGTTAGCTGTATAAAATTGTATCTTTTGGAGGGATGTCACCAATAATTTGAGGTTCACACTCTACTAATTTCCTATCACTGCTAAAACAAATTATCACAAACTTGGTGGCTCCAAATAACACACATTTATTCTGTGTAGTTATGAATGTCAGAAACCCAAATTCAGTTTCACTGAGTCCAAACATAGGTGTCAGCATGGTCCTTCTCCCTGGGGAAGCTCTGGGGGAAAAATCATTTTCCTTGGTCTTTTCAGCTTCTAGAGCTGCATTCCTTGCATTCCTTGGCCTTTTGCCCCTTTATCTTTAGAGCAAGCAGCTTAGCATCTTCAAATTGCTCTATTTTGTCATCACATCACCTTCTCTCCTGTGTTTGTAGTCAAATTTCCCTACACCTCCCTATTATAAGGACACTTGTGATTACATTTAGACCCCACTGAGATAATACAGGATAAAATAATCTACCCATTTCAAGACTCTTAACTGGTTAACTCTTAACCCCATTTGCACCATCCCTGTAACTATATAAGGTTACATTCACAGGTTCTAGGGATTAGGCCAAGGACATATTGGGGAAGCCATCACTCAGCCTAAAAACACTACTTATTTCTGCATGTCCTTGATTCTCACAACAGTCATAAAAGTGAGCACAGATGAGTCTTTTAGAAAAGTCTACATTCTAAATAGCTGCACACAAGTGCATTAACATGTCTAAAATATTGCTCAAAACCTATGTAAAATTAAGTTTCACAGGAAAACTGTAGACGTTGACAATATTAATTCTAAATCTTCTTATTTCTTGTTAACTCTCTTAAAAATATATCCAAAGATGTTTGCATTTTGTCTTTCTTTATCATAGAATGTTTGTAAAATTTTAGTAGTTTCAATACTTAATATGACATAAACTAATAAAAAAGGATAGATGAGACTAAAAAGAGTTTATGATGCTGTTTTTATCTGCTTGTGGTGGGTACAGTCAATCTGCTTTTGTTCTCATGAGCAGCTTTATTAAAATCTATAAACACTTACAATTTGAAATTTTTTAAGTAGAAGAGCTTCTGTACTTACTTATAACAGTAAATTTATAAGACATTTTTGAAGAGATACAGACTGCTTATAATATGTGAGATCTCATTAGTTAAACAAATATTATTTATGCTTGCAATCTAATGAGAAATGTATAATTTATCTTAAATCATCTTGCTTCCATACAATTTATACATACTTTAGAGTGCATTTATGCCACACGGTTCTCATAGATATCTTTAAGATAGGTAGAACAGATATAACCTCAAATTTGCAAAAAAAAAAAAAAAAAGGCGAATAGATATAATCTCAACTTTGCAAAAAAAAAAAAAAAAAAGCCTACTGAGAAACTGAGATCAGGTTAGTTCTCATCTGAGATATATGAGCTAATTACACCTAGAGAGAGACCAGAACACAGATAGATGTCAACTATCTTCCTACTGAAGTTGTACTGATGTGGTTTTATTACACATTTCCTCCAGAGTAACTTAAATATTCTATTTGCTTGCTTTGAAGAAACTGACACTTTTTAAAAATTTAGTATGTTGGATTTACTTTTATGACTGAAATTGATTACAAATTCCTTTTTTTTTTTTTTTTTACAAATTTTACTTTAGATTCAGGGGGTACATGTACATGTGCAGGTTTTTTACCTCGGTATATTGTGTGATGCTGAGGTTTGGGGTATGAATGAATAGTACCCAGTGGGTAGTTTTCCAGCTCTTGCCTCCTGTCTCTCCTCACTTTAGTAGTCTCCAATTTCCATTGTGGCCATCTTTATACCCATGGATACTCAATGTCTAACTCCCACTTATAAGTCAGAACACGTTATATTTGGTTTTCTGTTCCTGTGTTAATTTGCTTAGAATAATGTCCTCCAGCTGCAACCATGTTGCTGCAAATGACAATATTGTTCTTTTTATGGGTGTGTAGTATTCTGTGGTATATATGTACTGCATTTTCTTTATCCAGCCTACCATTGATGAGCACCTAGGTTGATTCCATGTCTTTGCTATTGTGAATAGAACTGTGATGAACATGCGAGTACATGTATCCATTTGGTAGAATAATTCGTTTTTCTTTTGGATGTATGCCCAGTAATGGGATTGCTGGGTTGAGTGGTAGTTCTGTTTGAGAAATCTCCAAACTGCTTTCCACTGGGGATGAACTAATTTATATTCCCACTAACAGTGTATAAGTATTCCCTTTTCTCCACAGCTCACTAGTGTCTATATTTTTTGATATTTTAATAATAGTCATTCTGACTAGTGTGGGATGGTGTATCATTGTGATTTTGATTCACATTCCTCTGATGATTAGTGATATGGTACATTTTATCATGTTTACTGGCTGTTCATATGTTTTCTTTTGAAAAGTATACCTTCATGTCTTCTGCCCATTTTTAAATAAAGTTGTTTTTGGCTTGTTGAGTTTTTTAAATTCCTTATAAATTCTGGATATTAGATCTTTGTCAGATGCTTAGTTTGTGAATGTTTTCTCCCATTCTGTAGGTTATCTGTTTATGCTGTTGACAGTTTCTTTTGTTGCACAGAAACTCTTTAATTAGGTCCCCTTTGTCAATTTTTGTTTTTGTTAGAATTGCTTTTGAGAACTTACTCATAAATTATTTCCCAAGGCTTATGTATAGAATGGTGTTTCCTAGGTTTTCTTCTAGAATTCTTATATTTTAAAGTCTTACATTTACATATTTAATGGATCTTTGGTTAATTTTTGTATATGATGACAGGCCGGGGTCCAATTTTGTTCTTCTGCAAATGAGTAGCCAAATAATCCCAGCACCATTTATTGAATGGGGAGTCCTTTCACCATTGCTCATTTTTTGTTGTCTTTGTTGAAGATCAGATGGCTATAGGTGTGCAGTTTTATTTCTGGGTTCTCTATTTTGTTCCATTGGTCTTTGTGTCTGTTTTTGTACCAGTACCATGATGTTTTGGTTACTGTAGCCTTATAGTATAGTTTTAAATAAGGCCACATTATGCCTCTGGCTTTGTTCTTTTTGTTTAGGATTGCTTTGGATATTCAGGCTCTTTATGGTTTTATATGAATTTTGGAATAGTATTTTTCTAGTTTTGTGAAAAATGACATTGGTAGTTTGATAATAATAGCATTGAATTTGTAGATTGCTTTGGGCAATATGGCCATTTTAATGATATTGAGTCTTCCAATCCATGAGCATGGAATGTTTTTCCATTTGTTTGCATCACTTACAATTTCTTTGAGCAGTGCTTTGTAGTCCTCCTTATAGAGATCTTTCACCTTGTTGGCTACATGTATTCCTAGGTATGTGTGTGTGTATTGTAAATGAGATTGCATTCTTGATTTGGCTCTCAGCTTGAACATTATCGGTGTATAGACATGCTACTGATTTTTATTTTCGATTTTTAAAAATTTTTGTGGATACCTAGTATTTGATAGCACAACAGGGTGACTATAGTCAATACTAATTTAATTATACATTTAAAAATAATGAAAAGAATGTAATTGGATTGCTTGTAATACAAAGCATAAGTGCTTGAAAGGATGGATACCCAATTTTCCATGATGTGATTATTATGTTTTGCATGCTTGTATCCAAATATTTTATGTACCCCAGAAATGCTATTGATTTTTGTACACTGATTTTGTGTTTTGAAATTTTACTAAAGTTGATAAATTTTATTATTAGACAGATGGAGAAACAAAGGCACAATGAATTCAATGTGTTCAACACAGATATTTGTCTGTTTGTATCTTTATATTTTCATGGACTCAACTGATTTAAACATCACCTTAAGAAGTCTTCTTGTTCAAGATTTTGTTTCATCAAACTTATAGTATTATACATTATGTGTTTATATGCATGTGTATATGTATAAACAAATTATATATATGTACAAATAAATTATCTCTCTCTACATATAAATATACTGTGTTTCTTATCTGTGAACTATGTTAGAATATAAGTTCCATGAATGCAATGATTTTTGTATCTTTAATTTAATAATTTATTGCAAGTGCCTAGATGAACTGGATCCATAATAGGTACTAAATAAAAATTTGTTGAACAAGTAAATTAAGTCAAATTCTTTTTCAAATAAATGAGTGTGGCTTTGATAAGAATATTAATTATAAAAAAGTCTCTTCTCTTAAATGACAACTTTCGTATAATTTATTCTCATTGTGCAAAGGAGAGAACTGAAGCTCATTAAAACACAGAAATGAGGCCAGGCATGGTGGCTCATGCCTGTAATCCCAGCACTTTGGAAGGCTGAGGCAGGCAGATCACAAGGTCAGGCATTCGAGACCAGCCTGACAAACATGGTGAAACCCCATCTCTACTAAAAATGCAAAAATAAGCCAGGCGTGGTGGCGTGCACCTGTAATCCCCACTACTCGGGAGGCTGAGACAGGAGAATCCCTTGAACCCGGGAGGTGGAGGTTGCAGTGAGCTGAGATCCTGTCACTTCACTACAGTCTGGGTGACAGAGCAAGGTTCCGTTTCAAAAAAAAAACAAAAACAAAAACAAACAAAAAAACAGAAATGAGATGAACTCACCATGGCCACTCAATAGTTGGCATTTAATGTTATATTTGTATATAAATATAAATGATCCCTTCTACCTCCACCCTATTCGGTTAATAGATAATCACATATGTAGAAGTGTCTTTTTGGCCCTTATGCAGGATTCTTGCTTCCATTGAGATCTAAGAGATAAAAGATACAGGTAGTCTGGGGGCTTAATTTTGACCAACAGTACTGGATGGGAATTTGTATTGATATTTACCACAGAATAGTAGGAACTCCCAAATGCTCAGGATTACCCCCATCTCCATTAGTCCAGCATTTTTCCTTCATGCTAAACTGTTCAGATTCTTCTTTGAGAATTACTTGAAAGAGAACAGAGACAATTCAGCCACCTCTCATTTCCACCCTGCTTGTTTAGCTGAAATGAGTCTCAATCTTAGACACTAATTCCTATTTCTCAGGAAGAACAGAATGAAATGCTCTGTTTGCCAACAGTGTCCACAGTGATTAATCTGTACTCATCTTGTGGTTATGTCTGGAGAAAAGCATGAAGCCATATTTGCATAATTGTTTATAAACTCATCCTACTCCTTGGTGGGTGTGTATTTACCCCACAAGCTGCACTCAGCTGAGGTTAATACTCTCCAGAGTAACAGAAGAAGAGCTGCAATCATTTTAGTAGAGCAATTGTGTTCCTTAAGGGGCATCAGAAAGACCTAACTCTTTCACTTGACTGCTCTCTTAGCAAAGATCATTGTTAAGGTGATTTGGTTGATGAAGAAAACTGACATTTATTGAATTCCTAAGGATTTAACAAATTCATTTTGCATTCAACAACAAGAAAAAAAGTAAAGCAGTTATTACATGTCTTGTACTAGACAGGAAGCTGTAGCTCAAGAAGGTTAAATGTGTGGTCAATATCAAACAGCTACTATGTGTTGAACCAAGACTTGAGTTCAGATCAAATTCTAAAATGTTTTAGCTACATCCCAGTGCCCATCTGTTGTGTGCGTGTATGTGTTTGTCTCTGTGTGTGTGTTTGTGTGTGTGTGTGTGTGTGTGTGTGTGTGTGTGTTTTCTAAACCTATTCCTGCTTTTAAAGAAGGGAAGAGGGT
This sequence comes from Homo sapiens, assembly GCF_000001405.40. Taxonomy (NCBI): domain Eukaryota; kingdom Metazoa; phylum Chordata; class Mammalia; order Primates; family Hominidae; genus Homo; species Homo sapiens. The sequence goes on along the minus strand of NC_000009.12, from coordinate 115,850,538 downwards.
TTGAAGGGATTATTATGTGTAGTCTCTGCCTAAGAGTTTGTTTACAAAATAAATAATCAATAAACATAGGATTGAAACTTTTTATAAAGGAAGTTCAAATTTTTGGGGGGTACACACATTTATTAAGTATTCAGTGTTTCTTCTATACATTTTCTACAATACACTAGCAGCAATTGTCATCTCTCCATGCTGTTTTGGGGAGTATTTGGGTTCTTTGGGATTGGAACACAAACAAACAAAACAAAACAAATACAAAAAGTATTTTTACTCTGTCTTAGATGCACCAAGCAGGGGAGAAATTAGTCAGCTGGAACTCAGCTGTTGATGCTTTGGCTAATAGTCTACAAACATGCCAAAAATATTCTTCCTTTTCAGAAAACTGTTAGCTAAGATCATGCAAAAGCCTGTAAGAAAAGTCGAGAAATTTGTATAGTTCTCACTCTCAAGTCAAGCCTGGAAAATGGCTTGCCCCAGTGGCTGGAAGCCAGCGAGTGTGATTATGTTGGAATCAGAGATGAAGAGAGAAAGACATCTGAGCCCACATTTCTTTCATTAAACACACCAGTTCTTCTGCCAGGATCATGGAGTTATTGGATTTGACCATGAGGAGGCATAACGAAACCCAAACCACAGGAAACAACATTATTGAATAGCTACTCTACCACATCCTGTAATACAAATATAACCAACCTCACCTATAACTATATTAAGCCCCCACAACATCCACACCAACAAGCATGTAAACAACAACAAAATAGTAAGACAGATAAATGAGGTTAATGAGAGTTGTTATAAAGAAAATTAAATAGAGTGATGCCACAGTAACTTAGGGTGGGGTAAAGGTTACTTTAGCTAGACTGGCCTTGGGAAAACCCTCTCCCTATATGTAATATATAAACTTGAATGATGAAAAGGAGCTATCCATCAAATATTCTGGGAAAAGAATATCCTACTAGAGCCTTTGTATGTGCAAAAATCCTGAGTTGAATATAAGTGTAGTATATGTGAGAAACAAAAGTAGGACCATTGTAATAAACAGAGAGAACGATAATAGGTAGGTGCTGAGAGGAGGGATCATGAAAGGCTTGGGAGGTTACGGTTCTTACTTTGAATGTACTTTAGGTACACTGGGATATTGTTAGATAGATTTAAACAAAGGAGTTATAGGACATAATTTATACTTTAAAAATGCATTGCTGAATGGAAAATGTAGTAAAGTATAGCAAGAGGAAAAATAGAGGACAAGTGTCTATGAGCAGTAGAAAGAAAACATTTACGGGACTTAGACTGTCATGGGTAGGGGGAGAGTGAGGCTGTTGACTAAATGAGAAGTGAAGGATTTACAGTTGTACTCCATGGAAGTAGAACATGTCAGAGGAGCCTCTGGATTTCTTGATGCCATTACTTTTTATTACATGACATGAAACATTTGTGCCACGGCACAGCTGTGCCTTGAACCCAGGAATGAATTCACATGGAATTTTAATGATTACACACTAATGTGGCTGGCAGTGTCTGTGACCATACACATGGAAAACAGGAGAGAGAGAGATGAAAAGAGTGAAGTAGGAGAAAATGTCAGCAACTGCTTTTAGTATTGAAAGAGTTTTAGGATCAAGTATTGATGTGAAGTCCTTGGAGAGCCACAGAAAAATCAAAAGCAAGACAGGATGGAAAGATAGAGAAGAAGGCATTAAAAAAGCAAAAATGGAAGACATAAGGATAGAAAGAGGGATTGAAGAAACAAAGAAGAACAAAGATGTATGTGATAGGGGGCATGGTAGAGACCTAAAGCCACAAACAGAAATTCCTTTCCAAATCTAGAATAACATACTTCAGAGGAACAGCAGACCTAAGAGTTTGGAACACTAATAATGAGAATCATTATTTTCCACATACCTTGCATATGAAAGGCACTATATTAATTGCTTTACGAGCTGCGTGGGGAAACAGACTTTGAGAGGTAATTCAACTTATCCAAACCCTACAACCACTTATTTGCAAATTCAAGATTCCAATCCAGAGCTATAGAATCCCAAACCACTTATCTCACTATAAATTAGCTTTATTTATTTTTGAATTGTTCATAAATAGCATCATATAGTGTGAATCTTTTTCTGGTGCCTGGTGTATTTCTTCAACATTTTGAGATTCATCAATGTTTTTGCATACTCCTTTTCATTGTTATAAAATATTTCATGACTATAACACAGCTTAGTGTTGATGAACACATATTTCCATTTTTTAAATTATTGTTATAGGCATTGAAGATAAGAACGCTCCTGAACATACCTTTTTTTTTTTTTTTTTTTTTAAGACACATTCTCACTCTGCTGCCCAGGCTGGAGTGCAGTGACGCGATCGATCTTGGCTTACTGCAATCTCCGCCTCCTGGGTTCAAGCAATTCTCGTGCCTCAGCCTCTTGAGTAGCTGGATTAAAGGCATGCTACACCACACCCAGGTAATTTTGTTGTATTTTTAGTAGACACAGGGCTTCACCATGTTGGACAAGCTGGTCTCAAACTCCTGACCTCAAGTGATCCGCCCTCCTCGGTCTCCCAAAGTGCATACATCTTTTAATACACATTTTCACTCATGTCTATTGGTATATATTTAGTAGTGGAATTGCTTCATCATATGGTATACATATTTTCTGCTATTGGAGATAATGCCAAAGAATGTTCCAAAGTAGTTGTACCAAATCCCTTTATTCATAGGAATGGAAAGAGGGAGACTCTTGAGGGGGAGGAACTTGCCAAAGAAGAGGGAGCTGAGCCTGCCCTAGAACCCAGGCTGCCAGCTCTCCTAAGACATGTGCCCCTCCCAGAACAATGGTCTACTCCCCTACCCTAAATCATTCACTTCATAACATTCCCATTCATTTCTCTCATTGGTCTTCTATGTAAAATGCCTAAAATGTATTCATTCCTCTTCTCTGCATATCCAGCAGAAAAGTTTTCTAAGTAGAATTAATTTTAAAATAACAAAACAAAACAGGGCAACCATTTGTGGAAAGGCTGTCTGATGGGAAAACCAGACAGCTACATCCATGGATTTTCAGTGTACCTTTGAGTCAGCTGGGATTCCTTAGTGAGTTTTGTTGCAAAGCTGAGTCATTGGCTTTTTACCACACGTACAAACAAGCATCACTGTATTTAAGAAAGAGCAGCAGCATTTTCCAAAAAATATATTTTCCCCTCACTCTCTTTTTCCTGGACATCATGATTTCTGAAATCACCTCAAAGTAAGAGAAGCTGCCAATTTCACCAATTGCCATAACAAGCTAAACTTTTTAAAAACACATTATGATATAACAAATATGCATATTTTAAAGCTTTACAAAAAAGAACAGAGCACAGTGAACAATTTCACTTCACAGTGTTTCATTAATTATGAAGCAAACAGATATGTGAGATCCAAAGGGTGCATGTGTGTGTGTCCATTTTGGAAACCTATTAGGAGTTATTTACTATGAAAAATCCATATAAAGCATGTTGGTTTCATGAACAGAGATCAATTTTGTAGGATCCTCACCCCTTCTCAGTGTCTGATGTTTTAATTTTTCTTTCTATTAATAAGTCCATGTGTTATTCAGCTTTGATTATAATCACTTAATAAAAACCTTGTCAAGTTGCTTCCCCCCTCTCTACATCTCTAACAATCCATCCATCCTTTTCTATCCAGGAAATTCTGTAATTCTTAGTTGGCAAAACTTATCTAATGCCTATCACATTTATTCAGTTGTGTCATTCATTCATTCAACAAACATTTGTTGAGTTCCTGCTTTGTGCCAAAGCCCTAGACTCACCACTAGCACTATTATATTGGAATTATATTTTTTGTGAGTTTCCTTCAAAAGAGAACATTGTCGAGACCCTACTCTCTGTGACTGCATAGTGAATGGCTTCTGAAATAATTCCTACATGTGTTAACTAATCAGAGAACTGTATTAAGACAATTTTTTGAAGTAAGTTAGAGACTCAGCGAGAAAGATGGCCACAATCGACTAGCATGTCTACTAAATGTGCATGAGTAGATGAAATATGCATTTGCATTATTGTCTAATTGAATTCTTGTAAAGAAGGATTCAAACAACACAGCAGATGGAGAGAGAAAAGTCACAATTGGGCAGTTTAGCAAGCAAGGGTCAGACTGCATGTGTCTGCAAATACAGAAAAACTCCCAGCATGTGAGGCTACTGAGTGGTATTTGGAAGGTTTTGGGACATGATCCCATCACTCTTCTAATTCTCAAGAAAAAGACAACACTTTGGCAAACACCCTGTTAAGCAGCACATTGCAAAATACAAATGCATTAGAGTTAAACAAGAAAACCAAAAGGTGAGACTTGAATGTCTGTCTGTCTGTCTGTGACACCTTGGACAAGTCACTCCTCACTTCCCTGGAATCTGTCTTCCCTTTTGCTAAAAGAGGGATAGGATCTTGATGAACTCTAAGGATGCATGGAAAAACTTGCCTGCTTCTTTCACACATCTTGCTAAATAATTGGAATGAGTGCTTTGCTTAAGATACCTTGAGAGCAAGCAGAATTCCCTCTAAGAGATAATCTGAAGAAGTCCATGTGGGCCCCTTTTGGGTGGAGTGGCCAGGCTAGTTCAGCAGATGGACACAGATTGCAGTCAGAGGCTGGTGAATCATCTGCAACACACTTTAGTCATTCAGGTGCATTTGCATTGAACTCTGTGGCTGGGAATAGGCCCCAGACTCTGTGTTTGTTTATTTCCATGGATGTCCCAGAGCTTGTTGTGAAATACGAAATTTATAAATTGTTATGTTCTATTGCTGACAGCTTTCGCCCTTCTCTTGATGATCAGCAGCCTCTTCGTCCCTTCCTCCACTCTAGAGGGAGGGAATTTGTTTGCCTGAACAATGACCAGGTGTCCTGCCCTGAATTGGGAACTTAATATTGATTATCTTATATTATCCTCATAAAAAACCTGTGAAATAGGTATGATGATCCTAGTATTTAGATGTAAGAAGAGAGGCCAAGAAAGTGTAAAAAGATTGGCAAAGTTCCACAGTTAGGAAGACTCAGAGGACTTTCTTTTTCAAAGCCATGTTCTACATTATACAGCTTGTATCCTAGAAAAGAAGGTTCAGTCACACATTATTTCACTTGGATCATTTAGCTCCGCATAACAACCTTCTGAAATTGGGAAACAACATGGAGATATGTCTGAAGTCTGGAGAAATTGCAATAAAAGTTAATATTCACGTTTCTTTTCATTCTGTCCCTTTTTGGGAAAGGAGAGCATATAAATTTATGTTTGTAACTTCGGGTCAAAATTATAGTGGGGCTTCAAAACTTTTTGTGGAACTGAGCTAAATTAGTTTTGTTTTTAAAAAGAAGATTATTTCAGAGTTTGTTTATAATGATTATTGCGGCAGATTTAAATTATGGTAATGTATAAAAGTGAGGATATGCTTAGATGATAATTCAGGGAAAAATGAAAAAAGACATACAAAGTAATAATATCATTACTATAACAAAATTTTTGAAAAAAATCAGCAATCTTACTTTTCTAATTGTTTATAGGAATTAATTGAGATTGTGAAAGAAAAATAAAATCTCAGAACCCCAAACTCACTGTCAGGCCTCTGAGCCCAAGCCAAGCCATCACATCCCCTGTGACTTGCACATATATGCCCAGATGGCCTGAAGTAACTGAAGAATCACAAAAGAAGTGAATATGCCCTGCCCCACCTTAACTGATGACATTCCACCACAAAAGAAGTGTAAATGGCTGGTCCTTGCTTTAAGGGATGACATTACCTTGTGAAAGTCCTTTTCCTGGCTCATCCTGGCTCAAAAAGCACCCCCACTGAGCACCTTGCATCCCCTACTCCTGCCCGCCAGAGAACAAACCCCCTTTGACTGTAATTTTCCTTTACCTACCCAAATCCTATAAAACGGCCCCACCCTTATCTCCCTTCACTGACTCTCTTTTCGCATTCAGCCCGCCTGCACCCAGGTGAAATAAACAGCCATGTTGCTCACACAAAGCCTGTTTGGTGGTCTCTTCACACGGAAGCGCATGAAATTTGGTGCTGTGACTCGGATCGGGGGACCTCCCTTGGGAGATCAATCCCCTGTCCTCCTGTTCTTTGCTCCGTGAGAAATATCTACCTACAACCTCAGATCCTCAGACCAACCAGCCCAAGGAACATCTCACTAATTTTAAATCAGGTAAGCGGCCTCTTCTTACTCTCTTCTCCAACTTCCCTCACTGTCCCTCAACCACTTTCTTCTTTCCACTCTTCAATCTCTCCTTTCTCTTAATTTCAATTCCTTTCATTTTCTGGGAGAGACAAAGGAGACACGTTTTATCTGTGGACCCAAAACTCCGGCGCCGGTCACGGACTGGGATGGCAGCCTTCCCTTGGTGTTTAATCATTGCAGGGATGCCTCTCTGATTGTTCACCCACGTTTCAAAGGTGTCAGAGCACGCAGGGACGCCTGCCTTGGTCCTTCACCCTTAGCGGCAAGTCCTGCTTTTCTGGGGAAGGGGCAAGTACCCCAACCCCTTCTCTCCTTGTCTCTACCCCTTCTCTGCTTTCCTGGGGCAGGGGCAAGTACCCCTCAACCCCTTCTCCTTCACCCTTAGCGGCAAGTCCCGCTTTCCTAGGGGGCAAGAACCCCCCAATCGCTTATATCCACACCCCAACCTCTTATCTCTGTGCCCCAATCCCTTATTTCCGCACCCTGACCTCTTATCTCTGTACCCCAATCCCTTATTTCCGTGCCCCAACCCCTTCTCTGCTTTTCTGGAGGGCAAGAACCCTCCACCCCTTCTCTCTGTCTCTACTCTTTTCTCTGGGCTTGCCTCCTTCACTATGGGTAAGCTTCCACCTTCCATTCCTCCTTCTTCTCCCTTAGCCTGTGTTCTCAAAAACTTCAAACCTCTTCAACTCACACCTGACCTAAAATCTAAATGCCTTTTCTTCTGCAATGCCGCTTGACCCCAGTACAAACTTGACAGTAGTTCCAAATAGCCAGAAAATGGCACTTTGAATTTTTCCATCCTGCAAAATCTAAGTAATTCTTGTCGTAAAATAGGCAAACGGTCTGAGGTGCCTGACGTCCAGGCATTCTTTTACACATCAGTCCCTTCCTAGTCTCTGTGCCCAGTGCAACTCGTCCCAAATCTTCCTTCTTTCCCTCCTGCCTGTCCCCTCAGTCCCAACCCCAAGCATCGCTGAGTCTTTCTAATCTTCCTTTTCTACAGACCCATCTGACCTCTCCCTTCCTCCCCAGGCTGCTCCTCGCCAGGCCGAGCTAGGTCCCAATGCTTCCTCAGCCTCCGCTCCTCCACCCTATAATCTTTTTATCGCCTCCCCTCCTCACACCTGGTCCGGCTTACAGTTTCGTTCGGTGACTAGCCCTCCCCCACCTGCCCAGCAATTTACTCTTAAAAAGGTGGCTGGAGCCAAAGGCATAGTCAAGGTTAATGCTCCTTTTTCTTTATCCCAAATCAGATAGCGTTTAGGCTCTTTTTCATCAAATATAAAAATCCAGCCCAGTTCATGACTTGTTTGGCAGCAACCCTGAGACACTTTATAGCCCTAGACCCTAAAAAGTCAAAAGGCCGTCTTATTCTCAAAATACATTTTATTACCCAATCTGCTCCCGACATTAAATAAAACTCCAAAAATTAAATTCCGGCCCTCAAACCCCACAACACGATTTAATTAACCTCGCCTTCAAGGTGTACAATAATAGAAAAAAGTTGCAATTCCTTGCCTCCACTGTGAGACAAACCCCAGCCACATCTCCAGCACACAAGAACTTCCAAACGCCTGAACCGCAGCAGCCAGGCGTTCCTCCAGAACCTCCTCCCACAGGAGCTTGCTACACTTGCCGGAAATCTGGCCACTGGGCCAAGGAATGCCCGCTGCCCGGGATTCCTCCTAAGCCGCGTCCCATCTGTGTGGGACCCCACTGAAAATCAGACTGTTCAACTCACCTGGCAGCCACTCCCAGAGCCCCAGGAACTCTGGCCCAAGGCTCTCTGACTGACTCCTTCCCAGATCTTCTCGGCTTAGCGGCTGAAGACTGACACTGCCCGATCGCCTCGGGAGCCCCCTAGACCATCATGGACGCCGAGCTTCCAGTAACTCTCACAGTGGAAGGTAAGCCCGTCCCCTTCTTAATCAATATGGAGGCTACCCACTCCACATTACCTTCTTTTCAAGGGCCTGTTTCCCTTCCCTCCATAACTGTTGTGGGTATTGACGGCCAGGCTTCTAAACCTCTTAAAACTCCCCAACTCTGGTGCCAACTTAGACAATACTCTTTGAAGCACTCCTTTTTAGTTATCCCCACCTGCCCAGTTCCCTTATTAGGCTGAGACACTTTAACTAAATTATCTGCTTCCCTGACGATTCCTGGACTACAGCTGTATCTCATTGCCGTCCTCCTTCCCAATCCAAAGCCTCCTTTGCGTCCTCCTCTTGTATCTCCCCACCTTAACCCACAAGTATAAGATACCTCTACTCCTTCCTTGGCGACCGATCATGCACCCCTTACCATCTCATTAAAACCTCATCACCCTTACCCCACTCAATGCCAATATCCCATCCCACAGCACGCTTTAAAAAGATTAAAGCCTGTTATCACTCGCCTGCTACAGCATGGCCTTTTAAAGCCTATAAACTCTCCTTACAATTCCCCCATTTTACCTGTCCTAAAACCAGACAAGCCTTACAAGTTAGTTCAGGATCTGCGCCTTATCAACCAAATTGTTTTGCCTATCCACCCCGTGGTGCCAAACCCATATACTCTCCTATCCTCAATACCTGCCTCTATAACCCATTATTCTGTTCTGGATCTCAAACATGCTTTCTTTACTATTCCTTTGCACCCTTAATCCCAGCCTCTCTTCACTTTCACTTGGACTGACCCTGACACCCATCAAGCTCAGCAAATTACCTAGGCTGTACTGCCGCAAAGCTTCACAGACAGCCCCCATTACTTCAATCAAGACCAAATTTCTTCCTCATCTGTTACCTATCTCGGCATAATTCTCATAAAAACACACGTGCTCTCCCTGCCAATCGTGTCCAACTGATCTCTCAAACCCCAGCACCTTCTACAAAACAACAACTCCTTTCCTTCCTAGGCATGGTTAGCGTGGTCAGAATTCTTACACAAGAGCCAGGACCACACCCTGTAGCCTTTCTGTCCAAACAACTTGACCTTACTGTTTTAGCCTAGCCCTCATGTCTGCGTGCAGCGGCTGCCGCTGCATTAATACTTTTAGAGGCCCTCAAAATCACAAACTATGCTCAACTCACTCTCTACAGTTCTCATAACTTCCAAAATCGATTTTCTTCCTCATACCTGATGCATATACTGTCTGCTTCCCGGCTCCTTCAGCTATACTCACTCTTTGTTGAGTCTCCCACAATTACCGTTGTTCCTGGCCCAGACTTCAATCCGGCCTCCCACATTATTCCTGATACCACACCTGACCCCCATGACTGTATCTCTCTGATCCACCTGACATTCACCCCATTTCCCCAAATTTCCTTCTTTCCTGTTCCTCACCCTGATCACGCTTGATTTATTGATGGCGGTGCCACCAGGCCTAATCGCCACACAAAAGCAAAGGCAGGTTATGCTATAGTACAAGCCACTAGCCCGCCTCTTAGAACCTCTCATTTCCTTTCCATCGTGGAAATCTATCCTCAAGGAAATAACTTCTCAGTGTTCCATCTGCTATTATACTACTACTCCTCAGGGATTATTCAGGCCCCCTCCCTTCTCTAGACATCAAGCTCGAGGATTTGCCCCACCCAGGACTGGCAAATTAGCTTTACTCAACATGCTCGGAGTCAGATAACTAAAATACCTCTTAGTCTAGGTAGATACTTTCACTGGATAGGTAGAGGCCTTTCCTACAGGGTCTGAGAAGGCCACCGCAGTCATTTCTTCCCTTCTGTCAGACATAATTCCTCAGTTTAGCCTTCCCACCTCAATACAGTCTGATAACAGACGAGCCTTTATTAGTCAAATCAACCAAGCAGTTTTTCAGGCTGCTAGTATTCAGTGAAGCCTTTATATCCCTTACGGTCCTCCGTCTTCAAGAAAAGTAGAATGGACTAAAGGTCTTTTAAAAACACACCTCACCAAGCTCAGCCACCAACTTAAAAAGGACTGGACAATACTTTTACCACTTTCCCTTCTCAGAATTCAGGCCTGTCCTCGGAATGCTACAGGGTACAGCCCATTTGAGCTCCTGTATAGATGCTCCTTTTTATTAGGCCCCAGTCTCATTCCAGACACCAGACCAACTTAGACTGTGCCCCAAAAAAGAACTTGTCATCCCTACTATCTTCTGTCTAGTCATACTCCTATTCACCGTTCTCAACTACTCATACATGCCCTGCTCTTGTTTACACTGCCGGTTTACACTGTTTTTCGAAGCCATCACAGCTGATATCTCCTGGTGCTATCCCCAAACTGCCACTCTTAACTCTTGAAGTAAATAAATAATCTTTGCTGGCAGGACTATGCTGAATCTCCTTAGGCACTCTCTAATCAGATATCCTGAGTCGTCCCAATTCTTAGACCTTTTATACCTGTTTTTCTCCTTCTGTTATTCCATTTAGTTTCTCAACTCATCCAAAACCATATCCAGGCCATCACCAATCATTCTATATGACAAATGTTTCTTCTAACATCCCCACAATATCACCCCTTACCACAAGACCTCCCTTCAGCTTAATCTCTCCCACTCTAGGTTCCCACGCCGCCCCTAATCCCGCTTGAAGCAGCCCTGAGAAACATCGCCCATTCTCTCTCCATATCACCCCCCCAAAATTTTCGCCGCCCCAACACTTCAACACCATTTTGTTTTATTTTTATTATTAATAAAAGAAGGCAGGAATGTCAAGCCTCTGAGCCCAAGCCAAGCCATCACATCCCCTGTGACTTGCACATATACGCCCAGATGGCCTGAAGTAACTGAAGAATCACAAAAGAAGTGAATATGCCCTGCCCCACCTTAACTGATGACATTCCACCACAAAAGAAGTGTAAATGGCTGGTCCTTGCTTTAAGGGATGACATTACCTTGTGAAAGTCCTTTTCCTGGCTCATCCTGGCTCAAAAAGCACCTCCACTGAGCACCTCGCAACCCCCACTCCTGCCCGCCAGAGAACAAACCCCCTTTGACTGTAATTTTCCTTTACCTACCCAAATCCTATAAAACGGCCCCACCCTTATCTCCCTTCGCTGACTCTCTTTTCGGACTCAGCCAGCCTGCACCCAGGTGAAATAAACAGCCATGTTGCTCACACAAAGCCTGTTTGGTGGTCTCTTCACACGGACGCACATGAAACTCACTATGCCAAAGGGAAAAGTTCAGCTTGGGAACTGATTCACTTGAAAAACGACAACAGTGACAACAACAAAACTGACTTCGTTTTGTTCCCAAACAGATAGCTATAATTTCACATGCTTTTTTTTTTTTTTTTTTTTTTGAGATGGAGTCTCTCTGTGTCATTGAGGCTGGAGTGCAGTGGTGCGCTCTCTGCTCACTGCAACCTCTGCCTCCTGGGTTCAAGTGATTCTCCAGCCTTAGCCTCCTGAGTAGCTGGGACTACAGGCACACACCTCCACTCAAAAATATATAATTTTTTATATTTTAGTAGAGACTGGGTTTCACCACATTGGCCAGGCTGGTCTCAAACTTCTGACCTTGTGATCCATCTGCCTTGGCCTCCCAAAGTTGTGGGATTACAGGCATGAGCCACTGCACCCAGCCTGGCTTATTTTATCTTACATAAAATGTAGATTTCCTGAGCGCCAGATGAATGAATGAATAATTGACTTTTTCCCCCTCTTCCTCCCTTTTCACATGTAAAATGTGGATTCAGTGAGACTAATCAAAGCCTCACGAAAATGTAACCACTTGCCTCATTGCCTACCCTCCCTCTTTTTTTCTTCTTTCCCCTCCTGCCCTCTTTCCCCGCTTTACATATTGAAGTTCTCAAAACCTTCTTTGGAAAAAAGCACAGGCCACAGATCCAACTGAAACTTGTCTTTCTTTCTTTCCTTTTTTTTTTTTTTTTTTCCCCAGGAGTGTCCTCAATCTTGGCAAAATAAACTTCTGACTTGATTGAGATCTATCTCAGATTTTTTTTTGGTTTAAAAGATCTTAGAACAGTATGTGAGTTCTAAGTTCATGGCAGCCTTAATAAGTTCTAGAAACCATGGTCCTCAGTAGCCTGAATCCTCTGATTAGTGGTAGTTTTTCCAGGCCATTATCTGCAGTTTTTCCAGGATCAATTGATTAGTCCTTCTATCTATTGTTCTTGAATACATCTGCAACAGCACTGTCCAATCTTTTGGCTTCCCTGGGCCACACTGAAAGAATTGTCTTGGGCCACACATAAAATACACTAACACTAATGATAACTGATGGGCTAAAAAAAAAAAAAATCACACAGAAAAATCTCATAATGTCTTAAGAAAGTTCACAAATTTGTGTTGGGCCACATTCAAAGCCATGCTGGGCTGCATGAGGCCTACAGGCCGTGGGTTGGATAAGCTTGATCTATAAGGTTCTGTAGTGCTGCTCCGAATTTAAAAAATAAATGAAAAGAAAAGGACAATTTGAGGACAGGCAGTACTAGAACAAGGTTATATGTATTTAGAACATGGAGAGTGAATTTGTGGCAGGAAACTGCTACTGAAGACGCCCCTGAAGGGAAACAGATGTCTCCCTGTCCCTGGCTCACATGAGCTCAAAAGAAGTGTGCTGGTGAGGCAAAACATCAGCAACACTTGCATTCCGAAAAAAATGCCTTTAAAAAATATCAGCTTCATAACAAGTCTTAATATCAAGTTGTGTTTGTCCCTCCTATTCATTTTTTTTTCCAAAATTATTTTGTCTATTCTAGGCCCCATGCTTTTCCATATAAATTATAGAAGTAGTACGTTAACTTCTACAGAAATCTCTTCTAGGTTTTTGATTGTATTTGCATTGAAGCTATAGATCCATTTTGGAGGAATTAGCATTCTAGTAATATTGAGCTAAAAAAATTGAGAGGCACCCCCTGTATATGTTCAAAGTTCTCTCTTTGTGCAACTAACTCCTCTCTATTACTCTGTACTGAGAATTCTAGCCTCCTTGGTCTCCTAGGACTCATTTCTGTCTCCTCAACTTAGGGAACCTTTTCTGTTCAGACTGCGTTCCTTTTCTTGCTGCTAGGCCTGGAAACTCTCTCCAGATGATAAGCTGTGGCAATTACAATGTTCACCTTGTTTCCTGTCTCTCAGGGATCACTGCCCTTCATTGCCTGATGTCTTGAAAACCATTGGTTCATATATTTTGTTTGTTGGTAGTTTCAGTGGAGTAAGAGACTAAATATGATCCCTGTCACTCTTTTTTGAGAAATCAAAGTTAGATATTTATTTTTTAATAAGTTTTAATAAAGAGAGTAAAAGCATTTTATTGTTATATACATATTTACAATTTCCGATTCTGTCCACTTCTTTGTGTAAGTGCTAAATTATTTCTGGCTATCTTCTATTTGAAAGATTTTTTTAAAGCATTTCTTCTAGAGCTAGTTGACCAAAGACAAGCTCTTTCGGTTCTCTTTTTGTCTGTAAAATTCTTTATTTTGCTTTAGCATTTTAAATATATTCATGTTGATAGAATATTCCAGATCGACTTGTTTTTAATTTTGTTTTTGTCTCTTTTCAATACTTTAATAATGTTGCTTTACTTTCCTCTGAGTTCCATTTTTCCTGATGAGTATTCAGCATTACCTTTTATCCTCTGTGCATAATGAGTTGTTTTTGTTTGTCTGATCACAACTTTTTTTATCATTGGTTTAAGAAATTTTATTATGATGTGCCTTGTTGTAGTTTTCCTCGTGTTTCTCCTGCTTGTTATTTGTGCTCCTGGGATATGTGAGTTTATAATTTTCTTTGAATGTGGAGAATTTTCAGTCATTATTTCTTTAAATACTGTCTTGTTATTCTTTCTCTCTCTTCCCTCCTTTGGGGACTCCAATTACACATATATGTGGTTGCTTCTAGTTGTCCCATAGCTCACAGATTTCTTGGTTGTGGTGATGTCTGTCATGTTTCTGCATGCAAAATTTTAATTACCGTATTTGTAATTAGTAAGCATTATGTGTGGAGATAATTTGAAACTATTTAAATAGTATGCCTTTCATCATCCCTAATGGTAGTATACATTGATGCATACAATGATTATTACAATGGTGTTTTCCAAGTGGTAATTTTTATTTACATTATTCCTCTTATATTTATCAGTGTAATTCTATCTGACAGGCAGAATAATGGTCCTCCCAAAATAGCTATGTCTTAAACCCCAGAACTTGTGTATATACTATGTTTCATGGCAAGGAGGAAATCAGATTGTAGATGAAATTATATAGGCTAATCAGACGACCTTAAGAAAAGGAGCTCAGTTTGGATTGCCCAGATGGTCCTATGTAACCACAAGGGTCCTTTAAGTGGAGGAGATGTGGAAGAGTTGTGTCAGATCCATATGGGAAAAATTCTGCTGATTATCCCTGACACTGATGATGGAAGGAACCACAATCCTAGGAATGCAGGAAGTCTGTTGAAGCTGGAAATGGGAAGAAAATGTATTCTCCCTTAGAGCTTTCTGTAAGAAATCTACTTCGGCTCACACTTGATTTTATCCCAGTGAGACCCATTTCAAACTTCTGACCTCCAGAACTATAATTTTTTAATTTAAGAATTAATTTGTTTTCTTTAATAAATTTGTAGTACAACATTACTCCAAAAACATCATTTTTGCCCAACATAATTTCATTGTAATAGTAATGAGAAAAAAAATTAAACTGATTTTCGGCCAGAGAGCCACATCCTTCCTATGTCTGAATGAGTTTTCTTCAGGCACTGGCGTTTCCCCTTACATTCTAAAGATGTGCATGTCAGGTTAATTGATGTGTCCAAATTGTCTGAATGAGTGTGAGTGCATGCGTGTGCATGTGTTTGTATGTATGTATGTGTATGTGTGAGTGAGTGTGCTCTGCCATAGAATGGCATCTGGTCCAGTATTGGTTCCCACCTTGCTTCCTGAGTTGCCAGGATAGAGTCTAGCCCCTGGTGACCCTGAACTGGAATAATTGGGTAAATAATTATCTTACTTTTGTTTCAGTGTTTAATGTTAGCAATTTTTTAGTCTTTATTTTGAAGTTTGGTAATTTTTTTTTTTGTGACCAGCAATATATGCTAGGAAATGAACTCTTGTTATATCAATTAGCCTATGGTAAAATTGATTTCCTGAACCAGTTGAAAAGTCAGAGTTTTCAAAAATCTATCCACTATGTAAAGTGAAGAGTCACCATAATTTGTTACAATAACAATAGGAAACTAATAGATTGTACCATAAGAAAGGGTATCTTTTTCTCTCTACTTATTTACTGACATTCATTCATTTATTCATTCACTTATTCCTTTGTTATATCAGCATAAATTTATGGATATTTATTTTATTTTATAACTTACATCATTCAGTGTTTTTATTTTCTATTTTTTGCTTGACTCAACCCAGACTTAGCCATTCAGCTTTCTTCATATCGACTCCTCTGTCCTTTCTGCATGTCTCTGTTATATGATGAGCACTTTCTCACCCATCTCTGTTATATGATGAGCACTTCCTCACCCGGCAGTGCTTACACTCTTAACCCAATGCTACACTGACCTTCATGAATCATATTTCATATACTTAGTTGCTTCTCAGAATTACTAGTGAACTTGATATATCAAAAAAACAATGTGGTCTGCAAAAGGAAAAAATATTAAAAGCCATATGAATACTCACATCTTTAAAAGTCTGATTAAAGATGTTCACAACCATTCACCACTAACGTTTGAAATCGACATAAAGGAAACCATATCAGTTCTAAAAATGCCCTTGTTCTACAATTGAAATTGACATCTTGTGCTGCAATTTTGTTTCTTCATGCCTTCATGTCAGCATTTATTTATGCCCTTGTTTTAATCTAAAAGGAAGTCAGAATACAAGTTTCCAACACAGATAAAAGCTCATCAAAACCAAAACTTAAACTTCCAAAACTAATGAATCAGTGATTATTACCAATATAATCCAAAGAGTTTTTGCTTCATTAATGCTTACCTTTAAAATGTTAAGTTAAATATGTATTTACAGTTCGTTAATAACTTACCATGCAGCAGAGGTATTTGAGGCCACTAAAAATTGAAAATAATTCTATAAAATTAATCTTTATGATTACTCTATAGGTAATGAGAACATGAAATTTGATTTACAAACTACTTCTCAAAAATATAGGTGCTGTACAGAATAAGACTTACTTACAAATGAGATAAAATATATATTGGTGCCTCATGGCAGAACTATGGGGAATGTGTAACTTTTGTAGGCTGCCTCAATAGTCTTCATGCACTTGAATAATAATTTTTAGAGCATTGGGCTGTTATTCTTTAAATATTTCCCTAATAAAATAAGTAGCCTTCTGGACTTTTCAAAATTCCAGCTCAAAAATCTAACTCAGCAGTGTTTTAGGTATTTAAATAAGAAACGACATCATTTACCTATAGAAGAATGCTCCAAGACAAACCAACAGTACTTCCTTGGTTAAAAAAAGAAAGACAGAGAAAACCAGTCTTTCAATAAGATGAGAAAGAGGCCAAGCAAGGAAAGCAGTATCACATAACCACTCTGTTAGTAAGGGATAGCTCCTGAATGTAAATCCAGACTGGATGATGGCAAATTCAGTGTTTTTTAATTCATTACAGCTGGAGACAGAGGCAGAAAAATACTGTGTATCTATGAGGAGACAGCACTTCAGGTGCATCTTAAAGGCTAGATATGGTTTAAGGGTAGGCATTATTGAAGAAAGAGCAGAGGCAGAAGGTTAGCTTTCCACACAGAAAGTTAATCTGAAATAAAAGCACAGAACTAGAAACTTTGGGCAATTAATTCAGTCTGTTAACAGTAACATACGAAGAGCCATAATGGGAAACTGGAATCAAGTTGGAGGTACACTGTGATGAGCCTTGAATGACACCCCTAGGTGAAGGACATCATATTTGCCTTCCAAGCATCCACTACTGCATCTCTCCACAATGGCTCATTTTGTTTGGCTAGAAATTCCTTTAATTCATGCTTCCACAGTTGGTCCTGATTCTCCTCAACTAACAGATTACAGCAGTCCCACAAATCTTCCCACAGGGTTCCACTCAGAGATGGGTTTTAAACCGAAACCTAAGGCAGTCAACTCCCAATATCGCTATAGATTCAACGATTGGTTCAGAGGTAGGTCCATACCTTAAGAAGAAGCCATTGAAAAAAATCCCTTGACTCTTGTTTGTCTCTCTGCCTCTAGATCGTGTGGAGTGCAGATAGAATACCCATGACTGCTTTAAACATTTTTCCATTCATGAGAAAGGCTGGCTAAAGAATAAAGCTGACATTTGGAGGGGAACTAAGAGAATAACAGAGAAACAGCTTACACCTTTGCATTAGTAAATTTTCACACTGCTATAAAGAAATATCTGAGACTGGGTAATTTATAAAGGAAAGGGGTTTAACTGACTCACAGTTCCACATGGTTGGGGAGGCCTCAGGAAACTCGCAATCATGGCCGAAGGGGAAACAATACCTGCTACATGGCAACAGGAGAAAGAGAAAGAGAATGAAGCGGGAAGGGGCCCCTTATAAAACCATCAGATCTCACGAGAACTCACTCACTATCATGAGAACAGCATGAGGAAAACAGCCTACCAGGTTTTTCCTTAGACACAAGGGAATTATGGGGATTACAATTCAAAATGAAATTTAAGTAGGAACACAGATCCAAACCATGTAAAACCTTATCAAATTGTGTCTATAGTGCAAATTACCTGTGGATTTCTCAGGGATATAAAACAATATATTCTCATTACCTTTTAAATTATTGTGAGTTTGTTATTGTTCTTTGCAATCAAAAGTATCCTGATAGATTAATTATTTAGAAAAGAGGAAACGTTTGAAGGTTTTCAAATGTGGATATAAAATGATCAGTGTGGTATTATTGAAAGATGCTTTTGATATCTCAGTGGAAGCTGGATTGGAGCAGGCAGTTTGGAAACAAAGAGAAAGAAAAATGGGGATGATATTACACTCATTTAAATGGAAGATGAATCCTAACTTCACATATGGCAGTGATATAGGAATGTGGATAAACTGAGAAACATGAACAGGGTCAAACCAAAGAGTATCTTTAGTGTTGACAACCAAGTGAGAAATAGTATTTGACTCATATTTTAGGCTCTGCTCATTCATCCCTCTCCCCTTAAGGGGTAGAACATGCTAATGTGAATTTCCAAGTGAGTTATGTATGGGAACTGATCTTTGACATGGTCCTGGCATGGAAATAACAAACAGGACTCCATTACTTTAGATTATCAATTGTCCAGTTCCTGGAGCCCAATCATGATGGAGCATCGCTACAGAGTGAGAGGGCAAGAGAAAGAAAAGGACAGATGGAGGGGGAACAAGAGTAGAATGGGTAGAGAGGTGATCGAGTGTTGGATGGCTTCCAGGAAAATGTTGATCCCAAATAACTTGACTGAGGTGTTACATAATAAATTATGTAACAATAATAATAATGATAATCATAATACTAATCAAGTTATTATCATAATAGACATTAATTCTTATTGAGCAGTTACCACATTTCAGCCACTGTACAAACAATTTATATGCTCTACCTTGCTCAAGTCTTAGAAAGAAACTTGCTCAAGACCAAACAGCTATGAAGATTTGGAGCTGGTATGGAACAGAGTATGCCTGACCACATGGTTGTAGAAACATAATTTTTAAAAATGATACCATCCAGGTCCTCATCTCCCTAGTTGAATCTCTTACCAACTGACACTTCAACTCTAATCTGTAACAGTTTTCCTTTCTATTGCTAGACTTTTCTCACACATTCTTCTTATTCAGCTTGAATATCACTTTTCCTGACATAACTTGCATGACTTTCTGGATCCGAAAAACACTCTCCCATGGTATATCGCCCCATGATAGTGTTAAATGCTAAGTTGTCCACTTTCCATGATAAACCAGAGACTATACAGTCATATACTTGACTGTTTTGCTCTCTGATTGACACACAATGATTATTCATTAATTGTGTTGAATAAATGAATGCGGTCAGAAGGGGAGTGTGTTGGGAAGACAACGTTATTTGTAAGAAAAAATATGTGTGTCTATTTGTGTGTGTGCGGGGAGGGGGGGCTTGCTTTCAAAAATAAGACTTAAACAACAGCAAGAATATGCTTAGGCTTTTTTTTCCAGTGTCCCGGGGCCTGTCTTGGTGAGGAGGACTTCTGCATTGGGTAGCAAGGCATGATTGTGTATGTCTATGCTTCCCACATCTCCTTTTAAATGGCTAGATTTAGCATGAAAATTTCAACTTCAAATAGTCTCCAAAGACATGGTTGGTGACCAGCATAATACTTTTGGTGGCAAAAGGAAAAAAACGAAAGTAATGCAAGAAATGGTCAAAGAGAAAAGAGGCCAGACAATTCAATCTCCTTCCACAAGCACTCAAGCAATTAAAATAAAAACAATTACTCATATACATAGAGCAGGTCAGCACTTTTATTTTATTATTGTTTTTACAGAACAAGGGAAATGCATAACTCCTAAGGGGCAGCGATATAAATATTTCAGCTGATAGTAAGTCCAGGACCAACAAGGTAAAATAAACTAGATTTAAACAATCAATTTTACACAGAACTGCAAAAGATACTGTGAAATTCTGCAAAATTGCAGATCCAATTTCCCTAGAATATACTTCAGCCTACCAAAACCTTGACAATTATTCGTGTTGGAGGACAAGGCATAAATGCAGACAATGGGAAAACAAACACTCAATCATCTGGTTTCAGAATGGCACAGGGTCCAAAAAATGCCTGTTTGTCTCTTCGTCCCTGAAACCTGGAGCTGGTCTCCTGATCTCTATATCTTCTAATACATACATTTCCAGTAACAATAAATATGGGTTCTTTGGGAAGAGGCTAGAAAGACTCACCAGTCACAGTAAGCTTTGGCCTTCCTCTTAGTATGAAGAGGCTTTCTGCATTTTTGAACTTCATACTTAGTTTTCCTTCGGATTTTCTTTGAGGAGAAATTACTATGTGCAGCCAGGCACAGTGGCTCACACCTATAATCCCAGCACTTTGGGAGGCTGAGGTGAGCGGATAACTTGAGGCCAGGAGTTCAAGACCAGCCTGGCCAACATGGTGAAACCTTGTCTTTACTAAAAATACAAAAGTTAGCCTGATGTGGTGGCACACACCTGTAATCCTAGCTACTCAGGAAGGTGAGGCAGGAGAATCACTTGAACCCAAGAGGCGAAGGTTGCTGTGAGCCAAGATCATGCCACTGCACTTCAGCCTGGGTGACAGAGCGAGACTGTCTCAAAAAAAAAAAAAAAAAAAAATTATTGTGTGGTAGACACATGGTCATCCAAAGGTTTTTATTTTTAATAAAACCTTGCATTATGACATTCTGAAGTTTTGTCTTTCTTTATCTACTGGCCAACATTCAGATTATCAGTCTGAAATCACAGATCTGACTCTTATGCCACTGCTCGTTTCCTTTCTGTGACCACTGATTGTCTTCAGGACAATCTCCAAACTCCTGAGCCTGGCACACAAAGTTCTCATGCTCTGTCCTTGCTGAAATCTTTAATCTCATTTCCCACTACTGCCTAATTTAAGTCCCACTCTTCACTCATACAGAAGTGTATGGTGATTCTTAGCTGTCTGGATTGTGGCACGCCTTCAGCACTGCTGTGCAGAGTGATTTCCCACCTCTCACACCCAGTTCTACCACCTGTCTTCTCACTCCATCCTTGTCTATCTAGTGAATTTCTATATAACCTTTAATCTGAGCTCAATAATTACCTTCTTTGAGAAAACTTTTCTTATTCTCACAGGCAGATATTGGAATTGTGTATATAGTTAACTTCAGGTTGTTGAGACCTCCACTGACCACTTAGGATGCTCTATCATTCCTTTTTACTTACAAATCAATTTCTTCAACAAGGCTATGCCTCTTAGGGCAAAGACTGTGTATTATTTTTCTCTGAGTCCCCTGGCTCAGGATCCTGCTTGATGCAAAATCAGTACTCAGAAAATAGTTGTTGGTTTCAGAGGCTGTAAATTTTTGTTCAGTTTTCATTCATTCATTCATTCATTCAATAAACGTTCATTGAGTTTCCATCCTGGGCCAGCCTTCATACTAGGTACTGAGGATGTAATAGTGGGTAAAATAGATAATACCCCAGATCTTATGAAGTATACTGACTGAAAGAGGAGTCAGAAATTATTCCCTGATCCCAGTGGTCAACATACAGCTACAAATTAACCCTAAATGAAAGGCTGTTATTATGATACTGTGATTGGTGGATTAGGGTAGGCTACACCGATGGAGTGACCATTACACTTGGATATGAGCAATAATCTGACATTAAGGATTTAGAGGTGGGATATGGAGATTATGTCACATAGAAGAGCTGGAGCGTTTAGAAGTTCTGTAATGAGAAGAAGCACGGTTTATTTCAATGAACACAACACACAGAGAAGAAAGATTTAGGCCAGTAATTCTCAACCAGGAGCAATTTTGATCCCCCAGGATACATTTGGCAATATGGAGACATTTTGATTGTCACACCTGGGGTATGGTGTGGGTATCTAGTGGGTGGAGACCAGAAATGCTGCTAAATATCTTACTGATGCTGAGGAAAGCCCCCAACATATCAATAATGCCAATGTTGAGAGGCCTTAATCAAATCTAGTATTAAATGAGGCTTTAATACATTTTAAGTGTCAAAATGAAGCTTTTATTTATTTTGGGGTTTGGCTTTTTGTATGTGTGTGTTTGATTTTATTTATTTATGTTTAATATTAGATTCAGAAGATACATGTGCATGTATGTTACATGCGTGATGCTGTGTGATGCTGATAATTTAATAATCAGCATCTTATTATTACATTATTATGTAATTATATATAATATAATAATTATATTTTAGGATATTATTAGATAATAATTGTTGTATTATTAGGATATTATTCTAACAATCACGCTATCCAAATACCGACCAGAGTAACCAGTGGGTAGTTTTTCAACACTTATCTGCATCCTTCCCTCTCCACTTTTGGAGTGGCCCATACCTATTGATACCATCTTTGTGTCCATGTGTACCCAGTGTTTAGCTTCCACTTATAAATGAGAATATGTGGTATTTGGTTGTCTGTTTCTGCCTTAATTCACTTAGGCTAATGGCCTCCAGCTGCATCCATGTTTCCATGTTGCTGCAAAGAATGCAATTTCATTCTTTTTTTTGGCTGCATAGTATTCCATGGTGCATATGTGCCACATTTTCTTTACGCAGTTCACTGTTGATGGGCACCTAGTTTGATTCCATGCCTTTGCTATTGTGAATGGTGCTGCAATAAACATATTAATGCAGGAGTCCTTTTGGTAGAACAATTTATTTTCTTTTGAGTACATATCCAGTAATGGCATTTGGGTCAAATAGTAATTCTATTTTTAATTCTTTGAGCAATTTCCAAACTACTTTTTACAAGGGTGAAAATGATTTGCATTCCCACCAGAAGTGTATAAGTGTTCCCCTTTCTCTGAATCCTCACTAGCATCTGTTATTTTTTTGACATTTAAATAATGGCCATTTTTGCAGCAGTAAGGTGGTATCTCACTGTTGTTTTGATTTATATTTCTTTGATGATTAGTGATGTTGAGCATAGTTTCATATGTTTGTTGGTCACTTATATGTCTTCTTTTGAGTAGTGTCTATTCATGTACTTTGCCCACTTTTTAATTGACATATTTGTTTCTATACTATTCATTTGTTTAAGTTCCATGTAGATTCTGGATATTAATCCTTTGTCAGATGCATAGTTGGCAAATATTTTCTCCTATTCTGTAGGTTGTCTACTTCCTCTGTTGATAGTTTCTTTTGCTGTACATCAGCTCTTTTGTTTAATTAGATCCCATTTATCTATTTTTTATTTAGTTGCACTTGCTTTTGGAGTCTTCGTCATAAATTATTTGCCTAGGTCAATGTTTAGATGAGAATTTCCTAGGTTTCCTACTAGGATTTTTATTGAGGTCTTACATTTAACCCTTTAACCCATCTGGAGTTAATTTTTGTATCTGGTTACAGGTAGGGGTCCAGTTTCATTCTTCTGCGTATGGTTAGCCAGTTTTCCCAACACCATTTGTTGAATAAAGTGTCTTTTCCCCACTGTATATTTTTGTCAGTTTTGTCAAAGATCAGTTGGTTGTAGGTGTGTGGCTTCATTTCAGCATTTTCTATTCTATTCCATACATCTATGCATCTATTTTTGTACCAGTATCATGCTGCTTTAGTTATCATAGCATTGTAGTATGGTTTGAAATTAGGTAACGTGATTCTTCTGAATTTATTCTTTTTACTTAAGAATGCCTTGGCCATTTGGGCTTTTTTTGGTTCCATATACATTTTAGAATAGTTTCTTCTAATTCTGTGAAAAAAAAAATGACATTAGCAATTTGATAGTAATAGCATAGAATCTGTAAATTGCTTTGGGAAGTATGGACATTTTAACAATATTGATTCTTTCAACCTATTTTAATTATTAAGGCCTTTTTTTCTTTTGACCTAGGAAATTTCTCCAAATTCTGTTTCTTAATCATACTTGCTTCTTTATTACTGATAATGACCTCTCACTCCTGATGTAGCAGGCTGCCTCTGGTCATCCCTCTCAACTTCATGGTCCAGATGATCACTATTTTCTGGAGGACATGTCATGCAAGACTCAGGCTTCATTTCCCCTTCAGATTATGGCCTTTTCCCAGCTCCACATTTGGTTCTGGAAATTCCTGCAGAATTTAAGCACCACCGTTGGCTTGTCAGGAATGGAAAACCAGATAAAAAGCTCACAAAGTTCTCAGTACAAAGCAGGTGCTCTAAAAATATCTGTAAGCCTACACTAACTTACCATTTACATTTGTTGCAGATACATACAAACCTACATTATGCTGTATTCCTACATGATCCTGAGCAACCAGAATATCAAGGGCCATGTGATAATTAAAGTTCACGTTCTGGAGGTCCTTGAGCAATAGACTAAGTCACTCTGTGAATTTTGGAAACAGTGATGTATTCCTGGATTGCTTCTCAATCAGATCTATAAAACAAAGTTATTTGTAGAAAATTTCAAAAGACATGTGCTCAAGCTCACTGAGATATGGTGAATGGAATATTCATGGGTGGGACTTAGACTTTCATATTAGGAGAAATATCTTTAGGTCATGCTGATGGTCAGCCATGGCAGGAAACTACTAAACCAGAGTATCGTTAAGGAATTTGTGACAGACACCTAAACATAAAGTCTAAAAAGTTTTAGAGTTGACTAATGAATGAAGCAAACACTCTCTTTCTCTTTTGTTTTGTTTTTGGAATAAAGCTTGTATTAGTCCATAATGAAGCAAACACTCTCTTTCTCTTTCATTTTGTTTTTGGAATAAAGCTTGTATTCGTCCATTCTCACACTGCTATAAAGAAATACCTGAAACTGGATAATTTATAAAGAAAGGAGGTTTAATTGACTCATGATTCTGCAGGCTATACAGGAAGCATAGCTGAGGAGGCCTCAGGAACTTACAATCATGGTGGAAGTTGAAGAGGAAGGAGGCATGTCTTACATGGCAGAAGCAGAAGAAAGAGTGAAGGGGGATGTACTACCCACTTTTAAACAACCAGATTTTTTGAGAACTCTATTATGAGACAGCACTAAGGAGATGATGCTAACCATCAGAAACCACCCTCATGATCCAGTGACTTCTCCCCAGGCCCCAACTGCAGCAGTGGGGATTATAATTCAATATGAGATTTGGGTGAGGATACAGAGCCAAACCATTTTGTTCCACCTCTGGACCCTCCCTAATCTCATGTCCTTCTCACATTTCAAAACTAATCATGCCTTCCAAATAGTCCCCCAGATTTTTAACTCATTCCAGCATTAACTCAAAAGTTCAAGTCCAAAGTCTCATCTGAGACAAGGCAAGCCTCTACTGCCTATGAACCTGAAAAATCAAAAACAACTTAGTTGCATCCAAGATACAATGCAGATACAGATATCACATAAATGCTCTTGTTCCAAGAGGGAGAACTTGGCCAAAACAAAGGGGCTACAGGTCCCAGGCAAGTCTGAAACCCAGCAGGGCAGTCATTAAACCTCAAAGCTCCGAAATAATGTCCCTTGGCTCCATGTTTCAAATCCAAGCCATACTGATGCAAGGAGTGGGCTCCCAAGGCCTTGAGCAGCTTTGCCTCTGTGGCTCTGCACGGTACAGCCCCTGTGGCTCCTTTCACAAGCTGGCATTGAGTGCCTCTGGCTTTTCCAGGTGCACAATGCAAGCTTTCACTGGATCTACCATTCTGGGATCTGGAAGATGGTGACACTCTTCTCATAGCTTCATTAGGCAATGCCCCAGTGGGGACTCTCTGTGTGGGGCTCCAACCCCACATTTCCCCCTCTGCACTGCCTCAGTAGAGGCTCTCCGTGAGGGCTCCACCCCTGCAGCAGACTTCTGCCTGGACATCCAGGCATTTCTGTACATTTTCTGAAATCTAGGCAGAAGCTCCCAATCCTCAACTCTTGCCCTTTTAGCCAAAGTTGAAGCTGGAGTGGCTGAGACACAGGGAGCAGTGTCCCAAGGTTGCACAGGGAAGTGAGGCCCTGGGCCTGACCCACAAAACCTTTTTTCCCTCCTATGTCTTCAGCTCTGTGATGGAAGGAGCTACCAGGAAGGTCAAGGCATTTTCCTCATTGTCTTGGCTATTAACATTTGGCTCCTTTTTACTTATGCAAATTTCTGTAGGCTGCTTGTATTCCTCCCCAGAAAATGGAATTTTCATTTCTACCACATGACCAGGCTGCAAATTTTTCTTTTTCTTTTTCTTTTTTTTTTTGATGGAGTCTTGCTCTTGTCACCCAGGCTGGAGTGTGCAATTGTGTGGTCTCAGCTCACTGCAACCTCCACCTCCCAAGTTCAAGTGATTCTCCTGTCTCAGTCTCCCGAGTAGCTGGGATTACAGGCACATGCCACTAAGCCTGGCTAATTTTTGTATTTTTAGTAGAGATGGGGTTTCACCATGTTGGCCAGGCTGGTCTCAAAGTCCTGATCCCAGGTGATCTGCCCACCTTAGCCTCCCAAAGTGCTAGAATTACAGGTGTGAGCCACCACACCTGGCTTGACTACAAACTTTTCAAGCTTTCACACCCTGCTTCCCTTTTAAATAGAAGATCCAGTTTCAGATAATCTCTTTGCTCACCATATGACCATATGCTTTTAGAAGCAGCCAGGCTATTTCTTGAATACTTTGCTGCTTAGAAATTTCTTCTGCCAGATACTTGAAATCATCACTCTCAAGTTCAGTTTCACCTAGAGCAGGGATACAATGCCTCCAGTCTCTTTGCTAAAGCATAGCAAGAGTGACCTTTACTCCATTTCTCAATAAGTTTCTCATCTCCCTCTGAGACCACCTCATCTGGATTTCATTGGCCATATCACTATCAGCATTTTGGTCAAAGCCATTCAACAAGTCTCTAGGAAGTTCCAAATTTTCTCTCATCTTCTTGTCTTCTTCTGAGCCCTCTGAACTGTTCTAACCTCTGCCCGTTACCCAGTTTCAAAGTTGCTTCCACATTTTTAGGTATTTTTATAGCAATACCCAACTTATCCATTCTCACACGGCTATAGAAATACCTGAAACTGGGTAATTTATAAAGAAAAGAGGTTTAATTGGCTCATGGTTCTGCAGATTGTACAGCAACCATGGCTGGGGAGGCCTCAGCAAACTTGCAATCATGGCAGAAGGTGAAGAGAAAGGAGGGACAGCTTACATGGCAGGAGGAAAAAAAGTGAAGGGGGAGGTGTTACACACTTTGAAACAACCAGATATCATGAGACAGCACTAGGGGGATGGTGCTAAACCATTAGAAACCACCACCATGATCCAATCACCTTTCACTAGGCTCCACCTCCAATATTGGGGATTACAATTCAACATGAGATTTGGGTGAGAACACAGAGCCAAACAATATCAAATCTTGAACTGGGCTGTTTGTCAGAATTCTTATTTCACTCAAATGTTAGGTATTTGTTGTATATATATGGCCGTTTAGAGATGGTAACTGTTCTAAAATTTTACACTGAGCCCAGACCTTCCAGAGAATGAAGAAGTGAGACTCTTCAAGAAACTGCTGTGTTAATGTGCCAATTATCTGCATACAGCTTAAGTTACTAGCTTAAACTTCTATTTTTAATTGATTATCATTTTTATTTGCCTCTCAGCCACCTAACTGTGGTACTATTTTCTATAAGTTTCTCAGATTGACAAAAATTTTATGGAATAAAAAATGCTAAAAAAGTAAAATTATATAGTTAAGAATATAGACAAAATGCAGTTGAAAAATTACTGAACTCAAATTCCATTCAAATTCTGGATCCTGTGATTATTTGCTAAGTGCTTTGTGGAAAATCATATTAGCTCTGTGGGATTTAAATTTTCCATAGGTAAACGAGGTGTGATAACTTTTAAGTTCTTAACTAATGGGTGAGAACAAAGGTATCCATCAATTTCATAAATGTTTTACATGATTTTATGAATGTTGATGGGTACACTTGTTTCACATCAATAGTGTCTCCAGATAAGGTCTGCAGAAAAATCTCAATAAAATTAGTGTCTCGATGGAGGCAATAACCAATAAGTAAATAAGTTACATATCAGCAGATAAGTTATATGATCCCTTTGTCTATTTTATAGTTATATTGATCTATCTACTGTTTATTTAAAAATTAAGTACTTTGGATTTGATACACATTGTAGATGTATAGTGCACAATGATGGAAATATTTGAAAATGATACAACACAATTTTTCTGAGACATTAAATTATACACCTCAAACCAAAAGTCATCTCTGGTGCTTCAAATATTCTATATTTTTGTCCCTATCAGTTGGTCTCACACAGCTATACTTTCATTAAGTTTCTATTGCATTTGCCAGAGTGGTGATAACAGACAAGATGTCAACTCAGTCATGGAGTGAAGAATGAATCAAAATAAAAATCTTCCGTTTCTTCAATAAGCCCACATTAAACTTGAGACCATCCCAATTCTTGGGATAGCCTTAAAGATAGAAGGGATTACACATTGTTGCCTACTTCTAGAATAAGGGAATCTGGGGAATAGTTGAAGACTTGCTCAAAGCCACAGAGAATATCAACATTGAAGTGACTAGTTTCTGACCCCAAACTACCAGATCAACAGGATTCTCTGCATTTTCCTTATTATAGCTTGTAATGTCTCTCAGAAAGGATACAGGTAGCATCCTTTTAGGAGGATTCCCTGCGTCTCAGGCAGGAGAAGTAACTAGTTCCTGAAAACACCCCAACCTAGTTTTTAATTCTGATCAGACTCTCTTGGAAAGTTTAGCTCTCTCTTCCTAGAAGTATGCGTTTACACAAGATATTTAACCTCCCTGACGTTCAATTTTTCTTTTTGATAAATAGAGGATAATGGTAGCTATCTCATATGGTGTTGAAAGCTTCATTTAGGGCAAAGCGTAAGTCTTTTCACAGATTTATCTTCAATACCAAATGCGTCACCTTGCACATAGCAAGCATTTAACAAGTGCTCCTTTCTGACTCATTTTCTCATCCTCACGAATTGGTTGCCTTTAGAGGCCAATATCATCTTCAGCATGCCATAGGGTATCAACTGAGAGAATATGCATGCATGCAGTTTTTAAATTCCCTCCCTGAATTGCTTTTTCATCCTGATTATCTCAATTGTATTCCTCCCCTAGAGAATCCCTCAGCCCCATAGCCATTACCGCTCCCCTCCCTCACGTTGTCTTACTACTTCCAGCTGTTTTTCCTCATTTCCTATTTGGCTTTCACATTCTCTATTGGACCTGAAGGAGTCTCCAATTAACTGGTCACAGAATTTCTCAGGTCATTAGCTCCAGTCTGTGAAGGGTTTCCCACCTAATCTGGTTTTTGAGAACCTTCAGTTAGCTTACCTGGGATGGGCCCCAAGTGTCTCCCACTAGACTCAGCCAGAAAGCTGGTGAAACAGAGGGAAAACACTTGGATTTCTTGGCTCTTCCAGGACTGACCCCAGTGATCAGCCAACCAAACCACTTTCTAGCCACATAGTCAGAAACACAGAGTCAATTTCTCCCTAGGTATTAATAGAGTTGATCAATATTAAATCCATCATACCATATGCATATTTTTAATCATGAAACTCATAATGGACCAGTGATAGTGAGCAAAAGATCCTCTGTGTCTTTCCAAGAGAGAGAAAAATATCACCATGCTCCAAAACATCAGAACATGTTTATTTTTTTCTATCTTAGTTGGACCTGACCCTCTTTCTCTTTCTCTATATTAATTCATTCATTTTATTTTAGTTTGTTTCATTTATTTTCTCACTTAAAAAAAATTGAGAGAAAGGGAAACAGCTAGTTATACAGACACTTTACCAGACCCCGGGTATTAAAAAATAAGATGCAGTTTTTGTCTCCAAGGAAGACACAGTTAGTGGGTAAAGACAGACATACACAAATAAATATCAGCACAATGTACTAAGTATAACACTAGAGGTGTTTACGCCATATTAAGATGGCATTAAAAAGTGGTTGACTATTTCTTACCGTAGACTATAAAGAAGAGATTCTAGGTTTAGTAATTTGACCCTTTTTTTTGAAAACTCAACAGTCAAATAATGGAAGAAATGATGGGTCATCTGAGACATCATCATAAAGTAGGGCACAGTATAGAGTTTAGACTTGATCATCTAGATGATATATAGCTATTGATAAAAATCAAACAGGAAAGAAGTCATTTAGAATGCTCACTTTGACAAAAAGTGAGGGACACAGATTGGGGGAAAAGATATAGGAGGCAAATAATATAGAGATGGGGTGACTGCCACAGTTTAGTTCAAGAACAATAGGTGTCTGAACAGGAGCATGGCAGTAGGAATAAAGAGAAGAGGATGTGTTTTAAAGGCATGTAGGATGTATAATTGATAGGATACATTGACTAACGTATATCATAGTTGAGGCAAGAAAAAACTGAGTGTGAATCCTGTATTTCTTATTTAAATGTGGTTCTTAAATATAAGCATGGCTCTAACAATGCTTTTTTAATCCTTTGACAATATTCACCAACAAGCAACATAGTCTTTTGAGCTATAACCATATACCTTGTCCTTCACTTCTAAGTGTTCTGCTTCGGTCATAAGTGATTTCTCTCCATCCCCCACTACACACACACACACAAACACACACACACACACACACACACACACACACACACACATAAGTCCTTCTGTCCAGGTACTTCCATGCATAAATCACCTCTTTGCTGCCCCATTGCTCTCAGAATTAAGCCCAGACTTCCTAACATGGATTAAAACGTTTGATGTGATCTCTGCCTGCCTTCCCAGCCTGTTTATCCAGTGCTGTCCTGCTTCCATTCTTATTTCCCTTTGCATTATAATCCAACCATAGTGAACTTCCCTTTTGTTAGACCTCTGTGTCTTTGCAAATATTTTTCTTTTGCTGGGACACACACACACAGACACACACAAATTGCCTAGCAAACCCCTATTATGTTCAAAGCACAGTTGAAATATCATATCATTTGTGTATCCTCCCCATTATCCCCAACCCCTCAAATGCAGAGTTATGCCATATCTTCTCTCCCTAAGCTTTTCGTGCCTTCTCAATGGCAACACTTGTCATATTTATTACTGCTAACAAACCGTTATGAAGCCAAACACTATGCCAGGAGCTGAGGATACATTAATAAACAGCACCATCTAACTTGCTATTATTTTAGAACTTACTCCCTAGAAATAAAGACAAATATTAAACAATGACCAGTCACGCTGGTTATTGAAAAAAGTACTTTGAACTTTGAGAGTACAGTCCTTGAGTTTAACTAAGCCAGGAGTCACTTGTGCTGATTGTACTGTAACATATTTACAATCATAGAGTAAGGAGCGTGGGTAAAAATTCACCTTATGGCATAGAACAATTAGAGTATAAGAAAATAATAGAATTTGGTGACTATGCATATATCAAGGCCTTGATTAAGACCCACTCATCTGAGATAGTGGTAGGACCTCTGGGAACCTGGAAGCTGGGTTGAAGTTTCTGAGATGATTGAGGTGTGACCCTAAGAAAAATAAAATCAGGTCTGGTGCAGTGGCTTATGCCTGTAATCCCAGCACTTTGGGAGGCCGAGGCGGGTGGATCACCTGAGGTCAGGAGTTTGAGACCAGCCTGGTCAACATGGTGAAAACCCGTCTCTACTAAAAATACAAAATTAACTGGACATGGTGGTGGGTGCCTGTAATCCCAGCTACTCAGGAGGCTGAGGCAGGAGAATCACTTGAACCCAGGAGGTGGAGGCTGCAGCAAGCCGAGATCATGCCATTACACTCCAGCCTGGGTGATGAGAGCAAACTCTGTCTCAAAATAAAATAATATAAAATAAAATAAAATAAAATAAAATAAAATAAAATAAAATAAAATAAAATAAATAAAATAAAATAAAACAAAATAAATAGAGGGCTTTGAGAATTCATGGTTCGTCACCAATCTCTGCCTTAGACTGCAGCACAGGCTAGGTTCTAGCACAAGAAGTTTCCATGAAGATTTTGTGTATGTGTATTTTAAATGAATGGGTACATGGATAAATGAGCAAGTAAATGAGTAAACAAATACATGAATTAGAGAATCAAAGAATGAGACAACAATGAAAGATGATATAAGTAAGTGAATGCATAAATGAATGACCAAGTGAGTGAGACTCGTGAATGAGTTAATGACTGACTCAATAAAATGTGAGTGAATTTGTACACAATGTGTGAAGGAATACATATGGGCATGGAAACAGAAGTGAATATGAGGGTGAATAAATAAGTGACTGGCCAAATGAATATTACGAGAATTTTTTTAAATCTATTTTTAGAAGAAAAAATATATATGCTGGTCCTGCATTTTGTAGTAATTAGAGTTTAGAGAAGGTGAGACATTTTAGCCTTTATCAATGTCATAAATTCTGAAGTGTGTTTCTATGCAGGAAGAGTTTAGTTCTGTGAGCATCTGAAATTTGACTGTCCTATACTTTCTGAGACTGGGATTTTTGTGCTTCAGTGAGATGGCCTCAACTTATCCCAAACACCTCTTCCCCTACATGGCCCTGAAGAAATGAGAAAAAACAAGAAAGACGGCAGGGACTGTGGACTGAGTGTCACCAGGAGAGCCCAATCTGCTACCTCTTATCAAATATTAGATTCTCAGATATTAACTTCAATCTACCAAGGACTTGTCCTTGGTTCTTTAATCCATGAAACCCATTTCATCAATGTGAAGAGTTACCTTTTATAAAAATGAATGCACACTCTGTTTTCTGATTTCTCAAATTCTTCTGAAATTGATATATAAACGAAGTGCCTTGGCATTAACTTGGTTGAAAAACAGAACCGCCAAGGGACTGCAATATTCTCACGTAGGACAGTAATTCTCAAACATGTGGTCCTCAGGTTATCACTTCACTGGGGTATGTGATAAAAATGCCCCTACCTCTCCCCTATTTAGTCAGTACATTTGGGAATATAATCTAGTGTTCTACATTTGAAAACCATAGTTGTAGGCAGATCTCTTCGGTTAGCTAAGTTTTAACTGGAAGATTTACATTATTTAATAGTTTTAAGAACTGGTCCTCAGCAAAGAGAGCTTGGAAGCTTCACTGTAGAGGATCTTTTCAATGGCAGGTGTGTTGACCAATATTTTATCTTCCTTGGACAGTTCTGGAATAGATAAGGTCCTCTCTTTAGGTGTCCATTGATAATTCACCTTTCTGTTGCCTTATCTATCCTTGCTCTAGCCTGGGAATTTTACTCCCCTGTTTTTTGTAGTTTTTGTTGTTTGCTTGTTTATTTGTTTTAGGACTTTTAACATATGTATTCTAATTTAATATCCTCTTTCTAGTGTTTCAGTGGTTATGCCAAAATATTACACATAATTAACAAAGTCCTCAGTTACTTAAAATATTTATCCCATGCTGAAGAATACATGAATTTCAAAATTCTTTTACACTTCTCACTCCTTCCCAATACAAGTGCTATTGTTGTCTAATATTTAAGTTGCATCTTGGATTGTTTTTATTTTTTTAACCTCAAATTAGACACTATTATTCTTTGGTCAGAGAGTTAGTATTTGTTTTTGTTGACTGTTTCCTTGCATCATAGACCTTACTTCTAGGGTTATTCTTTATCCATAAATACATCCTTCAGAAATTTCTTTTATGAGAATTTATCCATGTTTCATTCAGTTCTTATTTGTCTAAAAATGCCTTTACTCCAGCCTCAGTCTTTAAAGGCAGTTTTCCTGGCTGTATAAGCCTACCAATGTTTTCTGCACTTTGAAAATATTTTTCTCATCTTTTTCAGTTACTCAAACTCTAGTTAATTTCTATTTATTCTGTCGTTGTAATTTAGGTGCTGTCATCCACATATTTCTTACTTTTTAAAAAAATTTTCAAAATTTTGATTGAAGCAGCCTACCACGTTGGATATGCTCAGGATTTGGAGAGTAAGAAAACTGGGTTTTGGGCTGGGCGCGGTGGCTCACGCCTGTAATCCCAGCACTTTGGGAGGCCGAGGTGGGCAGATCACGAGGTCAGGAGATGGAGATAATCCTGGCTAACACAGTGAAACCCCGTCTCTACTGAAAATACAAAAATTAGCCGAGCGTGGTGGCAGGCGCCTGTAGTCCCAGCTACTTGGGAGGCTGAGGCAGGAGAATGGCATGAACCTGGGGGGCGGAGCTTGCAGTGAGCCGAGATGGCGCCACTGCACTCCAGCCTGGGCGACAGAGCGAGACTCTGTCTCAAAAAAAAAAAAAAAAAAAAAGAAAGAAAGAAAGAAAGAAAAAAAAGAAAAGAAAACTGAGTTTTGATCTCCGCACTCCCATTCATCAATGGGTGGCTTTTGCATGATGATATAATCTCTGTGATGCTGTTCCCTCTCTCTGCAAACTGAAGTTTTTAGTATCTCTTTGAAAGAATGTGAGAGCTAAATTAGGTGAGTTAGCTAAGTAAAATGAGGTTTCTTGGTAGTTCCTCAACAAATTAATATTAATAGAGAACTTTGCATATTGCATTGTAATTATTTCAAGCAAGGTGTTCAATAAGCACTCAATTTAATATCCAAGGAATCCATAGCTAGTTAAAAAATATAAAACTATTTTAACTGTGAAGTGGCTGTACATTCCAGATACACTAACATAAAGCAAGAGGCCAGGCAAGAATTGACTCTATATAATGTTCAAGCAGTGTAAAATCCAGTCTTCTTGAGTAAGGACATCTGTCAGCTATTGGCTAACCTTTGGCATGGAAAATTACCCAGGGGTCCTCTCAAAAACACTGCATGAATATATTAGGCTGTATTACAAATATTAGCTAAAATAATCAAGCTGCTATTTTTCAAAGGCCTGTTTTATGCTTTCATAAATTACAACATGCCTTTATTGTCTTTAAATTTAGTAAGGTAACACCCCTTGGCTTTGGATGATAATGATGCAATGGTAGTGATAATACTATAATTATAGCTTAAATTTCTACAATTTCTTACCCCTTAAAGAATTTCAAAACCTTGGCTTGCTATCATGTACAGATATTTTGCTCACTGTCTACTTCAAATAACTATAAAGGTAGAAACCAGCTGCTAAAAACCATGCTTTAGTGGGGCCCAAAAACAGAACAATCAACTTGACCCAAATGGAACTAGAAGCCAGAATTTTGCAGTCAATATTTATTACTTTTGCACTCCCAGCCACATGCTCAGGTTTTAGGAAGATAATTCTCTGTGTTTGTAAACTATAGAAACATGTGTATTTAAAGGTTGGAAAGGACCCTTACAAATAATGCCATTCCATTTCTTCCTCCTACTAATGGGGAAACTGAGAACCAGTGAAGAAAAGGGACTTTTGAAAGCTTTATAACATTAGTGGCAAAGCTGAGAAATGCAGTTTAGGTTGACCTATTTTCTTCCCGTCTATGGTTCTAGATAACTCTGGATCTTTACACTGAGCACCACTCTTACTGACTTTGAAGGTTGGTGCAAGGAATTAGCAATGTTATTTATTCAGCTCACATTGACTGACACTTGCAATGCACATCAGAAACAATATGCATACTGGGAATCAGAGATTAACTGAACACAGGCTGCGCCCTGGAAGATTGAAATAAAAATAGCTAAAATGTATTGAATGTTTCCTATATTGCTGAGCAGCATTCCAAGTGCTTTACATACACACATATACTCCTGTGTGTCTATATATCTACTTAATACATATAAATATAATATTTATAAAATAATATGTACATACATATGAAATATGTATGTATAGTTATACATCAATTTAATGTTTACATATATAGGTATATTCATTTAATATTTACAACTGCTGTGAAAAGGCCATGCGCATGTTAAGTACTCTTTGCATATTTTCAGAATTAAATAAAAAACTATCATTCTAATCAAACTTTTATTTCATAGCTGTAGACTTACATATACTAGTAAGAAATAATACAGGGAGATCCTGTGTACCCTTTACCTAGTTTCCCTCAATGATAATATCTTGCAATATCACAAAGAGGAAATCGACATTAATGCAATCCACCTACATGTTCAAATTTTCAAAGTTTTAGATGTACTCATGTGTATGTGTGCTGTGTGTATTTATTTCCATGTGATTTTATCCCATGTGTAATGCATGTATCCACCACTACCAAGAAACAGAAGTTTCATATGACCACAAGGATCCCTTATATTGTCCTTTTTAAAATTTTATTTCTCTATATTGTCCTTTAATAAATGCATCCACATTTCTTTCTCTACCACCATCCTCATCCCTAATTACTTGCAACCACTAACCTGTTCTTCATGTCTTTAATTTTGTCATTTTGAGAATTTTATGTAAATTGAATCATACAGTACATAGCCTTCAGAGGTTAGCTCTTTTTACTTTGAGATTCATTCAAGCTGTATCAATAGTGTATTTCTTTTTATTACTGAGTAATATTCCACAGTATGGATGTACCACAGTATGTTTAACCATTACCCCCCTAAAAGGCACCTGAGTTGTTTTTAGTTTTCAGCTATTGCAAATAAAGCTGTTATGAACATTCATATACAACTTTTCACAAGAACGTAAGTTTTCATTCTTAGAGATAAATGTCCAAAGTGCAATTGCTGAATCATATGGCAATCACATGTTTAGTTTAATAAGAAAATTCTAAACTGTTTTCCAGAGTGGTTGTGCCGTGTCATATTTTACCAGCAATGTGTGAGTAATCAATTTCTTTATATCCTCACCAGCATTTGATATTTATAATTTTTGATAATGTAACTGAGGCACAAGATGGTCAAATAACTCCTATCAGCCACTCAATGAATAATGATTGAGCACCTAGTATATGCCAAGTACCATTCTATGTGGTAAAAATACAGCAGTAAATTAAAAAAAAATCTGGCCTGTGAAACATACTCCAGTGAGGAAGATAGGCAATTTATACAAGAATTGTATAAATTCTTTTTACAGGGTAGTAAAAACTATACTATTTTACATAGTAATGAGTTCTAAAGAAAATAATTGAGTAGGAAATGTGGAAGTGGGGGGTATTTAAATTTTAGAAAGGGTTGCCTGTGAAGGTGACATTTCGGTAAAGACCACAGGAGGTAAGGTCAACCTTACGAACATCGGAAGGAAGCATGCTGGAGGCAAAGAAACAGCCCAAATCCTAGAGCTCACCTCAGTGAGTCTGAGAGCTCTTAAGGAATGCCAGGAGGCTGGAGTGAGCTGATCTGGGATAGGAAGGTAACAGGTAGACAGGTCATGAAGGACCATGTGGGTCTGGGGAATGATTTGGGGCTTAACTCTGAATGAGACTGATAGCCACCAGCAGGTCTTAAGGAAAACAATGAATTTGTATGACTGTATTTTGAAGGTATCATTTTTGCCATCCTTACCCAAGTTTCCATAACTAATAAGCAAAAGAGTCTGGAAAATCTCAGGCTCTAGTAGAGAAGCAAATAGTCTTGAATGACAATCCCATGTGGTAAGTGACGTTGCTGAGATGTTATGAACAAGTCAAAGGACAGAGGAACAAGAGAGTATGCCTGCCTGGGAGGAGAGCAGAGGATGACTTCCTTTGCCTCTCTCCCATCTGCCTGCCTATTACCTTTCAGGTGGGCACCAAAACCAGACAGTGGTCACCACTGCTCCTCTCTCTGCCTCCATCCACTTCTATCTGCATCCCAATTCTCTCTGCCTCCTCTCTCCTCTTCCCTTTCTTTCCTCTAGGTCTTTGTTTTTTTTTTTTTGTTTTTTTTTGTTTGTTTGTTTGTTTTTTGAGATGGAGTCTTGCTCTGTCACCCAGGCCAGAGTGCAGTGGCACAATCTCAGCTCACTGCAACCTGCGCCTCCTGGGTTCAGGTGATTCTCCTGCCTCAGCCTCCCAAGTAGCTGGGATTACAGGCATGCACCACCACACCCAGCTAATTTTTTTTCGTGTGTGTACTTTTAGTAGAGATGGGGTTTCACCATGTTGGCCAGGCTGGTCTCAAACTCCCAACCTCAGGTGATCTGCCCGCTTCTCCCAAAATGCTGGGATTACAGGCATGAGCCACTGTACCCAACCTTCTTTAAGGAAATAGGGCTCAGGGAAATTTGTAAAGCTAAACTCTAAAAGAGTCTCTCTTTTGCTTTTCTCTCTTTGATAACTTTATTAAAATGTTAACATGTGTGAACTACTGGCTTCCCTCACTGGCAACTACAGGCTCAGAAATCACCTCTTTAAGATCTGTTTTTCTTTATCAGTGTGAACTGTGATGACCCATTTGCAACCCATTCCGAGACTATTGTACTGTGAGATGGATCAAATCATAATGCCCATCTCACCTACCTCATTATGGTGTACCTAAGATCAAAGGAGATGGCACGTATGAAAATATTAATAGATTGTTGCATACAAAATTATAGTTTATCACTTTTTAAATTGACAAGTAAAATTGTACATATTTATGGTGTACAAAATAATATTTTGAGATATATAACATATATACAGACATATTGTGGAATGGCTAAATAAAGCTATTTAACATATGCTTTGTCTCACATACTTATCTTTATTTTTTTGCAGTGAGAACACTTAAAATCTACCCTTTTAGCAATTTTCAAGTATACAATACATCGTTATTAATTATATTGCATTTTCCACTGATTTTAAGCTTACAGAAAAGTTGTAAGAACAATATGAAGAACTTCTGCATTTGTCTTATGTAGTGTCTTAGTTTGCTAGGGCTACTGTAACAAAATACCAAAAACTAGATAACTTCTGTCTCACAGTTCTGGAGAGATGGAAATCTAGTCCAAAGTCTGAAAGCAAGGCATGGGCCAACTTGATTCCTTCTGAGGACTGTGAGGGAAGGACCTGTTTCAGGCCTCTATTCTTGGCTTGGAAATGGCTATCTTCTCTCTGTGTATCTTCCCATCATCTTTTCTCTGTTCATGTCTCTGTGTCCAAATTTCCTCTTACTTTTTTTTAAAACCAATATCTTTAAATCTCAAACTTTAAAGATCACATATGCCAGGACAGCCATAAAGAAATAATTGCTTCTTTTGTTTCATCTTATTTTGTCTTCCTGGCCCAAATAATCTACAAATTTGAAAGAGGAAAGGACTAAATTTCCCCTTCTCTTGAGGACACCAGCCATATTCCATCAGGGTCCCCTCCAATGGCCTCACATTAACTCGATTACCACTCTAAAGAACCTCTCCGAGTTACATTCTGAGTTACTGGAAGTTAGGTTCATCAACATATTAATTTAGGGACAATAATTCAACCCATAACATATGGATTCCCCACATTTACTCTCTTCTCTGCTCTTCTCTGCCACCTCCCAATTGTCATTAATCTTTTTCCAAACCATTGAGATCAACAGCAGATATGCCTCCATGACTCCTCAATTCCCCACTGTGTATTTACCCCAGGCAAGGGCATTCTCTTCCATCACCACTGTATAAGCCTCCAAATCAGAAAATCAACCTTGATACAGTACAAGCATCCAATCCACATGCCCCATTCAAATTTCACCAGCCATCCTAACAGTGTCCCACTGGCGGTTCTGGCCAAGCATATTATTCAGGAATGCGTGTTGCTTTTAGCTGTTCGATTTTATCAATCTCCTTCAGCCTGAAACAGCACCTTAGCCATTCTTTGGCCTTCATGTTCTTGATAGTTTTTAAGAGTATAATCCATTCATTTTGTAGACCAAACCTCAACCAGAGTATTTCTAAAGTTGGCCTGACACAGTCCTTGCCTTCTTTTTTTTTTTAAAAAAAAGTCTTAAATAAATTGTATTTTTTAAAGCAGTTTTAGGTTCATGACAAAATTGAGTGGAGAGTACAGAGTTTCCATATTCCTCCTGCCCCCTCATCATGCACAGTATTCCCCACTATCAGTAACTGGCATCAGTGGTAGTTATTGTAACTGATGAGCTTACATTGACACATCATGATCTCTCAAAATTTATAGTTTACATTAGGTTTACTCTTGGTATTGAACATTCTATGGGTTTGGACTAATAAGTAATAATATGTATTCACCATTATAGTATCATACAGAATAGCTTTATTGCCCTAACAATTCTCTGTGCTCTGCCTATTTATCCCTCTCTTCCCCCAGCCTCTGACAACCCCTCATTTTTTTACTATCCCCATAGTTTTGAATTTTCCAGAATGTCATATAATTGGATCATATAGTATATAGTCTTTATAGTTCTACAGAGTCCTATATGTTCTGAGAGGGGTACCACAGAAGTGACACTGTGCTTTTTTCAACGAGTTCCATCAGGAAATGCATGCTGTTGACTCATCCTTCTTGTGGTCATGTCAGACTTTATCACCTGGTCATATTGTTCTTGATCAGATTTCTCCACAATACAGTAATCATTTCTTCTTTATAACTGATGAGTAGTTTGCAGGGGTGGGTGGATACTCAGATATTACCTTAGTGTCTTACTTTTGTCAGAACTCCACCCACTTTCCTAACAGCCATCATGACTTCTGCCTAAATCAACCACAACTATGATGCTTGCCAAGTGGCGTTTTTTTCTATTTCCATTCTATATTTCCTTCTATATTTTTTAGTTGTCATCTCAATACAGGGAAGAAATTTCTCTTTTACCCCATTCATTGATATGATTAATGGCTTATTTATTTATTTTACTATGGACTCATGGATTTTAATTAATTTAATGGGTCAATATATGTTACTACCACTTTCTGATTTGATGCTCAAATCTTCCCATCTGTGGTGATTAGGAACCTTTTGAACTGGCTCTGAAATTCTTTTGACATGTTTCAGTATTCTTTGAGCATTTCTTTATTTTCTAGCAAAACAAGATATTCTGTGCACCTCTCATACAATTTCAGTCCTGGATTCAGCCATTAATCCAAGGGCCTGTCATTCCTTTTAGTAGAAGAAGGTATTTAGAAGCTAAGTTTGTTTGACTATTCAGCGTGCTCATTGCCACTTCTCTGTCATGGCTTAAGGACTTCCCAATGGACAGAGGTAGAAAAATTATGTGTATGTGTGTGTGTGTGTACGCACATATATATGTGTGTGTGCATGTGTATATCCATATATACATATACAAAATTGTGTGTACACATATATATGTGTGTGCATGTGTATATCCATGTATACATACACAAAATTCTTATATTTATGTATATACAAATGTACCTAATAAACATAAAATTCATGACAATCCCTTTGGCTGCCCACAAATTTGTTTTCACTCTTCTCATTGATGGGTGACTTGATGTCATTTTTCCTTGAACCTAGACAAACTTGTGACTCATGTATAACCAATAGAGATGGGAGAAATGATGCCACATGTTTACTGAGACTCAGTTAGCAAAGGCATGCAGCTTTCACTTTGTTCACTAGAATGCACAAGTATATGGAGCTAGCATCAAAAAAATTCAACTGCCCTAAGGACTCTGGATGATTCCAGTCCCCTGCAGTTGGGTCTGCCGAATCATGGAAGTCTTTCCAGCTGAGGCCCCAGATGTCATGGAGCAGGCTGTCTGTGCCCCCTGTGCTCCCCCGGATCCCTGACCCACAGGATATGCAAACAGAAAAAGTTGTTTTGCACGACTAAATTTTGAGATGGTTTATCATATAGCAATAAAAAACTGTAAAAATCTCTAATTGCAAATGAAATACCTTCGTGTTCTTCTAGATGTCTTCCTTTTTATATTTGTAAATTATTTTACTAGTAGTAAGAAAACCGGCTCTCATTATTCTTAAAATATTTACTCATTTGCTCAATCATCTGACTTATTTGCTTAATGTAAGCAATCTCCCAACCACACTGGCTTCATCTTCTTCCCTGCTTCTGCCTCCTTGGCCCCTGGCCACACCACTACATGCGTATATTCTCCTCACTGCCCATATGAATCAGCACCTCTGGGCAGCCAGGTATACTGATGCCCTCACTCCCACCTCCATCCATTTTCCTTGGCAGCAGGACATGCCGATGCCTATGAACAGGAAATGGAACGGAAGAAGAAAAGGAAAATAAGGAAGGGAAACTGCTGTTATTTTTATTTCAGCTGAAAAAAATCTCAAGGGCTAGATTTGGACAACAGTTGGCAAATTATAGCTATATGGTCATTGTTATAGTGTCTGCTCTGATCCAGTAGAGGATGCTTGGCTGCAAAACTTACCACAAGTGGGTTTCACGATATATTTCCTAAGCTGGGTCCTCCACCTTTGACCTTCAGCTCCTTGCCTATCCACGGGTCTGATTTTCATTGTATTCACATCCTGTCCCATTAAGGCTGCCTTTCATTGTCTCTAGGTTTTTTGCTGTTGTTTATTCTTTTCTTTTTCAGTTTGCCCAGCTAGTTTCTAACTGAGGGCAGAGAAGGCTGGTCAGGAGAGCATAGTACACTTTTCCTGGACAACTTCCAGAAGTACCTGGACAAGACTCCATGAAGGACTGGGGATTGCACAACAGTGGGTAGGAGTGAGAGCCAGAGGAATTCTTTTCATTATGCACAAAATGACCCTATTTTTACAACCTTAAGAGCAGCTTGTGTAATATATAACACACTTTGAAAAGGAACGCATTGTTTATCAGATGTGTAGTCTTTATTTTTAATGCAAGAGAAACTGGGTTTCAATTTCTTAGTTTGCATTTATTATTTCTGTTTTCTTGGTCAAATCAATTTCTTATCTTACCTTTGGCTTCCTTTTTAACAAAATGAGAACAGGAATTCTTATCTTACAGAACTGACCCACCTAAATAAAATTACAGGAGCGTTCTTACACCTTCTAGTGAGTTTCTTTACAAAGAAATGATCTTAAGCCATTTTTGTTTTTGGGTCCCTGTGAGCTGTATGTTGTTTGGACTTTTAGTTTGTGTTCATGTGTACCTCCCACTGGATATCAAGCCTAGTGATTTAGGTTCTATTTTCACCTCTAGAATAAAGCCACATGTCTTCATCATTGCCATATCACATCAGTTATTTGAATTTTCCACCAAATGTAAATAAAGACAATAACGAGGTAATACTTCCATCTAACATAATGCAACTATCCTGTGATTGTGATTTTCGGCATGTTAAACATTAGGGATTTTGATGTGTCAGGATTTCAGTATTTGGGATTATGGCATTTAGGGTTTTGTCTTTGGGGATTATGATCAAAACCCACATACATGAAACTGATAAAATTGCTTTAAGCCTCCAAATTGGCCTGTGAAAGTTGAAAGTCCTTCCCTAAGTTTATAGGTGTACTTTATATTATTGAGTTTGTTTTAATGCACTTGGCATATATTACAAATTTTACAACTGTAAAAGATTGTAGCAACCCTGCATCAAGCAATTCTATCAGCTCCATTTTTCCAATAGCATGTGCTCACTTTGTGTCTCTGTGTGACATTTTAGTAATTTTCACA
This sequence comes from Homo sapiens, assembly GCF_000001405.40. NCBI lineage: Eukaryota > Metazoa > Chordata > Mammalia > Primates > Hominidae > Homo > Homo sapiens. The sequence goes on along the minus strand of NC_000009.12, from coordinate 115,807,340 downwards.
ATATTTCAAATATTTTTCTTATTATTAGATTGTTATGGTGATCTATGATTAATGATCTTTGATGTTACTATTGTAATTGTTTCAGGGTGTCATGAACCACGGCTATATAACATAGTGAAATTAATTGATACATATGTGTGTTCTGACTGATCCACTAAGCAGCCATTCCTCCATCTCTCTTTCTCTCCTCGGGCCTCCCTATCTTATAAGGTGCAACAACATTAAAATTAGGCCAATTAATAACCTTAAAATGTTATCTAAGTGTTCAAGTGGAAGGAAGAGTCGCATGTCTCTCACTTTTAAATCAAGAACTAAAAATAATGCAGCTCAGCTCAGAAGGGATGTAGAAAGCTGAGCCAGGCTAAAAGCCATGCCTCTCGTCCAAATGGTTAACCAAATTGTGAATAGAAAGCAAAAGTTATTGAAGGAGTTGAAAGTTAAAAGTACCAGTGAACACACAAATGGTAAAAGAGTTAAATAGCCTTATTGCTAACGTGGAGAAAATTTTGATGGTCTGGGTAGAAGATCAAACCAGCTACAACATTCCCTTAAGCCAAAGCCTAATGCAGACCAGTGTCCTAACTCTCTTCAATTCTATGGAGTCTGAGAGGAAGCTGCAGAAGAAAAATCTGAAGTTATCAGAGATTGGGTTCACAAAGTTGAAGCAAAGGAAGCCATCTCCATCACATAAAAGTGCAATGTGAAGCAGTAAGTCACATGGAAGGCCTAAGATCATTAATGGAGGTGGTTATGTTAAACAATAGTTTTTCAATGTGGACAAAACAGCCTTTCTATTGTAAGAAGATGCTGTTCTAGGTTTCATAGCTAGAGAAATGTCAATGCCTGACTTCAATGCTTCACATGACAGGCTGACTCTCTTGTTAGAGGCTAATGCAGCTGGTGACTTTAAGTTGAAGCCACTGCTGATTTACCACTCCAAAAATCATAGGACCCTTAAAAATTATGCAAAATCTACCCTTCCTGTGCCTGATACATAAAACAACAAATCCTGGATGACAGCAATCTGCTTACAAAATAGTTTACTGAATATTTTAAGGCTACTATTGATATCTACTGCTTAGAAAAACAGTTTCCTTTCAAAATATTACATTAACAACCACCTAGTCACCCAAGAGTTCTGATAAACATGTAAAAGGAGATTAATGTTATTTTTATGCCTGATAACACAACATCTATTCTGCAGCCCACGGATCAAGAAGCAATTTTAACTTTCTTTTTTATTTTATTTTATTTTTACATTTTAGATTCAGGTAGTACATACGCAGGTTTGTTACATGGGGATATTGTATGATGCTGAGATTTGGGCTTCTAACAATCCTATTTCCCAAGCACTGCCACCAGGCAGGCAGTTTTTCAACTTTTCCCCTTCCCTTCCCCCTTCTGGAATCCCCAGTGACTGTTGATCACATCTTTGTGTTCATGCAGTTTAGCTTCAACTTATAAGTGAGAACATGTGGCATTGGGGATATTGGGTTTTCTGTTTCTGTATTAATTTGCTTAAGATAATGGTATCTAACCTCATTCATGTTGCTGAAAAAGACATACTTTCATTCTTTTCATGGTAGTATTCCATAGCATATATGTACATTTCCCTTGTCCAATCTATTATCTTGTTATTTAAGAAATACATTTTATAAGGCCATAGCTCCTATAATAGTGATTCCATTGATGGATGTGGGTAAAGTAAATTTAAAATCTTCTGAATAAGTTTCACCATTCTAAATGCCATTAGGAACATCCATGATTCATGGAAGGAGGTAAAAATATCAACATTAACAGGAGTTTGGAAGACATTGATTCCAAATCTCAGAGATTACTTTGAGGGGTCAAGATTTCCATGGAGGAGGTAACTGCAGATGTGGTGGAAATAGCAAGAGAACTAGCCTTAGAAGTGGAGCCTGAAGATGTGACTGAATTACTGCAATTTAATTTAATTTAATTTTTTTAGACAGAATATCACTTTGTCACCCAGGATGGAGTGCAGTGGCATGATCTCTGCTCACTGTGACCTCTGCTTCCTGGGTTCAAGCAATTCTCATGCCTCAGCCTGAGAAAGCTGGAATTACAGGTGCATGCCATCAGGCCTGGATAACATTTTGTGTGTGTGTGTGTGTGTGTGTGTGTATATATATACACACACACATATGTGTGTATATATATGTCTTGATATCAAGTCTTGATATATATATACACACATATGTGTGTGTGTGTATATGTGTATAGACATATGTATGTGTGTATATATGTGAGTGTATACATATATATGTATATGTATGTGTGTGTATATATACGTATATATACATATATGTATATATGTGTGTGCGTATATATATGTGTGTATATATGTATATGTGTATATATACACACATATACATATATGCACACACACACACACACACACACACACACATATATATATATATATATTAGTAGAGGCAGGGTTGCACCATGTTGTCCAGGCTGGTCTCGAACTCCTGGCCTCAAGTGATCCACCTGCCTCTTGGCCTCCCAAAGTGCTGGGATTATAGGTGTGAACCACCACACCCAGCCAGAATTGCTGCAATTTTTTGATAAAACTTCAATGAATGGACTTTCTTCTTATAGGTGAGCAAATAAATGTATTTATTGAGATTGAATCTACTCTTGGTGAAGGTGGTATGAATATTGTTGAAATGACAGTAATGGATTTTACAATATTGAATAAATTTAGTTGATAAAGCAGATGACAGAGTTTGAAGACTGACTACTGTTTTGGAAGATGTTCTAATGTGAGTCAAATGCTATCAAACAGCATCACATGCTACAGAGAAATAGTTTATGAGTCAACAGATGCACCAAATATCATTTTTATCTTATTTTAAGAAATTACCACAGCCACCCAACCTTCAGCAACCACACCCTGATCAGTCAGCAGCGATCAACATCAAGTCATGACCTTCCACCAGCAAAATGATAACAACTTACTGAAGACTCAGATGATTGTTAGCATTTTTTTTAAGCAATAGAGTTTTTGTTTGTTTTCACCCTGGCTGGAGTGAAGTGGGATGATCTCGACTCACTGCAACCTCCACCTCCCGGATTCAAGTGATTCTCTTGCCTCAGCCACTCAAGTAGCTGGGACTATAGGCACACACCACTACATCTGGGTAATTTTTGTATTTTTAATGGAGGCAGGGTCTCACCATGTTGCCCAGGCTGGTCTTGAAATCCAGAGCTCAAGCAATCTGCTCACCTTGGCCTCCCAAAGTGCTAGGATTACAGGTGTTAGCCACCACACCTAGCCAGAGGTAAAGTACTTTTAAAATAAGATATGTACATTATTTTTAGGTATAATCCTATTACATACTTAATAGACTACAGTGCGGTGTAAATATAACTTTTTTAAATTTTATTATTATTATACTTTAAGTTTTAGGGTACATGTGCACAATGTGCAGGTTTGTTACATATGAATACATGTGCCATATTGGTGTGCTGCACCCATTAACTCGTCATTTAGCATTAGGTACATCTCCTAATGCTATCCCTCCCCCCTCCCCACCCCACAACAGTCCCCAGAGTGTGATGTTCCCCTTCCTGTGTCCATGTGTTCTCATTTTTCAATTCCCACCTATGAGTGAGAACATGCAGTGTTTGGTTTTTTGTCCTTGCGATAGTTTGCTGAGAATGATGGTTTCCAGTTTCATCCATGTCCCTAAAAAGGACATGAACTCATCATTTTTTATGGCTGCATAGTATTCCACGGTGTATATATGCCACGTTTTCTTAATCCAGTCTATCGTTGTTGGACATTTGGGTTGGTTCCAAGTCTTTGCTATTGTGAATAGTGCCACAATAAACATACGTGTGCATGTGTCTTTATAGCAGCATGATTTATAGTCCTCTGGGTATATACCCAGTAATGGGATGGCTGGGTCAAATGCTATTTCTAGTTCTAGATCCCTGAGGAATTGCCACACTAACTTCCACAATGGTTGAACTAGTTTACAGTCCCACCAACAGTGTAAAAGTGTTCCTATTTCTCCACATCCTCTCTAGCACCTGTTGTTTCCTGACTTTTTAATGATCACCATTCTAGCTGGTGCGAGATGGTATCTCATTGTGGTTTTGATTTGCATTTCTCTGATGGCCAGTGATGATGAGCATTTTTTCATGTGTCTGTTGGTTGCATAAATGTCTTCTTTTGAGAAGTGTCTGTTCATATCCTTCGCCCACTTTTTGATGGGGTTATTTGTTTTTTCTGGTAAATCTGTTTGAGTTCATTGTGGATTCTGGATATTAGCCCTTTGTCAGATGAGTAGGTTGCAAAAATTTTCTCCCATTTTGTAGGTTGCGTGTTCACTCTGATGGTAGTTTCTTTTGCTGTGCAGAAGCTCTTTAGTTTAATTAGATCCCATTTGTCAATTTTGTCTTTTGTTGCCATTGCTTTTGGTGTTTTAGACATGAGGTCCTTGCCCATGCCTATGTCCTGAATGGTATTGCCTAGGTTTTCTTCTAGGGTTTTTATGGTTTTAGGTCTAACATGTAAGTCTTTAATCCATCTTGAATTAATTTTTGTATAAGGTGTAAGGAAGGGATCCAGTTTCAGCTTTCTACATAGGGCTAGCCAGTTTTCCCAGCACCATTTATTAAATAGGGAATCCTTTCCCCATTGCTTGTTTTTGTCAGGTTTGTCAAAGATCAGATAGTTGTAGATATGTGGCATTATTTCTGAGGGCTCTGTTCTGTTCCATTGGTCTATATCTCTGTTTTGGTACCAATACCATGCTGTTTTGGTTACTGTAGCCTTGCAGTATAGTTTGAAGTCTGGTAGCGTGATGCCTCTGGCTTTGTTCTTTTGGCTTAGGATTGACTTGACTACATAGTTGGAAGTAAAGCACTCCTCAGCAAATGTAAAAGAACAGAAATTATAACAAACTGTCTCTCAGACCACAGTGAAATCAAACTAGAACTCAGGATTAAGAAAATCCCTCAAAACTGCTCAACTACATGGAAACTGAACAACCTGCTCCTGAATGACTACTGGATACATAACGAAATGAAGGCAGAAATAAAGATGTTCTTTGAAACCAACGAGAACAAAGACACAGTATACCAGAATCTCTGGGACACATTCAAAGCAGTGTGTAGAGGGAAATTTATAGCACTAAATGCCCACAAGAGAAAGCAGGAAAGATCCAAAATTGACACCCTAACATCACAATTAAAAGAACTAGAAAAGCAAGAGCAAACACATTCAAAAGCTAGCAGAAGGCAAGAAATAACTAAAATCAGAGCAAAACTGAAGGAAATAGAGACATAAAAAACCCTTCAAAAAATTAATGAATCCAGGAGCTGGTTTTTTGAAAAGATCAACAAAATTGATAGACTGCTAGCAAGACTAATAAAGAAGAAAAGAGAGAAGAATCAAATAGACGCAATAAAAAATGATAAAGGAGATATCACCACCGATCCCACAGAAATACAAACTACCATCAGAGAATACTACAAACACCTCTATGCAAATAAACTAGAAAATCTAGAAGAAATGGATAAATTCCTGGACACATACATCCTCCCAAGACTAAACCAGGAAGAAGTTGAATTTCTGAATAGACCAATAACAGGCTCTGAAATTGTGGCAATAATCAATAGCTTACCAACCAAAAAAAGTCCAGGACCAGATGGATTCACAGCCGAATTCTACCAGAGGTACAAGGAGGAACTGGTACCATTCCTTCTGAAACTATTCCAATCAATAGAAAAAGAGGGAATCCTCCCTATCTCATTTTATGAGGCCAGCATCATCCTGATACCAAAGCCTGGCAGAGACGCAACCAAAAAAGAGAATTTTAGACCAATATCCCTGATGAACATTGATGCAAAAATCCTCAATAAAATACTGGCAAACCAAATCCAGCAGCACATCAAAAAGCTTATCCATCATGATCAAGTGGGCTTCATCCCTGGGATGCAAGGCTGGTTCAACATATGAAAATCAGTAAATGTAATCCAGCATATAAACAGAACCAAAGACAAAAACCACATGATTATCTCAATAGATGCAGAAAAGGCCTTTGACAAAATTCAACAACCCTTCATGCTAAAAACTCTCAATAAATTAGGTATTGATGGGACGTATCTCAAAATAATAAGAGCTATCTATGACAAACCCACAGTCAATATCATGGGCAAAAACTGGAAGCATTCCCTTTGAAAACTGGCACAAGACAGAGATGCCCTCTCTCACCACTCCTATTCAACATAGTGTTGGAAGTTCTGGCCAGGGCAATTAGGCAGGAGAAGGAAATAAAGGGTATTCAATTAGGAAAAGAGGAAGTCAAATTGTCCCTGTTTGCAGATGACATGATTGTATATCCAGAAAACCCCATTGTCTCAGCCCAAAATCTCCTTAAGCCGATAAGCAACTTCAGCAAAGTCTCAGAATAGAAAATCAACGTACAAAAATCACAAGCATTCTTATACACCAATAACAGACAAACAGAGAGCCAAATCATGAATGAACTCCCATTCACAATTGCTTCAAAGAGAATAAAATACCTAGGAATCCAACTTACAAGGGATGTGAAGGACCTCTTCAAGGAGAACTACAAACCACTGCTCAATGAAATAAAAGAGGATACAAACAAATGGAAGAATATTCCATGCTCATGGGTAGGAAGAATCAATATCGTGAAAATGGCCATACTGCCCAAGGTAATTTATAGATTCAATGTCATCCCCATCAAGCTACCAATGACTTTCTTCACAGAATTGGAAAAAACTACTTTAAAGTTCATATGGAACCAAAAAAATATAACTTTTAAATGCACTGGAAAACCAAAATATTTGTGCACCTCTCTTTATTCTGATGGTCTGGAACCAAACTCACAATATCTCCAAGGTACATCTTTATATGAATCATTGGAAGATATTTAGTTTCCCTTGAGACTTGATATTTTACTTACCACCTCTGTCTATAACTGCATTACTTTCCTTTATATAGCAGTAACACCTTAACATGGATGTTTGGCAGAATTTACTGGGGGATTCTGGGGGCTTCCCTGAAAAGCTGTGCAAAGATCCCTGCATCATAAGGCTATCTACTTCTCCATTTCTGTCTTTTTTCCCCTCTATTCACCCTTTCCATCTCCCAAAGTTCTAGGCACTCTAAAAGTAGGGCACTGCAACTTTTCTCAGGTTTTAATACCAAACGTGCATAGCCAAAGGCATCTAAGGTTTCAGAAAAACAAAATGCTTCTATCTGACAGGCACCCTTCTTTGAACAGAGTTGCAGTGTGAGGATAGCAAGCAGACACTCCTGATTCACTGTCTGTCTTTGTTTTTGCTCCTGTTACACATGTAAAGCACTCAGCACTGTACTGACATCTGTGGCTCTCTGATCATGTGCAACACAGCTACACAGATGCAGCCCAGCCACTCTCTCCTTCTGGCACTATTAGTCCTGCTATACTCTCAGAGGCAACTCAATTACTTCTATGGAGAACCACCTGGTATCCACTCCTTTCCTTATATTCAATTTAGTATGTAAATATAAACATGGCCAGATAATTATTTCTGAGCACTAGGGTTCAAATATTTAAAACTTGACTCTAAAACAATGATTGCTAATATTAATTGAATGTCAACCAGGCACTTTCTGTATAATATATTTAATCCTTGCAAGCATCTCTATGATTTTTGTCCAGAGAAGGAAACTAGGGCTCAGAGATATTAAGTGGCTGAGTCAGGGTTTGAATTCAGCCATACTGTCATAAAACATAAAACATTAGCTCTTTCTACTATATCACATTCTCTTATAACTAATTAACAGAAAGGTCTAACATATTATATTTGCAACGACATTAACTAGTCTAAAAGAGGTGTCATTGATACACATAAGTATAATTCCAATTTAATGATAATCGTTTCTTTGTTTTCCATGGTTAAATTTAATTGAGCTTTATTTGGAATGTCACATAGCATGGCTTTGTCTAAAACATAGGTAATTTAAAAAATCATTCAGTAATTCCCTACATCTTAATTATTAACTGCGTAATGGAACTGTTTAACTCTGTGTAAATTCATCAGAAAAATGGTAGGACAAATAGTACCTTGGGCAAAATGTAGCTGATTCACATATTTGAGGCTCTGTGACTCAAGGAGACAGATATAAATGTGGCAATTCCTATCTTAACAATTCTTAATATAAATACATGAAGACTAACATGGTGCTTAAATTTCTCACTTGCAAATCCAATTTGGAGAAAGAAGTAGAGAGAGGATTGAAATGGGTACGATTCATAGAAAATATGTATCAGAAAGAACTTCAGTCGCAGATACAACTGACATTTATGTATTACTTTACATTCTATAAAGTGTACATTTATTGGCTCATTCCTTCCTCATAACCATCTTACGAGAAAAGTCTTGTTATGACCATTTAGTGGATGGGAGAATTTAGGGTCAGAGAGCTGTGGTGGTTTGCTCAAAATAATATAGTCAGTAAAGGACAGAGCCATGAGTTAAACTGGAGTCTTCTATCTATAAACCTTATGCTTTTGCCATTATATCATTTTAGAGAGAGGCAGATAAATGAACAAGTATGAGATGTGGCTATAATTTATAGAACCTCAGCTTAATCAATGGCAAAACAAAAATATCAGTAGGAACTATAGTTTAACTATTTATTCAATGACCATTTACTTAGTTCTCCCAATGTGCCAGGCAAATAGTAGTGAGTGTTCAAGGGTGAACAACACACAAGGTCCCAAGCTTCATGGAGCTTGTAGACCAGCAGGAAAGACAGCAATTAGGTTAGTATAAGCTCTGCTCTGTTTTAGGTTCATTAGAAAGAATAAGCAATTGATGTTTAGATCTACGTTGATACAAATTTTCCACTGCTTTTTATCAACAGCTTCCAGGATGAGAGCCACATGCAACCCTAAGCTGCCCTTTGCAAGTCTTTGTAGTAGAAGAACGCACATCATTAAGACGCAACTTACAGCCTCTCTTCTCCCACCCAGTGGTTTTCATGGTCTTGTGTCTCACAATGGTACCTGTTGTTCAAAAGCATCACACATTTAACTGTCCATTAAGGTTTACCAGAGACTTGTGCACTTTACTATTTTACTTATTTATTTTTAACCAAAGAAAATGAAGCTTATTAGAGACTACAGTCAACACTCAACGAGAAGCTTAGGTAAATCCATTTCCCATTTTCCATTTCCAAAAGCTTTAACATATAACATTCATGAGGTTTCCTGTTTTCAAGTCTTTCCTTTAGCACTTTTGTTTTTTCTTTAACACATTTTTAGGTATTAAAAATACCTTTTTAGGTGTTTGATGCATACAAAATAATATACGTAGGCTTTATGTAGGTTATACAGTACAATAACACAATCAAAACTTTTGAGCTCAGCACTCAATTCAAAGACAACATGACATTGATTCACATTGATCTACATGTGCTGCCCCTCCCATCCCACTGTTTAATTGTTTATCAGAGTAATATATGGAACTTTTTTTAAAAAAAAAGTCAAACAGTATTATGAGAGATTTAACATAAATAGCAATTGTTTCCCTTTCCACTACTGATTCCTATTCCTATAAGGCATATGATTTTGATTCCTATTCATATGAGGCATACATTTTCAACACCTTAAAAATATTTCTTTTGGTACTCACCTCTATTTTTCTAAATTATTTAGTATATTTTTAGTCTTAATTTTAGATGTTATCTACCCACTGTTAGCAATATCTGATGAAGACCTATCTGCTCCCCTGCAAGTGCCTATGACCCATTCCTTTACATCAACACAAAAGCACATACATTTTCCTTCTTGTAACTTTTCAATATAGTTTTACCTGTTTTTTAAATTAAAATAAACTTTAGTGTTTATATTACTAACCCAGATATTTTCAGAGCTAAATCATGAAATATGACATAAATTTTTTCTTTCTTTGTATTAATTTCCCCTCCTTTGGTTTAAAATTGCCTCATTAATCCATTTGCTCAGGGATTTCTTTTTTTCCTTAACCCTCCAAATATCCACCGGAATGATAAAACTTTTATTATTTTGGTTAAAGTCAAAACAAAAATCTGTCTGTCTGCCTGCCTATCTATCAATCAATCATTATCTATCAGCCTAATATCTGGTTTTTCCCCCTTGAGACCTCTCTCCTAGAGCCTACCATCCTCTGACTCCCATCTAACCGCTCTCCAGCCTTGGCAAACAGCTCTTGCCTTGGAACTTGTCTTCATCATTATCTTCAGGATTCCTTTTGTCTTCTGTCCAATATACAAGCCGCTATTTCCTGAAACCCATGCTTTTCTTATTTACATTGTGAATCCTTAATTTTATTGGGACACATGAGCTTTCTGTATAAAGTTCATTTTTTCAGTTCTTGCATATTTTAATCTTTTCCTTATTTTATCTTTAAATTTGAATGACAGTCTAGAAATTAGTTGTTAGAAATACTTTCTTTTTACAATGTTAAAGACCACTCTATTTTCTTCTGGTGTCTGATGTTGTGTTGAGAGCAGTGATAACATCATAAATCTCAATATTTTTATATGAACTCTTTTTGTCTGTTCCCTGAAAATTATTATAGTCTTCTTAACATCCTCAGTGTTCAGAAATTCGCCTATGACATGCATTTATTCATATTTGTATGATTCATGCACACACATGATTATTTCCTCCAATCAATCTCCATTCTTCTCTTTTCCTTCCTTTTTTTGTTTTCTTTCTTTTTGTTTGAGACCAGATTTCACTCTGTCACTCAGGCTGGAGTGCACTGTCAAGATCAGGACTCACTGCAGTCTCGACCTACTGAGCTCAGGTGATTCTCCCATCTCAGCCTCCCGAGTAGCTGGGACGACAGGTGCGTGTCATCATGCCCAGCTATTTTTTGTATTTTTTGTAGAGATGGGATTTCACCATGTTGCCCAGGCTGGTCTTGAACTCCAGGGCTGAAAGTGATCTGTCCACCTAGTCCTCCCAAAGTACTGGGATTACAGGGATGAGCCACTGTGCCCAGCCTTCTTTTCCTTCCTTATGAAAGCTTTACTAATTACTTCTGGACTTTTTAGTCAATCCTCGAAAATAATAAAATTTCCCTCACTTACCTTGTATTTATCTATTTCCTCTACTTTCAGAGATATTTTCTCAACATTATTTTTTAATCCAATTTGAAAATACTTTTAAGGCACAATCATGATTTTAATTTTCAATAACCATTTTTTGTTGTTCTCAGATTATTCCATTTTATAGCAACATATTCTTGTTTTGTGAATGTAATAATTTATTTTACAATTATTATAAACTTCTGATTATGGTTTTACATTTCAGATTTTGTCTTTCATGGTAGAGCCTGTCCTCAAATGTCCCAGGATACTTGACTATTCATTTACATTAAAGAATGAAGAACAAAAATCTAGTGCATAAGTAGGACTTGTTGACTGTTGGGTTGCCCTCCCTGTATGGTGATCTAGTAGTGACTACATTGTTTGACTGGGGTTCTTAAAATCACTATTTTCTGTTTGTCTCTTTGGGCCACTCAGAATCTCCAGAGAAGAAACCATCCATATCTCTGCCCACCATCTTCTGTATGCCTTTTGGTTGACAAGAGATTGTGGGAAGGGTGTGGTCACCATTTAGAATATTCACTTATATTCTCTTTCACTTATATTCTCTTATTTTCAAAGTGGCATCTTACTCCTAGCCTTTGCTTGACTAGACTTCCAACTTTAAAGCATTTCTCATTCTGTATTCCCACATACAAAAAAAATTGCCTCCTGAAAGGGTCATAAAGAAGTAGTTGGCTCACTGCACGGAGTATAGTCCATCTAGGGGTCTAGCTCCTTGTACAGATTCATGAGTAGGATGTGTGTTTAGCCCTCTACCTAGTACTTACAATTTTTTTAGCCTTTCTGAGATTTTATGATGTAAGTCAGCTTGGTTTTTATTAGAATCTCTTTTGAAAGGCAGTTGGGTTTCAGGATTTTCCAGTCTGTTGGGATAGTTACTACTTATTCATCTGCTTTTCATCTTCCAAAAATTTGTTGTTCCCTCTTTTCCAGGTCATTTTGTTTCAAGTTCCCTTAATCATCGTGAATTTATACATTATAACTTGATTATCATCATTTTCATGGTGACTCAGAAGGAAACATAGAAAAACACATGTGTTAGATCATCATTTTAACTGGAATTCTTTTGTCCTGTATTAACATAAAATGAATTTGAATAATGCAAATTATATGCATACAGACTATTTGAATACTATGACTACAGAAAAGAATAATATAAATGCATTATCTCCAGAATGCAGTGGGAATCCTGGAAAATATTACTTTGCTGTTATTTATTATAGGAAGTGCTCTACCATGGCATTTTTAGGTTTCATACACTTTTTCAAAAATGCATAACTCAAGCATATTGAGGAAGGAGAGCATAATTTTGTAAAAATGCTTGGTGAGTGTTATGCCAGTGGAAGTTTGGGGATCTATGAGAATATAAGGAAGAAAGACCTTAGGAATTGGAAGAGGAGAGGCTTTCCTGAAGAAATGACATTTGGCTTAAGACATGGAGAATGAATGAGAATTGGTCAAGATAAATAGATTATGTGTGTGTGTGTGTGTGTGTGTGTGTGTGTGTGTGTACTGGAGTTGTGGAATAGAAAAGATTGGGGAATAAAAGTGCTTCGGCCAACTGACATATTTTGAATAACTTTAAGATTAGGTAGGAATAAAAAGCCAAGAGAAAGCACTGGAGAATTTTTAAGAAGAATACTGAAAGGGACAGATTTTAATTTTAGAAATATACCTGCAGCTCTAAAATACATAATGGACTACACAGGGACAGAAGTGCAGACTGGAAACTGAGAGAGGAGGCTGCTACTGATGCTCATGCAGAAAAAGATTGGATCATAGTATGTTATGATGTGTTGAAGAGAAATGAACGCATTTTGGAAGTATTAGATAAATTACTTGTCTATAAATTAGGCTTATCAATAAATTAGTTTTAAGAAAAGACAAATAGAGAAAATTTGAGGATTATTATTCAGTCATTCTTTCATTTGGCTTAGAAGCCTGAGTGAAATTTACTTTGAAAAAGGAACACCACTTTGGGAGGCCGAGGCGGGTGGATCATGAGGTCAGGAGATCGAGACCATCCTGGCTAACAAGGTGAAACCCCGTCTCTACTAAAAATACAAAAAATTAGCCGGGCTCGGTGGCGGGCGCCTGTAGTCCCAGCTACTCGGGAGGCTGAGGCAGGAGAATGGCGTGAACCCGGGAAGCGGAGCTTGCAGTGAGCCAAGATTGCGCCACTGCAGTCCGCAGTCCGGCCTGGGCGACAGAGCAAGACTCCGTCTCAAAAAAAAAAAAAAAAAAAAAAAAAAGAAAAAGGAACACAAGTGATGGAACCTACTGAGAGTAGTAGATTTAGATTTCAAGATACTTGCAGGTCATTCAAGTTGGAATTTTAAGTAAGAAATTGGATATGCTCTTGAAGCCATGGGTTCTTCTAGACTGAATATAAATCTGGAGTCATTAGCATCCAGGTTGTAGATGAATCCATGAGAGTAGGTGAAGTCACCCAAGTAGAGTGTGACTGTTGAGATGGCCTGGAATTAATCTCTGAGGAGGACTAGCATTTAGAGGATAGACAAAGGAAAAGAAGTCTCCTTAAGAGATTGAGACGACATCACTAGAGAAGCAGAAGAAAACAAGTCAAGTGAGCTGTCCATGAAGGTAAAGAAATAGCATGTTGAAAGAAGAAGGAATGGTTAATGAAATGCAGAATTGAAAGGTGCCCAGTGATTCACAATAAGATCACTAATGATCTTGAAAAAGTTTCAATGGAGTGATGGCAAAGGCCTAATTGCAGAAATCTGAAAAGTGGCTGAGAAGTGAAGATATGTAGATAGGGGGTATAGACAAGATTTTCAAGAAACTGGCTGACAAGGAGAGAGAGAGGAGAGAATAGGAAGAGGAAAAAGAGGGATGAAAGAAAAAAGAGAAAGGATTATTCTTGTTTGTGTATAGGGAGAAAATTAATCATACTAAAAATTGTAAAAATTTTAAAGTATAAACAATAGAGAGGAAGAGGTAGAAAATGAGCCAGGGGTGTGGATTCAGGGTAAAATTTGAAAATTCAAAAAAGGCCTGGAGTATGTAGGCAAGTGTAGAGACATTGTTTTTAGTTTTTGTTTTGTTTTGTTTTTAGACAAACAAAGGAAAAGTGGAATGATGGGTGCAGATAAAACTAAATTTTTAAGTCAGTTTGTGGATAGTTGAGGAAGTATACTTCTAAAGCTATTTCTATTTTTGGTCAAAAGGAAGTGAATTAATCTTCTGCAAGTGGAGTAGTAGAGAGAATATAGAAATTTTAAAATAGTTAATGTGGAAGAAAGAGAAGGTGAAATAAGAAAACATACTGAAATTGCTTTGTAGAGTGAAAGACTAAGCTGAAACTGATGACCATAATTTCATCATGACATCTCATTTAAATGTTGTAGAAAGAATGCTAGCTTAAGTGACAGAAAGATCTGGATTTGAATTTTGATCAACAGTGTGGCAGTAAGAAAATCAACTATATTTCTTGAGACCTCATTTTGTCAGCTGTATAATGCAGGTAACTTTATCTACCTTATAGAATTGTGCAGCCCTTGGCAGATAGTCCCTATTATTTTTATTAATCCATTTTTCAGGGGGGATATTCAAGGCATACATTGTTCAAAGTTTTAAAAATATATTTTCCCAGCATTACTAAAGACATTTACTTTTTTTCCCTATAAATAAGAAAAAGTAGCTCTGTCAATGTTTTCCATTGTGTGTTCTGCAGAGATATTAATTCCTCATGATGATACTAGTTACCCAGCCAAGAGTTTTAGTGGTCAAATATTTTGAGAAGTGTTGAAATAAACATAGTTAAGTGGGTTTTGTTACTAAAAGACTTATCAGTGTCATTAATATATGCATGTGCATTATGAATTTTCACAGGAAACATATAATGTGTGACAGTACTCAAGGCTTTTGGATCAAGATTTACTTTTTTTTGGGACAACACAAACAACCAGTGTTGCATAGAAATCCTTGGTAAATAGTCCTCCTGGTCAGAGACTCCTTTAACAGAGATAAACAAGAGTATTAAAAGACCCTATAAATGGTAGCATGCTGTGGCTTTCTTAACATTGAGAATCCATGATAAGAATCATTAATTTCATCATTCATTTATTCACATGTTTATTTTTTCACATCTTTTCTTTGCACATGCCTTGAGTGGTGTGCTGAAGCTGGTTTGTATTTCCTCACGACAGACTACTATTAAATTTTCAGGAATTTTGTGAGCCACTTGACGTCATGTTGATAGCTTGAAAACGAACATGGTGGGAGTATTTACACCACAGAAAATGGCAAACACTACAAATCGAGGTTTCCTTTTTTGGAGAGCCTATTGTTAAACATTTACCAGCACACGACTGAAACAGAGTTGAGACAGCACAATATTAAGGTGAATCTGACATGCTTTCTGCACTCCAAGGACTTGCTTTCTGCTGAGGAAAAAAAATTGATCCAAATAAATATAAAAAATACTAGAAAGTAGAGGATGGAAAGGAGGTGAAGATGGAAAAATTACTTATTGTGTACCATGTTCACTATTTGGGTAATGGGTACGTTAGGTGCCCAGTTCACATCAACATGCAATATCACCTGTGTAACAATCATATGCATGTTCTGTTTAGTTTCAGAATCTAAAATTAAATTGTTTAATTTTAAAAATAAAAAGTGATTCTTAATAATTATAACAACATTTATTAAACACTTGCTATGTTTTGGGCATTGTTCTAAGTGCTCCTCATGTTTTGTCTATAGAATCTCAGAAAAAAAACTTCAGTGAGGTAGATCATATTATTATCCTGTATATATAACAGAGAAAGAAACTGAGGCACAGAGATGGCAAATAATTTTTTTAAAAATTATCTTGTTACGTGGCAGAACCAATCCAAAATTCCAACTCAGGGTGTCAGACTCTAGAACTCAGGCCTCAAGCATTATGCTTGATCACTTCTTCCATGCCTTGAAAGATGGTCAAATAAAGCAGTGTGGCTATTCTGATGTGGGAAAAAGAGATAACAGAGAGCTAAGGAAAATGGCAGCCTTCTACAGAAACTTCATTTGTACCTGCAATGAGTAAACACAACTCACTTTCTCCACCTGCACTTTTTACACAAGCACAAAAGAGTGAGCTGAGGTGAACCATGTCATTAGGGGCCTAAACTCCAATTGTCCTTCTCTCTGGCCTGGAGCCAGATCCCCTGCTTTAGGCCGTGTCATTTTCCTCTGAGGTATGCACAAAGTAGAGGTTATTCGTGTCACATCTGTTCCTGCTTTTTGGGTCCATTGGAAAAAAAAAAATCACTGACTTTATTTTCCAAGGGAGCCCCTTTTAAGAAAGACCGGATACAGGGTGGCCAGGAGGGAAACCTGTGTACGTCCTTAAAAGCAAACCTTTCAGCATTAGCATTCATAAAGCATATTTTGGCATATGTGCTCAGACTCTAATGTCTCCCCACCGACCCCTGTTCGGGTTTAGAATTTCAGAAACGTCACAATGCTACATTCCTTCTCTGCAAAGAAAATCGAACCTGTATGTCTATATTACACACCCATATGCAAAATCTTCACAGATAGGATGGGCTTTTCTCTGGCTTTTCCTGAGAACAGCCTCCAACTTTAAAATAGCCTTGCATTTTTTGAATTCTGGTTTTTTAATGAAGAGGCTTTCTCCTGCTAAGAGCCTTTGTTTGAAATGAGTAGTGTTTTCAGTAAGCATTATTTCTAAGATTCTTCCATACCGTCTAATATATTCACTCTCTTAAAATACTCATGGTGTACAGCTGGATGTGGTTATAGGCAAATTCTATATCTACAAATAAATTAATATATGAAAGTAAATTGAAATTTGTAAACAATTTTTAGGGCAATGTGTACAACTCCTTGAAATGGGACATTCTGGATATATTTTCCTTTTCTCTTATGGTAAATTAGTGGTAATTTGATTATTAGATAGACATATAACAATTGCCTAGCCATGTAAGCAACATCCTTTACTTCAAGCAGCTAAGGAACCATTTAGCTGCTAAGCTATGGAGTGGAGAATTGGTTAGAGGAAAAGACCCTGAAAGAAGAGATCAAAGAAAAGATGAGGACACAAAACATTCCTCACATTAATCACCAAATTAATTAGAAGTGGAGAGAGATCTTCCTTTCAGTCCTTTTTGACTATCCTACTTAAGACAGGCTCTTGGCTCTGAATTTATTATGGAGGATGTAACATTCCTATCCCATTTACCTGCATAGCTAATTCTCCTTTTATGCACTCATGTCTTGCCTCCCTAAACATACACTAGAAACTCTTTGTGGACAGGAAATATGCTTTGCAATTATACATGTTCTCCTGTTTAGCCCATTACTTTCTACTCAATAAGCATTGATTACACTATTACAGGTAATGCGCGCGCTCTCTCTCTCTCTCTCTCAGTCTCACTCTTCTTATCTTACCCTTTGAACAATCTGCTCTGGCCACCCTTGATGACTTGATATGCCGGATACCTCCAAGTTCTCCAACTCCATTTATTTGTTGAGACAGATCCATTTGTTAGACATATAATACCCGAGTTTCTATTTCCAATTGTGTGACCATTCTTATAGGACTCAGGGAAAAACATTAGCTAATCTCAACCTCAACTTTCTTATCTATAAAATGTAATTATTAAATGGAATGTATACAAAAAGCTTGGAATGGTGCCTGACATGTACTAAGCATTTAATAAATATAATTTTCTTTACCTTTCCCTACTTTTCTACCTCCTTTTGCCTGTCCCATGACAGCTATCTCATTGGCCTTTGTCTTTTGGCATCTCTCATCCTTTCTTCTTACAAGGAAAATAAAATAAATTAATACAAAGCAATTGTAATTTCATTTTTAAAAAGACATGCTTGGTTGGAAAAGAATGATGTGCTGTGGTATTGTACCACCTGACTTTGACAGTAGACTAAAATACAAAGCCATGTCTTCATTTACTTGGCCAGTCCTTAGACATGTTTATGTCCTGCAGCAATTCACTGGAAAACAAATTGATCTTCATGAAATGGGAAACTGTTTACTTAAAGAAGAGGACAATTGGAAAGAGGGTTATGGAGTACCATTCGTTATGTATTCCTCAGTCAGAGTAACCCTGAAGAGTGTCTGTATGAGTGTGCTTACTAAATGCTCATTTACTGAATACCTTCAAGACTTCAAACCAGGCAGTAGGTGCTGCAGGTGACTTTAAGGTAAAAGACAGCATCTTTGATCTGAAGGGGTCAAACAGGAAAGACAGACATGCTAAAGCTGCATGGCAATGTAGTGGGATAAGGGTTTTCTGCTGGGAATACAGGAAGCTCTGGAAATGCAGGGAAGAAAACAAGAGACAGAGGAGGTTCCTAGAGGGAGTGATGAGAATATAAATGGAGGAAGCGAAAGCATGTGCAGCATTAGCACTGGATGAATCCTTAGAGGTTTTCTGGCCCAGTCCCTGCTAAGCCAGGTAGCTAAAGGCTAGAAAAATATCCAAGCTCACATTCTTTGCAATTTACATATGAGTCTATTGGATATGGACAGATGTTGCAGGCTCTGTTCTCTAGGTTCAGACGCTGAAATGAAGTTCAGCATACAAGATGTTTATTAGGGATCAATACCTCTGAAAGGAAGAGGGAGGGTACAGGATTGATACTGGGAGAAGTCAAAGGCCATGCAGGCCTGACAAGGTTCAGCCAGTCCAGCAGAGAGCTTGTCAGAGTGCCCTGCATTAGGAGAAATAACAGATTTTATACCCTGCTCCACCCAGGCTCTGGATGCAGACTGTCCCAGGGAGGATGTGAGCTCAATGAGGCAGTTTTCTGTGGCCAACGTAGACCCTGAAGTTGCTGACAGTTGGAGGCCATCTGTTGACTGTATTCTCCATACCTGGGAACATTCCCTTCCTTAAAAGGGTATCTAGGCAGCATATCTTTGTGTCTACCAGAACAGAACTGGATTCAACTAATATTTACTGAAAACTTACTATGTGCTAGACACTGTGCCAAGAAATTTTATAAATTTTATCTTGTTTGATCTTTCTAGCATGAAGAACGTGTCATTATGCTACCCATTAGTTCACAGGTTCATAGGCCAGTTTCCTCATGGCATGAAATGTCAACAGCAAAACCACTTTTCACATGCAAATTCTGAACAGTCTGAGAGCATTTACCAGCATCACCTATAGCTGACATCAGCAACAGGCATTGCAACCCCCACTTGTCTCAAGAGGGAGCTAAAAGAGAATCAGCCTATGCTTTAATTTAAGAAGAACTGTCAAATCTGAGTCCAAAGGGCCAATGTCTGGGTCAAGTCCACTTCTTTATCTGAGTGGTTTTCAGTGATTACTGAGCCAACAGACCATTTATATCATGGAAGCATGAGATGCAAACATCTTTCCAAGTTTGGGAAAAGATCCCTGAAATTGACAACTCTAACGTCTTCATAGAAATCAGGAATCTTGGCTATAATGTTCTGGGCAAGTGAATATTTGAAAAAGTGAATATTTGAATATTTCTAATGACTGGACACTCATAGCCTCACAATGTTGCCCCTCCTGATTGAATTTCTGCCATTCTCTAGAGTCACAAAGAATGAAACCAATTTCTCTTCTCTGTCTCTCTGTTTTTTTTTTGTTGTTGTTAATGAGAGCCACCTTTGTGCAAACTTCTCTTCTTTCCCCTGAATTGCTAACCCTGGTTCTGGCACTTACTCTGACCTTTCTTCGATCACCCAATCTGTGTAAGGTTTTCTCCCTCATTCACATGGTGGATATAATAATATCCACCTAATAAGATTGTGAGGCTTAAAACATGCCATTTACATGGTAAACACTCAATAAACAGTAGCCATTAGGATCAATGACATCAGTGTTCCTTTTATACTCATGGCAATCCCGATGATCAATGAATTGGAGAGCACAGTACATTTCTTCATATGAACATGATACTTCCATTACAAAGATCATCAATATACATAAGTTACTTTTGCTTATGGCTTTTTTCTCCCAAATGGAATGTGCCTTGCATCTAGCTATGATGCTCTAGTCTTTGTGTGCATCTGAATGTTTATGGGGTACACGAATCTCTTATATTCTATTCCTCGTTATTTGGCATCTTTAAATATATTGGATATTTTGCATTCACTATGAGACTTGGAGTGACAGTCTCATCCAGAAATCATACACGTTTGTGGGTCATAGTCAGTCCTTGAATTCAGTTTTCCAAGTAGTGCAGTTTCTTACATGACAGAGGTACTTCACAGTGTATGGGTTATGGCCTGCTTGAAAATCTGATAGGTTATGTCCCTGGAGGGAGGGAGATTTCAAATACACACACACACACACACACACACACACACATACACACACACACACAATTTTCTTTAATTACAGGAGTAATTAACTGAGAACTCCTTACTTAAAAATACTGTGGTTAGTAGTCTTAGTAATTCATGAATCAGGGTGGGAGGGATCCATTTTTGTGATCTGTCTTCTGGGCAGAGACAGTAGAATAGAAAGAAAAAAGACTAAATGGGTAGTGGATTCATCATAAGGGAGTTAGTGAAACTTGTAAGTAATTTCACATCTCTTCCATATTAGGAGAGGCTAATATTCTTAGAATAACGAATGAAATCATGGGTGCTCAGAACAGAGCACCTAATTTTAAAGCTAATGCATGTTCTATTAGCTGCATATGTCAGAACACTCTGATTCATAACTCCACGAGGCCCAGAGCTATCTGTCCCAAGGGAGGGCAGAAATAGAAAAGACAAAAAACACACACACAATGTTTTGTTATGTCTTTGGCCAGTCCTAGACACATGGAAAAGTTTGTTTGCTTCATTTGACTTGCAGTCTTTTAGCCAGCCCATTATCTACACACAAACCTGCTATTATAACATGAATCCAGAGCATCATTTTTTCCTCTTTTAATAACTAATATATGAACTTCTCAATTTTATTTATTTATTTATCTATTTATTTTTAGAGGTAGATAGTCACCATACTGGGCCACTGTAAGCTCTGTTTGGAAAGTCTGGTTGGACTCACATGTAAACCTAGAGCTTCTGTAAAATCTTTTCTTTTTTTTTTTTCTTTGAGACAGAGTCTCGCTCTGTCACCTAGGCTGGAGTGCAGTGGTGTGATCTCAGCTCACTGCAAACTCCACCTCCCGGGTTCAAGTGATTCTCCTGCCTCAGCCTCCCAAGTAGCTGGTACTACAGGCACATGCCACCAGGCCTGGATAATTTTTTGTATTTTTAGTAGAGACGGGGTTTCACCATGTTAGCCAGGAAGGTCTTGATCTCCTGACCTCGTGATCCATCCACCTCAGCCTCCCAAAGTGCTGGGATACAGGTGTGAGCCACTGCGCCTGACCAAAATATTTTTTAATGTTTTTTGTCATGATTTCTTTTTATTATTTTACTTTAAGTTCCAGTATATGTGTGCAGAATGTGTGGGTTTGTTACATAGGCATACATGTGCCACGGTGGTTTGCTGTACCTATCAACCCGTCATCTAGGTTTTAAGCCCAGCAAGCATTAGGTATTTGTCTTAATGCTCTCCCTCCCCTTGCCCCCCACCCCCTGACAGGCCCTGGTGTGTGTTGTTCCCCTCCCTGTGTCCATGTGGAGAACCACTCAATTTTAATTGTCACTTTATCTTCCTGTGTCCAGATTTCCTTACTTTGTTTATATCCTCCACACAAGTATTTCCCATACTTAGGTATTCAGACATAGGGTTGCACTTGATGCATTAAATCACCTGCAGAATTGGCTAAAAGTACTGATTCCTGGGTCACATTAAAAGCCCAGGATGAATATAGTCTGACATTGAGCATAGGCGTCAGCCATTATATGTAGATGTTCATTTATTCAGTGGCTCAGTTATGTTTGGGAATTTTCTCTAAGATATTAGCAGTGGGACCTCTACAATTCTCTACCAAGAATATACTGTGTTAGTTCCATGGTGCCTCTTTGACACCATGAATACCTTAACACAATCATCTAGCTTTTCCTGAGCTTTCACTAGAAATTCTATCACAGCAGTATTTTTTAACTTTATTTTAAGCTCAGGGGTACGAGTGCAGGTTTGTTACATAGGTAAACTTGTGTCATGAGGGTTTGTTGTACAGATTATTCCTCATCCAGATACTAAGCTTAGTACCCATTAGTTATTTTTCCTGATCCTCTCCCTCCTCCCAGCCTCTACCCTCCAAAAGGTCCCAGTGTGTGTTGTTCCTCTCTATGTGTCCATGTGTTCTCATCGTTTAGATCCCACTAGTAAGTGAGAACACGCAGTATTCTGTTCCTGTGTGATTTTACTAAGAATAATGAACAACAATATTTTTAATCTCTTAAATATTTTGCTGAGAATTTACGAGGTTCTGAAGAAGAGTAGGTTCTGAGGAAGAGTAATATAGTATAGCAACAGTATTTCACTTGAAATACACCCACTGAATGTGTCTTCTACTGCAGGTACCTCCTCCTTATCTTGAGCACCATCTGGGTTACTCCTAACACTTGATGCTGACACTTCTTCCAAACAGTTTGAATTTTTATGCTGGCCTTCCTCTCACCTTAATTATGCAAGATAGACTCTTTCTTCTCTGTAATGCTTGGCCAGGAACCCGGGATATAACTTCCAGTATAAAGTGCATTTAAAAAAAAAAATAAGCAAACATACTCTTTGCATCAGTCATAACTCTAGGAGCTCTCTTACCTGAAAAAATCCCAATCCATTCTTCAAGTATCAGTTAAAATGCTGCTTATTCCATGAAGTTACCCCAAAAGCAATATGTTCTCCTCTGAACTTTTTCATTTTATCGACACCTTACTTATCACAACAAGCCTATCTTACCTCATAGTAATGGGCTCACAGTTCCACATGGCTGGGGAAGCTTCACAATTATAGTGGAAGGGAAAGGAAGAGCAAAGGCACTTCTTACACGGTGGCAGGCAAGAGAGTGTGTGCAGAGGAACTGCCCTTTATAAAACCATCAGATCTCATGAGACTTATTCACTACCATAAGAAGAGCACAGAAAAAACCCTGCCCCTGTGATTCAATTACCTCCCACTGGGTCCCTCCCATGACATGTGGGGATTATGGGAGCTACAATTCAATATGAGATTTGGGTGGGGACACAGCCAAACCATATCATTCTGCCTCTGGCCCTTCCAAATCTCATTTCAAAACCAATCATGCCTTCCCAATAGTCCCCCAATCTTAACTTATTTCAGCATTAACTTAAAAGTCCACATTCCGAAGTCTAATCTGAGACAAGGCAAATCCCTCCCACCTATGAGCCTGTAAAATCAAAAGCAAGTTAGTTACTTCCTATATACAATGGGGGTACTGGCATTGGGTAAATACACCCATTTTAAATGGAAGAAATTGGCCAAAACAAAGGGGCCTCAGGCACCATGCAAGTCCAAAATCCTGTGGTGCAGTAAAATCTTAAAACTCCAAAATGATCTCCTTTGACTTTATGTCTCACATCCAGATCATGCTGATGCAAGAGGTGGGTCCCCATGGTCTTGCACAGCTCTGCCCCTGTGGCTTTGCAGGGTACAACCCCCATCCTGGCTGCATTCATGGGCTGGCATTGAGTGTCTGTGGCTTTTCAGGAGCACAGTGCAAGCTGTCAGTGGATCTACCATTCTGGGGTCTGAAGGTGTAGGCCCTCTTCCCATAGCTCCACTAGGCAGTGCCCCAGTGGGGACTCTGTGTGGTGCCTCCCACCCCATATTTTCTTTCCCCACTGTCTTAGCAGAGGTTCTCCATGAGGGCGTTACCCCTGCATCACACCTGTGCCTGAACATCCTAGGTATTTTCACACATCCTCTGAAATCTAGGCAAAGGTTCCCAAACCTCAATTCTTGACTTCTGTGTACCCACAGGCTGAACACCACATGGAAGCTGCCAAGGCTTGGGGCTTTCACCCTGTGAAGCTATGGCCCAAGCTGTACCTTGGCCCCTTTTAGCCATGGCTGAAGCAACTGGGATGCAGGGCACCAAATCCTGAGGCTGCACACAACAGGGGCGCCCTGGACCCAGCCCAGGAAACCATTTTTCCCTCCTAGGCCTCCAAGTCTGACGAAGGTATCTGACATGGCCTGGAGACATTTTCCCCATTGTCTTGGCAATTAGCATTAGGCTAATTGTTACTTATACAAATTTCTGCTGCAGTCTTGAATTTCTCTCCAGAAAAAGGGTTTTTCTTTTCTACTGCATCCTTGGTCTGCAAATTTTCCAAATTTTTATGCTCTGCTTCCTCTTGAACACTTTGCCACTTAGAAATTTCTTTCTCCAGATACCCTAAATCATCTCTCTCAAGTTCAAAGTTCTACAGATCTCTAGGGCAGGAGAAAAATGCTACCAGTCTCTTTGCCTAGGAAGAGTGACCTTACTTGAGTTCCCAATAAGTTCCTCATCTCCATCTGAGACCATCTCAACCTGGACTTTATTGTCCATATCACTGTTAGCATTTTGTTCAAAACCATTCAATGAGTCTCTAGGAAGTTCCAAGCTTTCCCACATCTTCCCATCTTCTGAGCCCTCCAATTCTGTAGACAGTTTCAAACTCTCATATATTTTCCTATCTTCTTCTGAGCCTTTCGAGCTGTTCCAACCTCTGCATGTTACCAAGTTCCAAAGTTGCTTTCACATTTTCAGGTGTCTTTGCAGCAGCACCCCACTCCAAATACCAGTTTTCTGTATTAGTTCATTCTCATGCGGCTATAAGGACATACGTGAGACTCGGTAATTTATTTTTTTAAAAAAAAGGTTTAATAGGCTCACAGCTCCACATGGCTGGGGAGGCCTCACAATCATGGCAGAAGGTGAAGAAGGAGCAAAGGCACATCTTACATGGTGGCAGGCAAGAGAGCACGTGCAAGAGAAATGCCTTTTCTAAAACCATCAGCTCTCATGAGACTTATTCACTATCATGAGAACAGCACAGGAAAAACCCACGCCCATGATTCAATTACCTCCTACCAGGTCCCTCCCATGACATGTGGGGATTATGAGAGCTACAATTCAAGATGAGAGCTGGGTGGGGACACAGCCAAACCATATCATATCTTAAAACTTCCAATCTAGTTTGGGGAAGGCCAACATAAATATTAATTGCTCTAACATGAGGTAACTGACTAGTGTAAGAATTAACTATTTATGGGTATACAGTGAAAAAAGAAAACCTTTGCTATTTAAAACCAAAACAGCCTTCTCAAGAGAATAGGGCTTGCTAAATGAGAGGCATTTTAGTTGTCCAGAGCATCTTATTCTTATATAGTTATGCTATATAAGAAGGCATGGAACTCAGAGCAGGCGTAAGTCTCTTGAAGACCCAAATTGCTCAATCCTCCCACTAATCAACACTCTTATCTAGAGTTCATTACTTCACAATTCCCTGCTTTTAGGATTCCTAGGACCTGTTTTTTATGTTTCTTTCTTTAGGTATTTGACCGTCATAATGGAGCAAGAAGAGCAAAGTTGTAAGCACTAATTCAGGCCTTAAACCAAACAGTAACATTTGATGTGTTTGCTTGAATTGTTCTTTACCTTAAGGATTTTCCAAGTCTATTAAGCAAGTCTCTTACCAGGCAAGGGCTTTCCTTCGTACACACTGTTTGTCCTCCTTGATGGAGGTGGGGTTTATGACGCATTGTCTGTTATGATCTCTCAATAAAAGCCTCTGCCTCATATGCTGGGTTTTAGTCACAGCTGAAAGCACTATGGAAATTGTTTTTTTTTTCTTTCTTCCATTATCATATATCTTTTCCTTTACTGCCCTAAAAAGGTGTTAACATGACTCTTAGCAATGAAGGGCAGTTTTTCTTATCTGGGCCTAGGTTGCAGCATACTAATGTAAGATATTAGGAGGATGCTAAATTATCCCATTTCTTTAAAAAATGACACATAAAAGGTATTTCACGTGGTAGCACCAACCAAATCATATCTGACCCACCCCACTAGTGACATTTATGGAGAAACAGGGCTATTGTTGGCTGCTTGCAGAGAGGAAAGTGTCTTTGTCATATAATTGATATTCTCAAATCCTGTAAACATCATGCCCTCTAGAGAGCTATATTTTAGAGTCCAGTGAGGTCATCGTTTGTTCAGAAATTTTGGGGAGTTGGCAAGCGGATTTGGAGTGCTGAATATGTAGCCCTTGGGTACCAAATATTCAGGACTAGATGTTTGATTATCTGTGTCTTTGTGAATGCAATCTCAAATGCCAAGATTTTAATCAGATATATTAGAAAGGTAGTTTCAACTCCTGGAATAACAGAACAGTGATTCTCAGTCTCTAGTGTGCCTAAGAATCACGCAGAGAGTGTATTGAAACAGATTCCTGGACTCCCACCTCCAAGATTCTGATTCAGTGAGTTTGTGGTAGGGCCCAAAAATCAGTAATTCTAGGAAGCCTCCAGGTAATACAGATATGTTGAATCATGTACACAAATGATGACATAGAGTATTTAGGTTAGGAGGCAAAATATAAGATATCCCTTCTTTCTGATGCACATTGTATATTTTTATAATTTCCATTAGAGATTGAATGTTTTTGCAGGGGTTACCTTCTTCCAGTTGCTCAAATTGTCAAACATATTGAAGCCGTTAAGATTTTGCACCTGATGTTTAATCTGTCTGAAATCTCTTTCATTATCTGTTGGTGTGGCTCATTTTTTAAGCCTCAGTTTAAAGGACATTTCCTGTGAAGATTTTTCTCAGTTCTTGTTTGCTGAGTCCCTTTCATTGTGTTCCCTGAACATTCTGGACTTTCTGTATTACTCATTATCTTTTCATATTGTTCATCATATGTCTTACTACTTAGATGGAATCTTCATGAAGTTCTAAACTTTCTCTAGCAAGCTCACTATTACATCTCCAAAATCAAGCAACGGAATTAGCACATGGTAATTGTACCATAACTATTTATTAATTGGGCAAAAGACTCAAAACTCTAAGAATCAGAACAGAGTCACACAGCCCTTCAGAAATCATCTGGTTAACAGATCCATTGTAATAGTGCAGACTTAGTACCCAGAGAGAAAAATAAGACTGGTCTAATATATCCCAACTAGTGCATACTTCCTTCTTATGTCTTTTCCCTAGCCCCAAATTTATGAAATTGGAATATTGTCAAAAAGAAGACAAGAATTTGATGCACAAATAGAAACTGATTTAAATACAGGTAACATAGCGTCTGTAGTCTCCAGACTTCTTCACTGAAAAAGAGTATGAAGTTAGGGCACGTTTCTATCACTGCATGAAAATGGCTAGCTCATTGCTCCTTCCTATACAGTTGCAAGACCTCAGCATGCCTCCCTCCTCAAAAATCTTCATGCAGTTTCTGGGTATCATAGGTTGAGTCTCCCCTACTTTAACTAGAGATTTGCATGGAGGTATTTATTGGGGAGTGTTTTCAAAGAACAGTTGTAAAGGCATGAGGTAGGCAACATGAACAGAAAGAGAAGTAAAAAGGCAACTTTGTAAGATATGAAGAAGAACTGGAACTCCATTCTCTGAAAGTGGTCAGAAATTGATAACAATCACCTCTCTTGATTGTGCACTCTATTTTTTCTTGTTTAAGCAAATGTTCACAACATAGGCTCAAATAAAGCCAACTAGAAAGATTCTGGGAACGAAGGTGCCAGGGCTAAATAAGCCATATTGAATAACATGGATTGAGCAATATGTTATAGGCCCTACATTCTTTCTCATTTATTTCTCACCACAGTTTTTTGAGGTTGATTTTACAATGGTTAAGAGATAAATACTTCTTATGAGTTAGGTAAGAAACAGTCACAAAGGCCATGCATTTTTCAAAAAGCTCATACATTTACCAAATGGAGTAGCTACAAAGTGAACCTAGATTTATCTAATTGTGTAAAATCTCATGGTTTTTTTTATTATACTTTAAGTTTTAGGGTACATGTGCACAACGTGCAGGTTTGTTACATATGTATACATGTGCCATGTTGGTGTGCTGCACATGCACACGTATATTTATTGTGGCACTATTCACAATAGCAAAGACTTGGAACCAACCCAAATGTCCAACAATGATAGACTGGATTAAGAAAATGTGGCACATATACACCATGGAATACTATGCAGCCATAAAAAATGATGAGTTCATGTCCTTTGTAGGGACATGGATGAAGCTGGAAACCATCATTCTCAGCAAACTATTACAAGCTCATGGTTTTAACTGGAATCCATTTCCAGAATGATGAGAGAAAATAAAATCAAATTAGATAAGAAGTAGTGAAAGAACCTGGGAATGTTTAACATGGAGAAGTTGAGGCTTATGACAGAGGGACAGAAATAATCAGCATTTTCAATTCTTGAAGGGCTATCATCTGTATAGAGGGAAGATTAGTATGGAAGAGGACCAGAATTGTAGCAAGGCAAGTGGCACTGAATATTAGGACTGGCATTTTGATTATTGGAATTGTTGAAAAATATAATGGGGATACCTATGGGAGCAATGATTACATAATTATTGAACCCTGGTATTCTTGTGTGGGAGACACAATGGTGAACATGTCACAATGATGTGCTCAGAAAACGTACAGTTTGATAGGGGAAATAGAGTCAGGTAAGTGTCCCATTATTGTAAAGCATCAAGCTGGACATTTACGTGATGACCCTGTTGATTGTGAAACCAAGTATCCAGTTGGAATGGTCAACCTTAACACTTTACAAACTATATTTTGCAAAATCCAAGTGTTTCCTAGCATGTCAATATGTGGCAAGAAGGAAAATTATTCTGCAGTCAAGTGAGTTTGGGAAACAAAGTCAAATGAGCATCTTTGTAAGATTTATCAGAGCTTTGAAAACAGGCATGGTGGCTCTTCAATAAACTTGTATAGTAGCCACTGATTCACAAACTTGACTGACCACGAAATCCCTTTTCCATGGACACTTATTAATATGAAATTAGGGGAAGTCTAGTGAGGTCATAATCTCAATTTCTCTATCATTCTGAAATTCTCTAATTCCTCAAGCACAAAATGAGTCAAGGAACTTAAAACGTAGCACTAATCTTGGAAACAAATTCACTGGCCCTTCTTAAATAATTTCCTTCTATATTCTGAGCCTCAGTTTAGTGTCACTAGCTGAAAAAAAAATTGCTGAAACTCTTTATCTCCAATATCTTGTGGTTTTATGGAGGCTTCAGGGCACCAAAGATGGGTTTTACCTACTTGACAGTTCTCCTGGGCCTGCCTTCTTCTAATGCTAGCAAGTGTCCAACCTGGTGGCTTTGAGCGAGTGCATATTGTTTCTGGTTCCTGTTCTGCTGGATAGCAGCTTGAAGACAGGAAGCCAAAAAGACCTCCCATTCTGGAGGTTTCCAAATTGGTTTTGCAGACCTCAGCAATTCAGAATGTTTGAAGACACTGCAGAGATGTGCAGTTCTGCGGTTGACCCCTCTCAAATAGTACATAATTCTGAAAAAACTTGGAGCTCCTCCATAAAGCCATATTTCAGTTGCACATTTTAGGCATGTGACTTCAGCCAAAAGCCATAATATAGCACTGCAGAGGATTTTTTCTTTCAAAAATATGCATTTGGACAAAACTTAGGAACCTAAAATTACAGGAATTGAATGTAACTTCTATGTTAACCAAAGTGCTACAGATCAAATAATAAATCACAGAAATGTAGAGTGTGATGTCCTCCTAGGGATTTGCCAGTTCAAAGTTTCAGATAAGACTTCAATCTTTCTTATATACCTGTGAAGTCATTACTTTCTTCCTTGCCCATGCTTTTGAATAGTTTGTTATTTTTCATTTTTATTTGATTTTTTAAAAGTTTTAATCAACTTTTATTTTAAGTTCCAGTGTACATGTGCAGGATGTGCAGGTTTGTTACATAGGTAAATATATACCATGGTAGTTTGATGCATAGATCAAACCATCACCCAAGTATTAAGCCCAGCACCCATTGGCTGTTCTTTCTGATGCTCTCCACAACCCTGCGTCCTCAATAGGCCCCAGTGTGTGTTGTTCCCCCACAATGTGTCCAAATGTTCTCATCATTCAGCTCTCACTTATAAGTGAAAACATACGGTGTTTGGTTTTCTGTTCCTGCATTAGTGTGCTGAGGAGGACAGCTTCCAGCTCCGTCCATGTCCCTGCAAAGGACATGATCTCATTCCTTTTTATGGCTGCATAGTATTCCATGATAATATATATATGTACCAAGTTTTCTTTATACAGTCTATTATTGATGGGCATGTGGAATAGCATGTTAATTCTCAGGCAGGCCAATCTGATATCATGCAACTCTTCTTATTTCAATGGCCTCTCTTTCTTATACATATATCTTCTATTATGTCCATCTGTATTTCTTGCTCAGTATTCTGAGGATGCAAAGGGAAAAAATTTATTCTCTCCTTTATAAACTGGTCTTGAGTTTTGAAGAAAAAAAAGCATCTCCCTCTATGATATTTTAATCTTTCAACATAAACATTCCCTGTTTCTTTATTGGAAGTAATCAGACCAACCAGAAGAAAGCATAGCTTTTGAATTTAGAAAGTGCCAGAGTTCTAAACTCTTCTCTTTCACCTGAACACTAATGACCTGGAATTCTCTACTTAGTGTTGGTGAGCCTCATCTTTCACATTTTAAGATAATGGAAATAATGACTACATAACAGGATTATTGTGAGAAATAAAGAAGGCAAGTATGAAGACTTCTCCATGGTAAGCAATCAGTACACTATACTCTCCACGTTCCCCACTGGCTTTTCTTCTTTCTTTATACTGATATGATATGATATGATATGATATGATATGATATGATATGATATGATATGAATTCATACCCATTTGTCATGCAATGTCCCTGCTTGTCTCCCAAGAAAACCCAGGGTCTGGAGGTAAACATAATTCTAGATAAATTGGCAAGCTGGCATCTTACCTCCTTGATTTAGGCCATTACATGTTTATTATTGCAAGTATTCTATAATACTAAAACATCTAATTTTTCTTTGGACATTATAATGCAGACCAAAGAAAGAAGACCTTGGATATTTTCAATACAATATTAATATCGGTGAGAGTGCATTTGAGGAAGTCAAAGCAGCCAGTGTACTCAGACAATAACTAATTTCCTTAAGGATTATTTTATTATGCACTCAGTGTTCTGAAATGCCAATATCTGCAGATGCAGTGTGATTACTTTGCCTTTTTCATTTCAATTATTCTTTAAGAAGAGTGATCATTTTTCATTATAGAGTAAAAACTTATATGTTCTGGACTAACTTAATAGAACAAAACAACAAAACATCTTCTCTCTGTGAAGTCTGACATCAGATTTAATCACGTTGGAGGAAATGCAGGTCACTGGACTGGAATGTGGGGGCCTGGGTCTGGTCCCAGCTCTGCACTGAATTGACATGTGGCTTTGCTAAGCCAAAGCTTGTCCTTCTGTGATCCTCAGTGTCTCTCATCCGATCATTAAGGATGAATTAGGTGATGACTATGGACTCTTTTTCACTCTTTATTCTAGTGTTACAACAGGAAAGAGCCTAATCAGGGAAGCTACACTCAATAGCCAATCTAAGGAGTTTCCCGTAAGAGGGGAGCAGAAAACACCCATTCAATCTTAAAAGATGTGCAGAAACTGAAGATTGAGTGTGGAAATTGAGGAGATGAACATTACCTCTTTTCTATCTGAGAGGGGAAAGCAACATGATCAAGATGTATGCAAATCAAGCTATTTACCAATAAAGAACCAGAATGTATGTCTCTTGCCTCCCAGGCCAATTTTCTTTCCATCCTATCTTTCTGTCCCCAGAAACTACTCAGATATGTCTCTGTTTCTTTTGTCTTACCTGTCTATAATTCTGTATCAATACTAAATAAGGATGTAGAAAATGTATGACATTCATAGCATGTCATCTTCAGATGTTATGCCAAAACAAAAATGTTGCCCTGAAATTTAGCTCTTGCATTAGATAAGTTTTACATTTGAAAGCACATTTCTCTCTCTTAAAAAATTATTCTGTGAAGTTATAAAAATTCTTTCCACAAAGTTTCCTAGGTTGTATGCTATAAACTGCACATCTATACTTTGAATTTCTCTTATAAAATCTATTTGATTAAAATATAGAAAAGCATGGTATCATAGAAAAAGTATAGAATCAAGAGGGATTCAGGGTATGACTTATTGATGCTGCATCTTAGAAGTTCTATGACCTTGAACAAATATTTCACCAGAATATGCCTCAGTTTTCTTATATAGAAAGGATATAAAACGCCTCAGTTTCTTTATATGAAAAGGATAAAGTGCCCATCTCATAGAGTTGTTGTTAAGACTTAAACAAGATGGGATATTAAAATCCCTTTCACAGTGCCAGGCATATGGGGGTCTTAATGAATTTACAATAAGTATTTTAAGTGAGAATTGACCCAAAGCAAAATTTTGTAAACACTACTCTCAATGCCCTTCAGTGAGGCTTATTTGAATGATTTTTAACCAAAGTTCCTAATTCCCAGAATGTATCTGAAAAAAGTCTTTCAGTGACTTGAATTTATATTTGGGCATGTGAACTATCACCAGCCTAAAAATCACGTTCATCCACTTTTCCTAATTTAAAGTTTTCTCATATAATATAGTTCAGTTGCACTCCAATTTTTCTATTTCCCTTTTTCACTCATAAAAAATAAATTTAAAAATATCTACACTTCGGCCGGGTGCAGTGGCTCATGCCTGTAATCCCAGCACTTTGTGAATCCGAGGCAGGTAGATCACCTGAGATCAGGAGTTTGAGACAAGCCTGGCCAACATGGTGAAACCCTGTCTCTACTAAAAATACAAAAATTAGCTGGGTGTGGTAGTGCATGCCTGTAATCCTAGCTACTGGGGAGGCTGAGGCAGGAGGATCACTTGAGCCCTGGAGGAGCAGGTTGCAGTGAGCCAAGACTGAGCCACTGCACTCCAGCCTGGGTGACAGAGTAAGACTCCATCTCAAAAAAAAAAAAAAAAAAAAAATCTCTACACTCTAACATATTTCATAAATCCACAAAATAGACATCTACAGAGAGATACAGTAAGGGGACAGAAATATCCAATTCACGTCACTTTCATCTTTGGACTAATGAAGCAGAGGAGAGAAAAATTTCTCTGATAGTCTTAAGTATAAGTGATTCAAAGCTATCTCAATACTTGAATATATTTCTGAGACAATCCAATTAAACAGACGGATGGTGCCTTTTCACTTTCGGAAACATTTGCACAATGTGGTGGGTTACTCAAAGCAAACCATTCACTGTTTCTTTCCTTTTAATACCAGAAAAGTTTACAGAGAGAGTGACAGGAATCACAGAACTCCACCTTTGTGTCAGGCCCCATGTCAGGCTCTTTATAATCCTTAGCACATGAAATGATCACACAGACTCAGTGAGTTAGATATTTGGTGCCCATTTTACAGATGAGAAAACTCAAGCCCAGAGAGAAAGTATTTTTTTTCAATTTTTCATAGCTTGAAATTCTAAATCTTTCTTAAATTTGAAATAGGTCTAGTAAGATTGTAACTCATATTTCTTGGTTTGCTTAGCTGGAATGCTATTCTTCAAGCTTTAAAGCCACAAAGGTCCATAATTTAAAGATTAATTTTCTTTTCATTTTGCCATGTTTTCTCACAATCCACCATTTCCACTTTTCTTGTCATGCTATTGCTAACTCTTAAACCTTCTTCAAGGGTTTAATGAAATGCCACCTTCTCAACAAAGCACACATTGTCCACCACATTGAAACTTGCAACACCTGTGCCTTCTTGCAGAGACCACTTACCTTGGTCTACATTGTCTTGTTTTTCCAGAACGTGTTTTAATGTCTAACAAGCTGAATGATCTACTTATTTATTATGTTTGCTGTTCCTTGTATCTTCCTCTAGAATATCAGCAATAAAAAAGCAGGGACTCATGCCTACTTTTGTTTACCAGTGTATTCTAATCATCTATAATAATGCCAGGCACATCTAAAGAGCTGAGTAATATTTGTTGTACAAATTACTAATTGAGCATGTCATTCCCTCTATTGTTATTAAATGTAGCTTCAGAATCCTTCTCAACACAGCCTTATGTTTAGCCACTACCACTAGATCTGAATGGATATTTTAATTACAACTCAAATACTATGCACCTGTTTCCTTATTGTAAATTTAAATGGAGTTGTTGTCATCTACTATACGGCTGTCAGAAGGAGTGAGTGAGTCAATATATGTAAAGTGCTTAGCACAATGCATGGTCTTTAGTAGGTACTCAATAATTATTTCTAACTATTATTTGATGACTTTTATTTATCTGGCTTATAGTACGTTGTTTTTTTGTTTGTTTGTTTGTTTTTGAGACAGAGTTTTGCTCTTGTTGCCCAGGCTGGAGTAAAATGGCGCAATCCCGGCTCACTGCAACCTTCACCTCCCATGTTCAAGTGATTCTCCTCACTCAGCCTCCTGAGTAGCTGGGACTACAGGAGCATGCCACCACACCCAGATAATTTTTATATATTTTTTTTTAGTAGAGACAGGGTTTCACCATGTTGGCCAGGCTGGTCTAGAACTCCTGACCTCAGGTGATCCACCCGTCTCAGCCTCCCAAAGTGCTGGGGTTACAAGCGTGAGCCAATGCACCTGGTCTATAGTACATGTTTCTAAACAGTTCTAGTGAAAGAATATATAAAAATCTATCTTATTAATAGAATCACCTTGATTTTCCCCATATTCTGATGTGAAAATTTAATACTAGCTCATTAAAGAAAGAAGCC
Source organism: Homo sapiens (assembly GCF_000001405.40). Taxonomy (NCBI): domain Eukaryota; kingdom Metazoa; phylum Chordata; class Mammalia; order Primates; family Hominidae; genus Homo; species Homo sapiens. The sequence continues at coordinate 115,772,426 of NC_000009.12, read as the reverse complement.
TTTCTCATTCCTTCAAAGCAGAATCATTTGTTAACTCATTTTATTCCCATAGTACCTAGTACATGCAACTCTTTATATCTCATCTCACAATCATGCATTTATTAGCTACTTTATCCATGAGACAATGAATTTTTCCATGACAGGGTCACTGTCTTGTTACTTTCTCTGTTCCCATTTCCTCAGATGGTGTCTGGCACATGGTATAAACTTAGTACATGTTTGTTATATTACTAATATCATGATAGCATTTAGGTGCAGGAGGTATGCTTGAAAATTACCAAGTTCCATCCCTATAGTACAGATGGGGATACTGAGGCTCAGAGAAGAGAAAGGAATCACTGAAATAATGCATCTCTATAGTACAGATGGGGATGCCGAGGCTCATGGACTGGAAATGAATCACTGAAAGCATACAGTTATTGTCTAAGTTAGGCCTATAACCCAATTTTATAAAATATAAATCCTTGCTGATTTAAACTGTCTGCTTTTCAATTAAGTGTGTCTTAACATAATTCATTTACTTTTTTCTCCTTTAATTTCATGGTTAACATTGAAGATGCAACTCTGTTAAAAGTCAAGTTTACATGACCATTTTCTTTTGGAAGAAAATTCTGGCTGGCTAATTCTACATGAAGTAGAATTATCAGAGTAAATAGTGCACAAGTTTGACAATGTATAATATCTAGTCAGTGACTGAAATGAAATTGGGAAAGCTGAGTTACTAAGTCTGTCCTAGAATCAAAGAACCTAGGTTGGCTATCTGTACTTAAGAGGAAAGACACTCTATTATGTTTGAATCTGTTCCTCTCCCAAAGTATGGCTGGGGTCTTTCATGTACTTGACTGTCATTAAACATTTGTTGCATTTACCTGCATCTAGTCCAAGTGCTCATTAAGTATGGGAATCTCTACCCCTTATTTAACTTACCAGTCTTATCCTAACCTCAGATTGCATGTGTCCAGTAACAGAGCATTGACTACCTCTGAAGAGTCACTGTGGGACTATTAGCTGCAATGAATTGAACTGAGAAATGTCTCATGGTAACTTTGATCTACTGGCCAGAGTTCTCTTGTCTGGACCACAAAGCACATCAAATCTTTCCCCCCACAGCAGATGAGATGATATTTGGAAAGAGTAACCACTGCCTCCACCTCACCCCACGCACAAACCTAACCAAGTCATCTCTCCTCCAGGGAAAATGTCCCTCTGGCTCAAGCTATTTTAAATGAATAGTAAGCCAAAAATTTCTAGTCCCTTTCTTTTCTTTGATGGCATAATTGCTTTGATTTACCATGAAAGATTGTTTTTGGACTTTCAAAATGAAAGGGTGAGTTGACCAGTAACAAACATATCATTCAATGGTGTCTTTCAGACACAGTCTCATTCCATATTATTTAAGTGGTGTGTGGGAAAGGAAACGGAAATAGCATTTATGGAATACCTACTCTGCTTTGGTCACATTACATTGATTACATTCTGGGATCTTCACAACACTTTTAAGTACATATTATTATTATACTCTATTTCATAGGTGAGAAAACTGAGACTCGGTGGTTTTAAGTAACTTGCTCTAAGCCAAACTAGAGCTGGAAATTGAACTCAGGTCTACTAAATTCCTTAGGCTATTCTGGCACTTTGTCTAGTGGTCTCCTGTCTCAGGGTGCACAACTGTGGTCAAATCTCCACTTCTTTAACATGCCTATGAATACCTCCCACAAACCATAAACAATGTGGTCTTCCAGTAAATCTTCCATAAACTTACTAGAAAGGCCACAAGTGTCCAGTGGAATGATGCATCTTGCCCAGGGATCTGTATATCAACATGGCCTTAAAGGACAGACCAATGCGACCACTGATATTCCATGTAAGATCAAAGAAAAATCCCAAAACTGAATGCCTTAGTTAACATTTTAAACTGATTCCCCTGGTGAAATTTTCCCTGTGAATAAATGACACAGTCAGAGTCCTATCATTCGCACCTTTGGCTACATTTCCTCTACACATCTGAACTCTCACTGACACTCGGTCTACAAAAGGCTTCTCATGCTTGCACTCTTCAGCTCTATTGTAATTGTCTTTATTAAGTGCACCCTCTTCATTCATTTGTCCTCATTATTTTACTTCCTCCTACTTGGTCAATCTTGCTGCAGCTATATTTACTCCAGTTTATCCTCCAAAGTGTATCAAGAGAGACATTTCTGAATGATATCTGATCAGGTTACCTCCTTGGTCAATAGGTCTTCAGTACTATTAGAGGTAACAGACATCTTATTTTCATTTACAGGAGACACCACTAAAGTAACACTGCCTCTTGTTTCTTAGCCTAATTTTACTCTCTCCTTCCCATAGAGGAGGAGTGAGTAAACCAATTGCTAGGTGACAAAGTTTGGGCTACATTTCTTAATTGGGTAGAGTTAATCTATTGAAAGGCCATAAACACAAAGAATTTTTTATTTCTCCCCTCTCTGCTAGGGATATAGCACACTGTGACTTAGTCCATCATGAGGTAAGAAAGTGTACTTTTCAGTCTTTAATACATCTTGAATTAATTTTTGTATAAGGTGTAAGGAAGGGATCCAGTTTCAGCTTTCTACATATGGCTAGCCAGTTTTCCCAGCACCATTTATTAAATAGGGAATCCTTTCCCCATTGCTTGTTTTTCTCAGGTTTGTCAAAGATCAGATAGTTGTAGATATGTGGCGTTATTTCTGAGGGCTCTGTTCTGTTCCATTGATCTATATCTCTGTTTTGGTACCAGTACCATGCTGTTTTGGTTACTGTAGCCTTGTAGTATAGTTTGAAGTCAGGTAGCGTGATGCCTCCAGCTTTGTTCTTTTGGCTTAGGATTGACTTGGCGATGCGGGCTCTTTTTTGGTTCCATATGAACTTTAAAGTAGTTTTTTCCAATTCTGTGAAGAAAGTCATTGGTAGCTTGATGGGGATGGCATTGAATCTATAAATTACCTTGGGCAGTATGGCCATTTTCACAATATTGATTCTTCCTACCCATGAGCATGGAATGTTCTTCCATTTGTTTGTATCCTCTTTTATTTCATTGAGCAGTGGTTTGTAGTTCTCCTTGAAGAGGTCCTTCACATCCCTTGTAAGTTGGATTCCTAGGTATTTTATTCTCTTTGAAGCAATTGTGAATGGGAGTTCACTCATGATTTGGCTCTCTGTTTGTCTGTTATTGGTGTATAAGAATGCTTGTGATTATAAAAACCCTAGAAGAAAACCTAGGCATTACCATTCAGGACATAGGCATGGGCAAGGACTTCATGTCTAAAACACCAAAAGCAATGGCAACAAAAGACAAAATTGACAAATGGGATCTAATTAAACTAAAGAGCTTCTGCACAGCAAAAGAAACTACCATCAGAGTGAATAGGCAACCTAAAAAATGGGAGAAAATTTTCACAACCTACTCATCTGACAAAGGGCTAATATCCAGAATCTACAATGAACTCAAACAAATTTACAAGAAAAAAACAAACAACCCCATCAAAAAGTGGGTGAAGGACATAAACAGACACTTCTCAAAAGAAGACATTTATGCAGCCAAAAAACACATGAAAAAATGCTCACCATCACTGGCTATCAGAGAAATGCAAATCAAAACCACAATGAGATACCATCTCACACCAGTTAGAATGGTGATCATTAAAAAGTCAGGAAACAACAGGTGCTGGAGAGGATGTGGAGAAATAGGAATGCTTTTACACTGTTGGTGGGACTGTAAACTAGTTCAACCATTGTGGAAGTCAGTGTGGCAATTCCTCAGGGATCTAGAACTAGAAATATCATTTGACCCAGCCATCCCATTACTGGGTATATACCCAAAGGACTATAAATTATGCTGCTATAAAGATACATGCACACGTATGTTTATTATGGCACTATTCACAATAGCAAAGACTTGGAACCAACCCAAATGTCCAACAATGATAGACTGGATTAAGAAAATGTGGCACATATACACCATGGAATACTATGCAGCCACAAAAAATGATGAGTTCATGTCCTTTGTAGGGACATGGATGGAATTGGAAATCATCATTCTCAGTAAACTATCACAAGAACAAAAAACCAAACACCGTATATTCTCACTTCTAGGTGGGAACTGAACAATGAGAACACATGGACCCAGGAAGGGGAACATCACACTCTGGGGACTGTTGTGGGGTAGGGGGAGGGGGGAGGGATAGCTTTAGGAGATATACCTAATGCTAAGTGACGAGTGAATGGGTGCAGCACACCAGCATGGCACATGTATACATATGTAACTAACCTCCACATTGTGCACATGTACCCTAAAACTTAAAGTATAATAATAATAATAAAATAAAAAATAAATAAATAAATAAATAAATGCATACTAAATTATAATTATCATAAGAAAAAAAAAAGAAAGTGTACTTTTCAGACTAGAGTTTTCTCCTATCCTGTGAGTAGAGGTAAATGGGTTTTGTTGGAGTAACAAGAGAGCCCCCAAATCTCAGTGACTTAAAACATTAAGTGTAAATTTCTCACTTATGCTGTATGTTGGTGAGAGTCAGTCATAGTACAGCTTTATATCATTTTTACCCTAGGCCACAGGCTGATGTGTTAGCTTCTATCTGGACCATTGTTGGTCATCAGGGCAGAGAGGAGGAAAAAGCAGATACACTGAGCCTCTTACTGGCTCTAAAAGCTCCTGCTTATACACTTGTCACTTCTGCCTACATCCCACTGCACAAAAAAGTCATTTGACCATACCTGAGTTTTAAACTGTGGGCTGGCATATCCCATCACAAGTAGGGGTATTGCAAGGAGGGGCATCAAACATGAGTGAACATATTACCACACCTGGAACTCTCCCCAGTCTAGACCGGAGAGTGAAAGAGGGAGCATTAGCAAGCCCATTTAGTCTTCTGCCAAATGATCTGACCTAGGATTTATTTATTAAAAAGAAAAATCTGACATTTTAAGTTGACACGCACAAAGTGGAAGTGATTTGTTTTACTCTGCAAAGCTTGTGAGCCTTAGAGCAAGGACTAGAAGCTCACATTCTTTCCACTAAATCAGATTGCTTCTCAAGCTTCATTGCCTATGCCTGGCACAAAGTAGGTGTCCAGTACACGCTTGTAGAATTGAATCAAATTTATATATGACCCACTGGTCAATCTCACACTGAAATGCATTTTCTCAGTTCTATAAACACAGCTCCCACCTGTGTTCTATACTCCAGGAAATTCTGCCACACTCTTAACACAGAGCCTCCACAGTAAGTAAATCCCATACCCTCACCTAGTCTGCCTAGAAACACACTTTGGTTCCTATATTGGTGTCATATCAACAGACTCCCAAAACAATAAGTGAAAAACAGACAACTGTCTTAGCAACAGGAAAAGCCTCCACGTGCCACCCCTAATTCTCGGTTTAATATTAATCTATTTTTCTATTTCTAGGCCAACAATCATCTCCCTCAAGCCTCAAACCTTTTCCACTCTGGAGGAAAGACTAGGTATTTCTCAAATTCATTTAATGTGTTTTTCCTTCTCTTCAGTCATCTTCCCTGGTAACGTCTTCCATATGTCTGTGGGCCATTGTGTTAAAGAGTTCTGCCCAAAGTCCTTATTTATTCGGAGTGGATTGGAATGGCAGCCTTAAGTCTGGTATTTCCTCACGTTTGACAGCTTGAATTACAGACTTTGGGTACATTTAACGTAATCCATTCATGTGGAATGGCTGTTGTTCCTCTCATAGTAGTTTAAAAATATAAATATTTACAAACCCCTAAGACAAAAGCTCTTACTGACAAGGTCTCTAAAGCAACAGCTTCATGGACAGGAACATTTCCACTTAGATATTTCCACTGACAGTTTCAATTCTCCTGGGTCATGTGTACTCCATTTAATGCTAATGGAATCTTTGCAAAATCATTGAAACTTATCTCTCTATATATCCAAATAGGGAAGGGAACGGGGCAGGAGTAAGGGAGAGATTTTCTTAGCAGAATACAGTCAGCTCCTTTAAGGCAAGCCAGCAATGAAGTTCCTGGAACTGTAGGGAATGTCTGAACCCATGGGAATTCCTACTACTTGAGTGCCGTCTCTGTTCCATTACTATGATAAACACTTGATACCTCACACTCTTTTATTTGTATACAAATAAAGCTTTGAGAGATAAATGGACTCATCCAATGTCAAATAGGTAGCAAGCGGAAATTCAAGGGTTTGATCACAGACCTTATGCTTTCACAGAGGACTAGATGGACTAGGAGAATATTATAATTAAGTTGTTTAAATACAGAGATACCAGATAATGCTGCAAGAATCTAAGCTTTTGAAATATTTTCTCTCACCCACATATAACCTACAACAGCTACATTAGATTGCCTCTATTCATGTCAATTTCCTTCACTTTATCAACATCTAACTCTCTCTGTTCTTCTCTTTAATGAGCTCTCAATCTATATTAGTTGGGATTGGTTTCTGTTGTATACAAGGGAAATAAATAACAATGCTTTAAAAGAAGATAGATGATCAGCTGTCTTCATTATGAAGCACACTGTGGGATGGAGGTATGAATTTAGTATGATGAGTCTGTTTAGATCAGTGACATAGGAGGTTTTACTTCTCTATTCCATCATTCCTGGGGTATGTACCTCAACCTCATGGACCAAAATGGCTGCACAGTGGCAACCTTTAAAACACTGTTCCAAGCATCAGAAAGAAAAAATAGGTTAGGATGGGTACACAGCTTCTCTTTTAGGGATAAGTACCCCATATACACTACATCAGGTTATATCTCTTTTGCCAGAACATCGTGGCATGATAACACTTAGTTACAGAAAAAGAAAGAGGATGGCAAAAATGAGCTTATAGGTGGGTGATAATGTGCTCAGCTGCAAAGTGTAGCTCAACATTACTGAGAAGAGGACTGTGAAAACTGGTCCAGTTCATTGACACTGGGAACAAAAACAGACATTCTAACTATTGCTCTAAAATGTCTGTCTTTGCTAAAAAGAATCTGAGCAGGATGAATATTGGGAATCAACCAGAAATCTTCAGGTCACTGGGATTTCAAATCCCAGCTTAAATGCCAGCATGAGGTGGTAGAAAGTGTGCTGGCTGTGGCATCAAACTGACCTGGATTCAATCCCATTTCTCTCTAAACAGATAGTTTAGAGAGGGACCCAGAGAACCAAAAGTTCAGAACACAAGATCACAACTAAGTGAGAGTGCTAGAGCAAAGGCCATGTCAGTCTGTGGCCCACTCTAGGCCCGACATGTTAACTGTAGGCAGAGAAAGTTGAGGAACCTACAGATAAGCCCTCCATCTAGGAAATGAAGGGAGATAAAAAAGCGGGGTTAGTAAAGAAAATGAAAAGGCTTTGTATTTTGAAAGTGTTCATATAAAAACAGCATGTAGAAGGTGTCCCAGCTGTAGACACAAACAGGATGCCCACCCTCTAGGTATGGAGCCCAAGGCTAATGACAAAGAGATCAGAGCCCTGGCAAGAGAAGGTCCTTAGGGGCTCCAGACAGGAGGGGGCAGAATAAAAATAATCAAGGAACCAGAGTTTGGCCAAATCCTGGGAAATCTGTGGTCAGTGATACATTAACCAGCCTTGGCCTTGCAAAGTTTTAATTGGCGTCATTTCTTATGAATGTGGCCAAGAAAACTGTAAAAAGAATAGAAAGGGACAAAAACAGAGAAAAACAAAGTCATTCATTGGGGGCCCAGTAGATTCCAAGACCAGAGATGACAGAATGAAAGCCTATGGAATTTTAACCCTTTATCTACTGATAATATCCATGTCAGTTAGTATAATGAGTTGTGCTTGGATGCTGGAATCAGAATTGGATTTATATCGTAGCCCAATGACTTTCTAACTACAGAACCTTGGGAAATTTTGTCATGTCTCTGATCCTCCCTTTTGGAAAATTTAAAAAAGAATACCTGTCTCACAGAGTGCTTATATAAATTAAAGGAGATGAGAGATTTGGAATATCATTGCAAGCTACAACATAAGCCAATGTGAGCATCTAATGCAGAGGAGTTTCATAATAGCAGGCCTTCTAATTCTCATGATTCTGAATTCAATTGCTTTCTATAGCTTGTTCTCATTTTAACCTGGCCAATTTCTTTTTTGCATTTTGGTGGTTCTATAATAGAACATTTTATTTAGCTAGTGTAGTCAAACCACTATGCTACATTGCTTAACATCTTGCCTGTTGAACAATATATACGGGGATGGGGCTGTGTAAGTTGATTGAGGTGGCAGCCAGTGATACAAAAACTGGAAATTCTAATATTCTACATTTTCTGTCTTAGAGAAAAGAGAATTTTAGAAGAATCTACAAACTTGGCCATAAAAAAACAACAGAATATTTCTACATATATGGCTGTGAAACTTACCAATAATAAAGAATGAGAACTCAAACTCCCTAATCCTGATTAAAATTTGAGTTTGAAATGAATAAGCATGGCATGCATTAGGGGAACATAATAATGTGTTAATGATTTTAAGACAACAATCTGGTCATGAATGTAGTTTAAAAATATAAAGTATAGTAAACTTCAAAATGAAATTACAGATTATGTTTTTTAAACTAATATTCAATTGAGTCAATATAACAAGAGTTCATATAAAGTTCTTCCAGCAGTTTCCTTAAAAGTAACATGGGTTTAAAACACACCTAGTGATCAGTAATTTGTCTATTTGACCTCTTGTATGCTACTCAAATCTAGCTCAGAAGGAGGAAGGTGAGAATTTAATTTGAAGAAAACACAAAATGGAAAATTTTGAAATGAAGAGAGTGGGTATATAAGGAAAATATCACAGTACATAAACTGAAAGATAAAAAGAATGTTGGAGTTAAGTTTTAAGTCTAAATACTGTGACCAAAGAGCTGAGTGAACTTGAGAAAGTTCTATATAGTCTGTAAGAGCTATGGTTTGAATATTTTTGTGCCTTCCAAAACTCATGTTGAAATTAATCCCCAATGAAGCAGTTTTGGGAGATGTGGCCTCATGGAAGATGTATAGGTCATAAATGCTCTTTCCTCATGTATTAGTCTATTTTCATACTGCTATGAAGGAATACCTAAGACTGTGAAATCTATTTAAAAGAAAAAAAAGAGGTTTAATGGACTCACAGTTCCACATGTCTGGGGAGGCCTCACAATCATGGTGAAAGGCCAGAGTGGAGCAAAGTCACATCTTACATGGCAGCAGGCAAGAGAGCTTGTGCGGGGAAGTGCCTTTTATAAAATCATCAAATCTCATGAGACTTATTCACTATCATGAGAACAGCATGGGAAAAACCCACCCCCATAATTCAGTTACCTCCCACCAGGTCCCTTCCATGACACATGGGATTCTGCAAGCTACAATTCAAGATGAGATTTGGGTGGGGACACAGCCAAACCATACCACCTCATGAAGGGATTAATGCCACTGTAAAAACGCTTGCAGGAATGGCTTTACTCTCTCGCTCTCTTCGGCCATGTGAAGACACAGGATTGATCTCCCTCTTCCCCTTCTGCCTTCTACCATGTGAGGACACAGCAACAAGGCCTTCATCAGATATGGATGCCTTGATCTTAGACTTGCCAGCCTCCAGAACTGTGAGAAAATACATTTCTGTTCTTCATAAATCGCCCAGTCTGCGGTATTCTGTTATTGTAGCACAAAACAAAAAGAGTCTTAGTTTTCTCATCTGATAAAATGATATTCCCAGTACCCAGCTCTCAGTGCTACTAGGAAAAGGAAGAGTAACAGGTTCTGTAAAAATCAGACTGCCCCCCTCTGATTCTCTGCTTTCACATATTTTGCCTGTGTGACCTTAGGTAAATTCCTCATATTTTTGTGCCTCAACTTTTTTATCTAGAAAATGATAATATTGGTACTTACATTATTTGAATGGGTGAGTATGAATACTTAGTACCTTATAAATATTAAGAGCTAAATAAATGATAAATACTAATGTCTATTACACAGCCCCTGAAGCATAGTAACAGCACAATAAATTGTAAATATTATTTTATTTATTCAGGAATATTTTCCTTTTATGGTCTACCATAAAATGGAAATGTTAAACCCATTTCATTGATGAAAAGGCTAAGGTTTAGCAGCTGGGATATGGTGGAATCCCACAAATACCTGGGCCCATAACTCAGGCTTTCTAAAATTCCAAAATAAGGTATCATTCCATATAAAGTATTCCAGAAGTCAAGCAGCACCTCTGGTTTCTCAGAGAACATGCTATTTCCATTAGAGCCTTCTCACCCCAAATTTCAATCTCCAAATTGAAAAAGAAAGTTACTGCTATAAACTGACAGTTTGGAATTTATTCCACTTGTCCAAGTTCTTAAATTTCATATATATGTATATGGAAGTTAAATATATTTTCTTGAATGTGATTTATGAGGACTTTCTGACAAAGTTCAAGAGGATCACTCATAATATACTCCTGGACTGCATGCTATAATCTAAACACTGGTAGAAAAGTTTGGGAAAGCAATTCCCCAAACAGTTTCATTGTCATTGAAATCACAGTATCTTGTACTTGAAGCATTGGCCCTAAAGATTCAACTTGCCTTAGAATTGAAATTGACTCAAGTTATTATAAGTTTGTGGCTTATCTGGTTTATATTAAATACCTAAAGAGAAATGAATACATCTATGGAGTCAGTGGGAGAGAGAAAAACAGTGTCAGGCTCCAAGCCCAAGGGAGGTAGTTCTTCTCAAGGAAAGACATAAGTAGAATTACTTCCTTTCCTCTTCTGGGAGACAAAGAGAGAAGTCGAATGACTAGGCATGGAATGAGAACAAAATAAGACTAATCGCAAATTAAAAGACTGGCTGACTTTCATGGACTCTGTTTTGGACTATCCTGACTTAATGGTGTTCTGCATTGTGCACTACCATAAGGATTACTTTCCAGATTATGGCACTCTGGGAGACACAAATATCAGTAGATCTCTTATTGCCAACAAAGTTTAATGTACTTTTCAAGGATTCTGTATCAAGATGCTTTGAATGGCAAGTAATAGCAAATACTAGTCAAATTGACTTAAAACATAATGGGGATTTATTGGCTCATGGAACTTAAAAGTCCAGAAATAGCAATACTCTCATGTAAGCTTTAATCCACTGGCTCAAAAGAAAATGTTGTCAGGACTCAGTTCTTCTCCTTTTTAATTTTTAGCCTTGCTTACTCAGTGCCAGATTATTTTTATTATTTACTTTTCCTCTGGTCCTAGAACTTCAGATTTCCATGTCTACATCCAGCAAGAGAAAGAGAGTAATATCCTATAGTATGCATTGAAGATAAAGAGGTTGGCTTGCTCAAAACCCATAGAAGAGTATCTTCTTTTACCCCCCACCAGCTAATATCTCTGGATTAATCCTTTTGAATATGAGAATGGGATACAAGGATAAATTCAATCTAATCAGGACCCCCTTCTATAGAACTGATAGTGGAGCTAATCCCATCAAATCTTTCAGGCTCAGAATTGTGGAGGTTGGTGGATTAGATACGGAAGAAGCAACCAACAAGTTTTTCTAACTTCTGGACTCAACCAATTTTTTTTCATCCTTACCTTCTACTTCAGATTTTACTTTCCATGCTTAGTGAACTACTTCTAGTTTGACAAGCACATACTTGATCTTCCAGCCTCTGTTCCAGTCTACTTTCCTCCTGAAATATCTTTCTTTCCATGTTGTTGAAATCATATCCATAATTTAAGGCCCAGTTCAAACAGATCCTCTTCCATAAAGCTCTTCATATTATTCTCATCTAAAGGTTCTCTCTCCATCATCTTATTTCTGATAACAATTTAAATGCCCTTTATTCCTGGGACTGACAGCTTCCAACCTTGTATTCCCAGATACTACAAGTTCTCTGAGAAAGAAGAATGCACCTCCCTTGTTATTACTTCCCCTTAGAGTGCCAAGTACCTGCCCAACATATTATAGGCAATTCAGCCAATGAGTTTTCGAGGTCATTGTCCCAGTGAAACACAGTGAGTATATTTCTATTAACATCAAAAACCCCATTTCTGCCTCTTAGAGAAGGTCTGAGGGCTAAGGGTTCTGAGAGTTTAACTCATACCTATCCAGCAGTGGGCTTATTTGGTAGCCAATTCTTCCCCTTTCCAAGTGAGTTAATGCAGTGAGCTGGTTAGCTGAGGCAGAGAAGGAAACAAATGAATAAAAAATAGGGGATTAGCAAGTATTTATGTTTTACTTTTCAAAATCAGCCTTAATACAATAGCCTTGGTCCATAAACCAATGATTCATGGATTAGAAAAAACAATACTTTGTTTTTCACTCCCTTCTTTCTTATAATACCACTCCATTTAGATCACATGTACCTGAGAAGGAGGGAAAAAGGTATTCCCTAATTTTGGAAATGAATACTTTATAAAATGAGGGACTGTCTGTTGTGTTGCAGTGTGGGATAAGTAGGGGAAGTGGTTGTGGACAAACCACAGAGAGCCTTGAATACCCAGCCAAGTGTCAGGATCCTTAGACAGGAGGAAAAACAGGGCCATTGAAAAGCTTAAGCAAATAAATGATCTGAACACATTTTTGTTCACTTTGTTGAGAGTCCTATCCATTTTTTTTTTTACTACAGGAAAAAGAATTACTTTTTGCTTTCAAATTTTGCTATTCTTGTCTTTGACTACATCATTCACAGATATTTCAAGTTTAGCACATTTAAAATAAAACTAGATTTTCCTCCCGAAACTTGGCACTACCTCATTATCTTCCTCTTAGTAAATGGCTCCATCATCCGTCCTGTTTCTCAAATAAAAATCTGGGAATCATCCCTAAAATTCTTCCGTCTTTGGCTCTATGCACTGATCCATAAACAAGCCCTGTAAATTGTCTTCATGCCTATCATTGGATTCATCCATCTCTCTCTCTCTCACTGATTGCCACGAACTTAGCCCAGCAGCTCCTGGATGGTGATGACAGTAATTCAAAGGTGATTTCTACTCCACTGTTGCTTACCTTAATCGTTCTTCACATGAGGCAATAACCCAGCTCCCAACTCCTCCCATGGTAATTCTTTCCACTCTTTTCCTCTTCTAGCCACCTCCTTAAACTTGTCTAGTTTATGCCACCCTCAAAGCCTTTGCCAATGCCATTCTGTTTACTTAAAATATTCCTTCTTCAGCCTCTTCATGAGGTTGCACTTTCTTACCTTTGAGGTCCCTACTAAAATATCATCTCAGAATGGCTTTCCATTACTACCCTATCTAAATCGTGGTCCCCTATAATTCCCTCTTTTATCTCCTGTTCACAGAACACTTTTATGTGTGCACTTCTTTGCTGTCTTTATTGTTACTTTTGTGTATGTGTGTGTTTCTCCTGTTAGAATATCAATTTTCCAAGAAAGGTTTGTGTCAGCTTTGTTCACCAATTTATTGCAGTCTCTAGCACTGTCACATTGTCAGGGATGGATTAAACACCCACAGAATGGAAGGAATGTCTGTTAATTTCTGCCTATCTATTGAATTTCAGAGGATGTTTGTTGAGTCTCCCCCTGAATATGAAATACAGCTCCCCCTGAATATAAAACAATGGGGTAATTTAACCTCTTTTACTATCTAAATACTACTATTATTTAAAAAAAGAATTCTTAAGAATTTGTGGGATTTAAAGTTTCCTCACCACCAGGAAATGTCCTTGATGGAATTGACGAATGCACTTGAGGCATATCTTGAGAAACAGAAGGTTGGAATTTGTGAAAAATGACAATCTGTGTCCTTATATGGCAAACCAGACTTTGCCAAACAACAATTCTGAAATCCGCAGAGTCTTTGTGGATTTGACAATCTTTGTGGTCTGTGATATGCCACTGCGATTCACCCAGTGACACTGGGGATGAATGCACAAGCTTCCAGCTTCTTCTCTAGGTTCTCCTACCTTAATCCTTTTCCTTAAGTAGAGGTTTGCCAAGGTCTAATCCTATATTTCTCTTGTGTCTATTCTAATTCTATGATCTATTTCCATTAGAAAATTGTCCCATCTCATCTTTCCAGCTATCAACTTTCTACTGACAAATCTTAAATAAAAGTTTCTAATCTCAGTCTCACCCTCTAATTGGCTCTGTTTTCCCATCAGTCTTCATCATGGGTTCCTAACGTTGCTCTGAAGTCTGGATTTGAATTGGAGCCTGAAAAATCTCAACTCATTGTCCTTGCTTCTAAACCTCAGCTCTACAATTTCCTATTTTCTCTCATCAACATTTTTTTTGTTCATGGCTTTTTATTTTTACCTGATTAAGCCCTTCCTATGAATATATAAAAACACAGAAGTGTGAAATATTTCCTAGTTTCAGTTTACATCATTGTAAAGATTGTGGATCGCACGATTTTAGAGGGTGCCATTTATACTGCAATCTTTGTGAATGGTGCCCTCTGGAGTTGTATCTAAAAATGTCTCTGACCTTTTCTTATTTTTTCCATCTTCAGTACCAAATGCAAGCCACTGTACATTGTGGACACCAAGTAGATGCTGTTGACAGACTAATTTGGCCAAAAGTCAGGACCAAAACTTGTTAGAGAATGTCAAATGCCCATCCTAAATCTTATTCACTGGTTTCTGTGAACCACTTGCCATGTTTCCCATCTCATGTAGTTTGCTCCATTCTGAAAAGAATGTGTTTATATTACGTATTGTCAATTTATCTTTTACTTCCTTGTATAATCCTCCTATCGTGGAGGCACAAAGCTCAACAAAGACATGTGAGGCTAAATAGCAGTTATTTCCTGGTGGCTCTGCCCAGAGATTGGTCATGGTGGTTACTCAATCAGAAAATTGGGACATGAATTTTCTCTGCTGAGCACTTAGATAATATATTTACAGTAGTGATTGGCAGAGGGCTCTTAATCAGAATCCCTCAATGAGGAAACTAAGAAACAATCTCCAGGTCCTTTTGCCTAGCCCAGGACTTGGCATTAGGCAAGGACACTCCAAACATATGCTGAATGAGTGAGGTTGGAATTAACCTTCAAAATAGTATAAATGTCCTTGGGTAATTATCCCAAATCTAATGTGATTCGGTTAAAAAGATCTGGCAGGAAGACTAATCAGATAAATTACAATGGATAAGTCCCAACATTTTAAAGGGTTTCCATTTATACCCACATAGATCTTACAAACTTAGATTTGTGTCTTTTCATGACTGAGATTTTATGAATCGATATATGAATCGATACCACAAACATCTCAGAGGACCTGCAATGAAAATGTCATATCTGTTTGAACACTCGCTGTAACCAATTTTTGAGATACTTTGCATATTTATAAAATGTATTCTCAATAAGTGCACATTAACACATTATTAAGATAATGAAAACAGAGAGTATTTCTTTAATTTTTATTCTTTACATCTGTTAGTGTTCTTGGCAAAGATTCTGGCATATGATGGACATTCAATAACTCCAGGAGTTATTGAATGAATCAATGTGGAAAATATGTATTTCTCATTGCCAGTTGGAGCTCTTTGAAGCATTGCTGTAGCCCTCACAGAGCCTAGAATAGCCCTTGAGCCACTGCAGCTTTTCTGGCTATATTTGCAAGAAGGGAAGATATGGATATAATGGAAACCTAATAGGTAACAGTTACTGCAATTGAGTATTACATTAAATTAAGCTCTGAGCTTCCTAGAGGTCAAATAAGAAGGAACTGCACAATGGATTAAGTGGACCTTGTCTGCTAAAAACAACATAAAAAAGTGAGTGGACAAGTTTATATGGAGAGATGAAGAAAAGAAGTTCATACTAGAAAGCCTCCAAGATCTCGTCTAACAGTAATTTTCTAGGCTATCTCACTCTATGGTTTATAGTATGTCTATATCTATAATAGGGCCAACCTGAAGCAATCTTTTGATTTAGGATATTTCCCTTTATTTTCTACCCTCAGTTTTCTTAGACAGAATAGCCCCACTTCCTTTAGAAACTTCCAGAGTTTTTCAGTGTTGGTTAATCACCTGTCTGCATTTCAGTTATGCTCCCAGACTGGCCCCTCTATCCATCTTTCTTTCCCACTCCAAGTTCCTTCCTTCTTGCTTCCCTTGTTTTTTCTCTGCCTCTCCCTTAATCTTTTTACCAACATTTTTTTTGAGAATGAAATATGTTTAATTTGACTTATGCCAATTTTTCCAAGTTTATTTGAAATGGAAATTTGGTGTGTTTTTTTCTTTTTTTCTTTTTACATAGCATCACATGGAACTAGTCATCTGTGGAAAATTCTTGGGGAGTTGCTTCCTTGGGAAGGTGATTATGGACAGACTTGAGGACAGATAGAGCAAAGCCAGCTCAAAAACATTCAAGGATCTTCACCTGACCGTTCCCAGTGCTTCACCCTTGTTAGTCTTTAAACAAATCATGTCCAGTGACATCCCAATGACCTGAGCCACAGTCCTTGTCTTCATCCTTTTGTCATTGCAACATACTCCTGAAATCGCCACCTTCTACGTAATCTCTTTGCTCTGAGCTCTACTTACCATCTCTTTTCCAGCAGTCATTACATTTAAAAATCTTGTTTCTAAGGCCTGAGTCAGGTACCTCCACTTCATGAAGAATTCCACAGTCATTTTCATTCGTCATTCCTCCCATTCCTGCCCAGTGCCCCCAAGGGGAAATAATTTCACCTTTAGCAAGTGATTCAGCAGTATTTATTTCTGTATCTATTTTATTTTTTGAGACAGGGTCTCACTCTGTTGCCCAGACTGGAGTGCAGTGGCACAATCTCAGCTCACTGCAACCTCTGCCTCCCAGGCTGAAGTGATTCTCCTGCCTCAGTCTCTGGAGTGGCTAGAATTACAGGCACACGCCACTACTGCTGAGCTAATTTTTTGTGTTTTCAGTAGAGAGGGGTTTCACCATGTTGGTCAGACTGGTCTTGAATTCCTGACCTCAAATGATCCACTCGCCTCAGCCTCCCAAAGTGCTGGGATTACAGGCGTGAGTCACCATGCCTGGCCCTGTATGTATTTTGAATATTTCAGTGATACACATCAGTCTAGCTCCTTATATATAGTTAATTGTAAGTGGAAACTTGTCCAAAAACATGAGTGTTGGGTTGAAATCAATATTTTATATGTACTAGATTGGCCAGCCTCTTTGTACCCACCACTGTTCCCTTGTGCCCACCACTCAACAATTCCCTTTTTATAATATAAGCAAAGAATAGGATATTAATGCAAACGATGACAATAAACCAGTTTGGAAACTGCCTTAAACCATTTCTCAAGTTATTTTCTGCACATATGTATTCAATTCATATATAGGTGTTATGCTTTAAAAGTTTAACATATTCTGCTCTTACAGGTTACTTTGCACGTGATAGGAACGGCATGTATCATCCATCCATTTTATTTAACACCTGTGTGCTTCCAAAATAAAAAGATAGTTTTTCTTACTGAGTCCTGAGTTTACAGCCTAAAGTTATTATCTGAATATAAATTTATAGGGAGAAGTCTTCTGTGGAGAGTATATATCTACTTTTATTTAAAAATCTTTGCAGATTGAAAATGGCTTTTGTAATTTGTAGCTTGTGTTATTTGTTTACATTTACTTATTTTTTTCTAACTTTGGGAGGGGGGGTGTTTAAAATGAAGTCCTTAAAAAAACAAGTCTACAAACTGATTCCAACAAAAGGTATTTTGGTGAAAGTCTACTATAAAATTAACTTGAAAATATCTTAGAGAGAATAAAATTATCTCCTATAAATGGCATAAATATTTCTTTGGGATGCTTAGCTTATGACCCCAGAGAGATTTTAGAACAAGAGGGCACATTTTTCCTAGTTTTAAATAATAATAATAAAATTAGTTCTACTAAGTCTTTATTTTCCATTAGCATAATACTTCAAAGTTTACAAACTGTTGTCATTTGATCTTCCCAGTTAGCCTGAGGGGTTGGCATAAGAATAAAAACAGCTACCATTTACGAGAGGCACTGTTCTTAGAGACTTACATGTGGGGTGTCATGAATGCTCAAGCAGTCCCATGACATAAGTATTAGGGTGATGCAAAAGTAATAGCAGTTTTTGCCATTACTTTAAAAATACTATTGCTGTTGTCATTTTGCAGATTGGGAGCATGAGGTACTGCTAGTTTGGGATGAAGCTGAAGTATAAACCCAGGTTGTTTGCTCCATAGTTCATGTTCTTAACCAGTGCCCTAGACTCTCCTGTGACCACAGCTTGCATGAAGAAACACTGGCTAAAAGAGATTATATGTTGACCACTAACAAAACAGAGCACCCTTTTGATGAACAAAGCTAAACACCAAAAAGACAAATGAAGAAGAATGAATCTCTAACAATTCAGGGTTTTGGGGGCCTCTTATCCTGACTAAACGGATGTTCCACTATGGACGTAGCTCATCATATTTAAGGCCTTCTCAAAAGAAGGCCTTTCTAAGTGCAGGTATCCTTAGAAAGTCTATCTGTAGACCTATAAACAGGAAAGAAAAGCCTGGAAAACTCAAAGGACATGCCTAAGACCACTATGGTGTATTCCCCACTACACCTTTTCTGTGGCATTCTTTTCCAGGTTCTGACTTTCACCTAAATCTGTGTAGTCATAAGTCCTCATTCTGCCCCTGGATAGACTTCAGCCAGCCATGAGCCTGGTCCAACTCCAAATTTTCTCATCAGAAAAACAAGGAAAGCCAAACCCAGTAGGTTTTTAAGAATTAATAACATAAAAAATTGTAAGATATTGCTGTAAAAACATACACAGAGTAGCACTTTAAATTTTTCCAGAATCATGGTGGTATGCTATGTTCCATAGAAGATTTTCTATCTCAATAAACTATGTATCACATATCTCTATCTCTCTCTCTCTATTGCAACATTTCCTCTTAAACCTTTCACTTACAATCTTTCAGAATTGTACCTCTGCATTTCTAAGCAGAACAGACACTAAAATACAAATTCCCTCCCTATTTTCGAGATGTTTTCAGTCAAGGAATAGAGAAAGCTGCCTGCAAAAGACACTGGAGGCAGGTTACTAAGAGAATAACTGGAAAAAAAACTTTGCAAGGTGAAGACAAAGGGGAATGATGAATTCTCATTTAGAAAAATTGGGGAGGGTTTCAAGAAAGAAGTCACACTTATATGGGCATGAGAGACAGAATTTTGGCAGGTTAAGATGAGGACAAAGGATATTTATTCCAAGTGGAGAGACTATGTGAATAAAGGCAGGGTGGCGAGAAACATCAGGGAATAAAATCGCAGAGAATAAATATCAATTTAACAGCAAACCCCCATAAGTTTACCTGTGTAACAAACCTGCACTTGTACCCCTGAACTTAAGATAAAAGTTAAAAAGGAACGATACTAAGGGTTTTTGTAGCATCCAGTGAAAAAGAGGTCAGAAGCCAGATCTCAGAAAGCTTTCTATGACAGGTCAAGACATGTGGGCTACTGTTCACAGGTAGGTACTGATGATAGAGCAGATTTGTTTTGTTGGGCAGATCATGCTCGGGTCAGAGCAGGAAAGTTCTACAGGAGGCAGCAGTTCAGCCCGTCCTGGAGCAGAGGGACCAGGTGCATAAGATTGCATGCAAGTCAGTGTGTGCCAACGTTATGACAAAAGCTTGGGAATAAGAGAGATGGTGAATGGCTCTGACTTTCTGGACACTCTGAATGAACAACGATACGATCAGTCTGTTAACTTTGAAAGGAGCTCAAGAAATAGACTCGTGTGTGTGTGCGCGCATGTGTGTGTGCATGTGTGTGTGTGTGTGTATGTGTGAAAGAGAAGGAAATAGCTTGCAATTCATTTTGGTATAAGGACCATTTCATAGGAAATAACCGAATGCATCAGATCATCATCAATTATTCACCACATTCCTGGCAATCTTTCAAAGCATCTTATAGGTTTGTATATTATTTACTCCCTTGCCCTAATGCATTTCTCCTCTGACATCCCTACCTCAACCCTAAAATGAAACAAAATTGTAATCATTTTATAGCACACAAAAAAATAAAGTCCAGGGAAACGTTCCTCATTTCCTGGAGGGCAGTGACTCTCAACTGACTAAAGAAATGGAAAATGATTTTTACCATCTTAGGGAGAAGAAAAACAGCAATTTCCAATTAAGCTGTTTGCTCTCCGTATTCAGAAAGAGGATTGGACTGGTTTGGACCTGCTCTTTCTATAAAACAGAATTAAAATTGTATGTAGTAGAGGACAGGAAAATGACATGATGCAAAATAATGAGTGACACAGAGATGTAAATATAGCGCCCAACACAGCACCTGGCACAGTGTGGGTTGGTGTTCTGCCATTTTTATTACCCAAAGATTCTGAATATAAATTTTTTGACACTGGGATTCTGAAGAAGTCAGACAGAAAATTCCACTGAATTATACAGGATATCAAGATACTCCGGATTCTGGCAACAGATCTCATATCGTGACCACCTTGTTTCTAACATCACAGACCTAATTGCAGGAATAAAGCTTTTATTTTATTTTTACTTTTTAATTTGAGAAAACATTAAATTTACGATAAAGTAGAAAAAATAGTACACAATGTTTCTGTTTACCTTTCACCAAGCATTTCCTGATGTTTTATAACCTTGGTATAATTATCAAACTATGAAATGGACATGGGTGCAGTTCTAGTAACTAACCTGCAAACCTGATGTGACGTTTGCCCATTGTCCCACTGGCGTCCTTTGTCAGACCCAGGATTTAATCCTGGATTACAGGTTACTTTTCAGTGCCCCTTTTCCTCGGTCTTCTCCAAACTGGGGCAGGTCCTCAGACTTTTTTAATTTTTATTTTATAAACTTTTTGTGTATGACTATGACATTTGAAGAATACAGCTCCATTATTTGGTAGAATGTCTACCATCTGCTCTTCCTTCATATTTAAATTTGGATAATGCATTTTTTGGCAAGAATATCATAAAAATTATGCTGTGTTCTTCTTAGTGCATCATATTAGAAGGTAAACAATGTCCATGTATTTCATGGCTGGCCATATTAAAGTTCACCATTGACTGAAGTGGTTTCTGCTTGGTTTACCAATGTAAAGTTACTATCTTCTCCCATGTATTTAATAAGTACCTTATAGGGAGGTACTTTCTATAAATATGTTTGCATGCAAAAATCTTGTTTCTCATCATACCTTTACCCACTAATTTTAGTTTTCATTGATAAATCTTGCCTGCAACACCTATTTCTGTAGTATTTGCTAAGTGATGAAGTCCATCTATCTTTCTTCATATATAAGTTGGAATTCTGCTGAGGAAAAGAGCTTTCACTCTCCCTCATTTACTTATTTATTTATATCAATATAAAACAACACAGGCTGTTTTATTAGTACTTATTTTGTTGCTTATGGTGTCATAAAATTTACCAGTGAAAGCTTCTTCAGGTTAACTGCTACATTCTTTTTACATGCCCCATCATTTTTGGAGTATTCTCTTATTTCTTGGCACCATAAGTAGTCCCAGGCTTATCTTGCATTTCCCTGTACTAGCACTGAAATAATCCAGTACTTAAATGAATTCATTTTTCCTTTTTATTTATTTTAAAAATAGTATTTAGAAACTATTTTGAAACTTTAGGTGTGCTCATTATAATTGCTGTACTACAGTATTATTACTTCTAGGCCCTCTCAGCAGACAAAAATGAAAAAAAAATAAGTATGCACACACACACATCTACATCAATTTAACCGTATATATACACAAATGTGATTTATGTGTGTGTGCATATGAATGTGTGTATATAAATATATACACACATACATATATTAATATATACATATATTGTATATAATGCATATAATATATACATATATAAATATATACACACATACATATATTAATTTATTGTAATACCTCTGATTCAAATCCAACATTACACAGTTCATTCTAGCCTTCAACCTTTAATTATGATTCCTTTCTTCAAAAATGAGAAAACTGGCTTTCATTATCCATGATTTGATAGCAAGTTTATTTATTTGCTATCTTAGAATGCATTTAAAGTCATTCCAGGATTACTAACGTTATGGAAAACAAACTTATTAACTAGAGTAAAATTCCATGTACAGTTATTTTTGTTGTTAGCTTTGCAATTTGTAGTCGAAATCCTGTTTTCCAGTATTACTTAGGTTAGTCCTTAACTTTCCCACTCCCTTCAGTAAAATGATTTCATCTATTTTTTGTAGAGTTAGTTCATTTGTTAATGTTTGTATTCTGCTTAAAGTTTACCTCCTTCCCAATTCTCCGTTGATTTTGTCTGTCTATTTGATTGGTTGGTATTTATTTATTTGGTATGTGATATACTATCACTCTTTCAAAAGTCAAAGCTTTACAAAGACATATACTCAAGGAGGTACCACTCATCCTTTATTCCTTCCAACCAATTTCCATTCCCTTATTCTTTCCTACCCACTCTCTGCAGGCAATCCATCTTGTTAGTGTCTGGTTTACCTTCCTGTATTTCTTTTTGAACAAATGTACATATACATGCATATTGATTTATGCCACCTTATTTTTACATGAAAGGTTGCATACTATGATACTGTAAGAGAATGAAGCCTCAATCCCTAATCTTTCCAAGTACTGAATTATTAAAGTTATAAAACTAGAGAATAAGTAAACCATTCTTGAAGCCACATAAACATAAGGTCTTAAGTACAAAAGGCAATAGCATAAAAATATATTAATAGTTACTCAAATTTCAGCCTAAGCCTCCTCTATAAGCACCTACAGCAAGGTTTCTATATGTTATTCAATGATCCCAAATCCAGAAAAGTTGTAATACTGAGCAAAACTTCCACAAAATCATAGCTATTAACTTGGATATAAATGATACTTTGTAACTTCTAATACATTTTTTCACTCATTATTTTATTACACACCCCTATCATCCTGTGAGGTAGCAAGAAGTTGTTTTCTCATCTTCATTTTTACATATGGACACACTGGAACTCACTTACTTGCATACTTGTCTGCCATCCCCAACACATGCTGATACTCTGGAAACCATGCATTTTGCCTTATCACTCCTCTAATGCCTAGCAGAGCTACATGCTACTTATGCAGTGGCAAGGAAACATTGATTGGACAAGATTAAATAGTAAATCCAAGACAAATAGCTAGTCAGGGGTGAAGTCAGGAGTCCTTAATTTATTTAGTGATTCAACAAGCATTGAACATTCAATAAGCATTGGACATTTATTTTACACTTGGTACAAGGGACAGAAAGATAAGAAATACGAGGACCATGTTTTCAAGGAATTCACTGTCTGTAAACACAGACGAATAAACATGTGATTAGAATATGATGAGAAGGCTATGATACAGATAAGTGTTATGGTATTCAGAATATATTTATTTATCTATTTATTTATATAAATTTAAGTGGCACAAGTGCAGTTTTGCTACAAGGATATACTACACAGTGGTGAAGTCTGGATTTTTATTGTAACCACTACCCAAATAGTGGTTTTTGGGTACACAATAGTGTACATTACACACATTTAGCAAGTATAGCTGTTTGGGATCTTGGAGTTACTGAGAGGGGGAGACCGATAGCTTTTGGTATAAGCACCTTCTTGGTGCCTGGAATATTTCATCCTTCTCTTCTTTCACTGTGGTTCTCCCATAGACACTTTTATAACTCATGCTTAGTCTTTGGGTCTCATTCTCCACTTTTTTTCTTCCATGAAGATGCCCCTATTCTGATTGAATTTGAGAATCTTCATTTGGAGTTTGCTATCACTCTGTGTTTTTCTACATTCAAGAATTTTTTAGAAGGTATAAATGCTGGAGGTAAAAAGTCGTATTAATTGCCGCTATCTTGGAACACCGCATAGTGGAGAAAACATGGGCCCCGTTACTGAGACTCAGTTTTCCTGGTATGGCAGAGTGGAATAGGAATTGGGAGATCAAAGGTCAACTGAATCTGAGCTCTGCTCCTCTTGGCTATGTGATTTTGGACAACTTGTTTAATTTCTTTAAAGTGCTATTTTCCTTTTTCCGAAATGTACGGATAAAAATGGTACTTACTTCAAGCTCTATGGTCAGAATTTAATATTAAATATAATAAAAATAAAGTACTTATAAAATATCTAGCATTTAGAAAATACCTGTTAGTTAAGCATCAACTATTATTATTCTATCCTTCACCAAACTTCTAGACTATAAATCACTCTGTTGTCTCCTCTATCCCAGTGACCCCACAAGATGTAAACCAGCAGGCAGGAAGAGCACTCCAGGAACTGCCCCTTTTGGCCCATGAATCTTTCTACCTGTTGGCCCCCAATGTCACTTCTAGACTGTGGTGTATTGTCTGTCTTCCACCTCTGCCCTGAAAGTCTGATTCCAACGTGCTACTCAGGTCCTCTCAGTTCCAGTGTCTTGGTCATGAGGCCAATAAAAATGTAGACCCTTGGGGATTGGAGCATTCTTTGAATTTTGATAATCAGAGTGTCTATGCCCAAATGAATACTAATGCCAATCCATAGTTCTCAGATTTCTGAACTATCAGAGTGGGAAGGAATCTAAAGAGAAGGATTCATTTTACAGATGGAAAAAGCTGAGGTCATAAATCAAATTAGTAATATGACCAGGATTAGAACTCAATCTGTTCTCCCCAAAGGTTGAATTTTTTCCAATCCATAAATGGGCACATGAAAAGAACAAACCAGATCACTGAACTTACCCTTCTCAGATGCATAAGTCTGAATTATCTTCTAGTATATAGATATGGAAATCCTTGGGAAATCTGAGCCAGTTTTGATTTCTTTTTTGAGATCCATCTCTGAGGATTGAAAAATTAAATGTTTTAGGCATTGGAAATCTCAGTGCTATAGATGGAATTGTGTGCCCTCCCCAGCCCTTCCCACCCTATCAAATGTTGAAGCCCTAACTTTCAGTGTGACTGTATCTGGGGATAGGGTCTTTAGGAGGTAATTAAGGTTAAATGAGGCCATAGGGTGAAACCCTAATCCAACAAGAAAGTAGCCTCTGAGAAGAGAAACAGATCTTTCTCCCTCTGCTATGGGAAGACATAGTCAGAAGGTGTTCATCTGCAAGCCAGGAAGAGAGTTCTTGCCTAAACATGACCATGCTGGCACTCTGATCTTAGACTTCCAGCCTCCAGAACTGTAAGAAAGTAAATTTTCAATGGTTTAAATCTCCCAGTCTATAGTACTTTTTATGACAGCCCAAGCTGACAAATACATCCATTTGCAATGAGGGTACATTTTAAATCTTTAACAAATACAATCTGTAGTTGGCTTCTTAGAACTTGGGGAACAGGACATTAGTTTGTAAAGTTATTGTTTTTCCATTAAGTGCTCTACAATTCAACTGGAACTTAGATTAGTGAAGACAGTATGATAATGCTAGGTGAGAAGTAGGAGCAGAAAGGAAGAAACTTAGAAAAAAATATAATTTGTGTTCTCCATAAGAAGACCAATATTTGAAATGGCAATTATCAGAATTGGGGAGTCATATGAAGTAATGATGAAGAGCCCCTCTTGTATTCCAGCAGCAAATGGGCATGATTCTCTTCCCTATCCTCCCACCGGTACAAAACTGCTCACAGTGGGACACTGGGATTCCTCGCTCTGGTCTAATTTTAAGTAAATAAAATGATGCGGCACTTTGCCACATCCCTCTGGAAACTATTCCAAAATTGAGCAGATCTCATCTTTCGAAAATGTTCCCTGAGTAATGGAAACATGAGGAAGGGGGATACACTACAGACCCCGGATGCATCTTTCAACCACAGTGGAATGCAATATACCAGACACACTGTTACAGTGGTCAGGATGGACGTGGGAAAGATTTGAAGGATAGAACAGTAAGCTGTGCTGTCATCTTAAATCATTCCCACTGCTAGATGCTCTCAAGGATGAAATCTCACAATGCTAGGCACAGTGGGAAGGGTTTAATCCCCTTTCAATCTATGACATGTAGATATTGCTACATGGAAGCTGCCATCTAGCTAACAGGCTACTTTTCTGATTTTCCTATAGTGTAAAAAATGTAGAGGGGGAGTAGAAGAGACAAATTCACCTTGGAATCTTTCCACCCACCTGTGTAGAACTGTAACCCAGACAATAGGCAGGGCCTTTCTGAATCTTGAGATTTCAATATTTATTTCAGCCTTCAGATTTATACTCAGATCCAAAGCTGATTTCAAGATTTTTGTTAGTTGCTAGGAATTTTTTTGTTCTCAAAATCATCTTTGTCTCCTAACTTCAGCATCTATGTGTTCCCTTTTGTTCCACATCTTAACTCTTTATCCCCAAAAACCTCACTACTCAAGTCTTAGTCTGCAGTGTGCCAAAAATATTTTCAGTTGTCCAGACACTAAAATGTTTTCACTGTCGCTTCTACCTCATCATCTCAACCTATTTTGATCTTCCTGCCTCTTGTCTCTAATCTCTTCCCCATAAGCTGAGCTCCAGCTCTTACTTCCAGAAGGGAAACAAAAATTCATCCTGACTTAATAGAGTCTAGTGAGGGATCATTTTTTGTTGCACAGAAATAATTGTCTTTGGACCTTTCCCTTCACTAAATCATCCCAAGGGGTTTATTAAGGTATTTTCTATTTTTAAAAATAATTTTATCCTGAAGAGAAATTCTGACATCAGAGCCTAAGATAAGGTAAGCATTTCATTCTGCTGTATTTTCAACTGCTGCTCTACCACTCTGATCTCTATTGAGCAGGATAATCAGGATTACAATTTTTGCACCTATAAAAAGGTTCTGTACCAAGGACAGATCTTCATTGCAAAGCAACCATAGACCATAGGCATTATTCTCCTCTGTCAGGCTACTTAACTGGACTCAGCTAGGTTATTCATTGCTTTGAAGTGAGTTTTCAAAGGTCTCTGTTAAGTGCAAGTATCAGTTAGAAATTCGTTGTGGTGCAATAGAAAGGTATGTCCCTGTGTATTGAGGACAATTGCAATTTGAAATCTATCTCTGCTATATGGCCAAGGATCACTCTCAACTTCCTTTTTTTCTTTTTTAATCTGGAAAGTAGGATTGCATTAATCTGCTCAGTGGGGTTAGTTGGAAATGGAAATATCAAAGAATAGGTGAGTATAAAGAATGTTTGCAAATATTTAATTATATATTGCTAATGTTACTTATTATGACTTGTCAGTCATTTCTACTGTACTATTGTCTTAAATTGAATTTATGAGGCTTCACAGTGAAGATTCTTTAGGACAGATAAGCTTTGTGTGTGTGTCTGTGTGTGAGAGAGAGCTTTTAAATGAAGAGATTTACCATAAGAAATTGACACCTGTAATTTTGGAGGCCGGCAAGTGTCATGGTTTGCAAGTCTGCAGGGTGAGTTCACAACCTGGAGACTCAGGCTGATGTTGAGTTTCAGTCCTAAGGCCAGCAGACTTGAACCCCAGTTTAGGTCTGAGGAGAGGAAAAATGCTGATGTCCCAGTTTGAAGGCCATTAAGCAAGAAAAATCCTCTCTTACCTGGGGGAGGGTCAGCCTTTCTGTTCTACTCAGACCTTCAACTGATTTGGTGAGGCCCATTCACATTAGGGAGGGCCATCTGCTTTACTCAGTTTAACAATTTAAATGTTAACCTCATCTAAAAGCACTCTTAAGGAAACACCCAGAATATTGTGTGACTAAATATCTGGGCATTGCATGGCCCAATCAAGTTGACACATAAAATTAAGCCATCACAATATCGTAAGAAGTACAGGAGATCCAAGGGCAGGGACAGAAAGAGAGGTAGATGGGAGAACCAAACCCACTGGATTGTAAAGTTTCCAGTGATCCTCTAGTATTACGTTAATTTGCTCATTTAAAAGATGAAAACACTAAGTCCAGATAGGCATCTAGGATGTGTTACAGGTAGGTAGGTAGGCGTGAGCCAGACAGAAGAGGGCTCTTCCCCCACGCACTAGAAGTGTCAGGTGCTGGTTTGGCAATTCTCGCATTGCCTCTCTGAGAGTGATGATTTAGCAGCGTCAGGCAGAGGCCATTTCCTGATAGTCCACACCTGTTAACATCAAAATGGTAAATGAACGCAGAGCCCAGGGAGAAGAAACTTCCTGGGCATGCGTATTAAGAGGAAAATGGCGAAGTATGATCTTCCGGGTACACGCCACCGGAAAAAGGAAAAAAGCCTCGGAGGGGCATGCCAATAACGCCTTTAACACATGGCGCATGCTTGCTTCCCAAAGCTAAGGAGGGCTCTGTGCAGGCGGGCAGCCCACCCTAAGGGAAGAATCATGGGAAAGAGGTGAGTTTCCCTTGGGAAAGTCCCAAGATTACAGTTAAACGGGGCACTGACCTTCTCTCTTTAACCTTCATGTGCCTGCGTGGGTCTTTTCCATGCACACCTTCATTTCGTTCCTGTTCTAAGGCATTTTAAAATAAACTTTCATTCCTGCTCTGGAACTTGACTCAGTCGCCCTTTCTGCTTTGTGCCCCTCAGTCGAATTCTTCCTTCTTAGGAGGCAAGAATTGACGTTGCTGCAGACCTGGACGGATACTTCCGCCAGTAACTCGGTGTAACTCCGGTCTCTTCCCCTGTAATAGGTGGAGTCACAAAAGGAGAGGCTGCAGGACCAGACCAGAGTCCCCTGTGCCCTAACGTCTCCTCTCCCCCTTTACCAGGTCTATGTCTCTCCTTTCCCAAGGAAAAATTCAAACAGTGCATTAATTTTTCAGAGTAAGGGTTTCTTTTTTGTTCTTATAAGTGGACATTGAAGGGACTTTACATTTGACAATGTAAAGCTTTTAGATTTGAGGTTTCATGATCTTATTAGAAAAGTTTGAACAACAATTTATACCTTCTCTGTTTCTTATACCTTTGAGAGTGAAGTAAGATCTCTGAGTTAGGAGGCAGACAGCAAGTTTGTGTTATCCTGAACAAATGATTGATGGCATGAACGCTCTGGGCTGGGAGACATTAGAAAGGCTTCTTATCCACCTCTCTCCCACAAGGGGTAGTAATGCCAAATAAAATACCTACCAAGTAGCTGTCCCCTTTGAATATCTCCAAAAAGGAGAACTGACACCCACTTTCTGAGAACCTATTGTACATCAGGCACTTCAACCAGCATTTCAATGTGTTATGAATTTAATTCCAATAACCACTCTGTGGTAATTATGATTATCTATATTTACGTGTGCGAAAATTGACCTTGAGAGAGATGAAATATTTTGGCCAAAGTTCAGGACACATTAGCTGTAGATTTGCTTTCTAGCCTAAGTGTGTGTTTGCCTCTAAAGTCTGTCTACCATGTAGCAGTTAGGAGCACAGATTTTGGTATCACCTGCACCTGAGTTTGGATCCTGAGTCTTCACCTTTTTAACATTATAGCTCTGGCCTTGCAGCCTGTTTCTTCATCTGAAAAAAAGAAGGAAAAATAATACCAAACTCAGAAAGACTTCATGAGGATCGAGTCTGTTTGAATTGCTTTTCATTGCACCTTCTAAATGTAAGTGCTCAGCAAATGATAGGTGTTTTTAATAATACAACTCTCAGTAACTTCATTGGCGCTGCTATCGAGACTATCTGCAGTGATGTGGATAATTTCCTCTGCATCTACAGCCTTCATCCACTTCAGAAACTCATGGTAGGAGCAGCTCTTCTTTCCCTCCTCTCCTCACCCTGTAGCAACATAGACAAAATCCATTATTTACACTGCCTCAAACAGCCTGAGCTTTAGGAAAACAAACAGAGTCATTAGAATAGTCAACTAAGTAAGATTTCTGCCACTTCTGTCTTGCGTGGGATAGATGTTCCTTATCAGAGCGAGTGACAGTTACATCCATTCAGTGGGCGAGAAACAGCTTTTTATTCCGTGCATTTCATTAATTCGCTGCCAAGAAGAGAACCCCAGTCAAAGGTAAAAACAATTCTGCCTGTAGCTGTACCTAATTGTCCAGCAGCAGAAAGGAGTGTGATGGAGGTGCCTGTCAGTGTTTGAAAGCAGAGCAGATGTTTTCAATTGCTCCCTTCTTTGTAATTCTACCCTGGAAATAAGAATTTCAAACCTAGAAAATAATAGGAATACATGAACCTCACAAAGGGACATACATGTTAAAAATAAATAAATAAAGATGAACAGCATGGGATAACAGAGTGAACACATTTAAAGCCATTGAATGAGACTATTTGGGAATTATTTTTCCAATCAGATCAGTACCCAGTAAACACAATTGTATCTCTGAATACCTTGTAGTTGAAAAAAATGTCAGGTTTTTTTTTGTTTGTTTTTTGTTTTTTTTTTTTTGAGACAGAGTTTTGTTCTTGTTGCCCAGGCTGGAGTGCAATGGCACGATCTTGGCTCACCACAACCTCCATCTCCTGGGTTCAAGCGATTCTCCTGCCTAAGCCTCCTGAGTAGCTGGGATTACAGGCATGCACCACTATGCCCAGCTAATTTTGTATTTTTAGTAGAGATGGGATTTCTCCATGTTGGTCAGGCTAGTCTCGAACTCCCGACCTCAGGTGATCCTCCCACCTTGGCCTCCCAAAGTGCTGGGATTATAGGCGTGAGCCACAGCGCCCGGCCTTAAATGTCAGGTTTTTTGAATGTGCTTTTTATAATAGAAAAATAGCAGCATTTCTTTATGATGCCAGGATTCAGCATTGGTCAACACTTGTATGAGAAGCTTTATTATTCTAACAGATTTTGTTTACAAGCAGAAAATATTGGTAAATCTCATATAACATAAGGATGTATCAATAGTTCCATATGCTATGCTTTAATAGAGTTCTGTAAGGTTTCTAAAGATGACTTAAGTCAGCGTCACTGAAAATAAAGAGTCAGAAATAACCTAAAAAATGAGTGATTCCATAGAACAAATATATTCATTTTACAGATGGGGAACTGCGACATGAAGAAGTTAACTTACCTAAGATCAGAGAATGAGTCAAGGACAGAACAGGACCATGTCATCAAATTTAGAGAAACTTGAACTATGTGAGTAAATAATCTTATTTATTTCTTTCTAGTAGAGTTGAGTGCAATAATTTGAAGGGTGATTAAAACAATTTGAATTCCAGTTTTCAAGCTTATCTAGTAAAAGCTCAGTATACCAAAGAAAGAGGGTACTAATTCAAGAATATAATGCCAATTTTTACTTTCTACAGTCTTGCTTTGACATGATAATGAGAAAACAATCAGTCCAAAATGAGTCTTAGAGAGGAATCAGCACCTTTGAAAACAAATGTCTCCAACAGGAAAAAGCATGTTTATACCTGCTTCTTGAAAGGAGATATTCTACAGCCTCATTAAGAGAAAAGCACGTTACACAGTAAGGAAGTGGGATTTGAAAATTGCTGTAGGTGATTTACAATATCTCTTTGACATCTTAGAATCCCATTCTTTAGAGGGAACTTAGGTGCTACCTTGAGCCATCCTGTCTGTGCAGCATACCATCCCTGGGCAGCATTCACTGGGCACAAAAGCCCAGCTATATTTCGAAGCCTCCATTGAAATAATACAGCTAGAATTTGACACATGAGTTTGAACCTATCAACTGATAGAACGTTCTTTCTTATTTTGCCCTTGCTGTCTCTGGAGCTGCATTTCTTAGTCTTTGTTGGGCCTTCAGCAACCTCTAAAAGTAAGCCCTGCTTCGCAACTGCTATTTAGATATTGGAGACCACGATCATGTGCACCCCGTGCCTTCTTGTTTACAAACCACTACCCAGTTCTTTCCACTTGGAAATACTGTACAGTGTTTGGTGCTGTGATGGTTAATTTTACATGTCAATTTGGCTAAGTATAGGGCCCATTTTTTTGGTCTGATGCCAGTCTAGATGTTGCTGTGTTGGTATTTTTTAGATGTGATTAATATTTAAATCAGTAGACTTTCAGTGATGCAGATTATCCTCCATGATGTGTGTGTGTGTGTGTGTGTTTAGAGGGGATGTCTTCCAATCATTTGAAAGCCTTGAGGGCAAAGACTGAAGTTCTTTTTCGGTGGAGAACCTTGCCTGATACAGGTGCTGTGCCTCTGTAATGATTTGCAGAATTAAATAGATACCAGCATCACAGATTGAGATAGTGAATTAATGTGATGCAGTAGGGTTTTCAGGAGCCTTTCACAATTGTGGATAAATCACAATATCTTTCAATACTCAGTATGTTGAGATACTTACAGATGTTTGGTGAGGATAAATATATGTGAAGAACATAATACAAGACCTTTTCACAGTCTTATTTCTAGCCTGTTGCCTACACTGTAGACAAGCCAGTGTTAGGAATGACATTAGCCTGAGAGATGAAGGGTGTTTCATCTCCCTAGTGACAGCAATGGCCAGATAAACAAGTCCCCACCATGGGTACAGGGATTTAACACTTATAAATGATTTTTGCAAATATTGTATCAAAGGATTCTGATTTTCAATCCCATAAACTAGATATTGACCCTATTTTATAAATACAAATGAAGGCCTGGGAATATAAAATGATTTGCTCAAGACTTCTAAACTCATATGTGGTAGAACTCTGAGTCTGATATTCTCCCCGCACATCTTTCCATGCCTTTCTCCAAATAAATAGGCAGAAAAGAGATGGGATTCTTCTGTGGCTGTGCTGCTCACTCAAGGGAGTCTGAACCATTTTGACCAGGAAAAGCCAAAGGAAAGGCCACTGCCAAGGGCAGACCACACATTGCCTGAAGTCATTGTTCTCCATTCCAGCCCCAAGAACTCTGCGAGATCGATGAAAGCATACATTGAGAAATAAAAGTCATGAGAAAATTTTACAAATTAGCTAGCTTTCATTTCCTGTTGGCTTTTCCAGCACATGCTTGGCACCAGATGAGAGTAATGTGGTAATGCAGTAAAATATCCCTGTGAGACACTATCTGCTTAGAGACAGGAGGCAGTGAGATGCTTTAGCCCTTGATGTCCTAAGGGCCTGTCTGGACATCGTGAGGTTTTCTCAGAAGCCAATGTAATAGACTTTTTGTCATATCAAGTTTGTTTTTTAGGGAATTTCAAGGCATCAACATTATCTATATTTCCACTGCCGGCTCTGATTTGGAAATGCCAGTAAAGTTGGTGTGCTTTATATTTACTTGATCTCTAAAAAAATGTGTGAGCTCAATCTTGTCTTGTCCTAACTGGCATAATTATTCATCACGGATGCGTTTCGTGGGATTAGAACCAGTAACAGGAAGTCACAGTGTGCCCTATTTTAACAAAAACAAATGTCTAGGCCCTGAACCTGGAAAACAGATTCAACAAGGGAGTTAACCCTCACATTGGAAAATTATTCTCATGATGTAATAGTGACAGCTATGATTTATTGAGCACCTACTATGGGCCAGGTATTTTATTGATGTTATTTATAATGCTCATAACTACTCTGCAAAGCATGTGAAAGAAAATTGATACTTGGTAAAGGAAAGTAACTTGCTGAAGGTCACATATTTAGAAAATATCTAACCCAGGCTGGTTTCTCCAGCAGGTGTTTCTGCTACTACACTGAAGTGTTTGTCTTCAGATCATATATAAAACATGTTAATTATTTATAAGGAAGATATATATATATATATATACACACACACACACACACACACACACACACACACATACTAATATGGAGTTTACATTTTAATTATTTGTAAGGAAGATATATATATATATACTGATATGGAATATAAATTTTATTTATAAGGAAGACATATACATATATATACTGATATGACATTTAAATGAAATTTCTGACAAAAAGAACTATTTCATTAAAATAAGTGTACTTATCTTTTAGTACCTAAAAAGCAGTTACAGTTGTATTAGGTGTTCAATTAATATTTGTGAAATAAAAAATGCATCATTTATTCCAGTTGATCCAAAGGGTTGCATCTATGACCTTTTCTCCTACCAACCCATCAGAAAATTTTGTAAAAAGAAATTCATTAATTTTTTTCAGCAAGCATGCACAGAGAACATATATACACTTGTGGCAGATATAGTTCTAGGCAATGGGACACAGTTATGGGAGAAAACATTCTAGCTTCTAGAGAGGACACAATCTGGGGATAACAGACTTCTAAACTGACAATGTCAAACAATGTGATAAGTCATACAGGTATGTGCATGTGGGGCCTAAGACAGCACAGAGGAAGACTCTATAGACAGCTTTAGAAAGAGGTAAAAACCTGGAGTATTCCAGTGCCTGACCAAATGCAACAATCCTTTGTTTTCTCATGTTTTCATACATTCAAATAGGCTTTTCATTATGAGTAATTTTAGGTTTTTATCCTGGAGTTATAGGACCATGAGATTTGAAAAGTGTGTTGGTCACTTTGAAATCAGATGTTTGTTTTTTTACCATAGGATAGCATGGAAAAGCTTCACTGCTACACAACACTTACTAACCCTAGATATAAGAGGGTTGTGAATTCAGTTGTTTGTTTCATAGGACCTCTTATTGTGTCTAGGGTTTCTAAGTGATGTGTAGCAGTGGAGCTTTTCAATTTCCTATTCTATGGCAAAAACAAACATCTGATTTTAAGATGACCAACATGCTTTTCAAATCTCATGCAGCAAAAGTGATAAAAGGAACTGAGATCTAGATAATGAGCAAAAAAGTGGATGCTGCAGCTGCCCTAGGAGGGCAGGGTCAAGGTGGGGGAAAATGTTGGGGGCTGTTGTTTGGGGTCTTCATGCTGGAAAAATTGGGGTTCAAGCTCCAGTGGAGTCAGGAGAGGAGAATCTGTGCATGCTCAGGGTGAGGGCTGAGATTTATACTTCTGCATTAAGCCAGAACACTCAAAGATCTACAGCTTCAATTAAAGGTGGAATAAACTCAAACTTGCATTTCTGAGCAACCATATTGTTCACAGCAACCTGTCCCTGTGTGCAGCTTGGAGCCTTGGAGATCATACCCTAGTCTATGGTATGCTGTGTTATCTCCTTTTTATGAGAATATCTCTTATGTGTTCTGTATAATTTTCCATTAAAATAAGCTAATTTCACTTGCCCTTGGCTCTTAAAATATATAATGAAATATTTCATAATATAAAATAGTTTTTCATAAACTTGCCTAAATAAATACACATTAGAAGGGTTTGTTCCAATTTACATTTTCTCCAAGTGTTTGTTGCAAAGCCCATTCTTATACTTTTATGCCAACCTCTGGGTAATACACAAAAAAATATTTCAATCTATGCCAATTTAATAGGATAAAAATAACACATCTTGTAAAATGTAAGGCACATGTATTGGTTCCCGTGTGAAGTCAAACACCCATTGACGTGTATTGACTGTGGTTGTTTCACCTGTGAATTATTTTTATATGTTTATATATCAGTTTCCAGTTTTTCAATTCAGCTGCTTTTATTTTTCCTTTTTTGTTGTTGACAGCTAATTATACTTAGTATTTATACAGCATGCATTTCTCTGTTTCAAGCACCATTTTTAATGCTTAAATCACTGTTGTTCATTGAATCTTTACAATAAACCCTATAGGCTAGGTACTATTATTGTCCCCATTGATACAGAGGACAAAACTGGCTCAGAGATGTTAAGTAACTGATAAAGACAGAATAAAAATTGGGGGACTTAACCCTTCTGTTTAGTATTTCTGCTGTTACTCATGTTGAATTATTTTGTTGTGTGCTTTGTAACTAAAAATTGTGAGCTCATCTTCAGTGAGGTTTTATCTAGAAGAACCCAGTGAGACCTGAGATGAAGACATGATCATCCGGAGAAGATTATAATTTGCCTGTATTAGACATTCCAGATATTTCACTAGCAATTTGTAAAAATTTTACTGAGATATAATTAACATGCCATAAAGTTTACTTGTTTTAAATATACAATTCACCAAAGCAATTCTGAGCAAAAATAGCAAAGCTGGAAACATCACACTACCTAACTTTCAGTATACTACAAAGCTATAGTAACCAAAATGGTGTGGTACTGGCCTTAAAAACAGAACAGTGAAACAGAATACAGAACACAGAAATAAATCCATGCACTGACAGCAAATTGATTTTCAACAAAGATGTCAAGAACAGAGTCTCTTCAATAAATAATGCTGGCAAAACTGGATATCCAGTTTTCTTCATATGCAGAAAAATGAAAACTAGACCCCTATCTCTCACCAAATACAAAAATCAACTCAAAATGGGTTAAAGACTTGAATGTAAGACCCAAAATGATAAAACTACCAGAAAAAACATAGGGGAAACATTTCATGACATTGGCTTCAGCAAAAATTTTTTTGAATAAGAACTTGAAAGCACAAACAAACAAAAGCAAAAATAGACAAATGGAATTACATCAAGCTAAAAAGCTTCTGCACAGCAAACAATCAGCAGACGAAAGAGGCAACTTATATAATGATAGAAAAATTTGCCCACCATCTATCTGACAAAGGACTAATATCGAGAATATATAAGAAACTCAAACAACTCAATAGCAAAAAAAAAAAAATAACCAAATCTAAAAATGGACAAAATACTTGAATAGACATTTCTCAAAAGAAGACATACAGATGGCTAACAGCTATATGAAAACATGTGTGATATCACTAATCATCAAGGAAATGCAAACCAAAACCACAATGAGATATCACTTCACCCCATTTCGAGAATGCCTATTATCAAAACAAAACAAAACAAATCCACAAATGCTGGTGTGGATGTAGAGAGAGGGCAACTTTTTAAAAAATATATTATTATTATTTTTACTTTTAGAGATAGAATCTTGCTCTGTTGCCCAGGCTGGAGTACAGTGGCCTGATCATGGCTAACTGCAACCTAGAACTCTTAGGCTCAAGGGGATCCTCCTTCATTAACCTCCTGAGTAGCTGAGACTGCAGGCACACACCACCATGCATGGCTAAAAAAGAGAAACTCATGCACTGTTGGTGAGGTTGTACGTTTGTAGAATCATTATGGAAAACAGTATGAAAAGTTTCCACAAAATTAAAAACTAAGTTACCATATGATCCAACAATTGCACAACTGGATATTACACATCCAAAGGAAATGAAATAAGTATGTTGAAGAGATATCTGCACTCCCATGTTTATTATAGCAATACCCGAGACATAGAATCAACCTAAGTATCCATCAACAGATGAATGTATAAAATGTATAAAGAAAATGTGTGGATATACACAATGGAATACTATTCAGATGTTAAAAAGAATGAAATCCTGTCATTTATGGCAACATGAGTGAAGTTGGAGGATATTATGGTAGGTGAAATAAACCAGGCACAAAAGCACAAAAAGACAAAAACCACATGATCTCACACACATGTGGAATCTAAAAACATTGATCTTATAGAAATAGAAAGAACTGTGGTCACCAGAGGCTGGAGAGTGAAGAGGCGAGTGGGATGGGGAGAGATTAGTTAATGAATACAAAGTTATGGTTAAATAAGAGGAATAAGTTCCGGTCTTCTATTGCCCAGTAGGGTGACTATGGTTAACAGTGTTGTATTCTATATCTCAAAATAGCTAGAGGAGGGAATTTTGAAATTTCTTATAACAAAAAATTATAAATATTTGGGATAATGCTAAATAGCCCCACTTTGATTATTATACAACCTTGCCTTGAGTTAGGACATACTCTGAGGAACAACATGCTCTAGAGTTTCCTCAGCATCAGGCTGATAGTGAGGGTTCACCCAAAATCATGCCCTTGCTTGGTTTTGTTCCATCCCTCCCACTTTTACCTTATTGATCTTTCCTGACAGCATGTTCTTAATAAATACCATGTGCGTGATATATCATTTCAGACACTACTTTGGAGAAAGCTGACCTAAGATGCAGAATTAGTAAGTACTGTCTCCCATTTCTGTATTCAAATTTTGCACCTCTACAAAGGGGAGGAAAGTAAGATTCAGAGAGGTTCATATTTTTTTCTCAAGGTCAGGCAGTTGGTAAAAGACTTAAGTCTACTATTCTAAAATCTAGTGAAGTGAGTTGCACCACATTGCCTCTTAAAGATTTTCATAGGGAAGTAAATCTGATAAGAACAGATTCTACACTTGATCTTAGCCAAAAGACTGAGAAGCAATACGGAAGTAAATCTATAATAATGTGCTACGAAGATTCCTTAGAATCTCCAATTTAAATTACATTTATGCTCACTCTCAGTTTCTTCATTTATGAAATTAGGACACTTATTATTGTCAGTGTCTTTCTTTTTTTAAGATTAAATGGAAAAACATAGGGAGCATGCTTTGGCATATGACTAGATATTCAGTATATATTTTTCCTTCATTGAAAAGCCAGGGTAAAGAAACTTTAACCCCATAAGGACTCGGGTGTTCAAAATTTGTTTGACCAACCACAGGTTGTTTTTTTGTTTGTTTGTTTTGTTTTTTGTTTGTTTGTTTTTGGTGGATAAAGAATGAAGAATCACATGTTTAGAAGGTTTCTTAATAAAGCCTAGCTCTCTCCTAAAGAGGAAAAGCCACAGACGACAGGCATGCCACATTTAAAACAGTAGTAACCCAGTAGTCCTTCCTAACTGCTGACTAGGCAATTCCCAGGAGCCCAGGAAGGAAATCCAGAAGGATATAAACATGAAATGAATCAAGCATGCAAGATTTTCAAGCAAAATCAAGCAATATTTTCTTTCTCTCTTTTTCCTTCTGTTTTGTTTTGATGTGTGTCTATGTATGTGTGTGAAATATTTATTTATTTCAATCACCATCAGGACATTAGTATTCAGAGGAAGGAAAATGCCTCTTGAATGAGATGTTTGTAGGGAAAATTACAAGGGAGAGGAGGCTGACTTTGACCGAGCAGTGCCCTCTGAGGATTGGGGTGGATCAGAATGGTTTCTAATATTTTTTCTACTCCCCTAATGGAAGTAAAATAACAACATGAAATAGAGGGGATGGAACAGCCAGCAGGAGGATAAATACCAAGGAAGCGATGTAAACACAGCCCCCAATTTCCCCTGCGAGTAAGAGAATGAGGAATGTGTTATTTATCTCTCTTTGCAATCTGCAAGGCAGAGTATGGAGCTGCCCCTTTGGGAATATCTTCTATAAACAATCAAAGAATTTCAGGATGGGAGTTTGAGATGCAGTGAAAGGAGTAAAGGAGATTGAGAATTTCTCTAACTCCAGGTCTTCACACACCTCTTCCAAGAAGCCTTTCTTCATCTTCCCTGGCAGTGAAATAATACCCTTTTTAAAAGAGAGGTACTTTAGAAGTCATTGATTATGCCATCCCCACTAATTATTTTAGAATATAAAAATTAATGCAACCTGGCTAAATGAGTTATTATGATTACTCTGCACTTGCAGGTGAGTATGTAGTGTGAGCTCTGGAATTAAACCACCTAGCTTGAACCTTGCATTCATTACTAATGAAGTGTATTACCTTGGGAAAATTATGTACCTCAAGCCTCTGTTTCCTCACCTGTAAAACTAATGATTTCTACGTAATAGGATTTCTGTAAGAAATAAATGTGGTAATGTACACAAAGTTCCTAGCACAATGCCTAGAAGATATTAAGAGCTCCATAAAGCCTGGAGCTTATTCTTGTTTTTGTTGCTGTTATTACTATTGTTATTAATATTCATTAAGAAATGGAAGTAGAATCCAAATTCATTCTTTCCATCTTTAAATTCATCCTTCTTTTCTTTCCATTCTGTAACTTTTAATCTCTTAAGATTTCACATGGCTTTAGCAAATATTATTGTTCTAATATATAATAACTAGTGGCATATACATCTGATGCAACGAGGTAGTAGGTAGTTTATGGAACTTTTCAGACCAGGCCTTAACTCATACCAATCCAATACATCTCAGAAAATGTTAGCCAGGTAAACATAGAACGATCTCACCTAAATATAGAGAAGACTGGTGGATTTGTCATCATAAATGGAGTCAACTGTCTTTAAGAAAGTGTTTGCTGACTACGAATGGAAATGACTAAAATTTATTCTTATAGGGAAACTTTAATCTTTTTTTTTTTTTTTTTAGAAAGGGCAGGGCTAGGGTAGATAAGGACTTGCAGAATCAATGGCACTTGTCCTGTGCCTTGAAGAATGTGTACGTCTTTGATGAAGTAAGGAGGTAAGGGAGGCTATTGTAGGTGGGCCAACCACATAAGAAATGGGATGGAGAACTAGCAGAATTTACTCATAAGTATATTCTTTAATCCTTAGGCTTCCTCTTGAAAGGAATTTCCTTAAAGATGCATTCCTCAATACCCCAGTTCAATAGTGTTCACTTTTTTCCCCTCCCTCATAGCATACTACAGTTTTCCTTCAAATTACATATTATAATTTAAAACTGAATATCTATTTATGTATGTTGATGGGGCCACCCATCAACATACCAAGTAGAGTGGTGTGTGTGTGTGTTTTAATTCAGTCTCCCCTGTTAGGCTGTAAGTTTGTTCTGTGAGGATATAAATCTGGTGTATTTTTACAAATAAAACAAAATAAGAAAAAAGTGACAAAAAAGCATATGTTACAGTTAGCTACATTTTATAAAACCTATTTACTCTCTTTTCTTATTCAACAATAACAGCCAAGCAAGCAAATAACAGAAAAAGTAAAGGAAACCAAACAACATCAAAATTTAAAACCAACAAACTAGTCATGTGTGATGTCTAGCACCATACATACCTGACGCATTGTAAATGCTATTACACATTTTTCATTGAATGAATGGATTAGTCAAGTGACCTGCCTGCATAGAGGGTGGTGCAGTGCTGTAGAAATAGAGATATGGATGAGGAGCAAGATAGGTCACTCTGTCCCTGCCTCCAAGACAACTGTGGATCAATCCCTATTCCTCTCTTAGCCTTCATTGTGTTTTCTGTAAATTCAGAGCTAAAGGCACTCAGTGGGTTTTCTGGTACTAACGTTCTAGGATTTTTAATGCTTCTTTAATTATTTACTGAGAAGTATTTGCATTATACTAGTTAGTACCCATTAGTAAGAATACAAGATATGATGGTGCTTTTTAATATACAAATAAAGGATTGTTAAGAGTTCTTTTTTCCTTATCATATAAATATACATTGAGCCCCTACATACAAGGTCTTAGGGGAAGCAGAGAGCAGTAAAGAAACATGGCTCCTGACTTTGAGCAACAGAGATAGAGAATGAAAGAGGAATAAAAGAATGATAATTTAAAATGACAAGAAAAATAACAAGAAGAAAGATGCAGGAAATGTAAAGGAGAGGTAAAAGAAAGTGAAGATGAAAAGGGGAAGGACGTGGAGAAGGAATGATTTCTTGGGCATGTATTTTATGCATCTTATCCTATTTTACTGATGTTGAAACTGAGGTTCTAACAGATTAAATCTAAAGTTATTGGTAGGACTTGGCTTACTTCCAAAGCTGACTGCTTTATGATCTTAATATTGAGCCTATGATTCCTCTCTGCCTGGTGAAACCACATACAGGGAAACAGGCAGTTGCACTGATGTGGTAAGGGACTTGAGAGAGACCTGCATCCTTTTCATTTGTAATCCAAGACCAAGGGCCCTGCCCTCTTGTTCCTCTGGAGTCTCCCTCTTAGTACTTAGCATGCTTATGTTTCCCCTGCACTTAAAAGAAAAATGAAAAGAAAAGAAAAAAGAAAATGTTGCTACAGCAAACTGAAGGGAGAAAGACTATTTTCCCCCAAAGAAAGAGGAAGCTTGCAGAAGCTTGGGGTAAAGACAGGGCGGGGAGATGGCAGGGGAGGATCAAACTGAAGCCTAAAGGCTTTTGGCTTCTCTCCTCAATTCTTCCTTCTCTTCTTTGCAGCTTTTAAGTTTCATTCATTGTATCAGTGGGATTTGGGGATTGGACTGAAGTTGCGGTAATAGAGGTGCCCGAGGCAAACTTTGATTCTTTAGTTTCCAAGAAAAACAATTATCCTAATCTAGCCTGCCATCCCTTCTTCTCCCCCAGCAGTGGAAATTCACTGGGTTCAGAGAGCATTCTTGGGAGGAGACGTGTGCTGTTTCAGTCACATTACATTGTGTGACTACAATTTGCCCAAATTCCTTTTTTCCCCCACTTACATTATTTGCCATTTATTTATTAAGCATTTACCCAGTGCTTCATATAACTAGCCTTCATTGAGCTCTTCCCAGGAGCCCAGTGCTTAGTCAAGGATGTGAGATATATTATTTCATTTAGTCTTCACGGTGACCCACAAGGTAAATATAATTTTTATCCTTGTTTATTCCAAAGAGATTAAGTAACCTGCTCAAATTCACAGATATGAATTAGACTAGCCAATATGTGAACTCCTTCATTGCCTGTCTTCAGGGCCTGTGCTCTTAACATGTCATCATACAATCTCTGAACCACAACCCCTGTGTCCTAATTACCATTCTATGATTTTTAAATAAATCTTGAAACCAAGACACAGAGGGCTGAAGCAATTGCTTCAGGTCCCACAGCTTGAAAACAGCAGAGGTAAGATTTGAATTCATTATGTTTCTTTGTTGTTGTTGTTGTTTTTCTTTATTTCTTCTAAAAAAAGAAAGACAACAAAACACCATACATGTGCAGAACGTGCAGGTTTGTTACATGGGTATACGTGTGCCATGATGGTTTGCTGCACCTATTGACCCATCCTCTAAGTTCCCTCCCCTCAGCCCCTACCCCATAGCAGACCCTGGTGTGTTTGTTCTCCTCTCTGTGTCCATGTGTTCTCATCATTCAGCTCCCTCTTATGAGTGAGAAATTGTGGTGTTTGGTTTTCTGTTCCTGTGTTAGTTTGCCGAGGATAATGTCTTCCAGCTTCATTCATGCCCCTGCAAAGAACATGATCTCATTCCTTTTTATGGCTGCATAGTATTCCATGGTGTATATGTACCACATTTTCTTTATTCAGTCTATCATTCATGGGCATTTGGGTTAGTTCCATGTTTTTACTATTATAAATAGTGCTGCAATAAACATACGTGTGCATGTGTCTTTGTAGTGGAATGATTTATATTCCTTTGGGTATATATCCAGTAATGGTATTGCTGGGTCAAATGGTATTTCTGATTCTAGATTCTTGAAGAATCGCCATACTGTCTTCCACAATGGTTGAACTAATTTACATTCCCATCAATAGTGTAAAAGCGTTCCTGTTTCTCCACAGCCTCACCAGCATCTATTGTTTCTTGACTTTTTAATAATCGCCATTCTGAGCAATGTGAAGTGGTATCTCATTGTGGTTTTGATTTGCATTTCTCTGATGATCAGTGATGTTGAGTTTTTTTTCATATGTCTGTTGGCCACATAAATGTTTTCTTTTGAGAAGTGTCTGTTCATATCCTTTGCCCACTTTTTGATGGGGTTGCTTTTTTTTTTTTGTAAATTTGTTTAAGTTCCTCATAAATTCTGGATATTAGACCTTTGTCAGATGGGTAGATTGCAAACATTTTCTCCCATTCTGTAGGTTGCCTGTTCACTCTGATGATAGTTACTTTTGCTGTGCAGAAGCTCTTTAGTTTAATTAAATCCCATGTGTGAGTTTTGGTTTTTGTTGCAATTGCTTTTGGCACTTTAATCATGAAGTATTTGCCCATGCCTATGTCCTGAATGGTATTGCCTAAGTTTTCTTCTAAAACTAGAAGAAACTCTAAGTTTTTTTAAGGGTTTTTATGCTTTTGGGTTTTACATTTAAGTCTTTAATCCATCTTGAGTTAATTTTTGTATAAGGTAAGGAAGGGGTACAGTTTCAGTTTTCTGCATATGGATAGCCAGTTTTCCCAACACCATTTATTGAACAGGAGATCCTTTCCCCATTGCTTGGGTTTTGGTGAGGTTTGTTGAAGATCAGATGGTTGTAGATGTGTAGTGTTATTTCTGAGGTCTCTATTCTGTTCCATTGGTCTATATGTCTGCTTTGGTACCAATACCATGCTGTTTGGTTATGGTAGCCTTGTAGTATAGTTTGAAGTCAGGTATTGTGTTGCTCCAGCTTTGTTCTTTTTGCTTAGGATTGTCTTGGCTATATAGGGTCTTCTTTGATTCCATACAAAATTTAAAGTAATTTTTTCTAATTCTGTGAAGAATGTCAATGGTAGTTTGATGGAAATAGCATTAAATCTATAAATTACTTTGGGCATACATATGCCCATTTTCATGATATTGATTCTTCTTATCCATATAATGGAATGTTTTTCCCTTTGTTTGTGTCTTCTCTTATTTCCTTGAGCAGTGGTTTGTAGTTCTCCTTGAAAAGGTCCTCCACATCCCTTCTTAGCTGTATTCCTAGGTATTTTATTCTCTGTAGCAATTGTGAATGAGGTTCATTCATGATTTGGCTCTGTTTGTCTATTGTTGGTGTAAATAAATGCTTATGGTTTTTGCACATCGATTTTGTATCCTGAGACTTTGCTGAATTTGCTTATCAGTTTAAGGAGTTTTGGGGCTGAGATGATGGGGTTTTCTAAATATAAAATTATGTCATCTGCAAATATAGTATGACTTCCTCTCTTCCCTGTATTTCTTCCTCTTGCCTGATTGCCCTGGCTAGAACTTCCAATAGCATGTTGAATAGGAGTGGTGAGAGAGGGCATCCTTGTCTTGTACTGATTTTCAAAGGGAATGTTTCCAGCTTTTGCCCATTCAATACGATATTCGCTGTGGCTTTGTCATGAATAGTTCTTATCATTTTGAGGTATATTTTATCTATACCTAGTTTATTGAGAGTTTTTAACATGAAGAGATGTTGAATTTTATTGAAGCCCTTTTCTCAATCTATTGAGATAATCATGTGGTTTTTGTCTTTGGTTCTGTTTAT
This sequence comes from Homo sapiens, assembly GCF_000001405.40. Taxonomy (NCBI): domain Eukaryota; kingdom Metazoa; phylum Chordata; class Mammalia; order Primates; family Hominidae; genus Homo; species Homo sapiens. The sequence goes on along the minus strand of NC_000009.12, from coordinate 115,727,700 downwards.
GTGATGAATTATATTTATTGATTTGTGCATGTTGAACCAGCCTTGCATCCCAGGGATGAAGCCAACTTGATCGTGGTGGATAAGTTTTTTGATGTGCTGCTGGATTCAGTTGGCCAGTATTTTATTGAGGATTTTTGCATCAATGTTCAACAAGGATATTGGCCTGAAGTTTCTTTTTCTGTTGTGTCTCTTCCCAGTTTTGGTATCAGGATGATGCTGCCTCCTAAAATGAGTTCGGGAGGAGTCCCTCCTCTTCAATTGTTTGGAATAATTTCAGAAGGAATGATACCAGCTCCTCTTTGTACTTCTGGTAGAATTTGGCAGTGAATCCATCTGGTCCTGGGCTTTTTTTGGTTGGTAGGGTATTAATTATTGCTTCAATTTCAGAACTTGTTATTGGTCTTTTCAAGGATTTGACTTCTTCCTGGTTTAGTCTTGGGAGGGTGTATGTGTCCAAGAATTTATCCATTTCTTCTAGATTTTCTAGTTTATTTGCATAGAGGTTTTATAGTATGCTCTGATGGTAGTTTGTATTTCTGTGGGGTCAGTGGTGATATCACCTTTATCATCTTTTATTGCATCTATTTGATTCTTCTCTCTTTTCTTGTTTATTAGTGCAGCTAGCAGTCTATCTGTTTTGTTAATTTTTTTCAAAGAATCAACTCCTGGATTCATTGATTTTTTGGAGGGTTTTTCATGTCTCTATCTCCTTCAATTCTGCTCTGATCTTAGTTATTTCTTGTCTTATGCTAACTTTTGGATTAGTTTGCTCTTGCTTCTCTCATTCTTTAGTTGTGATGTTAGGGTGTCAATTTGAGATCTTTCAAGCTTTCTGATGTAGCATTTAGTGCTATAAATTTCCCTCTTAATGCTACTTTAGCTGTGTTCCAGAGATTCTGGTATGTTGTCTTTTTGTCCTCATTGGTTTCAAAGAATTTGATTTCTGCTTTAATTTCATTATTTACCCAGGAGTCATTCAGGAGCAGATTGTTCAATTTCCATGTAATTGTGTGATTTCGAGTGAGTTTCTTAATCCTGAATTCTAATTTGATTGCACTGTGGTCTGAGAGACTGTTTGCTATAGTTTCAGTTTTTTGCATTTGCTGAGGAGTGTTTTACTTCAAATTATGTGGTCGATTTTAGAATAAGTGCCACATGGCACTGAGAAGAGTGCATATTCTACTGATTTGGGTTGGAGAATTCTGCAGATGTCTATTAGGTCCACATGATCCAGAGCCGAGTTCAAGTACTGAATATCCTTTTAATTTTCTGCCTCGTTGATCTGTCTAATATTGACAGCGGAGTGTTAAAGTCTTCCACTATTATTGTGTGGGAGTACAAGTTTCTTTGTAAGTCTCTAAGTACTTGTTTTATGAATCTGGGTGCTCCAGTATTGGGTGCATATATATGTAGAATAGTTAGCTCTTCTCATTGAATTGTTCCCTTTACCAATATGTAATGCCTTTCTTTGTCTTTTTTTATCTTTGTTGATTTAAAGGCTATTTTGTCAGAGACTAGGATTGCAACCCCTCCTTTTTTTTTTTTTTTTGCTTTTTATTTCTTTGGTAAATTTTCCTTCATATCTTTATTTTGAGCTTATGTGTGTCCTTGCACATGAGATAGGTCTCCTGAATACAGCACACTGATGGGTCTTGAATCTTTATACAATTTGCCAGTCTGTGTCTTTTAATTGGGACATTTATCCTGCTTACATTTAAGGTTAGAATTGTTACATGCAAATTTGATCCTGTCAGCACGATGCTATTTGGTTATTTGCACACTAGTTGATGCAGTTTCTTCAGTGTCATTGGTCTTTATATTTTAGTGTATTTTTGCAGCGGCTGGTACCGGTTTTTCCTTTCCATATTTAGTGCTTGTTTTAGGAGCCCTTGCAAGACAGGCCTGGTGGTAATGCAATCCCTCAGCATTTACTTCTCTGGAAAGGATTTTATTTCTCCTTTGCTTATGAAGCTTAGTTTGGCTGGATATGAAATTCTGAGTTGAAAATTCTTTTCTTTAAGAATGTTGATTATTGGCTCCCAATCTCTTATGGCTTGTGGAGTTTCTGCTGAGAAGTCCACTGTTAGTGTGATGGACCTCCCTTTGTAGATGACCTGGCCTTTCTCTCTGGCTGCCCTTAACATTTTTTCCTTCATTTTTGACCTGGGAGAATCTGATGGTTATGTTTCTTGGGGTTGATCTTCTCATGGAGTGTCGTAGTGGTCTTCTCCATATTTCCTGAATTTGCACGTTGGCCTTTCTTGCTAGGTTGGGGGTGTTCTCCTGGATAATATCCTGGAGTGTGTTTTCCAGCTTGTTTCCATTCTCCCCATCTCCTTCAGGTACTCCAATCAATCACAGGTTTGGTCTTCTTATGAAGTCCCTTATTTCTTGGAGGCATTGTTCATTCCTTTTCATTCTTTTTTCTCTAGTCTCATCTGCATGCCTTATTTCAGCAAGGTGGTCTTCAAACTCTGATATGCTTTCTTCCACTTGGTCAATTCAGTTATTGATACTTGTGTATGCTTCATGAAGTTTTCATGCTGTGTTTTTTCCATCAGGTCATTTATGTTCCTCTCAAAATTGGTTATTCTAGTTAACAGCTCCTCTAACCTTTTATCAAGGTTCTTAGCTTCTTTGCATTGGGTTAGAGCATGCTCCTTTAGCTCAGCATAGTTTTTTATTACCCATCTTCTGAAGCCTACTTCTATCAATTAGTCCACCTCATCCTCTGTCCAGTTCTGAGCCCTTGCTGGAGATGTTGCAATCATTTGGAGGAGAAGAGGCACTCTGGCCTTTTGAGTTTTCAGCATTTTTTTCATTGATTCTTTCTCATCTTTGTGAGTTTGTCTGGTTTCAGTCTTTGAGGCTGCTAATCCTTGGATGGGTTTTTTTTGTTGTTGATGATGCTGTTGTTGTTGCTTCCTGTTTGTTTTTTTTCAATGGTCAGGTCCCTCTTCTGTACGGCTGCTGCAATTTGCTGAAGGTTCACTTCAGACCTCGTTCATCTGGTTCGCCCTTGCACCTGGAGATGTCACTCACGGAGGCTGGAGGACAGCAAAGATGTGTGCCTCCTCCTTCTTCTGGGACCTCTGACCTCAAGAGGCACCAACCTGATGCCAGTAGGATCGCTCCTGTATAGGGTGTCTGACATCCCCTGTTGGAGGGTCTCACCCAGTTGGGTGGCACGGGGAACAGGACCCATTTAACGACGCACTTTGTCCCTTAGTGGAGGGGGTGTGGTTCGCTGGACGGGAAACCCACTTATCTGGGCTGCCAGCATTCCTCAAAACTATGAGAAGGAAAGGCTAAGTCTGCTGGTCCACAGAGACTGTGGCCACTCTTTTTCCTATTGGCTCAGGCCCAGGGAGATCAGAGTTCTGTCCCTGAGCCTCTGGCTGGAGTTATTGGAGTTCCTGAAGGGAAGCCCTGCCCAGTGAGGATGGACGGGTCAGGGTCAGGCCTGAAGATGCACTCTGGGCACAGTCTGCCACAGCTGGTGTGTTGAGCTGTGGGGGACATGTCTTGGGACCAATCCATCCAGCATCACTGGCTCCAGCGGGGGAAAAGCACAGCCTGGAGCTATAGAGATGGATGCCACCCTTACCCTACCCAGGGAGTTTAGTGTGTTAAGCAGTTGTAAGTCCCAGTGCTGGCTGCTGCCCCTTCCCCAGGGAGCTCAGATGGCTTAGACAGCAGGCAGCCGCATCTGTGATGCTGGTTGCCCCTCCCCATGGGAGCTCCGTAAGCTTAAGCAGATTCCAGCAGAGAGGCTGTTGAGAATGCTCCAAGGTTGGGACCACCACACCTGGTGGTGTGGGTTCATGAGCGGGATCTTCCCATCCGTGGGTTGCACAGTTCCATGGAAAAAGCATGGTTTACCCAGCTAAGTAGCATGCTTACTCACTGCCTCCCTTGGCTTGGGGGAAGGGGCTCCCACCTGTGGCTGTCAGGTGGATCACCACACCACACTGTTCTTCCTTCCTCTCCATAGATCACACCAGCCCCTAGTCAGTTCTAAGGAGAGAACCTGGATACCTTGGTTGCTGATGAAGGATTCACTCACTTATTATGGTTCTTTTCAATGGGAGCCTCTAAATGCCACTGTTTCTAGTTGGCCATCTTGGCCCCACCCTCAATTAATGCTGTTTCTACAACCCCAAGCTCCATATGAAGGGCTGCACCAGTGTTGAGGGTGGTGACGAGGAGGTTTGCGTTTCAAAAAAGGCCATTCTGTCTGGTGTATGGTGCATCGTCTGATAGGAGCACGTGGACACGAGGAGGCCAGTCCTTCTCATATCCACACCAGGGCAGGGCTGTGAGTTTCTCTATTCTGATTTATATCTCCTTCCAGGATGTTCCCGCATGTTCATTTATGTCTCATTTCAATTGTTTGTTTAAAAAGTGAAAATGGTGCAATTTGCCTCAAACAATGCATTTTCTTAGAAAACAGGACCAGTCCTGTTGGAGACTCTTGTATTTTAATTATGCTTAGCAGGTACATTTTTAAAGAGTCTCAAGTAGGAGTCTGATGGCCAAGCATGCACCTTTCTTCTTCAAAATTGCTACCAAATCAACATTTGACTTTCAAGGAGGTTGCTTTCTCTTCCACAGTGCAGTTTCACATCTCAGTGTAGCTGGATTGATTCTCAGAAACAAGGGAATACAGAGAACTACAGGGGTAAAGAGTGATTTGAGCCAGCTTCTAGAAGGTCTTGAATGCTAGGTCAGGGTGTCTAGACTGTATCCAATAGTCAAAGAAAGACCACTAAGTATTTTTGTGTTATCTTAGCTTATAAGCTTGAGTAAAGAATATTTTTCTCCAATGACTCTAATCTGGTTTCTCTCTCTCTTTCTGTTTCTGTGTATACGTGTGTATATGTGTGTGTGTGTATACACACACATATATATTTAAATATACATATATACTATGTATAAAATTGCATGTATTGCTTATTTTTTTCTCGAACATAACTCTTACACAGGTTAATTGAAGAAAATATAGGGCATAGATTAAATATAAAGAATATAAAAATCACCTATAATCTCACAATAGAAACTTTACTATGTTAAAATATTTTCTTTCAAAACCCCAGTAAATACATATAATATTGTATCAGACTCCACAGATGTATTGACATCCATTAAGTTAATAAGCCTCTGCTGTAATTAATTCTAGAATACATAACACAGTGGTGACTAAATAAGAAGCAGCTGGATCTTAAGTCAACTTTGCAATGTAGTTTGTAATTTTTCAAAACCACTTATATAGCACTAACCATGAGCCAGCACTGTTCTCAGTGTATTTAAAATATTAACTCATTTAATACTCATAACAACTGTATGGGGCAGGTACTAATATTAATTTTCCTTTTAGAGATGAAGAAACTGAGGGCTGAGAGAGTTTAAATTAATCAAGTTCACTCTTTAAAGAGCTCAAATTTGTAACTTTTAAAAAGTTGTCTCTACTTGTGACCTTCTATTAAGGATGATGTGGTAGGTAGAATAATATAGTAGCTTCCCACCAAAGATGTCCAGGTTCTAGTCCCCTGTACCTGTGAATATGTCACCTGAAGAATACATTACCTGCAGAATAAATTACCTGGCAGAAAGGACTTCTCAGATGTGATTAATTTAAACATCTTAAAATGGGAAGATGATCCTGGATTATCCAGATGGACCCAATGTAATCACAAGAGTCATTATAAAAAAGACACAGGAGGGTCAAGATCAGAGAAAAGGCAATGTGATGATCGTGGCAGAGATTGGAGTGATTTGTTGTCATGAAACAAGGAATGCAGGTAGCCTCCAGAAAACATACAAGGAAAGGAAACAGGTTCTCCCCTAGTTCCTCTAGAAGGAATGGCAGCTCTATTGGCATCTTGATTTTTAGCCTTGGAAGAACTTTTCTCAGGTTTCTGACTTCTAGAACATTAAGATAATAAATCTGCACTGTCTTCAGCCACTAAATATATGATAATTTATTATAATAGTAACAGGAAAATAATACAAATGGCATCTGGAATTTATCTCTTATGTCTTTTAAGTGTCAAGCAGGGGTGCCCCTCTCCAACCAGGTGAATCTCACAGGGCTACATAAATCATATTTTAAATGAGAGGATCTCAAATATCTCCTCCACCACATCTGGTACTAAACCATATATTTATAAATAAATAAATACACACACACTGTTTACTTGTTATTTGTTATATATATATGATATATACACATATATATAAATGTATATGTATATAAAAATTAAGGATGGTGTGGTAGGTAGAATAGTAGTTTCACACCAAAGATGTCCAGGTTCTAGTCCCCTATACCCGTGAATACATTACCTGAGTAATACATTACCTAGCAGAAAGGATTTCTCAGATGTGATTAATTTACGGATCTTAAAATGGGAAGATTACCCTGGATTTTATACACACACACACACACACACACACACACACACAACAAATAATGCATCAAAAGTAAACAATGTGTGTATGTATATATTTGTTAAATATATTTATCTATAATTAAATATATAAATATATAATATATTAAGCATATATTTATATATTTAAATATATCAATTTATTAAACATTATGTACCAAGACCTTTCCCGATGTCTTTGTGTCTCAGGAGGTGCTCCAAAGGCCCAGAATATCCATTGCCACCTATTGATGCAGCACAAGGTGAGAGCAATGAAACTGGTGGAAAAAACTTGCCAAAAGAGTCTTTAGCAGCTGGGAGTGGGGGTGGCTGTTGGAGATCCACTTCCTGCCATGATGGGGGAAGGCACGTGTGTCCTCTGGGCCAGGCAAGGCAGCAGCCATCAGGCATCTTGAAAGGGACTGTGCACAAAACTGCCTGCGGGTGAGGAAACCTAATGGAGACAGTCCGTGTGAGGTAGAGGGATGGATTGTGGGGCTGAGGTGTGGTCATAAATATACAGCCAGAGGGGTATTGGAATCAGAGGTCATCAAATTAGGGGGCCCTGCTATGATGGGGCTGGAGTCGCAAATTCCTAACAACCCCAGAGGCACCTCACAAAGGAAAGAAACAGTCTTTGAACATCTACCACATTCACTCCAGTGTCAGCTTTAAATTGTTCTGGTAGACAGGGCTGCCTCTCCCTATGTCGCTATGTGAACA